>NC_000016.10:78255682-78880682 GCF_000001405.40 Homo sapiens
AGAACACATCCCAAGAACAGTCAATAATAATAATACCCATCATTTATTGAACATCCACAATAGCCAGACATTTTTCTAGTTCTTATAAATCCATGTACTCCTCCCAGTAGCTTTATGAGGTCTTATTATTCTCATTTTATTGATGAAGAACTTAAAGTTCAAAGAAAGGAGTAAATCACGACCAGGCACAGTGGCTCGCGCCTGTAATCTCATAATCTCAGCACTTTGAGAGGCTGAGGTAGGTGGATCACAAGGTAAGGGGTTTGAGACCAGCCTGGCCAACATGGTGAAACCCCATCTCTATTAAAAATACATAAATTAGTCGGGCATGGTGGCATGTGCCTGTAGTCCCAGCTGCTCAGGAGGCTGAGGCAGGAGAATCACTCGAACCCGGGAGGCAGAGGTTGCAGTGAGCCTAGACTGCACCATTGTACTCCATCCTGGGCGACAGAGCAAGACTCCATCTCAAAAAAAAAAAAAAAAAAAAAAAAAGTAACTCATTCAAGGCTACACATTTACTCCATGAAGTGAGCACACTTCAGACTTCCAGTCTTGTGTGGCCTGTCTACCACACCATGAGACTTCATGTCTCTCCTAAATGAGGAGAACCAAAGCTGGAAATTGTCACCCCCTGTCAGCCCACAGCACTGGTTTCTAAACCTACTGGCCTCTACCGCTTCACTTCTCACTGTAATCTCTCTGACCCTACCTTCCAGCTTCTCTTGAGAACTTGACTCTTAAATTCATTGGTGAGAAAGGAAATTTTTGCTCCAATAAACTGGGTAGCTCAGTCCAGGAGAGAAATGTACTGGACTCAGACTTGGAGGACAGAGCTTTGTGACCCTCCTAGGCAATGTAATGACCCTCTCCTGGCCTCAATTAACTGAGGCCAGGAGAGGGTCATTAGCAAACTGTCCTTTGCTAAATGGGACTAATGGGAAGAATAGTGTCTGCCAAATAAGGTGGTTGAAGGATTGGATGAGACTGACATTTCATTTGCATTTAGTGAATACTTGTTGAATGACTGAATGAATGGTTGATGTACAGAAACATGAACAGAGAGTAGAGCAGAACATTGGTGAATGGTAGTAGATTGCCTCAGACGCCCCCCTTTAGAATCACACAAGCTGTCATCTGTGATTGCATACCTGTAGAAGTCTCTATCATTTCGTAGTCTATGTAAATGTTGACCAACTGAGTTGTTCAGTGTACAGACTGAACAACCATACAGGGAATCCCTAATCTCCTGCACTGTGAGTCAAAGAGTCAGACAGGTCTAGATGCATTTGCTTCAGGTGAGGCCAAGGCAGTCTACTCTTAATGGCACATTAGGCTTTGGACTTGAGGCCGTGTCTTTTACATTTCGCAGCAATCAGAAGGAATGGGGTCGCCCCATGAACTTCTTAACCACATACAGGCTCGTGGCGTGGGGTCTTCATCTGGCTACTAGATTGTTTAAAGAAGGATTTTTGTGATTCTTCTAGGCTGACACATTGCCTGTCATCTGTTGTTTTTCTAATCTTCTAGTAAACATTTGGAAAGTGAAGGTTTAGGCATGTATGTTTCTCTTATGTAGGAAGGGGAAATAAGGCCATGAGATTGCATGAGTTTTCTTTCCAAGTTTGTGCAGATCTGCACAATGATTGAAATATTTGCAACCTGTAGAGCAGCAGGGTATTTATTTGGCAGCAAACAGTATTGATGGATTCGGGGAATGCCATTTGACAGTTACAGGCTCCCGTGAGGCGGTGCAGGCTCCTCCGAGCCAGGGATGGAGCTGGGGATTGAGTGACACAAGACTCTTTGGGTATGTCTCAAACAATATAAATCACCAGCAAAATCTCACTCCTACAAGGAGAACCTGCAGGGAGCTCCGTGGGAGGCACTGCTGTTTACTCTCCTCATTCCCCACTGCAACCACGCAATTAAAACCAAGGAATGGAATCTGATGTCTACCGCAGCGGTTTTTTCCATCTCCATTCCTTCTGCATTGGGAGGCTTAAAAAAAAGAAAAATTAGATCCCAGATTCTTTATTCTTTTGGAAGGATTTGAAACGATTATCACTCATGCTCTGCTGCTTTGAATGGAAAAGTGATTTGATAACTTTCAAAACTCTTAGCCTTCTAAGACTTAGATTCTGGTACTATCTCATTTATGTGACGTGGGACAAATAGCCACTCTCTTGCATAGGATTTTCTTTTCTTTCTAGAAACAGGAACTGAGTATGTTTCCAATATTTTTTTATTTCTCCTAAAAAAATCAGAGACTATATATATAAAATCTCACAAACTTTGTTTCCCAGAAAAACAACTATATTTAAATGCAGCTCATACTGTATGTAAGTATGATGTAGGAAAATCTGTTAATTGTGTGACAATTATGACTTCTGAGCTGCTCATTTATTAAAATATTCTCCCTATAATTAAAAATATTTTATTTCGGAGACATGGCTCCATTAATTGCACATTTCCTAATGAAGTTTGAAGGAAGATTTAAAAATCATATTAGCCACTTGTACAAAAACAAACCAGTCATATCATAGCATTAATAACAAAAAAATTCCACTGTTTATTTAACGTACCAGCAAATTCTACCGTATATTGTTTGCTCTCCGTTTGGTGGGACTAAAAAGGGATTTAAAAATAGGCTATATACACTGAATGTAGTTTCACTGGAAGATTTAATGCCAACATGTTCTTTTTTGGTATTAACATATTGCATTGGTGTGAAAACTAAAATGCCTTCAGCGATGATCTTTTCCTTTGGAAAACTAGATTCCCACTCGGATGCTACGAGGGGTAATCTGTGCTAAGTTTATGGTGTGTCTGCCAGGGCTCTGCTTTAAAAAACAAAACAAACCCTTTTGGAGGCCTTGACAGTTCCATGGAATTCCTAGGAACAGCCTAGAAGGTGAATGATGCAGCCCAGTTGTTTTTATTCTGAGTTTGGCAAAAATGATAGAGAAGAAAATGTACTTTTATGTGTTCGTTCGACAGTTAAAGAGTATTCCAGATTCCTCCCTCCAAAAAAAAAAAAAAAAAAAAAAAAAAGGGCATATTCCCTAGCCAAGGCCCACATGGCTTTTCTTTACTTTAAGTACTCCTCATATTATCTTGACCTTAAAGTTTACAGGGTAAAAGAAACATTTATGGAACAGTTAAGACCAGTTAGAACATAACGACTTGCCTCATTATCACACTCCACAAATCTCCACTTTACAGAGTTCACTTCCCTGCCTGCTTTAAACATGTGTTTGGCCTGCAAACAGTGTTACTAGTGCTCGCATATGGAAACAGAGAACTTCTCATTCCTTACCTCAGACGTGCCAAAAATAAGAATCTTTAAGAACTCATAAAGTAATTTAGCACCACGTTAATAAAAGAAGCACCATTTTGAATTAGTTCTGTAAGTATGTGTTTGAGTTAGAAATAGAGTTTTAAAAAACTGTCTGTTCATATAGTTCATCTGCTTAATAAGTAAGCAGCTCTTTCAAATCACCAAGCTCAAATAAAACAAACAAATAATGGGACAATTGGCAAAACTCTAAAAAGTGATACAAAAGACCAAGGGATATTTGAAAAATGTTTAAAGTTATTAGCAGAGAAGACACAATTTAGAAGAGAGACTGTATTCCATTTTATTTTTATTTATATTTATTTTTGAGACAGAGTCTTGCTCTGTCACCCAGGTTGGAGTGCAGTGGCACAATCTCGGCTGACTGCAACCTCTGCCTCCCGGGTTCAAGCAATTCTCCTGCCTCAGTCTGCCGACTAGCTGGGACTACAGGCACACGCCACTATGCCCAGCTAATTTTTGTAGAGATGGAGTTTCACCATGTTGGCCAGGCTGGTTTTGAACTCCTGGGCTCAAGTGATCCACCCACCTTGGCTTCCCAAAGTGCTGGGATTACAGGCATGAGCCACCATGTTCGACCCCATTTTTATAAATGTAAAATTAACTTAGGTTTAAACTATTAATACACAAGGTTGAGAAGTATAGAAGTGGGCATTCTAATATACTGTGGATGGGAAGAACAATTGATTTTCATAGTTCTGAGATATAATTTGGAGATCTCTATCAAAAGTTTTATAAACTTTTTTTTTACCTAGGAATTTCATATCTAGAAAAATATTGTAAAGGAATATTTAAAGATATATCCACAAATTTATGTACAGTGATGTTTATGCTTATATTATTTATAGACTTTTAAAAAACTTAAAATATTTAACAATTGAGTTATTTTATGATGATCTAAACTGCATAGGATAAAATCCTATGCAGTTTACAGAAATGTAAACTAAGTGCTTCGTTAAATGAATCCTAGATCCCGTGCCTTCTGACTGGGTGAGACCTCCCAGCAGGCGTTGCCAGAGAACTTACACAGGAGCGTTTCTGCTGGAATCAGCTCGATGCCTCTTGAGGACAGAGACTCCCAGAGGAAGGAGCAGGCAGCCATCCTTGCTGTGCTGCAGCCTCCACAGGTGACACCTCCTGGTGTGGGAGGGACCCAGGTGAACAGGGTCTGGAGTAGACCCCCAGCAAACTACAGCAGTGTTACTGGGAAGAGGGGCCTGATTGTTAAAAGAGAAACAAACAGAAAACAACAACATCACTAACAAACAAGTTCCCACAAAGACCCCATCCAAAGGTCAGCAGCCTGAAAGATCGAAGCCAGATAAATTCACAAAAATGTAAGGCTCATTTACATTACAGGCTCAGGCCTGTAATCCCAGCACTTTGGGAGGCCAAGGCGGGCAGATCACTTGAGGCCAGGAGTTTGAGACCAGCCTGGCCAACATGGTAAAACCCTGTCTCCACTAAAAATACAAAAGAAATTAGCTGGGCATGGTGGCAGGTGCCTGTAATCCCACCTACTTGGGAGGCTGAGGCAGGAGAATCACTTGAACCTGGGAGGTGGAGGTTGCAGTGAGCCGAGATTGCACCACTGCACTCCAGCCTGGGTGACAAAGCTATACTCCATCTAAAAAAAAAAATTAGTTATCTCTGCCCTTTGGGAGGCTGAGGCAGGTGGATCACTTGAGGTCAGGAGTTTGAACCTAGCCTGGGCAACATGGTGAAACCCCGTCTGTACCAAACATACAAAAATTAGCTGGGTGTGGTGGCGTGCCTGTAATCCCAGCTATTGGGGAGGCTGAGGCAGGAGAATCACTCGAACCCGGGAGGTGGAGGTTGCAGTGAGCCGAGATCACACCACTGCACTCCAGCTTGGGAAACAGAGTAAGACTCCATCTCAAAAAAAAAAAAAAAAAAAAGTTATTGATTAAAATTTAAATATAAATTACAAGTAATAATGAAAGTATGAAATTTTTATTGATTCATAAATATTTGGTTTTAATCAAATATGATGTGAAGCTTTAAGTGAAATTATTGATATTCGAAGTTTTTTTTTGAATGTTTAAATCATTTCACATTCACATTTTTTAAGTAAAATGAAACAACTTGACATTTTAGCATAGAATGTTTATATGGTGGCCAAAAAAGCAGATTGGTATCATGCTTTATGTGTGTTCATTCTAGTCCTGCACGTGTAGAAATGTAAGATTTTAATGTGTGGTAAGGTAGATAGATAGATAGATAGATACATACATACATACATACATACATACATATAAAATTAGGTAAGAGGATACTTTTAATGTATGGTAAGCTATGATTGCACCACTGCATTCTAGCCTAGGCGACAGAGCAAGACCCTGTCTCTAAAAATAAATAAATAAATAAATAAATAAATATTTTGTAAAAGGTATCATAGCTGTATAAAAAGAAAAGACTAAAAAGAAAGCCACTCAAATTCCATTTCTCTTCTGCAGATTTTTTTTTAGTTTTGTATTTCATCTGTGATTGACTGTGTATGTATTTTTGCATATATACCTGCAAGCATTTGTCCTTTTAACCTTAGGAAAAAAAGTCTGATTGCAACTACGTGTTTGGGAATCAGGGAGACTATGGAAGAACAATCTCAGATCTCAGCTTGAGGCTCCACTTGCAATATCACAATTTCTAAAACATGTTGTATGTGGGCCCATTTGCCATGTGTGTGTGTGTGTCTGTCTATCTATCTATCTATGTATCTATCTATCTATCTATATATATATATATATATATATATATATACTTATAATGTGGTGGGTTCTCGAATCACAGTTGTAATTCACATTTTTCTCCACCAATTCTGATAACTTGCATTAAGAAATTGACTGTGTAAGTTAAATTTTAGATCAATAATGCAAATTGCAAGACCTAGTACAGGCCAAGGCCTCATTATATCTGAGTAGGGCTTTAAGAAAGCAAGAAAGAATCGCTTGAACCTGGGAAGCGGAGGTTGCAGTGAGTTGAGAGCATGCCATTGCGCTCTGCTCCAGCCTGGGCAAAAAGAGTGAATGAAACTCTGTCAAAAAAAAAAAAAAAAAAAAAAGAAGGAAAGAGGGAAATATACATCCTCCTATCCAGGGTGAATTACAAATAGTACCAGTTGGTTGTAAGTGGATTTAAAATTACTTTTTACTGCTAATGGGGCATCTGTCTTCATTCAACAAATATATTTCGGTCTCTGTTAGATACAGTGTATCTCTGTTAGATAGAGAGCATTCTGTTAGATACAGAGAATCTCTGGTAGATATAAAGTATTCTGCTATTCTGATCTTCCTGTTAGAAGATCAGATTTACAGAAGTCTACATTTGCTCTCAAGGGACCTTCAGTCTGTTTGGAGCAATCTCTTTATTAATTTATTTATTCAGTAAATTTTATTCAGAACCAGCTATATGGCAAACCCTAGTCCTTATGCTGAGGTTTCAGAGATGATAATGGGGGCAGATGCAGCCATTCAGTTGACTTCCTGTGGACACCAGAGATGACAGGCCCCTGTCCCCAGCTTACCATCCAGCATATAAGGCATATATGCCCCTTTCCATGAAGTATAATCTAATGAGAACAGTTGGAGAAGGTCAGGCAAAGGGGACAGGACAGGAACTCAGGAGGAGGGGATATTTAGACTTACAGACCTGCCCTACCTAAGGTCCCACAGATGGTCTGTGATGACAGATAGCCCCTGGACTGCTAAGACTCGGATCTTTAAATATAGGCCCATCTGGGCTGTGGGGAGGTGACAGCCTGAGAAAAAGTCATTCTTAGATGCCCTTACTCTGTTGATCATAAAAGTAGGAGCTGAAATTCTCATAGCCTGAGAAGCTATTTGCAGCATTCCCTGAGGGCTTTGAAACACTATCAAACAACAAGGAGAGACAAAACAGTTTTTAGCCCTGCTCAACTCTCATGGGCTTGCCTTATTTTTTCAGGGCATGCTCTGTCTCCATCCCTTGGCTCTGCTTTCCTTACATTGGTCTTCTTGGGCATCCGTCTTCCATTCCACAGTGTAGCAAGCCAGAAGCTGGGGGAAACATGGTGCGTGCCTGTAATCTCAGCTACTCGAGAGGCTGAGGCAGGAGAATCACTTGAACCCAGGAGATGGAGGTTGCAGTGAGCCAAGATTGCACCTCTGCACTTCAGAGCGAGACTTCCTCTCAAAGAAATAAATACACTGTGTCCTCTCAGCAAGACCAGGACAACAGTGATTCTCTTTCCTCAAAGTTCCAATCAGTGCCCAGGGCTTCATGCATATTGGACAGACCTGAGTCATGAGGCCATCTCCGATTGGTCCATCCAGGGCCATGTGCTCACCCCTTAATTCAGGATGTGGGGTCCGGCTCCCCTGAAGTGCACAGAGAAGAGGGGTTGCCCAAAGGTGAATGGGGAGAAGGGGATATAAGTGCAGGACAGGTAAGAACAGCAAATGCTCATTAACACCATGCAGTGATGAAACGCCTCTTAATCAACCCTTGCTGGCTGCAGTTGATTTGTTACTTACCGTGAGGTTATCATAGCTTTGCAGAGACTTTGTGATGGGGCTGTCAACAGAGAGAAAGAGAGAGAGAGAAAGAAAAGAAAGAAGTGCCACCAGTCCATTTTGTTCCACTCAAATGTAGATCGTAATTTTTAGGTTTGTAATTACTGATGAGAAGAATGCCTGAGCCAGAACTTCCCAGAGATTTATCTGCCACTTACCTGGAGTAAGTAGAAAGGATATCAGTTTTCCCCAGTACACCTGCCTCCAATGAAGCCAACTCTCAGGCTCTAGAAGTCTCTGCCTTGGGATGGATTCACCAGTGTGCTTCTCAGGCTGGCCAGTGTGGAAGCAGCCTTGCTGTATTTCATCCTTTAAAAATACAGCCTGCTTGCCATCTCACGACTTTTCCCTTAATGCAACAAAGAAATATGTGTTTGGCTGTGAAATCTTTTTTTTTTTTTTTTTTTGTTTTTTTGCTGTGGAGCGCAAAATGTTCATTTATCTCTGGATGGTTTGTTTCTGGCCACCTGCCCTAAGTGTATCTGAATATTGTAACGGTGATCACTTCTTGAGTCTTGGTCATTACGAAGTGACATTTGGCATGAATTTGCTCATCACCACAGAGGGCCCCAGGGACCCACTTGGGAGAAGGTGAGTTATAGCCCACAAGATAACATTTCTCCTGGTGACTGTCCTGAAAGCCTACTTTGGGCCACCACATCAGTGTGTTGGGAGATGAGTTAAGAGGTTTTATTCTTATACATGCGGAAGAATTATGCCTTCTTGAGCCATGCTCAGGAGATGTCAGCCTTTTCCATTGTCTCCCCGCCCCCACCGCCAGCCCTGCTTAAATTATCCCCTCTTTTTAAACAAAATATCCTAATCTTGGAAGTGGCATATCATGTTCCTTCTTTTTTAAGAGAGAAGGAGAAATTCCTGCAGATCATCAGGGACTGAGGCTAACTGAAGCTTTGGAATGGATACAGTGCTACTCTCAGCTGAAAGCACAAATCACTTCCATCACGTATATGAGATTCCTCTTGCAGCACTGCAGAGGGGTGATAAGCAAGAGTTGATCGATGACAGAACACCCACCCAATTTCTTGACTCATTCTTCAACGGGCAGGGTCTATACATGTGGTATGGCTGCAATGTTTGTTGATAACCCCTACATTCACAAAACGGGCGCATGGGAACTTGTTTGCTGCCTTCTGCCATGTGAGGACACAGCAAGAAAGCACATACAGGAAGTAGAGATGGAGCCCTCATTAGACGCCAGATCTGCTGGTGCCATGATCTTGGACTTCCCAGCCTCTAGAACTGTAAGAAATCAGTCAGTATCTTTGTTTCTTTCCTTTCTTTTTCTTTTTCTCCTTTCCTTTCTTTTTCTTTTTCCCCTCCCCTCCCCTTCCCTCCCCTCCCCTCCCTTCCCTTCCCTTTCTTTCTTTCTTTCTTTTTTTTTTTTTTTTTCAGACAGAATCTCACTCCGTCGTCCAGGTTGGAGTGCAGTGGCACGATCTCAGCTCACTCCAACCTCTGCCTGCCTGGTTCAAGTGATTCTCCTTCTTCAGCCTCCCAAGTTGCTGGGATTACAGGTGCATGGCACCATGCCTAGCTAATTTTTGTATTTTTGGTAGAAACGGGGTTTCATCATGTAGGCCAGGCTGGTCTTGAACTCCTGACCCTGAGGCCCACCTTGGCCTCCCAAAATGCTGGAATTACAGGCATAAGCCACCTCACCCAGCCAAGAAATTAATTTCTGTTGAATGTATGTTGTTATAGCAGCCTGGATGGACTAAGAATCATGATGAAAAGTTGGGTTGCTTTCATATTTAGAAATATCTTGGAACGGGCAGGCGTGGTGGCACACGCCTGTAATCCCAGCACTTTGGGAGGCTGAGGCAGGTGGATCATGAGGTCAGGAGTTCGAGACCAGCCTGACCAACATGGAGAAACCCCGTCTCTACTAAAAATACAAAATTAGCCGGGCATGGTGGTGCATGCCTGTAATCCCAGCTACTTGGGAGGCTGAGGCAGGAGAATTGCTTGAGTCTGGGAGGCGGAGGTTGCAGTCAGCTGAGATTGTGCCGTTGCACTCCAGCCTGGGCAACAAGAGCGAAACTCCATGTCAAAAAAAAAAAAAAACAACAAAAAACACGAATATCTTTTTTTGTCAGCTCCATGAGGGCACAAAGTTGTATCAGCTTTTTTTTTTCACAGCTGTGTCTTCATCCTAAAATAGTTTCTAGCACAGAACAGGACTCAGTAAGTTATTTGTCAAGTAAATAGACTCCTTAATAAATTGTCTATCCTGTATCCAGTACAATGCTTGGCCTAATATACATCCAGTTTCATTTAATCCTCAAAACACATTGATGAAGTGGGTGTTAATCCCTATTTTACAGATGTGGGAATTGAGGTGTAGAGCTGTTGAAGAACTTGCCCAGGGTTGCAGAGCTCTTTCACAGGGGCAGAGCATGGGCTGAACACCAGACCTGTCTCACACTAAAGGTGAAACAATTTCCCCTGCATCAAACTGTCTCTGATATGAAGGGTCTACACACTGTGGTTTGAAGGTCAGATGTGGCCTGTCATGTTTTTGTACAGCCCGAGAGCTAAGAATGGTTTTTACATTTGTAATTGTTTGGGGGAAAAAACCAATAGAATAATGTTTTATTACATGTAAAAATTGTATGAAATTCAAATTTCAGTGTTCATAACTAAATTTTAAAAACTTTTATTGAAATTCCAGAGAGATCTGAAGTAGTTTTATTGGAACACAGCCCTACACACCTTCATTTATAAGCTATCTGTGGCTACTTTTGCACTATGCCAGCAAAGTTGAGTAGTTGGGATGGAGACTATATGGCCCATAAAGCCTAAAATACTCTCTGCTCCTTTCCAGAAAGCTTGGCAACCCCTACTATCATCTCCACGTCTGCCTTTGTTCTTCTTATTTGTCCCTTCCCTCTGAAGGCAGGATAGCATAGGGTGACCATAAGACTCTCTGGAACTAGCCTGCTTGAGTCTAGTCTTGGCTCTGTGCTGACTACCTGTAGGGATGTAGGTGAGCTTTTTTATTTTTCTCAACCTCAGATTCCTCATCAAATGGAAGAAATAATGAGTATCCACTACCTTGGGTTGTATGGAATGAACCAAGTTAACTTAGCTAAACTCATCGCTTCCAACATCGCCTCCTATGTAATAAGTGCTTGATAAATGCAAGTTCTATTCTTCTATTCTCTCTCTCTCTCTCTCTCTCTCTCTCTCTCTCTCTGTCTCCCTCTCTCCCCCTCTCTCTCATAGTGATATGGTTTGGCTGTGTCCCCATCCAAATCTCAACTTGAATTGCATCTCCCAGAATTCCCATGTGTTGTGGGAGGGACCCAAGGTGAGGTAACTGAATCATGGGCCCCAGTCTTTCCCATGCTATTCTCATGATAGTGAATAAGTCTCACAAGATCTGATGGGTTTATCAGAGGGTTTTGCTTTTGCTTCTTCCTCATTTTCTCTTGCCACCAGCATGTAAGAAGTGCCTTTGCCTCCTGCCATGATTCTGAGGCCTCCTCAGCCATGTGGAACTGTAAGTCCAATTAAATCTCTTTTTCTTCCATGTCTTGGGTATGTCTTTTTCAACAGTGTGAAAATGAACTAATACACATAGACACATACACACATGTACCCACACACACGTAATTTTTGTATCTAAGAAAGGGGAGAAATACTTTTTAGTTGTTCTTTCTGCTTCATTTATGTGTGGAGTGCTTAATGTGGTCACACGGATATTAATTGCATGTTTTCTTGTTTTATAATTAAGAAATAAAAATGAATCACTCTGACTTTTCGCTTCATTTTCTGCATTTGCACAATTTGGATATTTTATTTTGTAGTCTATTAAAATGTGAAAGTCAGTGTAAAGTGTCAGTAGCTTTCATGAGTGTTCTTAAAGGAAGGCCATCTGATTGGAATGCATTGTATCTGTCCTTCCCTCTTGCTGGGGTCAGCCCAGGACTCGAGGGGAATGAGCCCCTGAGGAAGGCTCAGTCCTTGGCAGCGAAATCCAGGCATGGAAACCAAGCCTGAGACATGAGCTGCAGGACATCTGACACTGTCTTTTAAGAGACCTGCCTGTGAGGTCCTCATCCTGCTCCCTACACTGCTTCAGATCCACTTGTCCACTTGTAGTGAGGGATAGTATCTGTTCCACCTGATTGATTGATTGATTGATTGATTGATTGTGAGGCAGGGTCTCACTCTCATTGCCCAGGCTCATCTCTGCCTGCCGGGTTCAAGTGATTCTCCTTCTTCAGCCTCCCAGGAGTGCCATGGTGCAATCTCAAGTCACTGCAGCCTTGACTTTCCAGGCTCAAGTGATCCTCCCACCTCAGCCTCCTGAGTAGCTGGGACTATAGGTGCGTGCCCCCACGCCTGGCTAAGTTTTTGTACTTTTAGTAGAGACAGGGTTTTGCCATGTTGCCCAGGCTCATCTCGAACCCCTTGACTCAAGCGATCTGCCTGCCTTGTCATCCCAAAGTGCTAGGATTACAGGCGTGAGCCGCCGTGTCTGGCTTGCTCCACGATTTTCCTCTATGAATTCCACCTTTCCCATGGTGGGACCAAGGCTGGAAGTACTTCACAAAGGCTCCATTTGAAAAGTGGCTACAAATAAAAGGGAAAATATAGTATTCCTTAAAAAAAAAGTAGCATTCTATTTTTCCCCATTGGTAAGTAGTACAAATTTGAGAAAGTGTAAATTTGAATTCCTTAATAATCAGATCTCTGCAATGTGTTTTGCTTTTATCATCCTGGGTTGCCATCTTGGCCAAGTGTAGATTATTCTGCTCAGGGTAGCCATACTGAGATCCTGGTGTGCACAGGAAAAGAGCTAACCTTTGTGGATGAAATTGTAGAGTCACTACCTGCATTTGCTGTAGCTCTTACAATTATTTTATTTTTGGAAGACATCGAGAGCATGGTCCAAAGCTGCATAGGTTGCAAGTGGGTAGAGGCAGAATTTCTCTCCAGGCCTGGTGGATTCTAAAGCTGTTTACTCTTCACCCACCATTTCCTAGGTCTGGTTTCTTGGTTAAATACGTGGAAGAGTGGATGGACAGAAAGACAGATTGATCAGTTCTCCACAGGCTTCCCCAAACTGGCCAGGTAGAAATAAGCTAAGCAAATAAATGACTTCCCCATTTTATAATTTTCTGCAAGTCACATAAGCCTTCATGTTGTTTATTTCTTGGTTTTAGATTTTTTTAATTATAAAAGAACATTATTATACATTATTTGAATAATTTTTTAAAATTATAGAGCTGTCTAAAGGAGGCATTAAAAAAACCCTTTCTATTCCTTCATCTAATTCTATCCCTCTGAGGCAACCATGATTAGTATTTTGTACTTCTTGTACATCCTCCTTCATGTTAATATAGATGTACACATATATAAGATTTTGTTCTCATTTTCTGAAATAAGTGGACACATACTCCACCATCCCCAGGTAGTGTACAGTGTGTGCCCTTTCAGGCTAGTATGTACAGCTTTAAATCATTCCTTTACAGAGCTGTGTAATATTCCACAACCCAGAGGAGCAGCTTGAAGCCAGCTAAAGTATGTATATCCAAGTGGAATTAAGAGCTTCATGCGTAGTTTCTTGATTTTGATTAAGAATCTTTCTTAATAGATATGTCAGACGTGACTTTATGCTGCAAGACATAGCATAGGTAGAAATTTTTATGTCACAGGTGGGCCTAATTAACCTTGATTAATGTTCTGCAAACCCGGATAGACTGGAGACTCAGAAAGGGACGCAAAAGCTAGTCTGGTTCCCATGTTAGTCCCTGCTCTGTGAGCAGCTGCCACACAGTCATGCTGATGGCTCCTGCAGCAGCCATTCTGGTTTGACTGTGCTCGTGCTGCCCTGTGACATATTGTTTAACACAGTGAGTTATGACACAGGGAGCGAAATCAAGACTTCAGCCACCGATTTAACAAACTGGTGACTCGGAGATCAGCAGTCCGGCATTGCCATCCTCATCAAAAGCTCTATCTTTATCTAAAATTTATTAGCCAACTTCAAACCTGTTTGCCAGCTCACTAATGGAAGCCTTTTGAATCAATTTGCTCCTCTAATTTAAACAGCATTTCAATGTATATTGTCGAAGCAGAAAGGAGTTGCAGCTTCTGGCCAGTAGAATTAATTATTTATTATCCTTTTCATAAATACTTTCCGAGGCCGACATAACTGAAAATTGCTCAGGCTGTTTGAAAACACACACACACAGTTTTCCAGTGGCTAATTTGAAAAATGTCACCGTATTAGTTTTCATTTACATCTGTCAGGAAACATATCTATACATAAGGAAGTTTTTTTTTTTTTTTTTTACTTTCACCAGGTATTTTTTTGTGGAGTATGCATTTAATTCACATTTACAAATTGGTTTCTGTTTTTAACTAAAGATACTTTTTCAGCAGAAATGATGTGTATGATGTCATATCTAACTTTTGATCTCACTGGTATTTGATGTTAAGCCTCAAAATCATCAAATTTTTTTTACGGCACTGAAAAAAATACATAAATCTGCTTGATTGGTTCATAGAAAAAGACCCCTGTGATTAAGGTAATGCTAGTTTTTGCATTTTCTCCTAGCTGTCATTGGTTGGACACAGTGATCCTCGGGTCTCTTGTGTTTTCACATGTCTTGGGAACAGAAGTGCTGGCAGCTTTGGTTTCAGGCCATCTTTCCAAGGAACGTTGTCTAGCAAAGAAACTTGCAAGGTACAGATAGTGTCTCCCTCAGGAGCAGAGGACAGGATGGCTTTCTTTCCAGTATAATAAAGACAGTGCCTCCTTCCAGGACAACGGTTTGGCAGATTTGCTTGATAAAGGTTGGGGTTTCTAAGCTTGGGGCTCCTCAGCCATGACTGAAACGTACTATGAGCACGGCATCTACCGGGCTGTTCCACATCCTCCCTGTGGGACTAGGGGCCAGGGCAATGGGAATCAGTGCAGAAATAAAGCTCATGCTGTTTGCTCTGCCATGAGTAACGAAGTCCTCTGTATCTGATCCTGGGTCTCCTGTTTTCTGCTAGCTTCCTCAAAACTTGGTAGCTAACTCATTAACTTACAAGGAAGAGGGTGAACGTGTAGACCCTTCACAGTTTGAAAAATCACCTGATCAATAACTGAGATTATGAAAAGGTAGGAATGAACCAATTATGGCCCAAAGGCTAACTCCAGCCAGTAGCCTTTTATTTATGACCCGTTAAAAAAAACAAAAATGAACAAAAAATCCAAAGAAGGCTGTGTGCCAGAGACGATACGTGGCCCGAAGATGAAGGTACTTAACTATCTGGCCCTTCACAGAGAAAATGTGTCAACCCTTTCCTGTTTGCGTTCAGGTCAAATAGTTGCATTGAAAGGCCTCATCTTACAAATGAATCAATATTTAGTGGTTTGAAAATATGTTGTTTAATTTGGGGCGATTCAATATCAAATTAAGATTTTTAGGTTTATTTATCGATCTTTAGAATTACATCAACATTAAGCTAATTACTTTAAATTGTGTTTTTAAGTAACCAAGAATACATCTGTGGACGCTGTTCTGTGCCATCTTGAGTCACGTTTTTAAAACAATTACCTTTGATGATTTCGTATGTTATCCCATTCACAGATGGTTTTTTTCGTCCACCTGAGTTTCAAATCTGTTGTAGTCCTGGAAATTTTGCTTAGGTTGAAGGAATGAGTGCGTGTATCTTGTCAAAGGAAATCACAAGCCCATGTAAACTCGCTCTTGCTTCCGTCACCTCGTGCTTTGAAACATAACCACAGTGTGCTGAGGTTTCACATTGTTACATCCTACAAGCGTGCTTACCTGCATCACCTTGCTGGGCTGTTTCAGCATTGGAATATCACTGGGAATCTCAAGTTCCCAGGAGCCAACCACGAGAGCTTCACAGCTCAGAATTTTCAAGATGTGGATGTAGGCAGGGAGCCTATGTAGTAATTCAAGTAAGCATCTCTTCTTCTTGTTTTCCTTATAGGATGATAGAAGGTCAGTGCTTGTTCACCCCAGTGAGGTGGAGCCTCTGAGGTGGGAGGTTTTCTCTCATCCTTGAGTTTATCTTTACTTCCTGGTCATTATGCAAGTTAATTTTTCTAGCAGTGAAAACAGTCACATGGGACTCTGCCCAGCGAGGGCGTTGGGAGGCCTGGCGGAGAAGCAGTTGTAGCATCGTCCAGCCTTCTCTACCTAACAAGGGAATATGTGAGGTAGGGTAGGACATTTTGGTAGCAGTCACACAGCCCAAAGAGCATGGTGAATTTAATTAGTCTGCCACACCTGTATGGCCTTACGTTTTCCGGGATAACTTAACAAGCATTGTGTGCAGCCAGGTCAGGCAGATGGAGGTTCTAATCCAGGCTGCACACCTCATCAGCCAGGAGACTACAGATAAGTCAGCCAAACTTTTGGAGTAACAAGTAGCTCATCTGTAAAACGTGGATGTTCCAATTTATGTATAGCCGCATAATACATTACCCCAAAACTTAGAGGCTTAAAACAACAACCATTTTGTTTTATCTTGTGATTTCTGTAAGTTGGGGCTCAGTGGAGTGACTCTTCTGCCCCTTGTGGTGTTGACTGGGGTCAGTCAGTGGTGCTATGCTGGAGGATGAATTGGACTGGCACTTCAGCTGGTCCAGGATGGTCACCCATGGGTCTGGCACTTTCACGAGGATGACTGGGATGCTTGGCTCAGCTGAGGGACTCTTACCCAGAGCCCTACACATGGCCTTTCCTGCATGGCAGATATAGGGCCATCAGATTTCTTACATGGTGGCTCAGGGCTCCCAGAGGATTCCAAAAGAAAGTAACAGGAAGCTGCCAGTTTCTTATGGCCTGGCTTAGGGGTTGGCACAGCATGACTGCTGTGGACTAAGCAGTTACAAAACCCACTCAGATTCAAGGGGAGCAGACATACACCTCACTTTCTTCTGGTAGAAGTGACAAAGAATTTGCAGCCATCTTTATTCCACCACAGCAGGTAATAATAGCATCTCCCTCATTACCTATAGAATAACTCCAAACTTTCTGATGATTAAGTGAGATATCATGTAAAGTACCAAGCACCTTGGATAGGCAATGGGAAATGTTCACAACGTTCCCATTTTTACCTATAACAGCAGTAGCAATAATGCTAATAGTAATGATACTAGTAATAAAATCAGGATAATGCTGTTTTTAATTCACCACACTGTATGCCATTTGCTTAAAATCAGAAAGGACTCATCGGTAAGGAGTAGGGTGGTAGTATCATTTTGGTCTGCCTTTCACCCCCACAAGACAACATCCTTAACAGCAGCTATGTTGAAGGTTTAGGAGTGCTTGTCATTAGGGTCTCATTTCCAAAATCTGGGACATAATAATAGATGGTTACTGATTACAGGGATTTTTGTTTGTTTATTTGTTTGTTTGTTTCTTCTTGATAATCTCTTTCATTCATCATTCCTTCATTTCCACTCTTCTAATTCTGGGCATTATATCTTTGTCAGAGATAGAGTCTTTTAGCTGTTTCTTCACCTCCCAAATCCTTCTCAAGTCTGTTCTCCGCCTGCTGTGCCTTCCTATAGTGTAGCTCCAATTGCCTTCATCCTTAGAAGACCTTTAATGATATCCTATGCCAAACTTCCTAGCCTCCACCTGTACCCTGAATTGGCCCTAGCCTAGTTGTCCAAACTTTATCCCCAGGTGGTTGAACTTTCTAAGTTTCCCCAAGCTGATCAGTGTTTTGGGGTGGTATGGAACTCAGAATAGATCACTTTTTTTATTGACTAACTCTGACCATAAGTATGCTTCTGTGCGAGCCTGACCTCCACGGTACCAGGCAGAGAACAACATGTATGCAGAGAACTCATTCACTCAATAAACATTTATTAAATCCAAGCCATGGGGATCCATAGGAGGAATTTAGAGCAGAGTTGTCGAATGGTCAGATTTGCCTTTCAGAAGACCGTTCTGGCAGCCATGTGAGAAAGGAGGGTGGGGAGACCTGCTGGGAAACAACTCTAGTCACCCAGGCACGAAATGATGAGCCCTTGAGCAAAAGTGATTGCAGTGAGTACAGGGAGGAAGAGGAAACATTTTGATAGATACTTGGTAAAATCAACAAGATTTGGCCAACAGCTCTGAAGGGGATGACAGGCGTGGTGAATGGAGAAGGAAGGACAGAAGGCTAGTTTGGGACTTCTGGCTTGGACAGTGTATTGTGTAGTGGAACCATCGCTGAAGATAGGAGGAGTCCTTTTCAGTCATACTGAATTCATGACGCCTGTGGGGCACCCAAGTGGAAGTCATCCATTGGCACCTGGATTTAGATCTGGCACTCAGGAGGGATGGACAGGATAGACATTGACCAGACACAATTATATTGGCATATTTGGACTGGAGAACCCAGCATCTGACTTAAAGAGTCTGCTTCTCTTCAAAATTGCTTAGGTGTTTTCAAACTACAAACAAATACACTCCCAAAACCTCAATAGATTCTCCCAGTATACCCTATATTTTGGCCAAACTGGAATCACATCCTGGTCTCCCCAAACACTGCTTGCTTTTTGTTCCTTTCTTGCTCTTCCTTCTGATTGCAATGAACTCCCCATTTCCAGTCCCCATCCTCCAATCCCTTCATGTCCAGCTCCTGCTCATCCTTTGAAACCCACTGGATTTTAAGATTCCATCTGACAAGAATGATCACTGTTCCTTCCAGTTCTTCAAGCACTTTTTCTGTTTTTGATGGGATTTATCACTTGAAAATGCATATTATAGTAATTTCTGAATTCATCCTGATTCTCCTACTGGTTTCTAAACTCTTCAGGTTAGAATTCCTGTTGGATATCCCTCTGGCCCGAAATTCCTGAATGAGTTAAGCAGGACACCTAGAACTATGCAGAGGTAATACCTTCCTTGACCTGTCCCTTTTCTGGGTCAGTTTGCCCTTCATGATTTCGGCAGGAGTGTGTCTCCTTCCATTCTGGTGAACACATCCAATGTTCAATGTTGCTCATCAGGGTAAGAGTTCTAAGTCCCTATGTCTTAGAGACAGGGGTTATCTAGCTTTGTCTTCTGCATTGGCTTCAGGCTTCACATCCTTCCTGGACATGTTCAATGCTGCTTTCGTTTCTTGGGCGAGGGCCCTAGAATCACCTTAGACACCTTGCTCTAGACATGGCCCCATCGTGGTATTCCCTTTTGAGAAGACAAAGATTTTAAAAATTCTTTCTCCCTTAATGCCTCATGAATGCCCAAGCAGCACTTCATGGAAGTACACTGAGTCTCTACTGCTTGCAGGGATTAAACATAACATTCTCAACAGTGGTAAGAGAGCCTTTCCCTTCTCTTTGGCTCGTTTTCAGTTTTTATTAATTTCCTGTGCTTCTGGTTCATGAATCCCAAGTCATGATGTGAATCAGTTCAGTTCAGCAAGCACTGAGCTCCCATGATATAACAGGTTTTTTTCTTTTCCGAGCTGTGGCCCATGCAGAGTTTACTGAGACTTGGCTCTTGCCTTTATGCTTTAAGGATCCTAAAGAGAAGATGTAATTATAAGATCTAAAACGTGGAGGGGGGTGGTGAATTCAGCCTGCAGGCATGTGTTTGCTGCCCCCACCCCCACATCCTCTTTTTTTAAAGTTCGCATAAAAACCTGGATTCTTGGTTTCTCTTAAAAAACTGGAAGGTCTGGCACCTTTGCTCCCACATTTCCCGGGCGCAGCCCTTGACTCACCCTGTACGGTGGCCGCCCCAGTTGGATGATGGGGCTTGTGCCCACCGGGTCAGCTCACACCAACCAGCCCCTATTAATTTATACCTGGCCCGCTTTCCAAATTGACATTACCTGGCTGGTCCGTACGCATCCCCTGCAGTAACTGGCTTTCTGGAGGTATGTGCTGAGGATCTCTTTGGCTTCTGCATCTCAAAGGATGAGTGATTTAGCCAGGTGGAGAGGTTGGGGCGGTATCCTGAATGAAAGAATAGCACAGACAAAAGTAGTGAGTTGAAAACAGAACAGCATGGCAGGCTCCCAGTAATCCCATGAGTCACGTGTTCTGCCCACATGGAATGGATGGTGGAGAAGGGAGGAGGGAGGAGGTTGGGCCAGATTAAGCAGATTGTCCCCATTGGTCCATTTTTAAATCTTCCTTTTGGTATTTGTCCCTTAAGGCAACACTTTCAGTCTCAGAAAAAATCCAGTAAAGGGCAAACCAGTTTGGGTGAATTTCTTTGTTTTTGCAGCATGTCTGGTCCCAAAGTGGGACCTGGAGTCCTTCCGACGAGGAAGTGCAGCCTCTTGTCGAGGAGTGCACTGGGAGGGGAGGCTGGACTTCTGGGCTCTGCTCTGCCTCTAATCTGCTGCCCAGCATCAGCCTTAGCCCAGACCCCCAAACTTCCTGGGCTTCATTCTGCTTTGCATTCATCTCAAAGTTAAGCCTTCTGGCTGGCAGGGGTTTCTGAGACAGACTGACAGTATTAGCGTGCTGCAGTTTCATGATGGCAAGAAGGAGGTTACCAAAGCCGTTTTCATACACCTTAACTCATGAGTGGTAGTGAGTGGCCCCAGGTGGGAAGCACAGGTGATTTGGAGCTGGCTAACCTCCTTCCTTTGGCTCTTACTCTCACCAGCTCTTAGACTTGGGGTAGGTTAGTTAGCTCCTCCCAGCCTCAGTTTCCCTGTTTGTCAAATGGGGTCATAGAGGGTGAGAATCAGAGTTTATGCAGGGCATAGCACTAGTGTAATGCTGGGCAGAGAGTGAGCATCCAGCAAGTGGTTTTGACAATGATAATAATTATAACCCAAGCGACACATACAATTTAATCAGGCACTGTGTGTCCACAGCGATGTCAAGGAACAATGCACAAAGCAGAGTTTTTCCAGTCTCCTGATGTTTGAGCCCTGCGCGAGCCCCACTCTTCTCCCTTTTCTCATAACTGCTGTGAGCAACCTCAAATCCTTCTGGAAGTAGGTTGGTTATGAATTATGAATAATTAAAGAAATAAACTCTGGCTCTGCAGCTGAAATTGGGATCGCATGGAGAAAATAGAAAGTCCAGTGTTTGTAGCTGTGATCTCTCAGTTGCTTGCATGAATTGTGCTTTAAGATTGTAAAATTTTAGCCCATTAAAAATAAAATCTGTTGCTTTCCACCCACACCTGGCAATTTGGTGAGGGACGGGGGCTAGGATATTTACTGTCTGAAAGTTTTAGGGAGGCTTTTATGAACTGGGCCATCTCTCCTTGTCCCCATTTTTCTTTGCATCTCCGAACTCTCATTAATTTTTCACAGGCTTGTGATGGATAGTTTTTATTTATTCACGTCTGAGATTCCGTTGTGTGAAAAGGACTCATTTTATAACATTACATATTCATGGCTTGGGATGGATGGGATAAGGAACTTATTATTAATGTGTCACTGTGGGAAACTTACTCTAGTTCATTTGCGAACCTTGTTAAATTCGGTGTGGTCAGCAGACCCGGTGAAGTTTTGGATACATTCTCTTAACAGAGGGCAAAGAGTTTGCTGTTGCTTTTCCTTGATTCAGTAAAACAAGTTTAAATCTTATTTAAATCGTTTGAAGTAGCAATTTGAAAGGGGAGGAAAAAAAGGGGGATGGCAGAGATTAAGTAGAGAGAGAAGCTCCGATTTTCTTGTTGAATAGCCGTGTTTCCTCAGCATTCTGTAGATTTTTGGCCAGGTTTGTGTAAGGGATGAACGACTCTCTATAAAATGATGTCAGGATCCTTTCTTTCCTGCCCATTGCCATTTCTAGCATTCTCTCCTTGAGGGAAGTTGCAGTTTTCTCCCTCTGTGTATTCATCCTTCTGACCTGTGCTCCGGATTCCAGGGAGTTCTCAATTTGGAGCTCATACCGACATCACAGAATTCCTTGCCTGGGACAAATAGAGGGAATATTAACATAGCATCTTGTAAATCAAAGCTGGGCAGGGGGTGGGGGAGGGCACAGTGGGGAACCTGGCCCAATCTGCTTCAGTGTGAGCTTGGTAAGAAGGAAGCATATGTTGCATTTAGTTCTCTGCAAAGACAGGCGCTGCTCTCTGGCAGGGACAGCGTGTAGGGTTTGCATGATTTGTGGGGCCGTTTCATGTTTGCACGGTTTGGCTTGGCTTGGGACTCGGCCAGTGGTCACTGCAGTTTAACAGATTCCCCCCGGGTGTGAAGGAAAGCGAGATAAATGCAGGAAAAAGGATACATTTTGAAATCTGGAAATTTTACATAACAGGCATCAGATTTGAAGAATGTCCAAAATATTACGAATCATAGCACAACCTTTGCTAACACCGTGGAAATTTTTGAACATGGAATTTGTTAATGCTGACTTGGCCCACCATGGGGTTAAAAAAAGTGAATTTCTTTTTGATAACCAAGGTGATGATCTTATGAAGTTGATGATGGGGTGTGAACGGTGTGAGTGGGGGACAAAGCAATGAAATATCCCTTAAAATGCATCCTCTGATGATGTTTCCATAATGCCAAACATTTGTTTCTCTCCAGGATCTCATTGGCGGTTTGCTGGTATTATATTGCCATTTATATTGGAAAGGCAGGCAGTGCGAAAACTGTAGTCTATTAAGAGTTTGTGAGTGTGTGTATGTGTATACAGTGAAATAATATCTAGTGTAATGTGAAGTGACAGTCAAAATTACAGCTTTTCTCTTGCCGCAAGGGTACTTCTCTGCCAAGTATAGTAATATTGTTGTAGCAGTGTTCAAGGTTGTCAGCAATTCTGGCTTACTCTGCAGAGAGCCATAATAGTGTGTGGAAGGAAGGAGCTTCCTGTCAGGGGAAATACTATAATTTTGATATATATTTGTTGGTGCCAAACTGCAATTAAATAGGAGGTGTTGGAAGAAGGTTTTATTTAACCAGCTTGAATTTGTTAATTAATTAGCAAAAACTTATCTTTGGAATGCTTCAAGAAACAGTTCTATGTTGTTCTCATAACTTAATTTTACACAACTGTCTTTTGTTTGTATCTTACAGAAAACAAAATACCACCCTCCGCCAGAAAAGTGCAGAATAAAAATTTTCCACTAGCAAAAGAAGGAAAAAATAAAAGATCTTGAATAGTCTCATCAATTACATCTTCTTTTGTGGGTATTTCCTGGTCTTTTCATGTTTTGACTTCTATCTCGGTGATCTGACAGACATGTACGATTTGCAACAACATCTATTATATGATTTAATTTATACCTTTATCAGTTTGCAGTTATGCTTTACGACTCTTCAGGTGACTAAAGAAAAAGAGGGTGTTTTAAAGTGTGTGTGTTTGTGTGTGCGTGTACGTGTATACATGTGTTTTTCTGTGTACATAAGTGTGTGTGTTTTAAATTGTTTGAAAAACACTAGTCCATCTCTATTGTATTATCTGAGGGATGCTAGCTCGTTACTTGGGATAGTAACAAGTTTCTTGGTGACAACTCCTCCTCCCATTGTCAAGGAAGACTGAGGATGTCACCAGAGTTCGCTGTCAATGGCTATTCAGATGAAAAATACCTTCTTTTTGAATAAGTAGAAAAACCATGGGGGATTGAAATAGCAATAATATATTAAAAGCTCCAAGGCAGTTATGTGTGAAGAAATAAAGAACAGAACAGAGAGATTGTGTTGTTTTAAAAAGGGCTATTTAAGAGTCTTGAAAAGAGTGTGTGTGTGTAGGGGGACACCTCCCTCTCATATTAAGTATTTTGCAAATTAAATGAGTTTCATTCTCCTATAAAATATGAGTCTAATCACATTTTATATGATTGTAAAATGTGTCTACTTTTGTCTCTATCTTTCATGGAAAAAAGAAATATTCCCAAAGTATATTATAAAAAATAATTAATAAGCAACTTTTCATCATTATTTTCTGAGGTTAATTATTACCCTAAGAAATCAATTTCAATTTCTTCAGTTTGAAAGACTCATTTGTGATGGGGTGTTTCCAAAAAGAGAGTTAGTTAAATGCTATATGGAAGCCTTCATTCCCTAAAGAAAATGCCTCTGCTGCTGGCAGTGATTTATCCAGAGCTGTCTCACCCATTTATGCCCCATGCCAGGAGAATGTATGGAAAATGTAATAGAGCTATTAGAATCCAGTGTAGTAGATTGGTAATAGTAAGGAACAACAGTTGTCTTCACATTGTTAAAATAAAAGTGAGATACCCTTTAATCTTCGCAAAGGGAAATAACTCTTCTGCTAACCCTCCTGCCCAACCTGAGATGAAGTATCAGGGGATGCAGTATGGATGTATTTTCCTGACGATTGGTCCTTCTGTCCTGGGACCCAGGTGTGAGTGCATAGGGAAAAGGGAGGAGAAATTTAATCCTGTAACTATCTCCTTATGGAAAACAGGAAACCACAGATGAATCAAATGAATCCGTTTCCCCTCTTTCTGATCCTCTGCAAAAGTCATCAAAATCACTCTGTTCTCACCAGGCAACTGGAGTTTCGTCAGCTGAGTCTAGAGTGTTCCAGGCAGTTACAGCTAATCATGGCAGGCTCTACCCAACTGGGGGAACAATTTAGCTGTTGTGGGATTTCCCTTTAAATTAAATATGTTCTTCAGGTACAGTTTTTTAAAACCAGTTTTTCTCCCCCACTTTTAACCTACTTTATCGTCCATTGCTGGGCCTAGAATTGCATGTCCATTGGCATGGCTGACGTTATATATAAATATTTGGAATTGTAGTTGTAATGATAGATATTATATATATTTCACATGTTTTAAGATTAACATATTAACAGTTTGTGATATTCAACAAAGAATGCAATAACTTCTGCGAAACAGGTAAGAGAAACAACCAGTCACTTGATCTGGATATTGAGACGTTACCTGTAGGATATGTATTAGGCTGTTCTTGCACTGCTGTAAAGAAATGCTTGAGACTGGGTAATTTATAAGAAAAGAGGTTTAATTGGCTCACAGTTTTGTAAGTGGTACAGGAAGCATAGCGGCTTCTGCTTCTGGGGAGGCCTCAGGAAACTTACAATCATGGCAGAAGGCAAAGAGAGAGCAGCAGGTGACATGGTGACAGTGGGAAGTGACAGAGCGTGGGGTGGGGGTGGGAGGTGCCCCACTTTTAACCCTTTTCCTGTTTAGGAAAAAAAAAGCGCAGCTCACTGCCAGCGCTCATTTAATTTTACATAAACATGCTCTTTGAAGCTGAAGCAAATGTGACCGATTTTCAAAGTGATAATAAAATATAAAAACAGTTCTTGGAAATATTTCTGAACAGAACTAACATCAGAATCATCTGAATCATCAGAATTGTGTATTTTGGAAAAATCGGATTCATCAAATGAATCTTCAGCCAACAACTGTTCGAGAATTATGTTAACATCACATGCAGGAATGCTACATTTTCTCGGATTTGACATTTTCAGTGATGGAGAACTATTATATTTTGTAAATGGAAATACCACTACTAAAAACAGAAGGCTATAAATAGAACGATATCCTTCGTTTCCAAAGTCGATATGCTAGAGTGATGTGAAAAAAATAATAAAAGCGAGATATTTCATGGCAAAGCGATCTCAGGGTAAACACTGCACACCAGTAAGTATTCTTGGGGCAAATGGGAAAAGGGTTAAAATGACCAGATCTCCAGAGATCTCACTCACTATGGTGAAGACAGCGCCAAGCCATGAGGGCTCCGCCCCAGTGATTCAAATACCTCCCATTACGGACATGTTTCAACATGAGATTTGGGCGGGGACAAATATCCAAACTATATCAGGATCCCAGCAGACTGGGTGGGTGGAGGTTCAGGGATATCTGGGAAGGACTAAGAATAGCTTTTTCTTTTAGTAGATCAGGAGTTTCCTCTTACACACAAAAAGCTCCAAATTTAAACTAGCTTAAGAGGAAAGGGTCATTACTGGCTGACAAAATGCGAAGTTTTGTGCAAGAGTCAGCAAAGTTTCTCTGTGATGGGATATTTAATAAATATTTTGGGGCCTTGTAGTGTTTGTTGCCAACTACTCAACTCTGCCCTCATAGTGCGAAAACAGGCATAAACGACATGTAAAGGAGCAGGCATGGCTGCGAGAAACTTTATTTATGGATACTGGAATTTGAATTTCATATACATTTTCATGTGTCACAAAATATTATTCTTTCCCCCCCGCCCCCAACCATTTAAAAATGTGAAGCATTTTTAGCCTGTGTGCTGTATAAGAACACAGCCGTGTTTGGCCCAGCGGTTATAGTTTGCCAACCCCTGCTTAGAGTCTAGCTTTATTCAGAGCTTAAATATGTCATCGAGGTCCCCTCTTTATTTAATCCCTTAGTTTTGATGATCTTTTATGGGTTATATTCTTCAAAGGGAAAATTCTCTCCAAATGGGGCTGCCACTGGCAGACGAGCACTGTCCCATCTTGGCTTGTTCCCCCAGTGACAAGAAGCTGTTTTCCCCACTACCCTTGGCCCAAAAGCCACAGGGAGAACCAGGATTGGCCTAGTTTTAGGCAGACACCTATCCCTGAATCAGTCATGTCCCCGGATGATGCGGTTCTCTGCAGCCTGGGCAGTCAAGGCTGGAGATAATTCTCTGCTTCTCCACGGAGTCTGAGAGGCCCCGTTCCCTAATGGTAAAATGAGGTCCAATTTTGCAAAAGGAGGCACCTGGGGAAACATTCTGGACACACAAATCTATAGCTTCTACCGTCAATCTGCTATGATCCTTTTATGGTTCTGACGTTGCAATTTTATTTTTGCATGTTTCTAGAGACATCAGGAGGGGATCTTTTCGGGATGTGGCTTCAAAAAGGAGCCTGTTGGATGGTCTCTTACTAGTGGTCAGCAAAGAACAGTTCTTTTGTAAATTGCACTGCATTAAGAGCATTCCTGTTTCCATCTCATTGATACCTGCCTTGCGTTCTGTTACCTGGAAGCACAGGTCAAGGTAGTCTTCTTGTTCCACTGATTTGATGGGGGTCAGGATGCTTTCAGAAAGGAAGTGAGAAGAGTGGCTTAGAACAGGGAAAATGTGGCCGGGCGCAGTGGCTCACGCCTGTAATCTCAGCACTTTGGGAGGCCTAGGTGCGCAGATTACAAGGTCAGGAGATTGAGGCCAGGCTGGCCAATGTGATGTGAGACCCCATGTCTACTAAAAATACAAAAAATTAGCCGGGAGTGGTGGTGTTCGCCTGTAGTCCCAGTTACTCAGGAGGCTGAGCCAGGAGAATCGCTTGAACCTCGGAGGTGGAGGTTGCAGTGAGCCGAGATCGTGCCGTTGCACTCCAGCCTGAGTGACAAGAGCAACACTCCATCTCAAAAAAAAAAAAAAAAAAAAAAGGACAGGGAAAATGTCCAGGAAGGATGTGGCTTAGCTGAAGATCAGCTTCAGCTTGATCCCACGGGAAGCTCTGGAGGGTGAATTGTACAGCAGAGTTGGTCCTGACTGAGACCAGGGCCTGGCTGACCTATGGCAGTCAGCGATGAGCCAGTGTCTGCTGGGGAAGAGGGCGGCGTGGACATAGCCTCTCAAGTGGGGCAGGAAGGG
Organism: Homo sapiens; assembly: GCF_000001405.40. Lineage (NCBI taxonomy): Eukaryota > Metazoa > Chordata > Mammalia > Primates > Hominidae > Homo > Homo sapiens. The sequence goes on from NC_000016.10 coordinate 78,283,109, forward strand.
GTAGCTGTGAGATACTAGCTAATTCTTACAGCTTCTGGGTTCACCAGCCCGGCAGGAGAATCTGGGTTGAGGAGGCAACATGACAACGTGCCTACCTTCACCAGAGAGACTGCTGTCAAAAATCACTCCATCCATGCAAGGAGGAACGATGCAGACACAGAAATTCTCTGCTGTGAGGGCCAGCACTGTAGTATTTACTGACCTGCTCCCCACTCCACACCTCCAAGTGCAGGTGTACAGACTGACATCAAACCTTTCATCCCGCCCTCGGCCTCATACCTGCTTTCCACTCTGTGACCTATTTACTTCGATGGAGTCATTTTCAAATAACTTTTGTTTAGTGAAACTCAAGGCTTTTCAGGATGCTGTGCTAATGTCTTCCTTTTTTAATTGAGTAAATATATTATACACAGCTGGGTAGGTTGTTTCCTTGCTGGCCTTACTGCTACAATTTGAAAACGGATACAGTTTTCTTTAACTCACATAGGATGAATGTGGCATTTATTCCTGGTTTCCTGTGGCTCTCCTCCTTTAGAAAACGTATTTACATGGACGTTTTTGAAGCACTTCTTAAGACATCGAAAAATTAAAAAAGAAAAAAAAAAAGAAGAAAAATCTCTTTTCCCTCCCCCAAACAATGGTTACATAGTGACAACAGTGGGTTGAGCTAAATTCAGCTACGTCAAGGAAGAGCAATAAAAGGAGATGGATTGTTCTCTAAGCTTCACTTTATTGGATATTGTAATTGACATATAGTTGTCATTTATAATCATCTGTCCATTCCTGTGAGGTGGGAGCAGTAAAGTTAATTGTGGCAGCTCATTTGCATTAATCTCACCTCTGAAGGGTACAGTAACCCATTAATATCACGTCATGATGAATTATCACAAATAACATTGAACATATTGATTAATGATCTCTGAGATTTGTATCTCGTTAAAACATTTTGTTAGCTCTTTAAACTTTTAAGCCAACAACCATTGCGTGTAGGAGGGGTTTAGAGATCATCTGAGAGGTGGTGGTGGGTGGTGGTGTACTTTGTAGGGTCACTGGTTTAAGGGGTTGGACAACCCGTTCCCATCTGATTTTCCTCTTCTTCGGGAGCCAAGTACTTTTTGTTGGTAACTTCCGTCTACTTTTTGCAGGATAGTGGTTTCTTCAAAACAGTGGCTTCTTTGATTGTAAGGTGGCTCCGATTCTCAAATGGAATGATTTTCTTAAGATTTTTAAAAATTACCCCTTCAACACCTTAAGTGCTGGCTTTCTGAACCTCTTGCCCACCTAGGCATGCCTGCTACTTTGAAGTGGCAAGAGTTATCTTTGTCTATTACATCAGCATTCCTAAACTTACATGTTAACATAAACATGGAGCTCAGAGGAAATGTGTTGTTTGAGATGAACCATCGTTTCAAATGTCACTTACTTCTTGTTTTATAAAGTATCATTACTCTTTTCTTGGACACAGTCTCATCTTTGAGGTGTTTGCAGATTTTATCTCCTGTGGACATTTCTACAAAATCAATCAACAAACTTGAGCAGAGAAATCATCATACTAGCCACACACACTCTGCAGGCATTAATAAAATAATAGTAAATTCTCTTTAACCAAGTCCTTTGCAGAATTTCCTGGTAGAAGTTTAAATGCAATAGATGCAGTAAAGAAAAGGGTTGGCTTAAGAGTTGACTTACAAAGCTTGGTCCTAACAGCTTTTTCCTTTATCTGTTTCAAGAGTCATACGATATTTGATCTTTCAAACTTACGTATTTCTTCCATTATGTTTAGTATTAGTTTCGTTTTCTCAAGATACATATTTAACAACTAGCAAAATGTTGGAAGCGGTCTCCTCTGCTGTCTATTTAGGGAAAATGGAACTGATCTTTCTGAAATAGGCATGCATGTAATGATGATGTCATTAATGCTTGGCTAGCTGGTGGACTTAAACCCAGAGGGCACTTCTGAAAAGGGGCAAAGTGCATCTGCTTCTGCTTTGTTTATAGACTGTCAGCCTTGGATCTGTCACTCCCTCAGAAGGGAAGGATTGAGGCCAGGCAAGGTGGCTCACATCTATAATCCCAGAACTTTGGGAGGCGAGGTGGGAGGATCACTTGAGGCCAGGAGTTCGAGACTACCCTGGGCAACACAGTGAGACCCTGTCTCTACTAAAAAAAGAGAAAACAAAATTAACCGGGCTGGGTGGCACCCACCTGTAGTCCTTTGGAGGACTACTTGGGAGGCTGAGGCAGGAGGATCACTTGAGCCCAGAAGTTCAACATTATAGTGAGCCACTGTACTCCAGCTGGGTAACAGAGTGAGACCCTGTCTCTGAAAAATAAAAACTAAAAAAAAAATTAAGTTAGAAGGGAGGGATTACGACCCTCATGTGTATCAAGAAACAAGCTCCATGAAGCCCCATAGGATGGCTCAGCACCAGAACGAGGTCTGACTGTTAAGCAAAGTCAAGTGCATGATGGCTGAACATTGCTGGGGGAAGATTTTGCAATTATGCATTGTTTGTGCCTTTAGCCAGTAGGTAAGGACAGTGGTACCATTCTGACGGACTCTCGGATGCTTGGTTTTATGGAGGGATCTTAAAACAGTAATCGGCCCATATGTGCAGCAACCTTTGCGCCTAAATAGCTGAGGACAAAGTAGGTTGCTTACTTCAAGAGCCCTTCCCTTTCTCTTCTTTGTCAGGCCTGTAATGTTCCTCACCCACTGAGTATTTAATATCTGTGTTTTCACATCAAAGAACAAGCTTTCTGTCTCCCAGGATAGTATCTTGTAAAGCCAGCCTCTTTATTACTTCACCAGTTTTAAGGCTTTATTACTTGCGACCTAAAGCCTGCTAGTGAATTATGCATGTTAGAACTCACAGCACCGTCTCTGCCCACTCTTTTGCCACCTTTTTGGGGGTCCAAAAAGTACAAGGCGAGATCGACGTGTGTTCATTCCCATCCATGGTATTAATCCTTATTCATTTAAAAAAATCTGCTAACGGAAATATTTCCATTCAGCTCATTAATCAATTGTGATTTTCATTCCCTTGTTTTGTAAAAGCTGTTGCAATAAATACTTTTTTCACAAGGCGAAAATCCAAGAGATGGATGCAGCCAGCGTAATTAATTGCACCCAGTTACAGGAGATCAGCAAGTTTGTGAGATTCACATGCTGCTGTACCATATGGTTGCCCAGTGGGCGAAAAATTTGATTAATGTTTTGAAGTAGATTTTTTTCAGCAAATATTGCAGCCCCAGATGAGGTGGGGGTTGTCCCCCCCTTTTACTTTCTAGTATTGTTAGACTTAGCTGAAGGAAACAATCCTCTGATTTAAAGCTTAATAATACTGTGATTCAGTGAAAACTTAACATGCGATAAAAATTACATTTCTCTCATCTCTTGTGGATACAGAAAAATAATACATGATGTCTTCGTTTGTAATTAAGGAAAATGTGATCGTTGGATTCTAAAACTTGATTCTTGATTTTTTTTTTCCCCTAAGAAATGGAACTGTGGTTTTCACTGATGCACTTTTGGTATGATTTATAAGTAGTATATTTGGGCAGACTCTTCATACTCAAAGCAGTAAAAAATAAAATAAAATAAAATACAATGAATCCACAAACAGCTTCTTCTTCATTATGTACCCTATACCTATTAGAGCATCATAAAATATAACTATATGAGTATCATAGAAAAGTTAAAGCTGTCTCTACTCTGTTATGCTAAGATATATTAGTTTCATAACCACTCAATATATTCATAGTTAATTTATCCTTTATTTTAAAAAAATGTCCTGCAGATTTTAAAATCAATTTTATAGTTTCTTTTCTGTTTTTAGTTAGAAAGTTCATTTTATCTTAGCAGCTCCTTGTCATACTGGGCACCCATTCTCTTAGGATGCTGCCCTTCTGACTTTTTTCTCCAATACCTGGGAGGGAATTAGCCATTTGGTAATACAACGGGACAAGCTTATGGTAGGTCTGACCTCAGCATTCAGAAAAACAATGTGAAATTTGTAATATGTGTCAGAACTGGCAATCAACGCCATAAGGACAATAAAATAAAATACATTTCTCCACTTTAGTAAATGAGGCTTCATGCTTCCTATGGCATAACTTTTTTGTTGTTGTTGTTTTTTCTTTTCTTTGAAACGGTTTTAAATTTCTAATTGCCTAAGCAATCTATGACACTCCTTCAATCTTAATGTCTGTTGAAATGAACTAGCATCTCAAGCAGTTGGAGCATCATCTTTAACTAGACATCAACCTGGTTTTGAATCCTTTGAGTTTTGGCAAATAGAAAATTCATCCAGGGCCACAAAAAATATCTATAATTTTGACCCAGTTGTAGTCTAGAGAGATACTTAGTTCAAAAAGAATTGTGTTATCGTCATCAAGCAAAACAACAGTATATGCTATCATCTCTGAGATGTCACACGATTATTGCTTTTTTTTTCCTTTTAAATTTTTTCTTTGTGTCTAAAGCAGTTTAAGAGCTCTAAGTGTGCTCTGTTTTCTGATGGCTTAACAAGGGACTGGCTCAATCAAAATAGAGAAGGAAAGGACGGAGACCAGGCCAAAACGGCCATCTCCTCTGATTTTCGATTCATGATATAAATTTTTAAACAAAAAAGTTACAGTGTTTTTGGTACTTTCACTAGGCTTCTAATTTTTTTTCCTAAACTTAAAAAAATTTTTTTAAGATCAATTATGTAATAATTAGCCACAAAGGCACAAGAACTGTTTCAGTAGTGGCCTGTTTTAATGTTCCATTCTGAAGAAACTGGTACAGCCTTTCTTTCCTGAGTTTGAGCTGAAACTCTCTCTTTCCCTTTTATCAGGTCGCTCAAAACAGATTTTTAGAGTGAAGCAGTTTTAGGGACAACATTTAGGAGAAACATTTCCCTAAGATTCCCTAACATTTTTTTCTTTAATTTAGCCATTTCTAATGAATATTTTTTAACTGTGCAATTTAAGTAATGATTTTTTTAATGCCTGCTACCTTCAAGACACTTCGTGTGGTCACCTCCAATTATAGACTAGGTTTTTAAATGAAAAACGGAAACACTTTTAAATTTTTATTTAATATGGCCGGTGAAACATGAACAATATATGATCAGTTGGCAGGAGACAGTGTGATGAATTATTTATGAGTTTACTTTTTTTTTTTTTTTTGCTTTAACAGCACATACATATATGAAATTCATTACCAAGTGATAGGACGGGTAACCCAGAGGTTCTGATGAGGGCCAGGACCTCATGGTCATAAAAGTAACATTAGACCTATTCCTAGTAATTTGATCTAGGTTGGCCTGATTTTTGTTGTGGTGGCAGTGGTGGCTGTGGTTGTCAATTTAATGGAATGTATTTGGAAAGAGCAAGCTTCTTCCCAATGCAGTGTTTTCCCTGCAAAGGAGAAGAAATATATTTCTTGCCTCTCTTTCCTTAGTCCTGTGTGCTTCCCCTTGATTTCACCAGGACAATTTTATACCAATCCCTTGTATTTTAGAAGAGCCTGATACATTTGCAAGGTCTCTCTTTATATTCCTGAATTTTGCATCCCTAGACATCATCCTTTTTGAGAGAGAAAATTCCGAGTGTCAGTTTTCCTTTATCGGAACCTCCTTTTATTTGAACTAACCACAATGGGTCATAATTTATAGGCCCAGTCAGCGCATCATTGCTCAGATAGAGTCATTTACCTACAAGTATCCATCAGTTAGGTGGGGGCTGCTAGATTTTTTAAGTGGAAAAAAATCCAAACAGGTTCAGGAAGAAGAAGAAAAAATCATCCTGGGGGCAGAAGAACAACAACAAAAAATTTTCCTTGGGGCCTTCCAATTTGAGATTGTTGAGTGTTGCCAAGCAAAACTAACACGCAGTGGGAAGGTTCTGCTTTTCTCACAAATTCTCGGTTAACACAAGGCGTGCCAACAGCTGGTAGAGCGAGAGTCAGGGTGCCAGGCTGAAATGGAGTGGAAGGCAGCCCTGGCTGGAAGTCTTGCTGGGAACCTGGAGCGCTGGGAGGTAAAACTTTACTTGGTGCTGGCAGCGTCACTATGCCAGTCTGTTTCTTCCCGAGCTTCAGGCCATGCTGATGTTCAAGTTGAATAAATGAGAGCTAATGATTTTTTAAGGCGTTTTTAGTGAATTGCCGTGGGAATGCTAAGTTGGCAAGAATAAAACCTAGGCGAGGAGAGTTGATTTTTGATGACCCAAAGAAGGCATGTCCTAGAGTGGTTTAGTAGAGCTCGAATAGTCTAAGATTGTTCCACATCAGGAAAAGTGTACAGTTATCAGAATTACTTACTAATGAAAAAAAGGGGAAAAAAAGATTATTAGGCTGCAGGGTAGTGGGAAGGAACAGGGTAGCAACTCTACAGTGACTTGGTCTGAGAAACCCTGTAACTTGGATCCAGCCAGGGAAGTACTTTTCCCAACAATCGGTTCCGCTGTCCTGCTGTGACCAGTAACAGGGGAAAAAAATAAAACTCCCCTAAAGGTAAATGATTCACCTCATGAACGAAGGGAAGAATAAGAGACCTAAGTTTATATACACAGATTCCAATTGTAAAATCAAACCTATTTTGTTTTCTAAATAAACAATATTTGAAAATACAACATTGCAGTCTTGTTTTCTTTTATACTGGCTAGGATGGTCTGGTCCTTTAGAGGAGGTCCTGAATAAAATAATATGGGCTGTAGAGAGAAACGCCGTTTGCTTGATAGGTGTTTTTGTAAAGGTTTTACTGGCCTACAGTGTCAGTACATTGCAAATTTAAGAATGTTCACTGACATTTTTAGTAGCCACTTAAAAAATTTTTCTAAGCAATGATGTCATTGTATTTTACTTATAATCAGAAGTACATCAGCCCGTGAATTTAGTTAAAGGTTTTTAATGTCACTTTTATTACATTTTTACTGTGCATTCATGTGCACACACACACTTTTAAGCATTTTTGATTTATATATCCCTCTGCATATTTTGTGCCTTGTGATGTGTTTAACGAATGACAGTGTCTTTAGTGCATTGCTACTTGGGGTTTCTACACTGGAAGTGTAATCCGAGGCCTTGGAATTGGTCAAACAAAACTCACTTGGCAACATTTACTTAGAGAGCACTCTGCGAGCACTCTGCGAGCGGACATGTCGATATCAGCTCCCTCCTCGTTCCCCCCCCCACCCCCCATCCCATGTTTATTTGTAATTAAAGTTAAGATGCTTGAGAATGGCTTTACCATTAATCTAGAAACATAGAGTTGTTTCCTGGTGAATGATGTATGACAGTTTTCTTTGTGCTTCCTCTGAATAGAGAGTAGTTTTTGTGGCATTGTTACAGAGAACAGCTTTCCTGTAGGGCTCACAGGCTCAACTGTTTCAAACTCCTGTTGTTCGGTAAATCTGTCAGAAGGGTCTGCAAGGGACCGTATTTATGAAGAGAGTGTAGAGTGGTCAGTCTAAAAAGCTCCTTAGTGTAGTACTTTGAATTTTAAATTACACACATAATTCAAAGGTAATGTAACTTGCCGTGTCGGACTTTAGTCCATTCCGTTAAATGGAGAAAAATGACTGACGTGAAGAATGACTTATTGATTCTTGGTGGGAAAATGACTTCTGTAATATGGGAAGTATGGTAAAAGGAATAGCTTAATTATTTAGGGAGCACTTTTCAAAATGTGCTTTTACAGCAGTACAAATTGTACGTATACAAATGGTATGACTAGGTTCTTTTTTTAAAAATTCTTTCATAGGAGAAAGTTATGAGAAGGCTTATATTATTTCGTTGCTAAGGCAAAGTTTAATTTTGCTTAAATTCCTGTAAGACTAACTAAGAAAGGTAGGAGGAGTGATGAGCAGTTTCTTAACCCTTTAAGAAATATGACTTGTTCTAATTGCCTTTTCTTATTTACATTATACTTAGGCTGGTGTTAGGATGCCGTGGCTGCCAAGTTTACACAGTGCACTTTCTCTCTCTCTTTCTTCTTTTGGTTTATGATGTTTTTCAGTAGTGTCATGGAACTCACTTAATCTGATTTCATCAAGTAAATATATGGGAAGTTGAGATGACATATTTTTATCTGACATTTGAAGAAATATTCATAAAATAGCAGATAAAATATTTATTTTGGCCTTTTCATTCTGATCTCTCTTTTGACTCGATGTGTATTCTTTGCTTAAGGACCACAGCCTAATGTTATTTTGACTGCATTTCACAGTGTTGGCGGCCTTTCAGATAAACAGCATATTTGTGGTTAATTGGCTGAACATGTTCTATAATTATAATTATATTAAAACCTTAATGTTCTTGAACGTTTGCCCGCGAAGGCCACTCACGTGAACTAAGTTATGTTTCTGTCGTTATAACTGAGCTGGCTGGCGGCTGCCATTCAGCAATCCAGGCAGGACTGGGAACCTGGGAAAACTGCAGAGGTTTCTTATTATTTCGGTCTGAAACCGCTGTTTGGATAGTTTTAGAAGTTGACCATGAAAATTGCCTTCTGGTTGTAACTTGGATCCCCAGGTTTCAATCTGTGGGCTAACGTTTCTTGGGATTTTCAGAAAGGATTGGCTTGGCTTTTTATCAAAGTTACACAACGGCTGTAAAAAATAAATAAAAAAAAAGCAAAATTAGCACTTTATCAAGTTTGGGGCATATTTCCAAGGCCACCAGGGAGCAGGGAAAGTCACCAAAAGACCGCTCCTTGAAACCAGGCAAGAAGCCATCTTTGCAGTGAGCTGAGAGGTCTGATGGCCGCCAGCTGAGGGAGGGAATTCCCCTTTTGTGCCTTCGGGATTGATAGAGAAGCCCAGTGGACTTAGCATCTGGGAATCCCAGATTGATCTTTTCTGGATATTGGGTCAACCATAAGATGGTACCTTTCCCTGTGTAACAAAGTCAGATTCTGTGAAACACCTGTTTTTTGTATGGCTTATGAGATGAGGATGATTTTTACCTTTTTTTTTTTTTTTTTTCCCTTGAGACAGTGTCATTCTATTGTCCAGGCTGGAGTGCAGTGGTGCAATCTCAGCTCATTAACCTCAGGTTTTTTTACAGAAAAAGTTTGCCACCCTCTGATCTACATGATGTCCTTCAGTTTCTGTCTCTCACCAGACTGATGGTGCCATGAGGGCAGGGGCAACTCCTATCCTAAGGCGTGGCCCATAGTAAGGGGTATTGGTTAGAAGAATGAAAGATTGAATACGTCAAAGTGATGAGTACAGAGCTGTCTGTCATTTTCTTATCTTTGGCCTAACAACTGAACACATTTTATGAAATTTGCAAATCTGTTTCCAAACATGTTTGAATGGATTTTTATGGTCTTTTAATTAACCCAATAAAAATGGTAACAACACAGCAATTTTAAGAAAATAACAGAGCCAAGTATTTTTTATAGCTATGCATGCAATCCACATTACACCCACATGCAGTATTTCTATGGTCCAAATAAGTATCTGTCGGACTTAGAATATTTAAATTAGGATTTAGTTGAAAGATTATGTTCTATATCTTTTTTTTTTAAAAAAAAGGAAGAAAAATAAAGCTCTTCCTAAATTTATTTACATGTTGGAGCAATTCTGGCACTGCTAAATAAGGCAGGAAATTCCATTAAGTTTAAATGTGCTGCCCTTACCCTAAAGTGTTTGGAGGGCTTCGTAGAAGAGCCAAATAGATTCACACAGATCTTATTTGTAGAGCTGAATGTGCACTTCATTAAAATACTTTGTAAGGTATTCAAGGATGGGCTAGGAGGGTGAGGATTCCAAATCAGAATCTTCAAGCCAGTGATCCAGGCCAAAGGTATTCTGCCAGAGTGTGAGGAAATTTCACAGCCTCATGGAGACACCTCCCCTCCCCACCCTTGTTGAACAGACTCTGGAAAAGTCACCATTTCTTGTTGGTCCTTTGCTCTTGGAGCATTCTTGGCCTGACCTGTCAACCACTTTAGCCTCCAAGGTATCTGAGCCTTTCTTTCGCCTCTCTACTTAGATCATATTCTTCCTGGATTTTGGAATCAGGCTGGGACACAAGCCACCTCCTCCTCCATTCTAGCTGTGTGGCTCCAGGCAAGTGGCCACACCTCTTTGAGCCACTAGTTAACTCAGCTGCCAAACAGGGATTATACATTTACCTCTTGGTGTTGCAAGAATTAACAAGGAGGATATTTGTAAATCTCCCTGGGAGCTGGATGGTGCTTAATAAGCAGGCATTAAGGGTTGATTATCTTTGCACTCTCTCCTGCCAGATTTTGTAACTGAGTCCAGGCATCTTTAGAAACAGAAATGGTCCCTGCTCTTCTGTATCCCCTGGGATAACCTAGCATCATTTCGCTGGGTTACACATCCTCTCTTCTCTCCTGTATGTCGTCCCTCTTTCTTACGGTGGTTCTAAGCTCTATGGATCACTTGTCTTCTCCTCTGAGCGGGAACTGGGCAATTGGAGGTTCTTTCCCCTCCCGTGCTGGTGGGAGAATTGTTTAGTAGGTCATAAAGTGGAATCTCCATTTCAGTCTGATCCGGTCAATTCTGGTAGGACTTCATCCAAGCACAAAGAAACCTTTGTTTTCATTCAAGACTTCCCTAAAAGGTGGCTGGGTGCGGTGCCTCAGGCCTGTAATCCCAGCACTTTGAGAGGCCGAGGCTGGCAGATCACGAGGTCAGGAGTTCCAGACCAGACTGGCCAACATGGTGAAACCCTGTCTCTACTAAAAATACAAAAATTAGCCAGGTGTGTTGTCACGTGACTTTAATCCCAGCTGCTCAGGAGGCTGAGGCAGGAGAATTGCTTGAACCCTGGTAGGCAGAGGTTGCAGTGAGCCGATGTCATATCACTGCACTCTAGCCTGGGCGACAGAGTGAGACTCTGTCTCAGAAAAAAAAAAAAAAAAAAAAAAAAAAAAAAAAGGCTTTCCTGAAAGGTGATTCACAGGCCTCTTCGGATCCCTTCGTGTTTAGCAATTTGGATTTCCACACAGCCTTGCTGTGCCTTCTGCCCATTTGTCCTCTGCTGCTGGTCCCTGGGTGGGACAGCTCCCCTTTCTCCTTGTCTGGGTTGCTCAGATAGAGCCATAAGGATTCTCCCTGCCTCAAGAGCTGACTTCCTTCCACGAGTTCCTAACCACCTGTCCAGTTGATTCTTCTCTGGACCTGCCTTGACATCTCTGTGCCAAGCCCAGTGCCGGGGTTGCAGATGCAGAGGCACTGGTGCATATTTCTTGAGTTGAAGAGCTTGCAACTGATGAGCCCCTTCCACTCAGAAAAATGTTGTTCCTGGTCTTGCCACTGCCTGGAACCCACCAACACCTCCTCTTTCCAATATTGCTGGCTTCTACTTGTTCTATAAGAGCCATGTTCTACAAGTTCTGTATTGTGTGTGAGTCCCTCTCAACAAAACAATTTCCCTAGTCATCTCTTATTTATACTCCTTGATGCAGATTTCCATTTTACTCTTACCTCATTCTATCATAATTATCTATTTGTGTGTGTATGTATGTCCCCACTAGGCTGTGAGGTCTGTAAAAGGATAGTCTAAATACAGCTATCTATTGCAAATCTTATAATGTGACTCCATGATGAGATAGTTGGATATAGCCTTATGTTCCCAGCAGGAAGGAAGAAAGGAAAGGAGGGAGGGAGGTAAGGGTGAGAGAGAGACAAGAAAGGAAAGGAGGAAGGAAGGATGGGAAGGAGGGAAGAAGAGAGTTTGGTCAACATTTGTTGATTGTGAATGAACAAACTAATGAACACTAAATGAACAAATGAATGAATGAATGGACAAATGAATGAATGTATGAGTGGGTCAAGAACAAGATTCGGCCCCAAGGAGATACGCGACTTTCTACTTTGTTTTCTATTTGGATTTCACACAAAGGCTCTAAGGTCTCCTGGTAGGCCATGCTCAGAAGTCTGGGTTGTCCCCTGCCCAGGACAGGCTCACCCTGGCCTGTGTCCTAGGTATTGTGGGGCCGCTGTAGGAGGATGGTGGTTAAATCTTGGAGGAAATCCAGGAGTCTCATGTCCCCTTGGCTTCTGTCAGAACCAGTACCTCTCATTTATTTTGAGGTCTTGGCTGAAGATGTATCATCTACAACCCTGCAGATCAGATGTGTTAGAGCAGAGAGAGTGGCGAGGATTAATCTAGACTGAAATGTGCTAATCAAGCTGTCTCAGATGCCATTTTCTGGATAGGGAGGAACAGCAGTTGGCGAGTTTAAGAGCAATATGGAGGAACCACTGGGGATTCTATGCATGATCTTAGGGGAAGTAGCATTATTATCTCCAACACTGGCTGTTTACATTATCAGAATAAGAATGGTTCTCCAAGGCCAGGTGTGGTGGCTCACGCCTGTAATCCTAGCACTTTTGGAGGATGAGGTGGGTGGATCACCTGAAGTCAGGAGTTCAAGACCAGCCTGGCCAACATGGTGAAACCCTGTCTCTACTAAAATACAAAAATTAGCCGGACATGATGGCAAGTGCCTGTAATCTCAGCTACTCAGGAGGCTGAGATGGGAGAATCGCTTGAACCCAGGAGATGGTGGTTGCAGTGAGCCAAGATCGCACCACTGGACTCCGGCCTGGGTGGCTGAGAAAGACTCAGTCTTAAAAAACAAACAAACAAACAAACAAACAAACAAACAAAAACTTGTCTCCAAATGAGCAGACACCAGAATCTCATGGAGGGATTTTTCGAACACGTAGCACAGGGCTTCGCCCCCAGCATTTTTATTTTCGAACTTCTGGAGTGCAGCCCAAAGATCTGCATTTCTAGCAAGTTCCCAGATGATGTTGATGATGATGCCTGTTTGGGTATCACATTAGATGAAGGGCTTTGCTAATTTCAGCTGCAGAGTATTGACTCATGGGGTAGGATTCCTGCCATCTGCAGCTTCTTTGGGTCATCACTAGGGTAGAATCTTATTTTCTGAGTATGAAAAGCATCAAAGTTATTTTAGTAAAATGCTTTTGCTGTCATTGCTTTAAAACTAGCTCTTCGAAGTGGGAAAACCAAAAGTTTTATTGAAGCAATTTGTTGTAAATATGAGTTCTGTATCACATTTGGGAAATTTGTAAAGCCTTACTTTGAATGTCTTTTTCTTCACTCTATCTGTATTGTTTGGTGCTTTCTATATAAATTTATAAATTGGATGTACCGCCACAGATGTCGGTTTTCTGGTAATAATACTTTTTTACATTAAAAAAAACTCCTGAAATGAAAATGTAACTTAGTCTTATTATTGTAATCTCCCCTTGCCTTTTTGCATGGATCATTTGTTTGTGAACTGGTTATTTCAGGAAGGGCTCAAAGGTAATTTCATGGTTTATAGCATTTATATTGGCGCCTTCGATGAGCAAAACATATTGTTTTCTAATACATGAAACCAGGAATTCATATATATATGTATATATATTATTATTATTATTTTCATTTTCTAAAATTACATGTAGTACATGTATATCAACTTCAAGACATTGAGAACAACCATGTACAGAAATTATACTCTGTACACAGGGGAAATATGAAAGTTTTGTAATGCAAAAAAATAAAAAAAAATCAACATTTGCAAGCTTATGAGATGATTTTATTTTTAATGAATCCAAATGGTAGCAGGGAGCTGCTGTTGTGTTTGTGCATTGTACAGCAATTCATATCTAAAAATAAAGTAACATATGGCTTTGTTATTATTTAGTTTAGGAATTGATGCACCTAAAGGAGTTTTGAGAGCTCTGGGTCTCGTTCGGTTGTTGTACATGGCAACCAAATAAGAGTAGCTGGAGCAGAGACTTTCTCTTCTTCAGATTATTAAGATTTGAGCAATTCATTTTTTTTGGATGGTGTTTATTAAAGTCAAGAAATCTTTTGCTTATTTGCTAATGATTCTCTCCCCTTTCTCTTCTTATATTTTTGAAGGCTGAATTGGTAAAATTATCTGGCCCAATAAAAATATGTCCTGGGTTGGAAAAGAGCACAAGTTTCTTTTTCTAGCCCTGGAGTGAGGTGGCTCTCTGGCCTCTGGGTTCGTTTGGTATCCTGGGGAGTCATTGACACCCACACACTCCTAGTCACAAGACCTTTCCCTCCCATCCAGATTGTGTTTATTTTACGGCTCTCGCACGGAGCATGCAGCTGTGTAAACCTGAGAATGGTTTCTGCACAGCTTTGATCTTTGCATGGATCAACAGTTGCCCTTAGTCCCTGAACCCTGTTCCATGGCCCCATATTTCTTGGATTTTTCCATTTTCTAGTAATTATGGCATCATGTAGGGAGCCTTCCAACAGCATCCCCCACAGCTTTGGGTGGAGAATTTGGAAAAAATGCCTTAAGTCTGCCATTTGTAGAACCATATTAAGTAGTGATTTCCATTTGATGCCAAAAAAATATGCCATTTAGTTTCTTCCTAAGAGGCAATCTGACAATTTCGAGTAGACTGCTGGAGTCTGACAAATTTGAATGTATTATGGACTGAATAAATGTTTATTGAACAAATGCCATTTTTTTAACTCTTAAAATGTTCAGTTCTTCCACCAAACATAGATGACACAACTGTTGGAGACGGAGCACCGGACTGATGCAGTGTAGCATTATTTTGTAATCTACGAACTGGGAGCCTATGGAGACCTATGCATGGTGGAATACAAAAGTCATGACCTGTCTTTATATCCTAGTATGGGCAATAAAACCCTCCCTTTAATAGCCTTAAACATGGTACAAGGAAACTGTGCAGGAGTTCCAGGGAAGGTGCCATTTTTCCATATGGAGTTGATATGGTCTGACTGTGTGTCCCCACCCAAATCTCATCTTGAATTCTAATTGTAATCCCCATGTGCTAGGGGGAGGGACCTCGTGGGAGGTGATTGAATCATGGAGACCGTTCCCCCGTGCTGTGAGTGAGTTCTCATGAGATCTGATGGTTTTGTGCGGGGCTTTTCCCCACTTTGCTCTGTACTTCTCTGTTTCTTCTCCTTCTTGCCACCAGGTGAGGAAGGACATATTTGCTTCTCCTTCCATCATGAATGTAAGTTTTCTGAGGCCTCTGCAGCCCTGTAGAACTGTGAATCAATTAAACCTCTTTCCTTTATAAACCACCCAGTCTTGGGTATTTCTTCTTAGCAGCATGAGAAGGGACTAATACAGGGGTGATCACAAACAGCCTGCAGACTGGGCCATCTTTCTTAGGCAGGATCTCGAGCTAGGAGATGAGAAGAGCTCTATAGGCAAAAAGAATGACTTGGAAGGCCACATATGGCAGAGTAGCTAAGACTTTGGGGTTTCCAGTTTCAGATAGACATGGGTTTGTATCCTGGCTCTGCCCCTCAATGCCTGTGTGATCCTGGGTAGTTTGCTTAATCCTTATGAGTCCCGGTTTTCTCCTGTAAATTGGGATTAATAATAGTCACAGCTAGCTGGGTGCAGTGGCTCACACCTGTAATCCCCGCAGTTTGGGAGGCCGAGGCGGGCAGATCACCTGAGGTCAGGAGTTCGAGACCAGCCTGACCAACATGGAGAAACCTTGCCTCTACTAAAAATATAAAATTTGCCACGCTTAGTGGCACATGCCTGTAATTCCAGCTACTTAGGAGGCTGAGGCAGGAGAATCGCTTAAACCTGGGAGGCGGAGGTTGTGGTGAGCCAAGATCGCACCATTGCACTCCAGCCTGGGCAACAAGAGCGAAACTCTGTCTCAAAAAAAAAAAAAAAAAATTATGTCCTTCTAGATTGTGAGGATTAAGCAAGACCATGCATTTACATTGTTTAACACTGTCCCTGAGACATAGTAAGGCCTCAGTAACTGTTAGCTCTCTTATTGCTACCGGACAAGTGTTCTTATTTTCCCTTTTCTTCTTCTTCCTTTTCCTGTTCCTTGCCCTTCCTCTTTCGAAGAAAGTTTACGCCAAAAAGGATGAGCTGGGTTGCAGCCAGCATTCTGGTTTCACAGGAGCCTAGGAGATACATGGAGAATATTCTGAGGCTAGGTTAAATAGTTTGTCTCCAGTGTGGGTGTTAGTCATATTCTTATCAGTATCTGAAGAACCCAGAAGACTGACTCTCAGAACGGAAAACTCTTGGCTAGAGGATTCCGAAAGCTAGCGTGAAGTGGAGGCTATTACTCAGTGGGTGCCGTAACATGTCTGTGTCACCTGGCACCTTTTTATTCTCTAATCTCAGGAGTGAGTGCTTCCTCCTGCCGTGCCTGGCCACTTCTCACCTTCAGAGTCTTTGGTATGCATAAATTCTTCATCACTTCAGTAGAGTGAACCCTGATTACCTACATTTATTAATGAAAACAACCAAGAATAGTTGAGCCCAAAAGTACAAATCAATGTGCTGAATCAGTTTATGATGTCTCCCTAATTTCTGCACATCTGTTGAGCTGTGATTTCAAATTCCATTCCATTTCTTTTCTTTTCTTTTCTTTTTTTTTTTTTTGGAGACAGTGTCTTGCTCTGTCACCCAGCCTGGAGTGCAGTGGCGAGATTGGCAAGATCGTAGCTCACTGCAGCCTCCACTTCCTAAGCTCAAGTGATCCTCCCACCTCAGCCTCCCAAGTAGCTGGGACTACAAGGTTGTGCCACCATGCCCGCCTAATTTTTTGTATATTTAGTAGAGATGGGGTTTTGCCATGTTGCCCAGGCTGTTCTCGAACTCCTGGGCTCAAGTGTTGTGCCCTGTTTGGCCTCCCAAAGTGCTGGGATTACAGGTGTCAGTTACCGCACTGGCCTGGAAATCCTATTTCTTGTCAAGCAGGACATCAAAGTTGAGATCTAAGAATTTGGACTAAAATTTGGGGCAGGTTGTTTCCACTACTGTGTATTGAGAGATGGCAGGGACCATCTTGCCGAGTCCAAGAGATTGTGAAGTCTAAAAGGCTTGGCCGCAGTGTTGGTTCATCTGTAACAGCTGCCTACAAGGGAATCTTTGAGAAATACAGATTGCTGCATCTTATAAGAAGGACAGTGCTTAAAACAGAAAGAATTGAGTAGAAATTAAGACATAGCTTGATTTTTTTCCAACAGAATCATGAAGTCTGTTCAATTTTCTTTTTAAAAAGTAATTTAATCTTCTAGAAGATATCTACGTTTATTCAATAATTTCCTAAGGTAGTCTTCAAAACCTAGGAGCCTAGGAGATACATGGAGAATATTCTGAGGCTAGGTTAAATAGTTTGTCTCCAATATGGGTGTTAGTCATATTGTCATCCGTATCTGAAGAACCCAGAAGAGTGACCCTCGGAAAGGAAAATTCTTGGCTAGAGGATTCCGAAAGCTAGCGTGAAGTGGAGGCCGTTACTCAGTGGGTGCCATAACATGTCTGTGTCACCTGCCACCTTTTTATTCTCTAATCTCAGGAGTGAGTGATTCCTCCTGCCATGCCTGTCCTCCCTCCCTCCCTCCTTCCCTCTCCCCTCTCCCTTCTCCCCTCTTCTCTTTCCCCTGTCTCCTTCTCTCCCTCCCTTCCCTCTCTTCCTTTCGCATCTGACATCTCCAAATAGTTTTTCATGCAATGGCATTACTAATGGCTTGACTTTTTCGGGAAATGATTCATTACTTTATGATTTCAATTCAGTAACCATTTTCAGCTATGCCATAAATTTAAATCCTTTACCATCAAGATAACGTTTTTTTCTCCTGTCACTGAAATATTATGATTGGAAACTATTTTTAAAAGTTGACTCTGTTTGGGACAGCTCTTAGGGATTTGTCCTTTATACCAGCATATAACTTGTAGGTTGTCAGTGTCTCCAGGGGCCATATGTTCACCACCTAGACTCAACAGTTGCTAATGTTTTGCCATGTTTTGTCAGTTCATCTATCTGTCCATCTCTTTGTCCATCCATCCAACTACCCACTTACCCATCCATCCATACATTTATCCATCCATCTACCCACCCATCCATCCATCCATCCATCCATGCATCCATCCATCCATCCATCATCCATCCATGCATGTAAGTTGCAGACATCAACAAACTTTACCCTTAAGGACTTTGGCTGGCATCTCCTAAAACTAAAGGCATTGCTGTACGTAATCACAACTATCATCATTATCATGTCTATGAAATTGGTAATAATTTGCTAACATAAAATAATACCTAGTCCATAACAAGATTTACTGAATTATTCACAAATTGTCTTTTATAGCTTTTTGTTTTCAATCAGGCTGTAAAGTTCACACATTACATTTGGTATTGTATCTTATTAGTCTGTTTATTAAAGAGTTTTTTTCAGGGATCAGGGTTAGAGGGAAGGCTCCTTTCTGGATACTGTGTATACTACTAATTTTCTTTATCGGCTACCAAGGTTTTCTTTATTTTTTTCATACTTTTCTTTCATTGAGGAAACTTATTGTTTTGTACATTTTGTTGTACCTTTATGAATCTGGTTTTGACTTCTGGCCCAGCTAAGAAGCTGGTTTCCTTTGGTGAAACATGGGAGAAGAGGGAGGAAAAATCTGTTAATTAGAATTGTGGGCGTGCACTCTGTTTATCTCTAACAGAATAGGCTTCCCACGGCTCTGAGCTGGAAAGGAAGATTCAAGTCTCAGGTTAAAAAACAAACCCTCCAAGACCTCAGGGCTGTTTGCCTGTGATTAGAGTCTAAGAAAGACTGAGAATTGGAAATCAGGACTGTCTCTGGTCACTGATGGTTCAACTACAGCACAGATGCACTGGGTAACAGACACACCGCCAGGCCTCAGGATTACGTTACCTAGGGTTAGGACTGAGCCTTTCTTCCACCTTCTTGGGGTTGGAGGGCAGGAATTTAACATATCTTAGATCACAGAGTAAGGCCTCTTCTACCCATAAGTTTGGTTTATACATCAAAGTAACATTCTAAAATTAGATGAGGGTGTTTTTTTTTTTTTTCTTTTTGAGACAGGGTCTCACTCTGTTGCCCAGGCTGGAGTGCGATGGCACAATCTCAGCTGATTGTAACCTCCACCTCCCGGGTTCAAGCGATTCTCCTGCCTCAGCCTCTCTAGCAGCTGGGACTACAGGCGCCTGCCACCATGCCCGGCTAACTTTTGTATTTTTAGTAGAGAAGGGGTATCGCCATGTTGGCCAGGCTGGTCTCGAACTCCTGACCTCAGGTGATCTGCCTGCCTTGGCCTCCCAAAGTGCTGGGGTTACAGATGTGAGCCACTGTGCCCGGCCTTAGATGAGGTTTGTAGATGTGTTTTTCATATTCCCAAAGCCATGAAATTTGACAGGTAAATATATCAGTTATAAAAGTTTTAGGATTAATTATCAACTAACTCCCAGAAGTTGCCTCAGCCTCTCTTTTTCAGCCTTGTCTTGCCCCAGCCCAGAGACAAGCCACAGCTATAGGTTTTATTTCTGAAGGAGAAAACTCAGTGGACCATTCCACTGCCTCAGGAGATATTGCCTACCTGCAGACATGTTTTGTCTTATCCACACATGATGTAAAAACAAAATAAAAATGCTGAGAGAAATGCCAATTCAGAGGTTTCATATAAAAATATAGCTTTCCCATTAGACTTGAAAATTGGAAGAGGAGGTAACAATTGGCCAGTGCTGAGTAGAGGGCATGTGGTCTCTACTTTGCCACAATCTCCACCATACCTTATTGTCTCCCTTCTCAGTCGAAGCAGCTTTACACACTCCTGCTACTTGCCAAGACACTGTACACATTTAAGTTTGCTACCTGTTACTTGGCATATCTCTTGGTTCCTAAGAGTTTTAGGTATTATGCAATTTGCCAGCTCCCTCAGCCCCTTTCCTGGCTCCAAACCTTTGGCTTTGGTTTGATGTTACTGGGTTGCTGCAGGAAATTTCCCTGTGGACCTCACTACTTTATCAACTGTAATGGTCTTGTTGAAGACAAGGCTTAGAACATCATCAGACCCAGAGCCTTTCTCAGAGGACCTGGGAGAACTCTCCATATGGATTTTCATTTGGGAAGATAGATGCTCTTATTGGAACAGCTGGTTTTCCCTTTAAAACAGGGAGTCCAGCAGCTTCTAGGATGCTTAGAATCAGAATTGTTGCTCACTTTTTAAGGTATAGAGTATTTGTCTTATTCTTAACTACATTTTATATCTTTGCCCTTTTTTCCCCTACTTTAAATAAAATCTATCTCTAATTTATGTTACTTAAGCAATGACAAATTCTTTTTCTGATAGACAAAGTAAAGTATAAATAAATAAGACATCCAAGTAATAATCAGAAGTATTTTTTATGTTGGTCTCATTGTGGTCTTTTTAATCCCAGGCCTGATGCGCTTTAGGTACCAGCCTTGGTTGAAGAGGAGCTTGAACAGCCTACACAGACATGAAACTTGAGCAACTGAGCTCATGGACGTTGCTTTTAATCAGGATCCAGAACTAGGGAGTTGAGTGAGCTTGGATTTGAGCTCCACTTTTCAAATTTTCACCACCTGTGCTCTTTCGTTTTTGTTTTTTGTTTTTGTTTGTTGGTTGGTTTTTTGTTTTTTTGAGATGGTGTTTCGCTCTCGTTGCCCAGTCTGGAGTGCAATGGCACAATCTCGGCTCACTGCAACCTCCACCTCCCGGTTTCAAGCGATTCTCATGCCTCAGACTCCTGAGTAGCTGGGATTACAGGCATGCGCCACCATGCCCAGCTAATTGTGTATTTTTAGTAGAGACGGGATTTCTGCATGTTGGTCAGGCTGGCCTCAAACTCCCGACCTGAGATGATTCACTTGGCCTTGGCCTCCCAAAGTGCTGGGATTACAGGTGTGAGCCACCGTGCCCGGCCAGACCCGTGCTCTTTCTCCCACCACTGCCCTGTGCCAACCACCACCCCCACTCCTATTCTGGAAAGAGCCAAGCCGTCAGCTATTGCTTTTGAATCTATACGCAATTCTAGCAGCTTCTTTTAGAGCCCTTTTAAATTAGCATGAAATAGTTTTACTAGCCCTGAGGTTTCAGCCAAGGAGCTTTAAAGGAGCCAGCCCTTTGTTTACTTATTTTTCCTCTTCTGAACATTTGGAAACATAGCTTCGGTGCTCCTTCTCCAAGAAACCTGAGTCATGACCTCCCCAAAGTGTTTCCTTCCCGTGGCCTCTTCTCCCGATCAGCTGTTTGTTATCTGAGGGATTCGTTAATAACCAGGACATCTGATTCTCATCATTACTCATCCTCTGCTCACTCTCCTTTCTAATGCATAGGCCTTTAGCCTTTTACTTTCTACCTTTTTGAATGCTATACTTTTTTGTAAAATTTTAATTAGGTTAATGCATTGACATTGTTCAACATTCAAACGATGGAAAGGGTGAGTGTGGAGGTTTGGTTTCCCCACTTTTTCCAGCCATGCTGTTGCCTTCTGCAGAGGCTTCTAGAATTTTCAGATGAATGAGAATCCTTTCAGAAATAGTCTCTGCAAACTCCAGCACACCCATAGTGCTAGGGTGGGTCTTAGTAAAATGTCTGCAGGGTAAGCACACTGTTTTGCACTCCACACAATTCACTTCACAATATTTCATAGAGACTTTTTCATATTAATATATAAAGAGATATATACGCGTGCTGCTTCACGATAATCCATTGCAGAGCTGGTCTGTAATTTATTCAAGCATTCTTTGTTGATGGATGTTAGGGTTGTATCCATTATTTTGCTATTATGAACAACACCATAATGGGCAACCTTGTACACATTTCCTGTCAACATGTATCACTGAATGGAAAGGATCTATTCCTAGAAAGGATCCATTCCTAGAAGAGGAATTCTGTACAATATGGCCAACTTTCTCTCTGTTGAGGTTGAACCATTTGACACATTTCGCTAGCATTGGGAAAATCCCCATTTTCCTCACTATCCATTTTTCTTCCTCTCTTTCCTTCCTCTTTTCCCTTCTTCCTCTTTTTTTTTCTTTTCTTTCCTTCCCTTTTTCCTTTTCTTTCCTTCTTTCCTTGCCATTTAAAACATACTGATAACTTGGCAGCACAGGGCAGTGATTAAACTCAGGCACTCACCCCACCCTACCTGGGAATCTGAATTCTGTCTTTTCTGCTGCTGTGGATTCTCAGTCCCCAAGTTGTGTAAATCAAAGCTTCTCCTGCCACACTAGTGTGTATTAGGCCAGGACTTCATAGTGTGATTCAAATCACCAACTGAATTTTTTTTTCCTTTCCTTCCCCTTTCTGGGGGACTACGTTTTTCATGGAGACCGGGGCCCTCCAGCTGCTGTGATGATCCTCCCTTGCCAGGGAGGTGCTGTTAATAGCAAATGCCAAGTGAGCTGGTGTTCTGTCCCTCCGGCCTCCTTGCTCACAATAGCCAGGAGGAAAAAGCCATGTAACCTCTGGATGAGTCCCTTGGCCATTTAGAAGTGAAATGAACATCCAAGAAGAAGCATAGACAATGTGGAGGAAGAACTCTTCCAAATGATGGCAGGGATATTTGGAATCTTTCCCCCTGAGTTCCCTCTGGAAGTTAAAGCCCAGATCCCGTGAACTGATTAAAAAGCCCCAGACCATTCCCGTTCCAGTCATCTTGAAACTGAGCAAGACCGTGTCATCCATGGAGCTTGAACATAGGAGCACTTTAAAAAAAAAAAGAATGAAAAGCCCCTTTCTTGTTTTGGTAATGATTTAATGACAGAAAGTCACCCACCCACCACTTGGGTACCACGCAGCCCACATTAAACAATTAGCCCTTGACAGTGGATAGTTCAAGTTAGTTTGAAATGAGAAATTGCCGGTGACCTGAAACCCATCATTATTAACCTTGTGGCACAACATTGCCATAACCAGTAGCCAACTCTCATTTTTTCTTTTTCTTTTTTTTGGTTGGAAGAAAGGCTCATTGAGGAAAGTTGGCTCAGTTCTTTTTTGAGTGAAGTGGTCAGACCACCAAGAATTACTTTCCTTTGATTGGGAACAGGTTCTAATACAGATGTCCTTTACATGGGCAATCCACTTTTCTCATTGATTCCACAATCAATTCGAGCTGTGTTTATATATAGACACCTGCCCACAGAGACCATGTGGAGAAGCATTTGCGTCTCGCTGCCTGTCTTCCAAAGGATTTGCCTTCTAGTAATTCATGTTTTTATAGCTTAACTACATTTATAGTGAACGGGTGGCTTCTTCATCCAAAGAAAGAACAAATGACAAAAAGAAAAATTTTGATGATTTGGGAACCGCATTTATGGAATAATAACATTCATGATACCTCTGGATAATGACAATAATTACAGTATACGATTCTAGAAGGGTGAGTCTAGCTGTTCCCAGTGTGTTTCCATGGGTTGTTATGTGTTACTGGTCAGGCGATCAGGGATTTGCTGAAGATTTTCTTTCCCATGTGGCAGTAGATATTTCAGAACCCTGCATCATGGTGTCCACAGAAGTCCCCAGAGTTGTATGAGAGTTCATCTGGGCACCTTTCCCAAAGGCAGGCCCCCTGTGCAGCTTCAACTATTCACTCTATTTATAATGTTGTTCCTGGATATTGGGCTTGCTTCCACTTGTGGCCAGGAGAGGATATTTCTTACTCCAGATCAAAGAGTTGAGACATTGCCTTCCCACAATTCCCAGTGAGCCCAACTCCTTACCACAATTCCCACCCCATGCCTTCCCCAAATTCCTGATGAGCCCTATGCCTTCCCACAATTCCCTGTGAATTTTGCTCCTTCCCACAACCCCAGTGAGCCCCACTCTGTCCCATAATTCCCTGTAAATCTCACTCCTTCCCACAATCCCCACTGAGTCCCATTCCTTCCCACAATTCCCTGTAAATCTCACTCCTTCCCACAATCCCCACTGAGCCCCACTCCTTCCCACAATTCCCAGTGAACCCCACTTGTGTAGTGTGTCTGTGAGTAGTCTGCCCACTCTCCTTATGACAGGTTTCCAGTATTATCTGTTTCATAACCCATTTCCAACCTTCTGGGTTTTTTCCTTCAACGTTTCCTGTGACAGTTCTCCATTATATCTTTGTTAGATAATAGTTAGCAACCCATTAATAACTTCCAACTTTTTGAGCCTCTACCATATCTTGTTTTCACTGGGATTTCTACACCGTGGCTACTTTGTGGGACCTGACTTATCAAGAACTTAAGCAGCATCTGTTAGAAAAGGTATTTTTTTTATGAAGTAAGTAGGGAACTAACTACCTGTTCACTGCTGCCCGTTCATTGCTAGCACAATGCCAAGTGTCAAATAAATGTTTCTTGAACAAGTGAATAGAGTACGCTTCTAGGCTTCTGGAAACGGTGAATGTTGCTTTATGTGGCAAAAAGGGACTTTGGAGATGTGATCAAGTTCAGGATCTTGAAATGGGGAGATGAACCTGAATTACCGAAGTGGGCCCTAAGTACAATTATAAGTGTTCTTATGAGAGGGAGGCAGAGGGGACTGTGACTACGAAAGAGGAGGAAACAGGGAGAAGAGGTGAAGCAGGTGTGAGGCAACAATCTGGTGGCTTCTAGCCCCTGAAAGAGGTGAGAAATGGATTATCATTTGGAGGATTCAGAAGGAACCAGCTGTGCTGACACCTTGATTTTTTTAACCCAGTGAGGTTGATTTTGGGCTTTTGACGTCCAGAATGATAAGAGAATAAATGTGTTGTTTTAAGACCTAAGATCATGGTTATTTGTTAGAGCAGTGATCAGAAACTCATACAAGTATGAATGCTAAGAGTAAAGGCACCTGCCTCCCACATACTGGACCCTTAATATTCCTTTTCATGGGAGGTTTTGCAGATTGCTGCCCTCCTTGCTCTCCTTACTCTTCTCCTTTTACTGAAAAGATATTTACTAGATGTCTAGCATGTTAAAGACTGTACCTTAAAAAAAAATCACACTCTAATTTAGCACAGTTTCAATTGTGGTTAAGCACCATGCCATTCACACTTCAGAACCAAGCTCAGATCCATGTGTGACACTCTGGAATGTGGCAGCTGATGGAGGAAGGGGGCTGAAGTTGAATCTGCAGTAGTTGAGTTAACCTTCCCATGGTGCCTGCACTAGCAGGGACTGGACTGAGACCCCAGCTTTCCCAGTCAGGCCTTCATTTTTCTCTCATGGTGAGAGCTTTGGAAATAGGCAGTGCAGTGTGGGAGTCCTTCCCCTAGCATGTTAGTGGCCAGCACCATGCCACACAGCCACCCAGAGCTGCAAGAGAGTCTGCAGAGGTGATTGCCCCTTGCTAGGTGAGTGTAAACCAAAAATAAATTCTAAGCTCCCCAAGCAACTGAATGGATCCCTGCCTCTGGGCCAAGGGGATTCCGAAATAAACCTGAAAAACTAGTTCAGGCAGTGATGGGAAGAGGGGGTTGGATATGACTCATTATACCCTTCTTTTTTTGGAATTCAGTCACAACTGAACAGCATTAGCATTAAAACAGATCCTAAGGCTGACAAAACAGACTCTTTATAGCAATAAGATACCAAATTTCAACCCTACTCTAGTATAGGATCACTTTGCAGATAGCAGGCATGGAAAGAAATCAAATTATTTTACCCCAAAATATATTTCTCTGGTATATTTCGAAATGGCCCTGCAAAGCTGTTTCTTGTCTACATTCTGTAGAGAACATCCTTCCCTTTCCAGGTCTTTTCCTGATCCAGGAGAGATTCACTAGGAGTCTGGCACCTTTTTAGTTTTGATAAGAGATATTTACCATTTATTCTCTCTGAGGCCTATTTCCTGGAGGCTTCATCTGCATCATAAGAACCTTGGTCTTTTTGTGGACTTATCTTAACCCAGATAGTCCTTTCTACTGATGCCAGGTGTTTAGCTAATAACACTTTTAACCAATTGCCAATCAGAAGATCCTTGAATCTACCTGATACGGTTTGGCCGCATCGCCACCCAAAATCAGACAGTCCTATCTGTTGATCTCGGGTGTTTAGCTAATAACTCCTTTAACCAATTTCCAATCACAGAATGCTTGAATCCATGTGATATGGTTTGGCTACATCCCCACCCAAAATCAGTCCTTTCTATTGATCTCAGGTGTTTAGTTAATAACTCTTGTAACCAATTACCAATCTGAAAATCCTTGAATCCACCTGATATGGTTTGGCTGCATCCCCACCCCAAATCTCATCTTGAATTGTAATCCCCACAATCCCGACATGTCAAGGGAGAGACCAGGTGGATGTAATTGAATCATATACTCCCGATAGTGAGTTCTCACGTGATCCGATGGTTATAAATAAGTGTTTGGTAGTTTCTCTGCGTTCATTCTGCTTCCTGCCGCTTTGTGAACCTGGTGCTTTGCTTCCACTCTGCCCTGATTATAAGTTTCTTGAGGCCTCCCCAGCCATGCTGAACTGTGAGTAAATTAAACATCTTGCCTTTATAAATTACCCAGTTTCAGGCAGTTCTTGGTAGCAATGTGAGAATGGGCTAATATACCACGTATGACTTGGAAGCCCTCATCCCCATCACTTTGAGTTGTCCTTCCTTTATGGACCAAACCAATGTACTCCTTACATATATTGATAGAAGTGTGCCTGTAACTTTTTTCCCCTAAAGTGTATAAAATCAAGGTGTAACCCAGCCACCTTGGGCACACGTTCCCAGGACCCCTTGAGACTGTCTTAGGCTTTGTTCACTCTTGTTTGGGTCGGGAATAAACTTCTTTAAATATTTTAGAGTTTCACTCTTTCAATCAACGTACGTGACTACCCAGAATTAAACTGGAATGCTGTTAATAAGAGAAATGAAAGGATGATGGGAGATGTGCACCCAGCAGTGTCTGTCTTGTGGTCCTGAAGTCTAACTCTAATCCTGGCTCCACTACCTGGACCATGACAGGTTGTTTAATTGTTCTAGTTAGAGTGTTCTCCTATGTAAATAGGGATAATAATTGGATGTATGGCAGGATTTGGGGGAGGATTAAATTAGGTTATATGCGTGAAGTTCGTAGAGCCAGGGTCTGGGCATTAATACGCATTTAGTTACTGTCGCTCCTGTGATCTGCACAATTATTGTCATTATCTTCCCTTCCTCCTCCTTCCCCCTCCTTCCCCCTCTCTTTTTCCTTTTCTTTCTATCATCATCCATAGCTCTCTTGCCCCATTGTTTTAAACCCATCTGTTTTTGTTGCTGGTAACTGTATCCAAAAGTAATACAGAATTTTCCGTAAGAACATTTATTGTGTTTCCTTCTACCCACGAATTTTCTTATGCTACACACACAACCCACTGAAATTTCACCTCTATTGTATGTGGCTTTTCTAGAAACGTGTGCTTCTGGGCTTTGTCTCACACCTCCTGGCCAGTGTTTGGCATGTGCTCACACATGCACGCACACACAGCCTGCACTATGTTTGTTGACTGAATGAATTAATATTTCACAGAATAACAAACACATGCTGATTATACTCCTTGGGAAGCTAATTTGTTTTCAGCTCTGAGAGCAAGGCCAAATCACCAGATTGATGCCTTTGGCTGTGTATCTAAAGGACGTGCCATTGCAGCTAAGTGGACCTGAATGTACAGTAAGACTTAGTGGTCACCAGAATGCATGCCACCCCGGTGCTTCTGCATGCAAAGGGTGCGGGCCATGTGCCAGTCACAGTGGAAAAGGCATGCTTCGTGTCAGCACATTTGGCATCTCTCTGGGATCGGGGATTTATACCCCAAAACCTTGCTCTAGAGATTTGGCTTCCATTAGCAAGGGTAAGGCTTGTAAGAAAGGAGTTTTACTCACCTTTGCTTGCTCTCACAGCTGTGTCAGCCCATTTTCATCTCTTTTCAATGTTTTAAGCCCTGAGAGAACCCAGTTCAATTCCCAGCAAGAAATGAGCCTCTGTAACGCAGCCCCAGACCCACCTTCGAGGGTAGGGGCACCCTTGTTGTCACGATGTACAGGAGCCAGGCTTGGCATCGGAGTGGATGCTTGGGAAGCCCCAGAGAAATAGACGAGTGAGTGCAAGAGCCAGCTGCCTGCGTGGCTTAGAGGAAGATTTCAAACACCTAGTGCACTGAAAGTCTGACTTAATTTGTGATTTGTGAATAGTCTCCCAGAAGCTATGGGGTACAGATGTGGGACTTGTGAAAAATACCAGACATCCTGTGGGTTAAAGAAAAAGAAAGGGGGGCGGTGGGTGAAGTGTGAGCAATTTCTGGCAGCTTTGTGGGCATTTATTATGTCTAGGTGGCACAGTGTGGTTGGACTGGTTGGTTTCCTATCAGTTGCATTCCCTGTATGTCTTCAGCCAATTTTTTTGGTAATCCAAGGCCTGATGTATATAAACAAATTCCTTTCTTGATCATCTAAGCAATGAACACTTAACAGAGTCAAGCTTGGAGAATTCAGTTCCTACCACAAGGTCCGGAATGGAGGATTTATAACTGGGAGACAGAAGGTATGCTGAAAGGTACTCAAACTGTCACTTCCTTCACCCCCAGGAGCACTGAAGCAGACACTGATTCCTCTGCAGTTGTTGGGCTTTTGAGCTACTTCCCTCCTGGGGAGATGCGTGTTAACTGTTTAATGACTGGCAATGCCGTAACAGTGAGCAAGCAATGTGACCTTACAAATACATGTGCAGAAATGCAGATGAGTGGGCCTAAAGAATCCAGACTCAACTTACTTCTAGTGGTAATGGCTGTAGGAGAGATGGGGAGTAGGAGAAGAAAAGCCAAAGGCAGACTTTAGTCTGGTTTATAATGCTTTAATATTTTTTTGAAGGAAGAAAAATGTTCATTACTTAACGTAATAATTATTTTTAAAAAGCAGCCTGGCGGGGGGGTATTCATTTTTCTGTGGCTGCCATAACAAAGTTCTTCAAACTTAGTGTCTTGAGACAAGACATTTATTTTCTTAAAGTTCTGGAGGTCAGAGGTCTGACACAGGCCTCCCTGGGCTAAAATCCAGGTGTCTTCAGAGCTGTGTTCTTTTGGATACTGTAGAGGAGAATACATTTCCTGGCCTTTTCCACGTTACAGAGACTGCCCATGTTCCTCGATCCATGGCTCCTTTTCGGTCACCTTCCAGCCAGCAACATTGGGCTGACTCCTTCAATGGCCATGTCTCTGGTTCTTTGTCTTTTGCCTCCTCCTCTTACTTTTAAGGACCCTTGTGATTTCATTGGTCTCAGCTGGATAGCTATCAAGGGTCACTTTAAGGTCAGCTGACTAGCAAACCTAATTCTATCTGCAACCTTAATTCATATAACCTGGCGTAGTCTCGATTTTATTTTAATTTTTTAATTGAATTCAGCTTTACAGTATCTTTTGTAGGGGGTAATTTTAGCTTCTTTCTCCGTTGAAAACTTCAAGTAAGGAAACACTTATATTGCTAGTGAGTGGCCAGCTGGAGTTGTAGGTCTAATTCTTTTTTTTTTTTTAAGACGGAGTTGTGCTCTTGTCACCTAGGCTGGAGTGCAATGGCATGATTTCTGCTCACTGCAACCTCCACCTCCTGTGTTCAAGCAGTTCTGCCTCAGCCTCCTGAGTAGCTGGGATTACAGGTGCCTGCCACCATGCCCAGCTAACTTTTGAATTTTTAGTAGAGATGGGGTTTCACCACGTTGGCTAGGCTGGTGTCGAACTCCTGACCTGAGGTGATCCACCTACCTTGGCCTCCCAAAGTGCTGAGATTACAGGCATGAGCCACTGTGCCTGGCTGGTTGTAGGCCTAATTCTAGCAATCTCAGCAACTGTAGGATTTCTCTGCATTGGAGGAAGCAAGACTGAAGGTCGTCTGGCTTTATGGACAATGTGCTTAGAAGTTCATGCCATACCTTAGGTCCAGTCTTGTGACTGAACCAACCAGACAGGCCTAGGCTCTGCCCTAAGTGGTCAGCCTCCGAGGTGGTAGCACGCAGGGCCTCACTTCCCACTGCCTCTGTCTATGGGCATGTGCTGTGTGCCATTCTCTCCCCTTATCAGTGGGTTCCCAGCTGCCTGGTGTACAGGAGGGTTAAGTAGATACCTGTTGAGTGATTGT
This sequence comes from Homo sapiens, assembly GCF_000001405.40. Classification (NCBI taxonomy): domain Eukaryota; kingdom Metazoa; phylum Chordata; class Mammalia; order Primates; family Hominidae; genus Homo; species Homo sapiens. The sequence goes on from NC_000016.10 coordinate 78,312,997, forward strand.
GAATGTTTTCATTCACGGGGGCAGATTTGTGTCCTACTAACACCAGACATGTCCTGTTTTCAGATTACTTCTTTTTCAACATCTGAGTACCTATAACATCTAAAGAATAACAGGAAAATCCACCTGGGTGGCCAAAGTCAATGTAATGGGCAGAAAGGGCATGTGGTAGACTTGGAAATCAGACATCTTAGACTCCAACACAGGGCTCTTCCACTTGCTAGCCATGGAACCTCAGACTGGGATCCTTGACTTCCTTATCTATAAAATATGGCTTATAACTCACCCTGTATTATAGATCTGCTGGGAACATGATAGAACGTCTGAACAGTGCTGGCTTATAGCAAGTGTTCAGAGATGTGTTTCGTTGTTTTTCTTTTTTCTTTTTTTGAGATGGAGTTTCACTCTTGTTGCCCAGGCTGGAGTACAGTGGTACGATCTTAGCTCACCACAAGCTCTGCCTCCCGTTTAAAGCAATTCTCCTGCCTTGGCCCCTGGAGTAGCTGAGATTACAGGCATGTGCCACCACACCCAGCTAATTTTTGTGTTTTTAGTAGAGACGGGGTTTCTCCATGTTGGTCAGGCTGGCCTCAAACTCCTGACCTCAGGTGATCTGCCTGCCTTGGCCTCCCAAGGTGTTGGGATTACGGGCATGAGCCACTGCGTCAGGCCTATTGTTTTTCCTACGTACCGTGATTGCTTGCTTTCTTCTCTGTCGATGTCCCTGCCATCTAAATGCTGAGTCCCCTTGTCTACATTTTGAGGCTCTTCTATTATGGAAGAGGGCTAGAGAGGCCATCAGAATTTGGTTTCACTAGCCTTTGATCCTTCCTGTTTAAGGAGCTCAGCATTTAGCTTCACTTCCCTGTCATTCATCAGAATTCATTCTCAGATTGGAATTGTCCAGTCTTAGAGTGATTTTTGTCCCCAGTGACACTTCCCTTATATCCGTGCTGACACAGGTTCAGGAGACCAGGTCGAGTCGAAATCCTGGCTGTTCCGCTTTCTAACAAGCTGCTTCATCTTTCTGTGCCTCACACATCTATAAAATGGAGCTGGGCATCTGTCTCCTTCAGTTATGGTGAGAATTAAAATAAAAAACACAAAGCACTTCTAAGAAAGTACAGGAGAGGCCGGGCACGATGGCTGACGCCTGGAATCCCAGCACTTTGGGAGGCAGAGGCTGGCAGATCACGAGGTCAGGAGATGGAGACCATCCTGGCTAACACAGTGAAACCCCGTCTCTACTAAAAATACAAAAAAAATTAGCCAGGCATGGTGGTGGGCCTGTAGTCTCAGCTACTCGGGAGGCTGAGGCAGGAGAATGGTGTGAACCCAGGACGCAGAGGTTGCAGTGAGCCGAGATCGAGCCACTGCACTCCAGCCTGAGCAACAGAGTGAGACTCTGTCTCAAAAAAAAAAAAAAAAAAGTACAGGACATACGTAGGACCCCTGAACATTTATCCCCCTGCTGCCAGTACGTTACAGCAACCACCAAGTCCACCTCTATCAGGATGGTGCCAATTTGTGGGGTTTTTTTTTTTTTTTGAGTCGGAGTTTTGCTCTTGTCGCCCAGGCTGGAGTGTAATGGCGTGATACTGGCTCACTGCAACCTCTACCTCCTGGGTTCAAGCGATTCTTCTGCCTCAGCCCCCTGAGTAGCTGGGACTACAGGCACACCCCACCCTGCAGGGGTTTTTTTTTTTTGTTTTTTTTTTTTTTTTTTTTCTGTATTTTCAGTAGAGACAGGGTTTCTTCATGTTGGCCTGGTTGGTCTCAATGTCCTGACCTTAGGCAAGCCACCCGCCTTGGCCTCCCAAAGTGCTGGGATTACAGGCATGAGCCATCACGCCTGGTGAATGGTGTCATTTTGATGTACTGAGCCATCTCAGTTTTTCCAGCAACCTTCCCTCACCTTTGTGGTCAGCTAGAAGGTCAGTTAACACATGGGATGGGAATTCTTGCCAATGTCCTTCGTAAAAGAAGAACTTCTCCTTCACTCACATGTCCTGATACTTCCTCAGCATTTCATTCTAGCCTTTCTGTCTCCATCCACCATCTATCAATCATCTATCATCTAGCTATCTATCGATTTCTCTTTTTTGGCTTTAATTTTGTCACTTTTTCTTCTGTCTGCTATAGAAATAGCAAATTTTCTTATGTAAGAAAACTCTGAACGCGAGGCCAAAGTAGAATTTTCCCTGAAACAGCTACCTTTTCCTTGAAATTGTTCTATATCTAAAATCACTAGGTGAGGAGTAATAGAAATGTAGACATGAGAAGTGAAACTGTTTTTTTTCCTTGTAAAAGCTTCATTGTGCCCTTTAGAGGATAACTCTGTAGTTTGATATGATAAAAATAATTATATGATTATGCTGAGTGAGGTGGCTCAAGCCTGTAATCCCAGCACTTGGGGAGGCCAAGGCCGGCGGATCACTTGAGGTTAGGAGTTCGAGACCAGCCCGGCCAACATGGTGAGACCCCCATCTCTGCTACAGATATAAAAATTGGCTGGGCATGGTGGGGTGCAGCTGTAATCCCAGCTGCTCAGGAGGCTGAGGCAGGCGAATCGCTTGAACCCGGGAAGCAGAGGTTGTAGTGAGCTGAGATCATGCCACTGTACTCCAGCCTGGGTGACAGAGCAAGACTGTCTCAAAAAAGAATAAAAATGAATAAAAATTATGTGATTAGAGAGGGGAAAACAATCATTTCTTGTGCGCTAATGCCACTCAGCAGGTGCTTACACTGTCTGGTTCATCCTTACAATGACTCCATGTTATCGCCATTTTCAGATGGGTAACTCAGGTAGAAATATGATTCCATTAGTTTAAAAAAAAATACATAGAAGATAAGAAAAATCACCAAAAATTCCCAGCCACAGTAGATGTATCTGTATTTAACTACTCTCCTCGTGTTGAATATTTATCAGGTTTCTCGTTTTCTTTTGTTTTTGTTGTAAGTGGCACTGCAGGCCAGTTGCGGTCACTCAAACCTGTAATCCCAGCACTTTGGGAGGCTGAGGTGGGCGGATCACTTGAGGTCAGGAGTTTAAGATTAGCCTGGCCCACATGGTGAAACCCTGTCTCTACTGAAAATAAAAAAAAAATCAGGCATGTTAGCATGCACCTGTGGTCCCAGCTACTTGGGAGGCTGGGTCAGGAGAATCGCCTTGAACCTGGGAGGTGGAGGTTGCATTCAGTCGAGACCATGCTAGTGTACTCCAGTCTGGGCAACAGAGCCACATCTCCAAAAAGGTGGCACTGCAGCAAACAGCATCCACATGTGTGCACAGAATATTGTTCTGTTGTGTACCTCAGATGGCTTTGTTAGGTTAGATTCCCTGAAGTGGAATGGCCAGGGAATTTAAAAAGGGTTTTGCTCTTGTCACCTGGGCTGGGGTGCAATGGCGTGATCTTGGCTCACTGCAACCTCCGACCCCCCTGGGTTCAAGCGATTCTCCTGCCTCAGGCTCCTGAGTAGCTGGGATTACAGGTGCCTGCCACTATGCCTGGGTAATTTTGGTATTTTTAATAGAGATGTGGTTTTGCGGTGTTGGCCAGGCTGTTCTAAAACTCCTGGCCTCAGGTGTTCTGCCCGTCTCGGCCTCCCAAAGTGCTGGGATTATAGGCCTGAGCCACGGTGCCTGGCCAAGTCTGTTTTTTAAATCTGGAAAATGGGACTTGTTAACTTCTGTATTGTCTTTTCTGCTGCTTTATCCAACTTTGCAATCTATAAGCTTCTGTTACTGGAAAATGGTGATGGTAAAGTAATTGCTTTCTTATGTTCCATCACAGAGGGTAGACTGCTAGCTCTAGTATTTTTCAATGCTGCTTTTTAAGTGATAGATGTATACCATTCAGTACCAACCCTGCACCCTGGGACATGCCTCCTTGCTGAAACTACCATTTATCTTTGTGAATTCATTATTCGTTTTTCCAACAAACTTTTATTGAACATCTAATAAGACCTGGACATTTGGCTGAATGCTGGAAGTGCAAAGATGAAGGAAAGTTGCTTTTTGGAAGGATATTAGAATCCAAAGGTGAAGCCTGCACAGTAAGTAGGCCAGTGGTGGGATAAGGGATCCATTGGCCCAGGAAATTGGAGGGACTTGGAGAAGGACCATCTCACCCGTCCAAAGAATGGAGGAGTAAGGGAAGGCTTCTGGAAAGAAGTTGTGTTGAGGCTGTGTTTGGAAAGGTGAATAGGAGTTAGGCCAGTGAGGAATGGGGTGAACAACTGCAGGAACTTGAGTGATACTTTGGGGTGAATTCTCTCTCTCTCTCTGTCTGTCTCTCTCTGTCTCTGTTTCTGTCTCTCTCACTCACATTTTAGGTAAAGCAGTGTTTCTTCCCCAGGGGTGATTGTGTTTGTTACAGTGTGATGGAGACTGGATACTGCATCTAGCAGATAGATGCTGTCAATCATCCTACAATGTGCAGGACCGTGCCCACACAAAGAATGACCCGTCCCCAAATGTCAACAGTATTCAGGCTGAGAAACCATGTACTAAGGCACAGGACAAGCATCGGGTTGGATAATGGCAGAGAAAAGTACCTTACCTCCTTCCAGAACCTGAGAGTGTGTGACTGTGAGTGTGTGTGTGTGTGCACACACTTGCGTAAAGTGAGAAAAATCTGGTGTTTTTTCGAAGTCTGCCTCGTTTAGGCTCTGGACTCCTGCTCTCTGTTGACTCTGTCCAGAGAGTAAGCGACTCAGCAGGTGTGCCTCCCCATGGGCCCCCTTCACGGTGTCCTCACCTTGATTTATTAGAGCATTTTATTCCCCCAACAGTGTTTATGACATCCAAGGACTTGGTGGAACCATGAGGAAATGAGAGTGGACAGTGAGACTACTATCATTCATTTTCACTCCCCGTAAACATCTTCTGTTTCTGTTTTAGAAGACATTGCTAATCCCCTCATGCACTGGCTTTGCGAATTTCTTTTTCAGCCTGGGTTTGAAAGCAAAGTGGTAGTGACTTTTTCCTGATAGCTGCTGAAAAGGTTCCACAGTATTTGGACCGCTGCCTGCTTCTACCCTGGAGCACAAAAGATCCAGGCGTAGAAATTGGTTCTAACAATATCCTTTTAGAGAACACCAAGGGGATGTGAGTCACTTTCCCTTTGATTTAAAGGCACTGCGTCCCTCAAATTCAGAGTTAGAGGGTGACATGTAGTTGATCTTTACTTCCCGGGGGCAGAGGACCATAATTAAATGGCTGTGGAAACCCAGAAGCAGCCTACAGAAACTCTTAGGAGCCCTCCGTCTGGGAGGAATTTTTTTTTTTTTTTTTGGTATATCTGTGTTTACAGTTCTAGAAAAGTGTTGGTTTTGAGGGCAATGGAGACAGGAATGAGGAGAAAATGTATAAAGGAGAGGTTGCTGTGAGCCGAGATTGCGTCACTGCACTTCAGCCTGGGCGACAAGAGCGCAATTCTGTCAAAAATAATATTATTCTGTTGTTTCCTAATTGTTGATTTGTGGTCCATATATTTGGTTCCTTAACTAAATTGGAGTTCTTAAAACAAATGTTAAGAACACAACATTTAGGCACACAGTACTTGGATTCCAGTAGCTTTGGATAAATTAATAAAATCCTTCCATTTTCTCAGTTGTAGAATGGGAATAGTACCCACCTTATAGGCTTGCTGTGGGGAGTAAGTGGGATAATAAATGTTAAGTGCTTTTAGCTGTACTGTACATACATAATTTCTGTAAGTACTGGCTATTTTAAAAATTATTTTAACACTATTCTGATATAGGAAGTTAAAAAATAGCACAGAGGGGATCCCTGTGATTTTTACTCACTTTTCTACAAGCATGACTCCTTATATAACTACAGTACAGGATCCAAACCAGGAAACATGCCTGGGTACAATGTGAGTGTATAATTCCAGGTAGGTAAAATAATGGCCCTTATTAGGATGTCTGCGTCCTAATCCGCGGAAACTATGGATATGCTTTGTTACATGGAAGAGGAAAATTAAGATTGCAGATGAAATTCAAGTTACTGATCCTGCGAAGTTAAAATCAGGAGATTACCCAGGGTTATCTGGTTGGGCACAGTGTAATTGCCAGGATTCCTAAAAGGGGGAGAGAGAGTCGGATGAGTCAGGCAGTGAGATGGCAGCATGAGAAGGACACCGCCACACATTGCTGGCTTTGAAAATGGAGGGAGGCGGGCATGAGCCACAGAAAGTAGGCAGCCTCTAGAAGGTGGAAAAGGCAATGAGATGGATTCTACCGTAGAGCTACCAGAAGGGAACACACCTTGCTGATGTCGTTTTACTATTTTCTTATTTATTTTTGAGACAGGGTTTTGCTCTCGCCCAAGCTGGAGTGCAGTGGCGCTATCATGGCTCACTGCGATCCTCCCACCTCAACCTCCTAAGTAGCTGGGACTACAGTGTGTACCATCACGCCCGGCTAACTTTTTTGTATTTTTAGTAGAGGTGGGGTTTCATCATGTTGCCCAGGCTGGTCTCAAACCCCTGGGCTCAAGCGGTCCTCCCTCCTTGGCCTCCCAATCTGCTGAGATTACAGGACCCTGCTGATGTCTTAATCTTAGCCCCTTCAGATCCCAGTTGGTCTTCTGACTCCAGAGCTATAAAAGAATAAATGTGTGTTATTTCAAGCCGTGAATTTCTTATTAATGTGTCACATAGCAATGGAAAAATAAACGTTCTATGCCATTTTTATCACATGCGTAGGTTCATTTAACCACCGCCACTACTAAAATACAGGACTGTTCCATCTGCACCGAGGTCTCTCTGTGCTACCCCTTGAAGTCACACTTGCCACCCTCCGCCCTTAGCCTTTCTTTCAGCCTGTGAGGAAGCAAAACTTTTACTCTTCAGGCATCACCTCACGCGTCTTTTCTGCCTGGGAGGCACTTTTTCCAGTTTTCCTGGCGAAATAGTCATCTTTTAAGTTCTCTGACAACCCCTCTCTGAGCATCTAATCCCAATCAGAATTCCCTCCTAATGTAAACTCTCATTATATCTTTTAACTTTATTTCTTAGCACTTATCATGCTGTATGGATAATGGTATATTTGGGTGAGAGTATTTGTTTCTCTTTCTCCCTAAGTAGGCTGGAAACTGCATGAGGGCAAAAACTTAGCTTTACTCAATGTTTTCTCAGCTTCATGTACGTGACTGTATACAGAGTCTGAGCCGAGAAAACCTTCCTTGCATGTACGAGCAAATGAGAGTATTCAAGGTACAGAACTGAAATTTTCTCTGGGTTTTTAAGTGGAAGAGTACACAAGCATTATAAGCAATTTTACCTGCATTTACTCAACAGACTTTTGTTTTTTATCCCCTTCGGTGTAGGTTGTCATACTAAATTGGTTCAGATTCTGTATCTGGGGGTAGTTAGACTTCTGTGAACTCCAAGTAGACGGTTGAACATGACTGAACTTGCACAGTGGACACATTGTGCATTTGTTTTTAAGTCCCTAGCTGTTTCCAGAAATAGTTTGGTTAATTCATACTGATAAAATAAATCCCCGTAAGAGCATTATTCCCCAAAGTGGGCTTCCTTTGCCAAACCTAATTATCTGGAGAAGGTATTGAAGAAGTCAACTTACCTCTTGGCCAAATGCTTTCTAGAATTATTCAACCAAAGACAGCAGGCTGCACCTAGGGGAAGCCAAACATCTGGATGAAGAATGAAATATCCAGATGTTTTCAAGTATCTGGATGTTTCTAACCATCTGTTTCTCTTGGTTATTGACAAATGATCCAGCTGTTTTGCAGAAGATGGTATACCTTGCCTAACAGAAGAGAGAAGTAACATTCTTAGAAAACTTTGACATCATCTCATCTGTACTAACACAGGATTTCTGTCTTTAATTGAAGCCATGACTTGATCACAAAAATGAAAATAGCTTCATGTGTTTCTGAAGCTGTTGTCTTGCTTTGGGCGCCAGACTGCACAGGATTTTAGGTTAATTGTCTTGTTTACAATTAGAGTCTGCATTGTTTGTAGCTTGATTCTATTTATAATGTACTCACACCTTAACCAATAGCCTCACAGATGGCATATGAGAATACTCATACTCAGTGCTGCTAAAAACAGCCTGCTGCCTGAACACCAGAGTGTCTTTTAAAGCGTAGAAAAGTTGGGTACATAAAATTTCTGTTGCAAAAAGGAATGTATAGGCCTTAATTGAAAATGTATCTTTCTGGAACAGGAGTTTTAGAAGCTGAGTACCACCCACTCCCTTGCTCCACAATTCTCTTTTGTTTAAGGCAACACGTAGGTTCTTAGTTTTTTAAATATATATATATACGTATATATATACGTATATATATGCGTATATATATACGTATATATGCGTATATATATACGTATATATGCGTATATATATACGTATATATGCGTATATATATACGTATATATACGTATATATATATGTGTGTATATATATATATAAAAATATATTTAAATAATGTTAAGGCTAGAGTAGAATGACATCATGGGAAGGCTTATTGAAACTTGGAGTGGATTCGTAGTCTGCCACGAGAATCCTTGTCTGATGTTTGTGGGTGTGTAGGACTGAATTTGAAGTCCTTAAATGGATGTCCTAACAGTGAATAAAGACGTGGGGCTTGAATTTATGTATTATCTTATTACTCTGTCATTTTCTTGAGTGGTACACCAGAGTGCATGGAAAAGTAAATGATTGGAAGCCGCGTGGTAGTTAAGGGTGATGATGTAGGAGTGAGAACACAGGCTTGGTGCCTGGCGTCAGCACACACATCACAGGCCCTCCCTGTCAGTGGCTGTCGTCTGTTAGTGTTTCCAGCACAGCTCTAAAGAGCGACGCTTGGAGGCTGGGGAGAGGGGGATGGAGAGGCATATGATTCTGTTGACATTTAGTGACATGCGCTCTTCCCAACCAAACAGATGCAAATGGATTTTAGTTGTGAGTGGTTGTTTAACACCTGCATAAGTGACAGACCTGCAGAGACAGGTTGTGGATGGAACGCAAATTCAAATCAGTGCATGAGAACAGCAGCTAAAGTGGACAGACCCAAATGTTTTGCCTAAATATTTGGCTCCTAGTTGTACAAAAAGCCAAATGGTTTCAATTTCATCCTATATAAACCAGATGATTGTGTATTTACTTCTCACTTGCCCTGCCAGGGGGATGGTTGGTGGGGGGAAGACAAGGACAAACAATTCGAAAGAGCAAATGAGCCAAAATCCATCTGGATTTTGTTAATGCTGATTATATAGTTTCTTCTGTTGTTTTTAATGTCTTCCAAGCCTTCTGTGTATTAGCCAGCATTAAGGGGAAAAAATGACATTTTGACTTTGACTCCCTTTGTAATGTAATGCATTGTTATGTATTTCTGAAGTTTTTCTTAAGGAAATAGTATATGATAATAATGACTAGCACTCACTGAGTGTTCGTGATCGCCAGGATCAGGCCAAAGGTTTTCACGCTTGTGCCTTTTTAAACTTCTCAACAACCCAGTGAGATAGATGTTATTAGCCCAATTTAAGGATGGGGAAAGTGGGGATTCACAGATGAAGTAACTTGCCCCTAGCATCGTACAGTCAGTGAGTGTGAGAGGTACAATTCAAACCCAGGTAGACCTGAATTAAATCTTCTGAAGCAACTCTTCATCACCAGGTGTGGCTACCTCCAATGATTACTTTGTTTTTATGATTATCAACAAAGTTACTCTGTGGAGCAGGGGCAGGCAAACATTTTCTGTAAGGGAGAGACAGTATTTTATGCTTTGCAGTACAGTCTTTTGCAACTGTTCCACTTTGTCACCACAGCACAGGAGCAGCCATGGACGCTACGTAAGAAAATGAGTATGGGAGTGTTTCAATTAAAATTATGTATGGACATGGAAACTTGAACTTTTTATGATTTTCATGATCACAACTTACTCTGATCTCTTTCAACCATTTAAAAATATGAAAACCATTCTTAGTTTACAAGCCCTACAAACACTGGCATTGGGTTAGGTTTGGATGATGGGCCATTGCACTCCAGCCTGGGTGACAGAATGAGACTCTGTCTCAAAAAGAAGAAAATAAAACAGGCGTTCCTTACCTACAGCCTGCTATGATTTGGGGTTCTTGTATTTTTTTTTGTTTGTTTGTTTGAGACGGAGTCTTGCTCTGTTGCCCAGGCTGGAGTACAGTGGCACGATCTCAGCTCACTACATCTCTGCCTCCCGGGTTCACGCCATTCTCCTGCCTCAGCCTCCTGAGTAGGTGGGACTACAGGCCCCCGCCACCATGCCCGGCTAATTTTTTTATTTTTAGTAGAAACGGGGTTTCACCATGTTAGCCAGGATGGTCTCGATCTCCTGACCTCATGATCTGTCAGCCTCAGCCTCCTAAAGTGCTGGGATTACAGGCGTGAGCCACTGCGCCCGGCCGGGGATCTTGTATTAATAGTAGGGAGACAGTAAGCAAGCAAGGCTCAGTTAATGATAAATTGTTATCAGGAGACCCAGCAGTTTCTGCTTTTTCTACCCTCCTCTTTGAGCTCTATTTAAACTAATAGGTTACTGGGTTTGAACATGCCATGCAGTGGGAAGAGGCGGGAACCCCACTGAGCTGTCCTCTAAGTGAATCATGCCCACTATTTGGTTGTGAGGCTGTGGACTTTACTTTTCACGCATGGCATTGAAAGAACAGGGAAGGGTGGATTCCCCATCTCCTCTTCCTCTTTGGAATCAGGAAAACATGTTTCTATTCTAAATGTTCTTTGATAAATAAGATTGCATGTTCCTGGCTCCTGTAACATATATTTTCTTTTTCCTTTGTCCGGCATACTTGACTAATTGTAGAGCTTTTTGAGCCTAAAACTGGATAGGAACCCAGTGCATGCACTCTTAAGGACTCAGAGGCCTGCTCAAGGTTAAGTGCAGTATGGTCTGAATAATAAGCATAGATGCCCCTTTACTGAGCAGCAGCTGGGTGCTGGGCACTGTGCTAGGCATTTTTGGATGCATTTTCCTCCTCCAACTTCACTTTCCCCTATGAGATTATTTCCTCTGTGTTAGAGACAAGAAAAATCAATTTACAGGTAGTTTAAGTGACTTGTTCAAGGCTACAGTAAGCTTGAAGTGGCAAGGATGGGATTTGAACGTCTGTCTGCTTGATTCCAAGACCGTGGCCTTTGTCATTCAGGTCATGCTGCTTTCCTCAAGGCAAGGAACTGAGGTTTTCTGTTGGCAGTGAGGTGGTGGCTTCTTGTTTCCCTGGTCTTAGATACTGCTCAACTCACAGTTGAAATGTAGAAGTGAAAAGTCAGACAGCAGCAGGTGTTGCTGGGAATGTGGAGAAGTTGGAACCCTCACACACCATTGGTGGGGATGTAAAATGGTACAGCTAACTTGGAAAACAGTCGGCGGTTCCTCCAATAGTCAAGAGTTCCCATATGACCTAGCAATTCCACTCCTAGGTACGTATCAAAGAGAAATGAAAACATGGACCAAGACTTGTACATGAATGTTAATAGCTGCATTGTTCTTAATAGCCAATAGGTGGAAAAAACCCTAATGTCCATCAATGGACAAATGGATAAATATGTTGTGGTAAATGCGTGTAATGGAATATTCCATTTTATATTCATAAAAATGGACAAAGTCCTGAGGCATTCTATAATGTGAGTGAACCTGGTAAACATGAGGCTAAGTGAAAGAAGTTAGTTACAAAAGTCCACATATGGTGAGATTCCGTTCTGTGATATGTCCAGAACAGAGAAATTTAGAGATAGAAAATAGATGAGTGATGACTCAGGGCTGGGGGAGTTGGGGGTGGGCGGGATAGGAGGGGTAGAGGTGAAGGTGATGAAAATGTTTTGCAATTGTCTGTGTTGGTTGCACAACTCTAAATGTACTAAAAATCATTGAATTATACAATTTTAAATGGGTGAATCGTATGGTATGTCAATTATATCTCAATAAAGCTGTTAAAAAATCTGAAAGTGTCAATTAATCTTTGCTCCCAGAGAAAACCACTCAGGGCCCGAGCTGCTCATGGGCACAAAAACCCATTCCTCAGATTCCTTGGCCATGCTGGAAGCCTGGCTTGTGTGAGAGCCTCAAGTCTCTGTAACAGCCTGGGAGTGTTGGTCCCGTCACAGGGCTGTGGCAGCCTTTAAAGCTAGAAGGCACTGCTCAGAGGAACTGGTTCCTTTGAATCCTTTTCCGTCACCATGCAAATGTTTACAAGCTCTAATCAGGAGAAATGAAAAATCACATGTCTAATTTTAAATATGTTGCCTCTGATCACAGGTGTTGTTAAAACAGCTCTTTTATGACTTTATAAATACTCAGATTTATTTTGAAGCAATGTTTCATTATTCCTATACTATGATTAAATATTGAGACTATTGCTTTTCCAATTGTTCTATTGCAGTATTTAATGAGTGCAATTAAATGGAAAAATTGCCTTTTTAACTGGTGATAGTCCATTAGTGTCTCTGTCTCTTCAGGAAAGAAAAGAAGTGAATTATTAGAATGACAAATGAGGCAAAGTTACCACCGTGATGGAGAGGTGCGATTTCCCTCCACATAATCTTCAGTTAGTGATCTCTGTAAGAGAATGTTTTTCAAAAGGCTAATAGAGAAGTAATGAGATCAGAAGGAGGTCAACCCGGCCTTCTCCGTTTGGCAGCTTGATTAATTTATTTCTCCTTCTTGGAGATTGCTGCAAGGGGCTTTTGTCACCCTGTGTTTTTCATGGGACTGTAACCTGAGTGACTGCTGATATATTAGCCTTGCAGGCAAGGAAGCAAGTCCGTTGCCCTGGAATGGAAGGCATAGGAGTTAAGGGTTTGTTTGCTTTTGCAACTTGAACACACTCATTGGGAGCTTTGGATAATGACAACAATGATGATGATTTTAAGAGTTAATCAAATTAAAGGCTATGAAATGATGCCCACTGTGGATCCTGTGCCTGGTGCTCAGCACATACAACATCATTTCATTTTCACAGCCCTTGTGACATGATAGGGCTCTTTTGCAGATGAGGAAATGCAGGCTCAGAGTTATCTAGCATTGTACCCTTAAGCAGAAGGGGGAGGTAGGAGTGAATCTCTGTCTGCCTCTAAACTCTTGAGCTCCCCTCCAGAAGTCCAGGGCTCTTAGAAACTTTGTACTCAACCATTAAATTGTTGCCATTGTGCTGAGGAGCAAGGAAACTGGGATCACACAGCTAGATCACAGTGGGGGAACCTGAATTATGGGGATGCTCACAAAAGGGCAAAACACAACGGTTGCTGTCATTTGATGCTTTATGTTAAGTGTGCATATGCTCAGTTGCAGAAACCTAAATTGCTAAATTGCAAGGCTGTATATGATATGCCAATTTGGCATATTCTGTCTTTTTATATTCTGCCACCCCTATCATACTTAGGAAAATGCCAGGTTGTAATCATTCACTGGGAGAAACAAGGGGTTGAACGTTGTTATCGCGCAAAGGAAGCTGGGCCTAGTAAAGGAATGTAAATACTAAAATGCCAGCATCACTGTTACTTACTGTGTTTCTCTGGATGTATTACTTAACCTCTCTGGCTTTATTTCTGCCTGCCCTCCCCCCGCCCCCCCCCCCCGCAATGCCTCAATCTGTGGCAGAGTTGTTACATTATTGAAAAAGAACATAAAGCATATTTTCTGGCATACAGCATATGTTTAATTTATAATTTTTGTTTTTATCATTAAAAGCAACAGATTGCTGTATTCTTGCCTGCCACTGACATGGACTTAATTGTTTCATTTAGACATTTAAGTGGGCAATACACTTAAAATGCAGATATAACTTTAATTGTCAAAACATGCTTATTTTAGGAAATGTGTTTCTCCAGTAAAGCTCAGTATCTGGGGCTTTTTCGGTTGTATTCTATATGAATCTTGAATACTGAAGTTTCTCACCATGGAGATGACAAACACATAAAATGTTTACTTTGCAAACTGAATTTCTCTTGCTGCTTTTTCTGAAGTTCCCCAGAGGCTCATCATCATCAATACCATCAATTAATAGTCATCCTTGGCTTCCTCGATCCTCAGCACTGCGCTGGGCACTGCCCCCCAGGAGCATCCATGCACCTCAAATCCTGACCTTGTGACTTTCAAGTCCCTAAGTGACCCCACACTGAAGAATCTGGTGAAGGCCATCCAAGCCCAGAGTTCATTTAAGTGGCAGCGATGGGACCAAATTATAGGCCAGGTCTGTCTTATGAAAGATGATAAATGGATGTGTCATATCGGGAAAGAAATCACTCTGTCATCATATGACAGGCTGGCTTGATTTCTTTGCACCAGTGTCCCTAAAAGTTGGGATGGGGGTGTGAAGCGTGCCAGCTTTCAAAGCCAGTTGTCACTCCATTTTGTGCTGTACCTCCCCAGTTATGAATCTGGGGCATCTTCACTGGACTCTCCAAGCCCCAGTACCCTCAGTGTGGAAGGAGAAAGCATGACCCACTGGGCAGGACACAGAAGGCTTCTGTGAGAATGAAGCTCTATCATGCTTGTAGAACATGGAGCGCTCAGCAAATACAAATCACAGCCCATCTCCTCCAATCATTTGGGGTATTAGGATTCCCTTCACTCCAACTCCCACTGGAAAACCTCTTTGCCATGACACAGAGATTCCACAATCTTCTATTTTTATTTAAAAATTTTTTTAAAGAGTGATCTTTGGTTTTCTCAGTAGATGCTTTCCTCTGAATAGCAAGCATATAGATAGTCTTCTCCTTCAGACCCCCGACCATGGCTATATTATTTAGTCTACAGTGGTTCTTTGTACAAAGTGCTTCTGCAAAGCTCTTAGAGCACCCAGAGCTGGCTTTGGAAAGCAAGACATTAGGAATGAGCTAGCCTGAATGAGTCCTGATTTTTTTTTTTTTTTTTTTTTTTTTTTGAGATGATCTTCTTCTGTTGCCCAGGCTGGAGTACAGTTGTACAATCTTGGCTCATGGCAACCTCAAACTTCTGGGCTCAAGCCAGCCGCCCATCTCAGCTACTTAGTAGCTTGGATTATGGGTTTGTACCACCTTGCCTGGCTAATTTGTATTTTTAGTAGAGATGACATTTTGCCATGTTGGCCAGGCTGGTCTTGAACTCCTGGCCTCATGTGATTGCCCCAACCTCAGCCTCCCAAAGTGTTGGGATTATAGGTGTGAGCCTCTGTACCTGAGTTCTGATTTCTTAAATTTCACAGTCCCTTACCTGTAACTCAAATTCCCGAACCTTCAAAAAACAACAAGTGGCAGCAAAACTTGATTTGGAATTGTCGTGGTCTTGTTTATAATCGTCATTTTTCTTGTCATGTGATTTGATGTTTGGGTATATGTTAACACCTCACTAGGGATATTTCATAGCATATGATTGATGTAAGTCGTAAAAAATTTAGAATCCTTCAACACATACTTGGATTTTAGATGAAGAATCATAGATTTTTATTTCTGTGGCTTTGGATGAGCTGTTTAATTTTCATTTCAAGTTGCTGGTAAGATGATGATGATAATAGAGATAATCCTGTAAGAATGCTGCAAAGGGTTAGTACTTTATTCTTGCAACAAGTATTTATTGTAGGCCTGTATTCAAAGGAGAATAAGATAAATAAGATCGAATGTGGAAATTAGATGAATCCGGAGTTAGTGCAATGAAAGTTACTAAGAGAGAACAGAAATACTCTTGATAATGCTGATGTGACTGGACTTTTGACAAGCAGTCTGGGACTTCTGCTGAAAAGTGCTCTTGAAGCCAAGCAAAATCATTTCCACACCCTCAGCACCTCCAGTTTTTCCTGGCCTTGGTCTCAGGGTGGTTGACCTTTTGCCGATGTGTTTTTCTTTTTTCTTTTCTTTTGTTTTCTTTTCTTTTCTCTTCTCTTCTTTTCTTTTCTAACAGTCTTGCTCTGTCTTCCAGGCTGGAGTGCAGTGGTGCGATCTCAGCTCACTGCAGCCTCTGCCCCCTGGGTTGAAGCGATTCTCCTGCCTCAGCCTCCCGAGTACCTGGGACTACAGGCTCCCATCACCATGACAGGCTGATTTTCTTTTTTTTCGTAGGACGAGGTTTCAGCATGTTCGCCAGGCTGGTCTTGGATTCCTGATCTCACATGATTCACCAACCTTGGCCTCCCAAAGTGCTGGGATTACAGGTGTGAGCTACCGCACCCAGCCTGCTGATATATTTTTAATTATCATAAGAAACAGTTAAAGTGAAATTGCAACCCCATGGTATCGGTGGACTGAACGTTTGGTTCTCATTTCCTTGAGATGGTAGTTTCCTCCTCTGGCTACTTTTGTCCAGCCAGTTCTCCTCTGTGGGCATTTGGGGAAGGGCTCTCTGATAGAAATATGAAATGATGAGGGATGCAAAAAACGTGGTTTGTTTCTTAGAACAACCTCCACCACGAAGGTTCCAGACAGAGTGAAATTTCTGTATTTGCTGACCCTGTCGCCAGTAGCCTGGAATAAACAGCAAAAATAGTTCTTGAGGCTTCGTGGCAAATGTGACCTACCTTTGTAGTTCTTGGGTAGGTGTGTGACTGTGGCCTATGAGGCCAAGTTGCAAGGTCTTTGGATGAACTTTGTGGCATCTGGCAATGTCCCCAGTGCAACCTATGTAAAATATAGCAGTTTCCTGCACACGCTTAAGGGAAGAAACCGTTGTGGGGAAGCGTGCTCTGTTATTCTTGCCAATGTAGCCAACATATACATGGGGAGGTCTGTTTTATGTTTTATGTTTGATGGTTTTTTCTTTTTCTTTCTTTTTTTTTTTTTTGAGACAGGGCCTTGCTTTGTCACCCTGGCTCAAGTGCAGTGGTAGAATCATAGCTCACTGCAGCCTCAAACTCTTTGGCTCCAGTGATTCTCCCACCTCAACCTCCCAAGTAGCTGGGACTACAGGCGTGTACCACCATGACCAGCTAATCTTTTAGTTTTTGTAGAGACAAGTTCTTGCTATGTTGCCCACAGTAACATAGTAAGTCTCAAATTCCTGGCCTCAAGCGATCCTCCAGCCTTGTCCTCCCAAAGTACTGGATTACAGGCATGAGTCACTGCCTGGTGCTTTCTTTTTGTCTTTTTCTAATAACCATTGCTATAGATGGTTGTCCTTAACGCGTAAATGTTTAAAATACCTAAATGCCTAAACGTTTGAAAACATTCCTTAAAAATTGAAGTTATAGCATACTAACAAGTGTTCATTTTTATAATTGCTGATTTAACTTAATAAAAACCAATAACTATAAATATCCTTAATGCCACTGAATTGTTCACTTAAAGTGGTTAAAATGATAAATTTTGTTACGTATATTTTACCACAAATTAAAGAAAATTAATATTTCCAACAAGCCAAAGCTCTATGTAAATGTCCTAAATTAATGTGTTTAAAGAGAAAATTTCACCAGTGATAATTTTTTTTTTTTTTCCCCTGAGAAAGTCTTGCTCTGTTGCCAGGCTATAGTGCACTGGCGTGATCTCAGCTCACTACAATCTCTGCCTCCTGGGTTCAAGCAATTCTCCTGCCTCAGCCTCCCGAGTAGGTGAGACTACAGGCGCATGCCACCACCGCCAGCTAATTTTTGTATTTTTAGTGGAGACGAGGTTTCACCGTGTTGGCCGGGATGCTCTCGATCTTTTGACCTCGTGATCCGCCCGCCTTGGCCTCCCATAGTGCTGGGATTATAGGCGTGAACCACCGTGCCCGGCAGGGAGTAACATTTCTATGCAACTATATGTGGGTGTATTTTTCTGAACATGTCAGTGAAGTTTAAATATTCATCTCACTTCTTTCAGTCACCCTCAAAGGGGAATTTAATTTACGACTTCATTTGTACTTTCAAACTTCCTCCTGGAAACAGAAGAAAATAAAATTAGATTTTTGTAAGCTGAGATGATATGCATGTTCTTATTTTCAATACAGTTAGTCTCTCCACTTTATTTTTAAACACAACCTCATAATACAAATAATCTAGTCTTTTCTGGAGCAGTCTATTTATTCAGACAGGTGGAAGTTGATGCTAAAGATTGGCGTTAAATTGAGTAAACCATTCATGTAGTAAATAAGATAATTTGTTTCTGCCCCCCAAAAGATTAAAATATAGATTTTTTTCAAAGTCTGTTTTTTTAACACCTACGGTCCCTGAATATGTTCGATTGAGGTTTGTGTCTGTAATTTGGAACGGCTTTTTGTTGCAACTAAAATATTCATTTGCAGAAATTATCACTGAGGGTGTTAGCTTCTTCATGCTTGCGTTTCTTGCATTTGTTACTAAATAAAATATTTAGAAGTCACGTCGATTTTCAAAATGATAGTTAAGGATGAAGGTAATATTGGCATATTTATTTTTATCTGTGTAATTTTTGCAACTTATAACCCCTTCAGGTCCAAATGAAACAGGCAACCAGGTAATAAACCAATTACATTCTAATACAGATTACTTCATGACAGTGTCTTATTTTCCAGTTTATATGTAGGTGAGATTCTTTGGAGACCGTCTTCGTAATATAGCTAGTTTTTGTCCATTCATTTTGCTTTGACTTCCTTGTATAGGTACAAAGGTGTAAGTAGGAGAGTCTACCAGGCAGCACACAGACGTGGCCCTGTAACCACCCTTGTGTAAAATCAGAGTAATCCTCCCTATCCTTGCTTATTTCACTGGGTTCATGGGTGATGACTGTAAATGACACAGGAGACAGGGAAAGAGTTTTGTTATCCTGATACACACATTCTTAAATGCCTCTAGCTGTGTAGACATTGGTTTGTCCATATTAATAGTATTTTACGAAGTGCCAGTTGTGTGCCTGCTTTGTGGCATATGCATTGGCATTCATTGCTTTATTTAATTCTTCCAACAACGTGTCAGATGTCTGTTCAAATTATTCCCCCCTTTACAGACACAGAAACTAAGATTTAGAGAGGTTATGCAATGTGCCAACAGGGAGAAGTTGGAGCTGGAATTTGAACCAGGCTAGCTGACTCCAAAGCTGTGTCCTCAAGCAGTACATCAGAGCCGAGGAAGGTCAAGTTTGGAACGCCATTTAGCTGCTCTCAGGGAGTCTGATTACTGTTTCTCTGTTGAGGCTCAGCTCAAGCCTTCCCTGGGCCATGAAAGACAACTTAGGTTTGGGTGTCCTGTGTTTGTACCTTGTTTTGTGCCCACCTACATCCTGGGTTATGTCTTTCCCCACCCCAAGCCTTTTTTGCCATCTCTTTTTCCCAGAAAGACTGGAAACTTGCCTAAAGAGACAGAATCCCAGATCCCAGATGGATCTACTATTTTAGAATCTCTGCTTCCGCATTTCTAAAATCCTTCCCAGAGAATTATTTGACTAGTTAAAGCTTAAGAAACACCCCAGTGGATTATGAGTGCCTTCTAGCCAAGAATGGGTATTTCCTCTGTGCAATCTGAGGGCACGGGACACTCCTCCAGCGGAGTAGCCTGTGATTTGTATGGGCTGCATGAATTCCTGCACTAACAAGGTAAAAGAAGGATGTTAAAGAAAACCCGAGATCTTTTGGGTACATGCTATAAGGTGAAAGGCTTATTCCATTTGCTCAAGAACAAACATCCATTTGTCCACCCCAAGTATTTATATAGTTCAATTAAGCGGGCAGGTAAACTGATTTTTTGGGTGGTTAATGATCTGATGATTTTCCTCTCTGTCATTGTGATTGGATATGATAATCTGAGAGTTGCCCAAATTAGTGCCTTTACTGTAGTTATAATAATGTCATGATGACTGAGGATCACTGAGTGTGCCTTTTGCTCTGTTAAGTGTGCATTCAGAACTTTACTAACATGGGTTCCACAGGAAATATTAGCCCCATTTTGCAAATGAAGAGGCTGAGGCTCAGAAATTTAAAATTGCTTCATGTCGCACAGTTCAGTGTAAAGTTGCAATGCAAACTAAGATGTTTCCGTTGCTTATAATCTTAACTATAATAATCATAAACCATGTTCTGTTGCTCAGAACCCTTGTACTTATAATATAAAACAATCTTTTTAACCAAGATTCTTCGCTTGGGTATTCTGAGTAGCATGGAAGAGCATTATACTTTTTTTTTTTTTTTTTTTTTTTTGAGACAGAGTCTAGCTCTGTCACCCAGGCCTGGAGTGCAGTGGTGTGATCTCGGCACACTGCAACCTTCGCCTCCCAGGTTCAGGCGATTCTCCTGCCTCAGCCTCCTGGGTAGCTGGGACTACAGGAGCATACTCCCACACCCAGGTAATTTTTCATTTTTGGTAGAGACGGCGTTTCACCGTGTTGGCCAGGCTTGTCTCAACCCCTGAGCTCAGGTGATCCGCCTGCCTTGGCCTGCCAAAGTGCTGGGATTACAGACATGAGCCACCAAACCTGGTCAATTTTCTATGGTGTGTGTTACATTTTTTAAAATTTTATTTTAATGTTTATATAGAAAAAGTTGCCTTATCAACCATTATAATCATGGTATTTAGTGAGTGTAATCTGTTCTGATGTAATACTTAGTTTAACTGGTAAAAAATATTTTGACAGAATTTAAGATTAGTTCTTTTTGCTTTGTCCGTCAATGTGAAATAATCAGTATATCATATTTATAGAATTCTGCTAAAACATGCATATATACATAAACAGATATTCATCTTAATTGATGTTAATTGAGATATAGGAGTACTTCATTAAGTCTCCAGAATACATACTTCATAAGCAGGAGGCATATATGTTTGTATATATGTATGTACATAGACTTGATACACATGAAATAAAATTTCAAATGGTTCCTCTGTTCAGCAAACGTGACCCAAAGTTTTGGCTTATTTGGCGTTTTGTTTTCTTGAAGACATACTTGAATTTTAAATAGTTAATCCATTTAAGAAGTTTCATTTAAGGTACTGTTAAAAAGAAAAAACACAGAACAACACAGTGAGAGCAGAAAAGGTATCATCTCCTCCCCCTCTTCTTCTCTTTTAGAAACCTTGCGTGATCCACTGATGGTAAATATTTCATGTACTTTGCATATCAGCCTGAGTTCCTTTTGTGAAGTCAGGTAAATGGAATGTAAATCCCCTCGTCCTCCAGACAGTAAAACGGCATTATTTGATGTTACATCGCATAAAGATGCAGATTTGATTCCCCCTTTACTCACACTATAAAAACAAAGTTTTTAAAGTGGTTAGCCATACCTGGAAATGTAAATGCATTCGCCTAATGTAATGCCAAAGAAAAATTAAGACAAATGATACCACATCGCTGCCACAAACTGCGGCTCGTACAAAATTCACTTTAGTTATTATGCTGTGAATACGGGCTCTCACCCTCCTCCGTGAATGCACAATTTATGTTGAATGCAACATGAATCATTTTAATAGACCAAGCAAAAAGTCCCCAAAGTCGATTTTCAAATTATGAACCTTGGAACAGAATATAACAACAGCGAACAACAAATAGTTCAGACTTTACTCTGAGCTATGAGTGAACCATTAAAGATACAGCAAGCACTTTCGGTGAGGTGTTACACAATTCATAGCCTAATGGCAAAAATATCAGAAATGGGGTATTTTTTAATGCTGTTTTTCCAGCCATCATTCTGTTCAATTATTTTCACATTTGTGTAATCAAGATATTCCCAAACAGAACATAGAGTTGTGTATTGTTGGGAACTAATTATATGTATTATAAATCCAAGAATTAATTTAAATGACCCAGTTTCCACAGAGAAAAAGCCACATTGTTTTTAAATAGCTAACTAAACAAAATGCTAACCCATATGGGAGAAATTTCCAAAGAATTAAAACCACCCACCAGGAAAATGGGAAAGTCTCCCCTCCACACACACACACACGCACACACACACACACACACACACATACACACACACACACACACACACAAAATCACCAAATCACACCTGAACAAGAGGAAGAAAATTAAACTCATTGAGGAGATACCATCTTTTTTTAAAAAAAAAAAAAAGGCAGCAAAATGTGAGATGGGCGTTTATTATGAGATACACGAAGACAGAGACCAGAGGTTCCCCAAGTAGCCCCTGGACCTGCAGTGTCAGCATCACCTGGTAGCTTGTTAGACATAGAAATTCTTGGGCTTTATTCCACACATAATGAATCAGAAGCTTGTGGGGTGGGGCCTGCAGTCTGAGGTTTATTTTTTCTAAAACTTTAAGTTCCAGGGTACATGTGTAAGATGTGCAAGTTTGTTACATAGGTAATCATCTGCCACGGTGGTTTGCTGCAGAGATCAACTTATCACCTGGATATGAAGCCCAGCGTCCATTAGCTGTTGTTGCTGATGCTCTTCCCACCACCTGCAAGCCCCAGTGTGTGTTATCCGCCTCCACCGTGTGTCCATGTGTTCTCATCATGCAGCTCCCACTTATAAACGAGAGCATGCAGTGTTTGGTTTTCAGTTTCTGCATAAGTTTGCCTAGGATAACGGCTTCCAGCTCCATCCATGTCCCTGCAGAGGACATGATCTCTTTCCTTTTTATGATTATATAATATTCCATGGTATATATGTACCATATTTTCTTCATCCTATCATTTATGAGCATTTGGAGTGATTCCGTGTCCTTGCTATTGTGAAATACCATTTGACCCAGCAATCCCATTACTGGGTATGTAACCAAAGGAATAGAAATGATTGTATTATAAAGGTACATGCACATGTATGTTGACTGCAGCAGTTTTCACAGTAGAAAAGACATGGAATTCACCCAATCCGAATTTTAACAAGTCTTCCATGTGATTCTGAGACAGACTCATGTTCGTGTGGTTCTGGCTCTGCAGAACTGAGGTGGGCCCCAAAACTTGCGTTTCTAAAAGGTACTAGCTGAGCATGATGACTCACATTTGTAATCCCACCACTTTGTGAGGCCGAGGCGGGTGGATCGCTTGAGGCCAGGAGTTTGAGACCAGCCTTGCCAACATGGTGAAACTCCATCTCTACTAAAAATATAAAAATTTGCCGGGTGTAGTGGTGCACACCTGTAGTCCCAGCTATTTGGAAGGCTGGGGCAGGAGAATCGCTTGAACCTGGGAGGCAGATGTTGCAGTGAGCCGAGATCAGGCCACTGCACTCCAACCTGGGTGACAGAGCCAGAGTCTGTCTCAAAAAACGAAAAACAAAAAAAACCAAAAGACTAAATGTATAAAAGGTACCCAGGTGATGTTGATGCTACTTGTCTTGGCCAATGAAATGAAAAGCCTACAGGCCAGGCATGGTGGCTCATGCCTGTGATCCACAACTTTGGGAGGCTGAGGCAGGCAGATCACCTGAAGTCAAGAATTCAAAACCAGCCTGACCAACATGGTGAAACCCCATCCCTACTAAAAATACAAAAATAACACCAAAAAAAAAAAAAAAAACCACAACAAATTAGCCAGGTGTGGTGATGTGGCCTATAGTCCCAGCTATTTGGGAGGCTGAGGCAGGAGAATCTCTTGAATCCAGGAGGTGAACGTTGCAGTGAGCCAAGATCTCACCACTGCACTCTAGCCTGAACTTCAGAGAGAGACTATGTCTCAAAAAAAAAAAAAAAAAAAAGCCTACAGTTGACAGGCAGATAACAGAGGGAGCAAAGGAGTCTTGTGGAAGACAATAGGGAGTGTTGAGGACCTGTCAAACAACACAGTCCCCATCTGTACTTTGGGAGGTAAGGACTTCTTAGTTCCAGCTGCCTGTTGCCATGGGGGAACATAGACCCAGAGCTGCCATCTTTTCTAATTTTTTTAAAAATTAGAGGCTAAAAGTTTTGGCTTATAAAAATGGTATTTCCTGAGTTTTTACAATTATAGTATTAAGATATTCCTAGGTTTTTGTTTGTTTTCGAGACGAAGTTTCGCTCTCATTTCCCAGGATGGAGTGCAGTGGTGCAATCTCCTCCGCCTCCCAGTTTAAGCCATTCTCCTGCCTCAGCCTCCTGAGTAGCTGGGATTACAGGCGCCCGCCACCATGCCCGGCTAATTTTTTGTATTTTTTAGTACAGACGGGGTTTCAGCATGTTGGCCAGGCTGGTCTCAAACTCCTGACCTCACGTGATCCACCCGCCTTGGCCTCCTAAAGGGTTGGGATTACAGGTGTCAGCTAGTGCACCTGACCCTAGGATAATCTTAATTTTAAGTAGCTGGTAACTCATAAATTTTTAAACACTCTGCAGTTCAAAGAAAACATGTTTGTGGTAGGTAGCCAGTTTATAACCTGTGTAAGACTGTGTTATTAGCAAATCCCTCAATGTGTTGACCAAGAGTGGGTAGGAATCCTGCAGACAGAATCTTTTGAAGGTGGTTTGTTTTTTTATTCCTTTATAAGTACAGTTGTAGATTTACAAAGTAATTGAGTATATAGTACATAAGGTCTTGTGTACCCACCGATCGCAATTGAGCATATAGTACATGCTGTCCTGTGTACCCACTGATCCCTGGTCCTGCCCCTGGTATGAGGGTATTAACATCTTGCATTAGTGTGGCACATTTGCTACAATTAATAAACCAATATCGATACATTATTAACTAGTCTATAGTTTACATGAGGGGCTGCTGCTTGTGTTGTACATTCTATAGGTTTGTTCAATGCATAATGACAGGTGTCTGTCATTTCATTATGGAGTGAAACCATTCCAATTTCATACAGCGTAGTTTCACGCCTCTAAAAGTCCCCTGAAAGTGTTATTAAAAGTACTATCTGGCCATGTCCTCATTTCCCCAGCAAAGTCCTTCTGAGAATTTAGGCGCTTTAGGCTAGAGGATCTCAGTGCTCAGAATGAAATATCCCTGTACTCCAAGATGCCTCCAGCAATTATAATTGAATCTTGAAGCTAGAGTTTCTTGGCTATCCTATTTCCCTTTTGTTTCCACCATGAAGAAGTGGAGAGCCGTGTGACCTCAGTGGTAGAGCTGATGTAGAAGCGCCCTCTCTGTTCCTGGCAGTGCCTGTCCTGCTAACCTCGTGTCTCTTGCTGGGGTCTTCATCAGTAAGAGACCTCACAAGATGCTTTATCAGGTCACTTGGCAACCAAGCTGATGAGGATAGCAGTTTCTTTTGTTCTTTTAAAACATATATAAAATTATTTTTATCAAACATGACAGATCAAAAGCCTTCTGGAAAGGAGAGATGGTAACTAATTTAGGCAGTGTCTTTTGCTTTCACATGGTGTACCCAGTACTATTAATATGAATTTATCACATGGAAACAAACTTTTAAAAAAATTAATTTTGTGAATTAAATAAAGCAGCATGCAAATTTACTATCGTATTCAGCAACCAAAATTTTATCACTTGCCTGATACTGCCTAGTGAGCAGGTGGAAATGTAGACACCAACACCCTCATGGATTCCCAGCTGCTGAGAGTTTGAATAGTATGTGAAGTCTGTAGAGACAAAATTGTTGTTTTCCCCAGTTGTAAAGTGTGCAATATTATCCTTGCAAAATTGTCTGTTTATTTTTTTTGCCCTTTTGGGGGACAAAATGTCTTTATGTTAAATTGTTTTATTATTGTTATCTTTATGGAGTTAAGGGCACATAAAATATTCTTACAGAGAGAAATTCTGTAGTTTCCACAAGTAACCAGAGAATTGTTCAAGGCAGAGAATTATTTTTTCAATGCCTATTTTCTCCTGAATTTTCTGACGGAGTTAGAGATAGGAAAATACCATAATCTGCTATAAATTCAGTTGAAAAATAGAAATAGTGAGAAATCCAGGTTGTGCTCTGTCGTAATTTAAGCCTAATATGTGATTGTCTACATGTTTACAAGTTACCGCCTTTTTATTTCTTCTCTTTTTCTGTTTTCTTCTTCCATTTTTATGTTTTGCTATGCCATTCATTCATTCTATTCTTTTCATTTCTTTTTCTTTTTGTAAAAATTGTACAGAGTTTAAAGTTAGTCAGGTATGTCTATTAAATTTTTACGTAAAAAGTTAAAGCAGCCCTCAGCATCAACTTCTTCTTCATTTCTAACTCATTTAGTGAATTCAGTTGGTCTTTATATATGTAGCTTTAAGTAATTGCATGTAAACTGTTACTTCTTCATTTTCTAGTCTTAGATATTATCTGTAGGTTTTTCAATAAGAAGGAAATTTAGCTTCCTTCTACTTTGGTGCCCCATGATGATGTGCATCTTTTTTATTTCTGCATCATATCCATATAGTGATATCATGTATAATGATGTTTAAGAAGACAGTTTTTTTTGTTTAAATTGTTATAAATAAGTAAGTGTATGCACCACTATGCCATGTAGCATATCAAGATTATTTTTCTTTCCTGCACCTTATTTTTTCCCTGGAGTTAATACTCATCTTTTTTTAGAAATTTGCTGAGTTTGTGATGTACCTATCATTCAACCTCAAACTTTCATGTGATTGTCTAAATCTCAGTTCCTTTTATTAGAAAAAAAAAAAAAAACAACTCCCCTGGAGCCTTTGTACCTTCTGCAGTTTGGGGTTGTTGTCCTTTTTGCTTGGTGCACAGGAATACTTGGTGATGTTCTTTTTAAAACTGCCCTCACATTGTATCCTGGAAAGTTCATTTACCTGTACCCGGAGTTGGAACTTCTCTTCCACATCTTTTCCTGTATTGGTTTGGTTATTGTTTTGTGGGAGCATGTCTTGTAGTAGCTTTCTGAAAAAGGATGATAGAATATGTGTGTGTGTCTGTGTGTGTGTATTTCAGGTTTCAAAATGTTTCTGTTCCATCCTCATTTTATTCATTGTTAGGGATAGAATTACAGATTTAAAATCAATTTTGCTTCAGAGTTTTAAATTCTATTTTGTGGCTTTCTGTGTTGTTCTCGGGAAGTACAAACCCTTGTGACCGCTGTTCTCTTTCATTTCTATCTGCTTCTCTCTTGGGAGTACAATGGGAGGCATATCATCAACCCCTTGCTGCTATCCAAATAGGAGACTGTTCCCTTTCAAGAGAATTTTAGGTATTCAGATCCTAGACCTCCCAGATGGCCTCATAAGTATTTTTATCCTCTATTTATCTTTGTCTTTGTGTTACTTTCAGGGATAGTTCTTCTAGTCTTTCCATGGATTTGGTGGGGGGGGGGGGGACGTTTCTATTTCCTTTATGTTTGATAACATTCTATTCTTGTTTCATGGATGATGTTACTCTTTTAACTCTCTGATGTTAATGATAATTGTTTTAATTTTTCTTTTCTGTTTAGTTTCTATCTTCTCAAAATTGTTTTCATTTCTTTTGGTAATTGTGTTTGATGATAGTCTTTTTTTTTTTTTGAGATGGAGTCTTACTGTGTCACCTAGGCTGGAGTGCAGTGGTGTGATCCTGCCTAACTGCAACCTCCACCTCCCAGGTTCAAGTGACTGTCCTGCCTTAGCCTCCCAAGTCGCTGGGACTACATGTGCGTGTCACCAAGCCGAACTAATTTATTTTTATTTTTTGTATTTTTAGTAGAGATGAAGTGTTTACCCTGTTGGCCAGGCTGGTCATGAACTCCTGACCTCAGGTGATCTGCCCATCTCAGCCTCCCAATGTGCTAGGATTACAGGCATGAACCACCACACCTAGCCTCTTGATAAAGTCTTTCCCCAAATGTTCTGATCTGTGGATGTCTGTTTCTATCTAAGTAGAATTCAAAGTTACTGCTGCCAACTCTTAGCACATGGCCACGGCCAGTTAACTGTGGACTCCTCTGAAGGATGATCTGGCTGGACTATTTTTTGGGAAAACCACTGTGTTTGAATGTTTGCATGTGTCCTGTTGGCAGAACAAATATCCCACAGAAGGATCTTCTTATCTTCTGCTTGGGGAAGGTGTAGCTCTGACTGCTAGAGTTCTAGAGCCAAGTGAGGGGGAGAGTTCTGAGTCTCTGCATTCAGTAGGTAAACATTTACAAAGTCTGTGTTTTCAGTATCATGCCACTGTTCTCACCTGTTTATGTTCTCTTCTGATAATAAACTTCTGTCATTTTTCTGGAGTTATGAAATGATGGTATCCTGCTGGGCTGAGTGGGGAGGGATTCTCAAGCTGTACATAGCTGACACACAGGTTTCTAAAAGGTTGTCTTTCAACCCCATTTTCAGAAGTACCAGGTTCCACATTTTCTGAGCCTTTGCTGGCTCTCTGATAGGAATTGTGTTACTTCTCAGCTGTCCCCATGGCTAGCTTAAGACTCAGCTCTCTTAAGTCACTTCCTAGTTGTCCATCTGCTTTCCAGCATCCAACTGTAATTTTTTTTTTTTTAAGAGAAATGAAGTCTCATTTTGTTTCCCAGGCTGGTCTCACTGTAATTCCTGGGCTCAAGTTACCTCTCACCTTGGCCTCCCAAACTGCTGGGATTATAGGCATGAATCGCTGTGCCTGGCCTCAACTTTAAATTTTTATATTGAATAATCTTTGATTTGTATTGTCATGTTGTTTTATAGCAGTTACTGCTGTTTTAGTGTGATTTGGGATGAAAATTTTAAAAAATCAATATGTATAATCCACCATCTTTGTTCCTTTTATTTTTATGTTACTCATTCTTTTAAGCTTGTCTTAGACGTGAGTATTATGTTTTATTTTGCTGGGAGAACAATTTGGGAAAATTTGAGCAGCAAACCATAAGTTTCTTGGTGTCTGTGTACTTGGAGCTCTGAATCACTATTGTCACTGAGGGAGTGGACAGGAAGTGATGCTGAGATAAGTCTAGATGGGATAGGTGGGCAACATGCAGGAGAAACCTCCTGGGAAAGGTGAGCAAGAGCACAC
This sequence comes from Homo sapiens, assembly GCF_000001405.40. NCBI lineage: Eukaryota > Metazoa > Chordata > Mammalia > Primates > Hominidae > Homo > Homo sapiens. The sequence continues at coordinate 78,341,689 of NC_000016.10, forward strand.
AGGTGAGACATAGCATCGAGTGTGGAAACCTCCATGGGTGGCAGGTCAGTGTTGCTGAGGGATGTGGACATGTCTGAGGCCAAATAGATGAGTCCCTATTGGGTTTTGCCTCTCCACAATCTAGAGGAATATTTATGGAAGGTTAACAGGGCATGGTGGTGCACACCTGTAATTCTAGCACATTGGGAGGCTGAGGTGAGAGGATTGCTTGTCTTACAGGAGTTGAAGACTAGCCTTGGCAACATAGCAAGACCTCATCTCTACTTGGAAAAAAAAAATTAGCTGGGCATGGTGGTGCTCACCTATAGTACCAGGTACTTCGGAGGCTGAGGCAGCAGAATGGCTTGAGCCTGGGAGATCAAGGCTACAGTGAGCTGCAATTGTGCCACTGCACTCTAATTTAGGCAGCAGAATGAGACTATGTCTCAAGAAAATGTTCAAGAAGAAATACAAACTATTGAAAAAGGAAGGCTGAATGCTTTATCAGAAAACTGTATTTGGAGGGGACCTTTCTGGGGTCTTTTAGTCAGGGTACATAAGTGTCAGCTGCTACGACAAACAACTTGCAACGTCTCATTATCTTCATACAACAAACGCTGATTTGTTCCTTTCATTACATATCCAGTGTGAGTTGGCTGGAAGGTCCACCCTACACAACCACTCGTGAAGGCAGACTTGAAGGGGACTCCACTGTCTTGGAGCTACACTCTAAAACAAATAGCCTCCAAAGTCAAGGACTCTGTAACAGGATGAAGCAGCATTTTTTATGGGCAGGTTTGCACGTGGCATTTGTTGCTTCCATCAACATTCCACTGGCGAGAGTGAGTCCCTGGCCCCTATGTAATTATGAGGGAGGCTGAGATGTGAGAAGCACATGGGTGTTGGGAGAGCACTAAAGGTCTCTAGCCCAGAAGCATGACTTCCAGCCAAGTGAGACAGGGAAGCCCAGAAAAATGTGTCACAGAACTTATGGCATCAGAATCTGATTCCCAGGCATGCTTTCCACCATATGCATAGACATTTGCACCCCAGGGATAGCACCATTACTCCCAAAAATTGCAGGTTTGAAAGGGTACCTAAAAACAAGCCACCAGATTGTCCCATTCCACTATCATTCTGCCATCAACACCGAGGTGTCGGAGTAGCAGGAGAGCCACATATTTCTTAGTGAGGGGACCCAGAATGATCCCTTTTGTGCTAGAGGATCTGAGTTCATTTCATGAAACTGAAGCATCTTCTTGGAGATATAAGCTCACCTTGGGATAGGCCCTTGCAGATGACAATAAAGGTATTTTGGCACATAAAAAAACTGCTCAGCACACCTTGTATTTGTATTTCCTTTGACGTGAACCATGGCCATCCAGTAGGCCACGCAACATTCCCACTGCCATGTTGGCTTGTTTTTCTTTTGTTTTCTTGTCAACATAAGCCTCATGAGACAACAGCAGGATGCAAGATTGTACAATGACACCATGACTCTGCTTTCTGGGTGTCCTCTGTGGGCTCTCAGCAGTGTCCCCGATGTGGAGGGTCTTCTTATTCTGTGTGTGTGCCCTCTGCTGTTGAAAGTTGCCTGTCACCCATGATGCTGTGCTGATTGAGCAAACTAATCCATAACCCACCGCCACGTTCCTCGCCTACTTGCTTCTAGGCACATTAAACGGTCAGTGCACAGGTCCTCATTTTTCTCATGCTTCCATTTCCATATTCTCAATCAATCACTGATGGCCAGCTGTCAACAGGCACCATTTTTGGTGGGACCTGAAGATGTATATCCCTTGTTTTCAGATTCCTCGCCTCTCATCATGTAAGGTGATGCTCTGAGCTGGGTCTTAAAGCTTCTGGGCACAGCCCCCCTTGAGTCTTCATTATGGCAAATCTAGTGCAGGTGCTGAGAGGCGGTAACTCTTTAAAGGGACAGGATATGGAAACGTGGCTTCATGGACAGTATTTTAGTATATTTCTGTAAATAGCACATGTGCTAGATAGCAGATTTGTGTATGGATATGCACCCGGCTAGGGACCTCTTTAATGGTCATTCATTTGGGAGATGACCTTTGGTTCCTAAACTGGTGGACATACCAAGGACTAAAGGAGTGACTTGCTCTCAGTTCTTTGTCATTCAGCTGCTTTAATATTAATATGACACCCGTTTTGGGCTTGAAAAGTTTTCCTTCTGCTGAGAAATGATGATGGTGACAATGATGACAATGACGATGACCCTTGGTTGGAGCAATGTAGTCTAAATGTGGTTGCATCATCTTCTTTCTTCCTTTGCCTTCCTCCCTTGCTCTTTTTCTGCCCCTCATGCCGGCTCCTTCCTCCCACATCACCCCACATTTTTTTTTCTTTCTCCTCACCATCAAGAAATGTTCCAGAATGCCATTATTCTTCGTCACCACGGTCAGGTATATCATCCTAAGGGCAGAGGGTGAAGGTGCGTAATTAGTGTTTCACCAGACTGAGCATCATCCTCGGGCAGGTGCAGGGGAGAATGGCTGGTATTTATGAGTGAATGGCAGCGTTTTGACAGGATGATGAATAAATATGCTGGGCCCAGAGGACTCCAGGTGATAAGCATTTCTTTGTGGTCTGGTAAGTGATAGCACCCATTGCTTAATTTCTCTAAAATCTGCATTTGTCAATTTTGTATTTTTTTATTTGAAAGGTATTTGCTTAAATAAATAGGCCATATAAATCTAGCTCCCAATGTCCATTTTCAAATGATTTCCAGCAAGGAAGATGGAATTACCACGAGGAACCTGTTCTCTTATGTTTCTGCTTAGATGGCTGGGTCTATACCAGGGTTTATTTAAATGAACACAGGAAATGCCATTCACCTTTACCATGAATGGGAATCTTTGCCTGTGACTCTATCGTGTGAATTAGCAGAGCTTGGCTATTATTCCCCTACTTCGGTAGATACTGGCTGTACAGAAGGGAACCCCAGTTTCAATGAGTACCTATGTGCTGGGCACTTAGCTGGTTTTTACACACATACTTCATTTGAAGGGAAGGAATTGACTGAAAAGAATTCTCCATTCCAACTTCCCAAGTCAGTTGCCATTTGGCCCTGATAAAGCTGTACTTTCTCACTTGTTCCTTATTTAAAATAGAGAAAAGTGCATCAAGCTCTTGTTAATCTGTCAGGCCTTCCTAAGATGTCTGAAGAAGTTAGTTTGGTGAACATGGGCTTCAGGGTCAGACTGCTTGTGTTCCATTCTTGATCCTATCACTTCCTTGCTGCGGGAACTCTGGAAAGTCACTTAACCTCTCTGAGCAAGCTTCCATTTTTCCAGGTGAAAACGGGAGTTTAGCCTAGTCCCCACTTGATAAGATGGTTGTGGAAAGTATTGTGCGTCATGGACCTAAAGTACCTAGGAGATTGTCCTGGATGTCGTTTTCTCATAAAGTTGACTATGGCTATTGGTGGTACTAGTATGACTGTCAAGTCGATCAGGTGGCTGAGGAGCAGTACATGGGGGTATACAGAGTGCAGGCCTCAGAACTGCAGAACATCTGCACAATCTCCAGCAAGCTAACCTCTCTGGACATCGTATTCCTCATCTATAAAAGGGAGACTTCAATCTTATTTAATGGCAAAAGTCACAATTACTTTTGTACCAACGTAATAGAATTAAGTAAAATAAGGCTAGACATGCTGGCTCATACCTTTAATCCCAGCACTTTGCGAGGCCAAGGTGGGCAGATTACTTGAGCCCAGGTGTTGGAGACCAGCCTGAGCACCATGGCAAAACCCCATCGCTACCAAAAAAAAAAAAAAAAAAAAAAAAAAAAAAAAAAAATTTTAGTCGGGTGTAATGGCACACCTGTAGTCCCATCTACTCGGGAGGCTGAGGTGGGAAGTTTGAACCTGGGAAGTCAAGGCTACAGTGAGCTGTGATCCTGTCTCTACACCTCAGTCTGGGTGGCAGAGCAAGACCCTGTCTCAAAAAAAAAAAAAAAAAAAAAAAAGTAAAATAAAGCATGGGAAGTCCCTTATACAGTTTGTGATATGGGTACACACTCAGTGAAATGGCCATTAATACTGCTGTTCTTAACTCTGAAAGCAGAGTGGGCCATTTGAATGCTCACTTTGATATTTTTTAAAGGAAAAATTTGAGGCATTGACACATGCCTTTTGCTTACTTGCTTGGATTGGTTTGATCAACTTTGTTGCGGTCTAATTTATGTAAAATAAATTGCATCCATTTAAATATACAATTCAATGAGTTTTGACAGATGCACATGCCCATGAAACCAACACGAAAATAAAAAAAATAGAACATTTACATCACCTCAAAAAGATTTCAAATGCCACTTCTGTGGTGTATGACTCTGAGTCCAGACAGCCTCAGCTCCAGGAAAACCCTGGTCTGTTTTCTGTCACTATTGATGAATTTGCATTTTCTAGAATTTTAGATAAGTGAAGTTTTCTAGTACTTGTTCTGCATCTGGTTTCTTTCATTCCACATAATTACCTTGGGATGTACCCATACTGCTGCCTGTATCAGTGGCTTACTCATTGTCATTGGTGAGTAGTACTCCATTGTGTGGAGAAATCACATTGTTTTAAAAATACCTAATTACCTGCTGATAGACATTTGGGTTCTTCCCAGTTTTTAGCTGTTGTAAATGGATACTAATGTGAACGAAGCCACCGTGAATATTGATGCACTAGTCTTTGTGTGGACATATATCTGTTTTATCTTGGGGGATAATACTCTGGAGTGGAATGGGCAGGGTGGTCCGTATAGGGCTATGTATAACTTTTTAAGAGGTTGGCAAATACTTCCCTAAAGTGGTCATCCCATTTTACATTCTTGCCAACAGTGTTTAAGGATCCACTTCCTCTACATCCTTAATAATACTTGATATTATTGGTCTTCTAAATTTTCTGTTTGGGTACATAGTGGTATTTTGTTGTATATTTTTTTTTAATTGTGAAATATGTGAGTATGATGAGTAATGATTTTGAACATGAAAACTATGCTTATTGCTCATATCTATGTTATTTTATTATTTACTTTTTTTGAGATGGAGTCTCGCTCTGTTGCCCAGTCTGGAGAGCAGTGGTGTGATCTTGGTTTACTGCAACCTCTGCCTACTGGGTTCAAGCGATTTTCCTGCCTCAGTCTCTTGAGTAGCTGGTGTTACAGAAGCCTGCTACCATGCCTGGCTAATTTTTGTGTTGTTTTATTTTTATTTTATTTTTTTAGCAGAGACAGGGTTTCACCATGTTGACCAGGCTGGTTTCAACTCCTGACCTCAGGTGATCTGCCTGCCTCGGCCTCCCAAAGTGCTGGGATTACAGGTGTGAGCCACAGCGCCCGGTGGTCATATCTCTTTCTTGCGTTTTTGTGGGGGTTGGGGTAATAGGTTTATTGAGATATAATTCATATACCACACAGTTTCATTTTTAGTGTATTGACAGGTGTGCAGTCATCGTCACAATCAAGCCATAGCTTCTTTTAAACTTTGTCTTCCTTCTCTTTCTAATTATCTCCTTCCCCCGCCCCCTCCATTCTCTTTCCATCCTTTAAATGTCAGTGTCCCCCACAATTCTGTTGTTGACCCTTTCTCCCTCTGGCCAATGCTCCTTCCCCTGTAGATCATACCCATTCCCAAGATTTCAGTCATCAAATCCATTCCAATATGACTCCTGTATCCATATGTCTAGTTCCAAGTATCTGTCCATGGTGTTGGTCCCAGGTTATTCGCACCTCATATGTCTTTGGCACAGCACTCTTGACAGCTCATAAAGTCACGCTGTTACCCCCACAATGTCCCCCCACATATCATTGCTATCCCTCCTCGACACCCACACCTCTTGCATGTTCCTGAGCTTCTTAGGCGTGTTGCATCTTCCTGACCTTCCCAGTCCGAAGCCCAAGGAGATACTTGATAAATATTCGTCTAATAAATAAATGAACTTGTGTTCTCCATATTCCTTGAAAATATGCTTCACTTTTATCTTTTTAAGAAATTAATTGCATTACTATCTTATTAAAGGTCAAGAAAAATAATTCATATCACTCACTATTCATGAGACTGCTAAATAGTTGCCCTGGCAATTTCTGATTATAATTTTAGAAATATTTCTAACCTCTGGCCTTTTTTCTTATCTCTACTTAAAGCTTTTCTGGAAGGAATTCATTTTCCACTTTCCTTAATGTTCCTTAAATGTTGTACATATCTTAAAAGTGGATTCCTCATAAAACAATATGGACTATGGTCTTATTCTGTTTAACGGTATGAAGGCTCGCCTGAAAGGCCAAGAGTAAGATTCTTTTAAAATCATGCCCAAGTTTTAAAGGAATATAAAACTTTCTCTTTAAAAATATACCTTTCTGCTTCCATCCCCTAACCCACAAAGCTCAAGTCTAGTTTAATTCAAACTTGGAAATAGTTCTTTTATTATTGCTCCCTGCAATGGGAACAGAGCTGAGGCTCCTAAGGTCTAGAGTCAACATGAAAATACCTTTGCTTCTGGGCCATAGCTGTGTTTCTTCTTAACAAGGCAGAAGCCCAGAAGAGACTTCATGTACTGTGACTGTAATAAAGAGGGTTGTAAGTAGAGAAGCTGGAATTTGAAAGGTTACGTACAAGTCAAGCTGCCTCTGTAATGTCACTTATATCCAGGAAAGAGTGGCAAAGAACCATCCCAGCAGATAGCTTGAGGGTGGGAAGGGGGATAGGTTGTTGATAATATGGAATAGGAGAAAAAAGATCATAGAGCCAAAGAGCTCGATACATATACTGATGCGGTGTTTATTTTATTTTAGTTTTTTGAGACAGGGTCTCTGTCGCTCAGGCTGGATTGAGTGCAGTGAATCTTGGCTCACTGTAGCTTTTGCCTCTTGAGCTCAGGCAATCCTCCTGCCTCAGCCCCACCAGTAGCTGGGACTAGAGGCACATGCCACTACACCCAGTTAATTACTACATTTTCTGTAGAGACGGGCTTTCCCCATGTTGCCCAGGCTGGTCTCTAACTCCTGAGCTCAAGAGATCCACCCGCCTCTGCCTCCCAAAGTGCTAGGATTACAGGTGTCAGCCACAGTGCCATGCCCTGATGTGATGCTTAAATTCAGAAATTGGGAAGGAGGGTCAGGTAGCTATAAGCAAAATACAAGAGAAATATAAGAGAAAGAAAGACTTGTATCTGTTGTTAGTGAGTTTTTGTGGTGGTGATACATTAATGGAGGCAACAGAGGGTCAGAAATCAGGGTGGAAAATAGCCCAGCAGAGGGGAAAAGAGGAAGTCTGAACGAGGGCCACATTGCAGATAGAGGCCGGTGTACTGGTCTGCTCAGGCTGCCATAACAAAATACCACAGGCTGGATAACTTGAACAACAAAAATACATTTTCTCATAGTTGTGGAGCCTAGAATTCCAAGGTCAAGGTTCCGGCACAGTTGATGTCTTCTGAGGTCTACCTCGTCTGCTTGCAGACAGCCGCCTTCCCACCGTGTTCTCACGTGACCTAGCCGCTGTGTGCACGCATCCCTGGTTTCTTTTCCTGTGTTCAGATGTCCTCTTCTTTGAAGGACACCACTCAGATTGCAATAGGACCTGCCCTGATAGCCTCATTTTTTACATAATCACCTCTTTATAGGCCGTACCTCCAAATACAGTCACATTCTGAGGTAGTACGGGTTAGGTCTTCAGCATATGAATTTTGGGGAAACAGAATCCAGCTAACAACAGTTGGGGATGAGGCTATAACGAATACCACTGCCTAATGTTTGCACGGGGATATCATGCTTTTCAGAGACCATCTGCATCCTTATCTCACTTAATCCTTGCCCCACCCTTTAGAAGAAGCCAGGAGGAGGTCCTAGTCAGCTGATGTGAGATTACATGGCCCTGACTGTCTTGCCTGGTGCTGCAGGCCACCTTCACAGCCTTGCCATACCTTTTCCCGTTTATCCATGGATTGGTATGAGCCCTAATGGTGCACCCTTCCGACAATCCTTCATCCTTCCCAGACGTTTCATCAGCCAGGTGAAATTTGCAATTGTTTCAGTGATTGAAATTATGCTTGGAGTGCAGGTGTCACCGATGAAACAGCAATGCCTTGCGGTGACAAATTCAGTGTAGAAATAATTTTAGCAAGCCCAGTGATTGGAAAACAATGACTCAACTTTGAGCTATATTGATTTTGTATTTCTGGGCTCAGCTTTTGACTCAGTCTCATTCCCCAGAAATAATCCCTGTTAACATTTCGGTTTGTGTTATGGAAGTGTTCTCTCTTCTATGAATTACCTAATGCCCATACCATACATATGCCTGCATTTGTACACTCTTAAGCCAAATAACATCGTACTGTGTATTATTCTCTAGTAGCCTGCTTTTTATTGAACTTAATGATAAATGGCAAACATTTGACCATGTCACTTAAGTTTCTTACCGTGATCTCCAACAGCTAGGCAATATTCTGTCATATGGGTTTACCATACTTTTCTCAATCCACAATCTCATCAGAGTCCCAATAGTTGCCTGATATGTCTCCATCAGTTGTGAGGTATGTTTCAAGTGATTTATTACTAGAAATTCTTAGCGAGCTGAAGTTTGTAAATTTTCTCAAGCTACTTTATTGATATATAACACAGATACATAAACTTTGCCCATTCAAAATGTACAATTCAGTGCTTTCAGTATATTCAGAGAGTTTTGCAGCTGTCACCACAGTCAAGTTTAGAATATTTTCATTTTCCCAAAAAGAAACCCTTGACTGGCATCCTTTTCCCCACTTCCTTTTCTCTCCACTCCCAACCTCTCTCCCAGCTCCAGGTAACCACTCATCTACTTTCTGTCTCTATATAGATTTGCCTATTCTAGACTTTTCATATAAATAAATCAGATACTGTGTGGCCCTTTGTGTCTCGATCCTTACACTTAGCATCATGTTTTCAAGGGTCATTCATGTTGTAGCATGTATCAGTACTTCTTTTTTTAGGGCTGAGTAATATTCCATTTACGGATATGCCACATTTCATCTATGCATTCAGTTCACGGACATGTAGGTTGTTTCCACATTTTGGCTATTGTGCATAATGCTTCCAGGTACACTTGTCTACACATTTTTGTGTGGATATAGGTTTACCTTTTTTGGGGTATGCTCCTAAGAGTGCAATTTCTGGATCACGTGGAACTCCTTGTTTAACCTTTTGAGGAGCCACCAGATTGTTCTCCACAGCAGCCACACCCATCTACATTCTAACCAGCAGTGTAGGAAGGTTCCGATTTCTCCATATCTTCACCAGCACTCGCTGTCATTTTTCTTTTTAGTCTTGTCATTTTATTGGGTATGAAGCGGTATTGCATTGTGATTTTGATTTGGATTTTCTTGATGGCTTAGGATATTGAACATCTCTTCATATGATTATTGGATGGATGATTTTTTTCAGCGGTTATCAGGTCACACCTGTAATCATGCCCACCTCATTTTCTTACAGTGCAGTGTGTGCTTTTAGGCACATACCAAGAGCTTACAGAGATCCTTCTGGTTCAGAGGAAAGATTCACATCCCCAACAAACACTGCTCCCCGATTACAATATAGAGAGGCTAAATTATAGTCCATATCACTTTTCCTTTAAATCCCTTTACTTTTTTGTGCTACAAGAGTTTCAGAATAATAATTCCGCAGAAAAAAGTACTGATTGTCCAGCAGTTGTGTCAGGTAGAAAACTGGGATGCCCGACTGCATTGGTTTAGCCAGAACTATGGCCATGAAACCTTGCCTGGCCCCCAGGGATGGGGTGAGGGGGGATATCATATACGCTTTAGGTGGGGCAGAGGGGTGGTCTGCCCCTGTGCAGGCAGGAATGTTCAGGAAGCAGGCTGCCTCTGTTTCTACTCTAAATATTTAACATTCACGGATGGCATGGATCCTGACTAAGCGGAGCAGATGCTGGCTCTATATTGCACATAGCTCCTGAATATCAGCCCTGCGTGGCTATGCATGTGTTTTTTGTTAGTTTTTGAGACAGAGTCTCGGTCTCTTGCCCAGGCTGGAATGCAGTGGCACGATGTTGGCTCACTGCAAACCCTGCCTCCCAGGTTCAAGCGATTCTCCTCTCCCAGCCTCCCGAGTCTCTGGGATTACAGACGTGTATCACCAGGCCCAGCTAATTTTTATATTTTTACTCGAGACGTAGTTTCACCATGTTGGCCAGGCTGGTCTCAAACTCGTGACCTTAGGTGATATGCGCCCCTCAGCCTCCCAAAGTGCTGGGATTATAGGCATGAGCCACCACGCCCAGCAGTATGTTTGTTTTTCTTCAAACCTAGATCAAGAGTCAAACACTCAAATGTTTGGTGGGAGCAGTTGATGATCCAGAGCTTTGGAGTCAGCGAGACAGTAGAGAGTGGTGGAGATGGTGGCGCACAAGAGGGTCAGTGCCCCATCTCAAGGAACAGCTGCACCTCGGCCTATGCGATTGTGAAAATGTGAGCATATGCAGGCCAGACCTTGGCTTCTCTGTCTTCATTTTTCACAGGAGCCAGAAGTTTGGATGTGCAATGTGAAATCTCACAAATTAAACATGTTACATAACTGTATTTTGTTTCCTATCTCTGCTGTAATAAATTTTCTCAATGTTAGTGACTTAGAACCACACAAAAGTTACACTTTACAGTTTTGGAGGTCAGTGGTCCAAAATAGGTCTCAGTGGGCTAAAATCGATGTGTCAGCAGGACACCATTTCTTTCTGTAGGTTCTAGAAGAGAACCCACTTCCTTGCTGTTTCCAGCTTCCAGGGACTGCCCAAATCCTTTGGCTCATGGCCCCTTCCTCTATCTTCAAAGCCAGGGATGGCTGCTCAAGTCCTTCTCAAACTGCCCTGTTCCTGGTTCTCTCTCTTCTGCTTCTGCTTTTAAGGAACCTTGTAACTTCAGGGAGTCTACCCTGATAATCTGGGATAATCTGCCTGTTTGAAGGTCAGCCAATTAGCAATCTTAATGCCATCTACAACCTTAATTACCATTTGCTATGTAACATATTTATAGATATCAGGGATTAGTTCATGAACATATTGGGGTAGAGGGCATTCCACATACAGCAGTACCTATAATGTATATGCTTCTTAAAGAATGCATGAGTCTTAAATTTATTTTATGTCCTTGGAGTGTATAGCAGAGTTAGATAGATCCTTCTGGATTGGCGGTTGATTGAATATTGGCTGTACAAAGAAACTGGATAGGAGTATAGAGAAAAGATCAATCATAGCACTAGCTTATAGTTTATTTTATTCTTTAATGATTTTTTAAAAATATTTCTCTCACTTACTTGAAAAGCAGTCTTAGAAATTAACTGGAATGGGTAATTTATTCGTCTTTCTTCTTTTGTAAAATAATGGCAGTTTGTAACTCAGATTTTTGTATGAGGAATAAATAAAATACTGTCTGTTTTCCTTTGATCTTTCTATTTGTGGTCCAGCCAGCCAGCTAACTATGCATTCCTTTTTCTGCCTTTTCATCATAACACCTATCTTAGCAACTCTTCATTGCTGCTTTGCAAAGAGGATTTGAGATTGTTTATGTAGGGGCCCGTGTATAATACCTCAAGAGAAAAAGACACAGATGAGGCTATTAGGATTAAGGGAAAATCAAGTAAATCGAGAGGTAAAGCACTGTGCAGAAATATTGGCCAGAAGCTATGAACAGATGCCACAGCTGGGCTGAAGAGTTACCTGTGAGCCTTCCAGGGGTGTAAGCCAAGAGAAAGACAGTTCACCAAATCTATCGATTAATAGAAATCATCCAGCAGCAGTGCCACTGTAAGATGTTCAATACGTAGCACCTTTCTGTCCCTTCTCCTCTAGCCAGTTGGGACAGGATTAGCAAGCCAAAGACTTTCTGAAATAATCCTTAGCTATATTCTTGGTATTCACCAAGGAATTTACCAATATGCAAAGACTTGGGGATAATTAGTATTATCTTTGCCATTACCTGCAGTAATATTATGAAGATTAGAGATGTAACTCTGTCCTGAAGAACTGCAGTCTGTGGCTCACCTTGGAGAAGAACTTAAGAACTTATTGAAGTGAGCAGGCTCACCTGCCTTTGCTCAGAGCCACATCACCTGCAGGCAGGATCTGCAAGGTCAGCAGTTAGCGTCAAGTTGCACAGCCTGGGCTTGGGTGGCGTTCGCTTTACCCTTGCCCTTGATGTGGTGCCGAGTTGTCAGGATTCTCGTAAAATTCCTGGGTGATGGCTTCTTCTGTTCTCTTTATTTCCTTAAGTGAACATCTGTCTAATTGTTCACCTCCATCGCTTTCGTGCTTTCCTCATGCTTTCTCTCTTTCCAGACAATAAACTTTATTTTCTTCATAAGAATTCAGTCTACGCAAGGGTATTAGGCAGCTTGTTTGCACCTTTTAATTCCTGGATGTTTTCCAGAAAGGCTGTTTGCAGTAGTTCCAGTGGGTTCATCTGTGAATCAGGAAAGACAATGCAGCTTTGTGTTTTGGTTTTTATCAGTTACCTTCTGTTTGTAAACATCTGTTTGGAAACGTTTGCTGGTGCCCACCCCAGCACCCCCCCACCCCTGCCAGAAATAAAGGGATTAATCTCTTTTTGCTTGGCATAGGGAGAAGACAGTGTCTGCTGATGTGCTTAACTTTTTTTTTTTTTTGGTCAGGTGTGTAGGTATGTGACTGAAACCCATAGACTTTGCACATATTGTCAAATGACTTTCCAGAGGGACTCAGGCACTTTATTTAATTAATGCCAATGAAGCCCGTTAATCCGCTCATTACTGCAGTTTAATTTTGATGCTGGTTTTTGATGATGTATTGAAAACTTGTATAAACTGGCAATTACAACTGGAAAACATTTCTAGTTTAGAAGAGACCCTTATTTTTCATATGCTTAGAAATATCCAGCAAGCCACTTTTAAAGGCTTTTTATCACATTTTATTCTTAAGCTTTCTGAATTCCTTATTATATTTTGCCTGATAAATAGTTGGATTTTGTTTTTTGGTTCAATGTAAGAATATTCTTAAACTAGGTAAACTGTTTTGTTTGTCATTATGTTCTCTCATTCTGTTAAATTTTGTTTTCTATTTTTCATGTTTTTGGGTTTTTCTAGATGGCCTGTCTTTAACACTTCTTGATATTTTTGATTAAATTTTCATATATCATCAAAAACAGAGATGACAGCCAGGGGTGGTGGTGCATGCCTATAATCCCAACACTTTTGGAGGCCAAGGTGAGGAGACCACCTGAGGTCAGGAATTCAAGACTACTGGGCAACATGGTGAAGCTCTGTCTATCCTAAAAATGCAAAAATTAGCCGGGAGTGGTGGTGCATGTCTGTAGTCACAGCTACTTGGGAGGCTGAGGCAGGCGAACTGCTTGAACCTGGGAGGTGGAGGTTGCAGTGAGCTGAGATGGAGCCACTGCACTCCAGCCTGGGTCACAGAGGGAGACTCTGTCTCAAAAGAAAAGAAAAGTAGAGAGGATAGTATAATGAGGTTCCTGTCTGCCAGTCACTCTATAGTAACTATTAGGAAACCCCTTTTTTTCTCTGAAGTCATTGCTCCTGTGTGTGTGTGTGTCTGTATATAAAAAAAAAGTATGTATACATATACGTATATGTATGTGTATAGATAAAAATGCGTGTATGGTGCTGGGCGCAGTGGCTCACGCCTGTAATCCCAGCACTTTGGGAGGCTGAGGCGGGCGAATCACGAGGTCAGGAGATCGAGACCATCCTGGCTAACACGGTGAAACCGTGTCTCTACTAAAAGTACAAAAAATTAGCCTGGCGTGGTGGCGGGCACCTGTAGTCCCAGCTACTCGGGAGGCTGAGACCGAAGAATTACTTGATGAAACATGGCAGACAACGTAGACCAGCAGCAAACTACCAACACTGTGGAGGATCCCCTGGATCTTAGGCTCAGCCCAGAGGAGCGAATTTGTGTGAAAATGAGAAACGACCGAGAGCTTCGAGGCAGATTACATACTTATGATCAACATTTAAATATGATCTTGGGAGACGTGGAAGAAACTGTGACTACTATAGAAATTGATGAGGAAACATATGAAGAGACATATGAATCAACAAAACAGAATATTCCAGTGTTCTTTCTCCGGGGAGATGGCATTTTCCTGGTTGCCCCTCCACTGAGAGTTGGCTGAAACAAAGAATTTGTCCTGTACGGAAAACAGGAGACTTTGTACAGTGGCCTCTCTAAATGTGCAAGATATTCAAAAGAGAAACCCGCATACATTTGGATATTAAGAAATAATTCTGGGGATTCTTCCACTCCTGAAATGAGTTGATTTGCAGATAATTCACAACTTCTTAAGCTAAATGGTATTTTCGTTTTTCTCAAGCTCTTCCAATAAATATGACCACCAAGATTTTTTTTTCCTAAAAAAAAAAAAAAAAAAAAAAGAAGAATCGATTGAACCCGGGAGGTGGAGGTTGCAGTGAGCCAAGGTCATGCCACTGCACTCCAGCTTGGGCGACAGAGCGAGACTCTGTCTCAAAATAAATAAATAAAAATGCATATATGTATATTTGTGTGAATCATATACACATATATAAAATATATGTATCATATACATATATATCACATTTCTTTTTCTAGTGTGTGTGTACCTTGATTTATGTCTCACATATTCAAAATACTCAACTTGTTTAAAATAAGAGCACAACCTATTTAAGTAGTAAAGATTCAAAGCCTTCTTCTAAAATGCTTAACTTTCCTGTGGATTTGTGGACCCGTGGGAAAATCTCAGTCCCCAGGCAGGAAGGAAGGAGATATGACACATCTCTAGTTTGTTGTAAGTCGCCTACCCTAGACCTCATCTCCAGTGCTCTGAATGTGGAGAGGTAGGTGCAGGGCAGTGGGACAGAGAGGTGCACTTTGAAAGACTATCACATGGAAACAAAAGTTCCGGCTGGGCACGGTGGCTCACGCCTGTAATCCAAGCACTTTGGGAGGCCAAGGCGAGTGGATCACGAGGTCAGCAGTTGAAGACCAGCCTGGCCAGCATGGTGAAACCCCGTCTCTACTAAAAATAGAAAAAATTAGCCGGGCATAGTGGCATGAGCCTGTAATCCCAGCGACTCGGGAGGCTGAGGCAGGAGAATTTCTTGAACCTGGGAGGTGGAGGTTGAAGTGAGCTGAGATGGCACCATTGCACTCCAGCCTGGCAGACAGAGTGAGACTCCATCTCAAAAAACAAACAAAAAAAAGTTCCAATACACAATATGTTATATGAGATCTTCACCCAATCAAGGATTAAATGGCCAATTCCTAAATGATGCCTACCTTTTTATGGCCATGTATACCTTTGCCTCAGTACTACTGGCATTTGCTGACATCCATTTATCAAGATACAGGGATGGATTTCTAGAAGGCCCAGGCAGGGGTGCTGGCCAGGAGACACCAGGCATAGACCTTCCTTTCTCAGAGCCTTCGTGGCCCCTAGTTTGAATCTTTGAGTCACTGCAGTAAAGTTCCTGATGTTTGAGAGTACTCCTTATGAAGGGAGTCATATGAGTTGCTAGCTGGGTTCTCTGGATGGTGGTGTCATGCCAACATGGGAGCCACTAGCACAAAGAACATGCTAGGTTCTGTTGAGACCTGACTTTGGGAATAGCATAGGTACTTACCTTTCTCAGCACCACACAAACACACTCCAGAATGCAAAGGAACCTGCACTGTGCCATCTTGCTTCTCCCTGCATAGCCACTTCTCTTTCCAGTGGTGTTTGTATTTTGGTTCATTCAATCAATGAATGATTGATTGAATCAACCACTTGGTCCCTTCAATCTGTAACCTTCCTGCAACACTGTCTTTGTGATGTTATCATAACCTTGATTTTTGAGGGATAGAATTGGGCATAATCAGAGAAAACGTGGTCTGGGACACATTTGTGGGCTATTCTATGCTAAACATTTCCATATCATTAATGTTCAACACAGCTTTGTGGTGTTGGAGATAGGATTATCATTGTTAGGATGGTTATTATCAATACTAGCTGTGATTATTGATCACTTCCACATGCCAGGCACAGTGCTGGGTGCTACATATTTATTACCTAATTTATAGCTTGCTGCACTCTTGCTGGGTATGTGTAATTATTCCCATTTCACCCGATCCCTGGGAGTTTGGTGAATTAATCACCCAGCATCCAAATAGCTAACCAGTAGCAGAGCTGGGATTCAAACTCAGTTAGGCTGACTTCTGTGCCTGTTTTCTTGCCTAAGCGGTGGACGCATTGAGTAGGAGAAGGCCAGTTATTCCTCTTTGTCACTGATACAACTGGGGACCTGTTGCCGGAGATGTGGAGCTGTGCATTAGGGCTGGGTAGAACACACATAATGAACCATATGCACGAGAACTTTTTCATCTTTCTGCATACACTTGGAACTAGTTCTTTGTTTTTGTAAAAGCATCATGCACTAGGTAAAATGTTTAATAACACAGAGAAATCTAATTGTCAAGTATCTTCTCAACACACATTAATCAACAATTCTCCTATCGAAAGATAACCTCTTGTATTTACAAAAAAAAGAAGAAAAAGTGCTGTCATCAGTAAATTCATTCATGTATGTTATACACTCACATACAAAACGTATCTATTTGATTAAATTAGAACTCTGCTAATGAATTACTTTCCTTGATTGCACAGTAATAAAGTCAATGTTGTAAATATAATAATTATAGCCAAGTGCAGTGGCTTACACCTGTAATCCCGGCACTTTGGGAGGCTGAGGTGGGCAGATCACTTGAGGTCAGGAGTTTGAGACCAGCCTGGCCAACATGGTGAAACCCTGTCTCTACTAAAAATACAAAAATTAGCTGGGTGTGGTGGCACATGCCTGTAATCCCAGCTACTCAGGAAGCTGAGGACTGAGAATCGCTTGAACCTGGGAAGTGGAGTTTGCAGTGAGCCGAGATAGTTCTACTGCACTCCAGCCTGAGCAACAGAGCAAGACTCCGTGTCAAAAAATAAATAATATGTGTGTGTGTGTGTGTGTGTGTATGTACATGAATTATATACAAATGAGGGAAAATATACAAATGAGTTGAATATATACAAATGAGGGAAAAATTGTTCCTTGTGTCAGGAACAATTACTGTGAATTTTGTGTAGCTCTTTCTGACTTTTTAAAATTCAAATATATTTCATAAAGTTGAAATCACACTGTGGTCTTTTTTTTTTTTTTTTTTAACCAGACATATAGTGGCCATGTTTCTATGTCAATACATACTGTTTGGCAGTACAGTTGTACTGACTTGACATTATAGCTTCATAACTTAGTAAATTAATCCCTTATTGCTGGGCACAGATTCTGTTTTCCATTTTTTCAGTCATGAGCAACGTTGCTGGTTTACCTGGGCTAAATAAGAAGTTTAAATGCAAATAGATAATGCTTGAGAAAGCTTCTTCCCATATATACTCTTTCTGTAGCAGTGTCTGAGTGTCTGTACCTTCCTATACCTTCACCATATCATGTATTTGTCATTTTATAGTGAGTTGTATTACTTGCTAGGTGAGCTGGTATCTCCTCTGATAACACAAAGAAGGCCTGGGTTTGCTTGGCAATTTGTTCCAATATTCTTTTCAGTTTTAAATAAGTTTTGAACAAAAAGTTTTAGCATTTTACATAAAAACCTCTAAAGCTCTCAGGCTAATTAGTAATGTAGCATATACAAATTAAGTTTTTTTCTGCTGTGCTTAATTCTTATTAACACACTAATCATGAGAGCCCCCAAATTGCTGTAAGGAGCACATTTAGAAAACATATAAAGGATCGATAGTTGGTACTTAAGAAATCGTTGAAACACCTTTTCTTTTTTAATCTATCTTAGAGCTGAAAGATAAAAAGACTTAAAATGAGTTAGAATATGAGTTTTTCAGCATCTTATAGCTTATGAGTTAAAGCAAGATTTAAAAAATACATTTAACATACTAAATATTTCAAAAGCTACAGAGATACCGTAACATTTAAAAAAATAAATTTTCATTGTGGAAATCAACTGCCACAAAAACACAACCTTTTACGAGACAACGTGATGTGCATGAGAAGCCCTGATGTTGAGAAGCTCATAATTCGGTGTGAGAAACACACAAGGCATGATGCCATTCCCATCTGGGATGAACAGGGAAGACTTCCTGGGAGAGGTGACTATGGACTTAATTTTGTTTTGACACAGCAAAAACATGAGGAATGAATTTTGTGACTTGGAAGATTGTTAGTTTTCTGTGGAGGGAACAACACTCATCTTGCAAATTTGCCTTCACTATTCAATCATTAGAAAATAATTTTAAATGAGCTTAGCAGTTCTCAGAATTTTGGATTTCAGGAAACAAACTTTTTAAAAACAAAACAAAAAGGAGGATACCAATTTAAGCTTGTCAAAAAGATTTTCCCCCAAAAGAAAAACACATTAAAAACAACGACAAAAATCAACAAAAACTAACACTATTCCCCCATCAACAATCAATATTACTTTCTAAAAGCAAGGGCGTTTTGACACCAGATATTGTGAGGACATCCACCTGCTCTAAGGGACAGCCATTTCACTGGTGTTCTGTCAATTTTTATTTTGAACTAATTTTAGACTCACATAGAAGTTGGAGAAGTAGGCTGGGCACAGTGGCTCATGCCTGTAATCCCAGCACTTTGGGAGGCCGAAGCGGGCTGATCCCTTGAGGCCAGGAGTTCAAGACCAGCCTGGTCAAATAGTGAAATCCTGTCTCTACTAAAAATACAAAAATTAGCCTGGCATGGCAGCGCACACCTGTAATCCCAGATACTTGGGAGGCTGAGACATGAGAATCACTTGAAGCTGGGAGCTGGAGGCTGCAGTGAGCCAAGCGGAGTGCCACTGCACTCCAGTCTGGGCGACAGAGTGAGACTCTGTCTCAAAAAAAAAAAAAAGTTGCAGAAATAGCAATATTTCACAGTACCTCTACTTTCTTGTAATTTTAGCAGTTTACCTAATCATGGTATAATAATCAAAACTAGAAAATAGACAATGGTGCTAAATATTAACTATACTTGTTACTCAAATTTCACCACTAAAGCAGTGTCATCTTTTTATTCCAGGATCTAGTCCAGGATGCCACATTATATTTAATTGTTGTATCTCCTTGGTGCCTTTAGTGCTTTTTTTTTTTGAGACACGGTCTCACTCTGTCACCCAGGCTGGAGCACAGTGGTACGATCATGGGTTACTGCAGCCTCCACCTCCTAGGCTCAAGCGATCCTCCCACCTCAGTCTCCTGAGTATCTGGGACTATACGCATGCACCACCATGCCTGGCTAATTTTTGCATTTGTTTTATCAAGGCAGGGTTTCATCATGTTGCACAGGCTGGTTTTGAGCTCCTGGGCTCAAGAAATCTGCTTACCTCGGCTTCCCAAAGTGCTGGGATTACAGGCATGAGCCACTGCACCTGGCTTGGAGCATTCAGTCTTTGATAGTTGCTTACTTATTTCCTTCTTTCTGATCTTGAGACCTTGATTTGTCCAGTATTTTCTCATCATTAGCTGAGTGTAAGCATTTTTTGGCAAGAACATTATAAAAATGATGTGGTGTCTTTCTTAGTATATTATCTCAGGTAGAACATAATGTTGATCTGTCTCATCCCTGGTAATGTTAACCTTGATCACTTGGTTAAGGTGATGTCTGCTGAGTTTTTCCAATGTAATGTTATTAATTTTTCCTTTGAAATTCATAATTATTTGAAGGGAGATGTTTTGAGATGATGCTGGCAGCCCCGTTTTCCTTAAACTTTCACATGCTGACTTTCTATTGTTGGATCTTGCCTGCAGCAGTGTTTACCATGATGCTTGGCTAGTGGTGACTATGTATTTCCCTTACTCTTTTTATAGTCAGTAATTGGAATTCTTCTGAAGAAAGAGCTATCCCTTCTCCCCCATTTCTTTCTTTTCTTTTCTTTTTGTTGAGACAAAGTTTCACTCCTGTCGCCCAGGCTGGAGTGTAATGGTGCGATATCGGCTCCCTGCAACCTCTGCCTCCTGTGTTCAGGCGATTCTCCCGTCTCAGCCTCCCAAGGAGCTGGGATTACAGGTCCATGCCACCATGCCCAGCTAATTTTTATATTTTTAGTAGAGATGGGGTTTCACCACTTTGACCAGGCTGGTCTCAAACTCCTCTTCTCTGGTGATCCTCCCACCTCGGACTCCCAAAGTGCTGGGATTACAGGTGTGAGCTACAGCGCCTGGCCCCTCCCCCGTTTATTTCTGATTCAATTACTTTATATTAGCGTAGATTCACAGGTATTTCCTTTTTTTTTTTTTGATTTATTAATACCTCCATTTATTCTGTTGCTGAAACCATTCCAGCTTTTTCTGGTTGGCTTCTATGAAGGACGCTATTTTAATGGGGTGATTTTTTTCTTCTCACTACATTCTTCCTCACTCCCCACTTTTTATGTCCGGTGGCCATAGGCTGGTGAGAACTTGATTTTGAACAGTTGAAGGTCTGCTGTTAGGGACGTGCTAATCTAGGGAATTGTACTGAACTCGTGGGAGCATGTTAGTATCAGATGTGTGCCTTGTCCGTCTTGCTTGTAGGAAGAACAAGAGACGAGACACAGCAAGGTGATGATGGGTATGTGAAGCAGGATAAAGAAAAAAACAGGACAGGCATTACAGGCTTAAGCCTGTAATCCCAGCACTTTGGAAGGCCAATGCGGGTGGATCACCTGATGATAGGAGTTCAAGACCAGCCTCACCAACATGGTGAAACCCTATCCCTATTAAAAATACAAAAATTAACAGGCGTGGTGGCAGGCATCTGTTGTTCCAGGTACTCGGGAGGCTGAGGCAGCAGAATTGCCTGAACTCGGGAGGTGGAGGTAGCAGTGAGCTGAGATGGCACCACTGCACTCCAGCCTGGGCAATGGAGCAAGACTCTATCTACCCCCCACCCTGCAAAAAAAGAAAAGAAAGGAAAAAAAATCCTGGTGCTTGTAGGAGAGGCATTTATTTCTTTTAGGACTGGACGGGGCTTGGAGGGTTTCCAGGAAACAGCCTCAACCTAAAAATAGTAGACACAGTTCATGAAGAACTTACTATGTGTCCAGTAGATAAATATACCACAAGCATTATCTTCTTTAATCATCTCACAATCTTATGAAGGAGATACTAGTATTTTGCTTGCAAAGATGAGGGAAGTGAGTTTCCGAAGTTGCTAAATGCGTAAAGGAGGTGGTGGTGTCAGAATGTTATCCTGCTCAGATGGTTGCATGGGACAGTGTCCAGAGGAAGGCCTCTGATTCCTTCCCCAGCATTAGGCAATATTCAAGTCTTCAGTTCCATGTGTAGGGGAGAAGACTTTCCTTCTGCTCCCTAATGACAGTGGTACCCACACCCGTATTCCACCATAAAATCTTTTTTATTCAGTATTAGGAAAAAAGAAACATCTTTCCGTCCAGTGGTCACTGTGTGTGTATGTGTTTGTGTGTGTGTGTGTGTATGTGTCTGTGTGTTCACCGTGCTGTGTGAATTGTGGCTTTAAATGTATTCCTGTCAATTCCATATATTTTTAAAATGTTGCTTTTAGAGTATGTGCAAGTTTGGGGCATTTTTGAGGGCTTTTTTTTTTGACGGGGTCTTAATATGTCACCCAGGCTGCAGTGCAGTGGCGCGATGACAGCCCACTCCAGCCCCAAACTCCCAAGCTCCAGTGATTTTCCTTTCTCAGACCCCAAAGTAGCTGGGACCACAGGTGCACACCACCACTTCCAGCTGATTATTTAAAAAAAAATTTTGTAGTGACAGTGTCTTGCTGTGTTTCCCAGGCTGTCCTTGAACTCCTGGGCTCAACTGATCTTCCCAGCTTGGCCTCCCAAAGTGCTGGGAATACAGGTGTGAGCCACTGTCCCAGGCCAGTTTTAACTCAGAATGATTTCATAAGAAATCCACATCTGAGAGTCCCAGAAGGTAAGATATTCCCCTTTCTTCTAAATATACTTGACCACCACCATTCAGGTTCTTCTATTAACCTTCCTATATTTGCCAACCCTCAACCTGTTAGAAACAAGAAATGGGACTCTGGAGTAGATGTTAGCAACATCATGAGCTCAAACCCCTCCAGCTTACAGCGGAGACAGTGAGGTCCTGTAGGATGAGGTTGGAGAGCAGGAACTTGCCCGAGGTCATGTGCAGAGTTCGAGGCAGGGCCTGGATGGGAAGCCCAGCATGGAGACCCCAGGCCGTCTCTCCGCCATCTTGTTGTGATGCTTCCGGAAGAATGCCTGTCACTCTTGCTGACATCCGACTGACCAAGTGGGCAAGAGGAATTCTTCAAAACAATTTAATAAATGCTTACATTTTCTCTTGGCCCCGTGCCACATCCCCCCACTCAGTCTTGTTTTCAAGGTTGAAGGTTCCTTCAGAGCTAGTGACCTTGCCCTTCCTGGCCTGTGGATGTCGCTCTCTATCCGTAACCCTCCTTTCCAGCGACCCTGTTTGCAGCAAAGACTATAATTTTATTTTGGGTTTGGATATACTGATTACATTTTAGCTTCTGGTATATTTTCTTACCTGTCACAGCCATTAAATTTATTTTAATAGTTACTCTACTCTCCTGATAGCCACTAAAGGGGGAATTGGATATTGTCTATCAATTGGTTGGTCTCTGAACTAAGGCTGTATCTAATTACAAGGCATTGTATCGGTTCTGATTTATTAACCATTTACTTGGCTTTGGAGAAGGCAGCATTTTTAGTAGTACTGTTGAGCCTGCATGTAGCTTTTCCAGGAGGGCAGGGTGCCCGGAATATCTGATCTTACAGTTATTACTTTGTGTCATATATAATTTTGTTTTCTCCCTGCAACAAATAAATCTTTGGGACTCCGGAAGAAAAAAAAATGGGAAAGAAAAAAAAAATTTGTGGTTACAGTATAATAAAAATAAACTGTTTGTCGTGACTGCAGCTGACATTTATCAGCCTGTTTGTGGGTGCTCTTTCTCTATAATACAGAACATAATTTGTCACTTTGTAAATACATTCCAGTCTAAATCCCTGCCAGCATCTGTTAGTGTTTGAAGGATTAATGTGCTACCCTGTGTATGTCTGCACTTCCAGGGAACAGTGTAGCATCTGATTACAGATCGTGGGAGAGCAGGAGGGAACAAGGTGTTTTCTGTGCTTTTTCCTACATGCAGTCGTTTTGGCCTTTTTCTGATTTTTCTTGTCTTTATCCCATTCTGTCTAGGTACCTGGAATTTCATTCTTTACAAAGATGTTCCTGGTCCCCAACCTTTCTTCTGTCTGTGATAGTCACAGCTGAAGTCATAGTATTTTCTGTGTACTATGGGTTGAGCTGTGGGTAATTCTTTGGGGCCGGTTAGACTTGGGTTCAAATTCTTTCTCCAACTAGTTTATGAGCTTAAGTTATGTGATTTCCATTTCTTCACTTGCAAAATGAAGATGCTAATACCTACTTCTTGAAGATGCTGAGGTTGAGGGAAGAAATAAATGTTAATGCAAAGTGCCCAGTTTAGTGCCTGCCAAGAGTAACTGGTGGGTCTGTGTCACCTTCTGACATTATCAGTGTGATTGTCTCCAACGCATCCATGGAAGTGAAACCGCTGGAGGAAGCTAATGCCGTGAGCCAGCTGTTGGTTATGTTTTTGTTTTGTTTTTCTTTTTTACTTGCTGGATAGTGGGTTCTGTTTATTGAGAAATATTTACATCCGTCTAAATCAGGTGCTTGCTAGGGTTCTTGGCACACAGAGCATCCCACCAATAAACTGTGGTTCCCAACAAGGCTTGCAACTGAATCTGGGCAACAATGAACATGACTTCAATAATGACAAAAAGATTCAGATTCCTGCTGGAAGGTCCATATGTGCTGTCCCCAGTAGGATTCTGGAATTCCCTGAATCATAGTGTTGCTTGTAATTCTTTCCACATTATGAAGTGGCTCTATAGACTGCCTACCACCTTGTATCTACTGCTGTCGTTTAGATTAGGAACAGATTGCCAGATGTGGAAGAAATAGCCTCATTAGTAACTTTTCTGTAAGCAATCTCCTTATTTCTTGTTTTTTGTTCTTTTGTTTTTTGTGTGTGCTTCTGCGTGCCCCTCCTCTATGGCTCCCCCCACCAAATTTCTGTGTCTTCATTTGCAACTCTCTTTTCTCCAGTAAAGAGGAAAGTGTATAGTTCTCCTTTCCTTACAGAAACATTATTTTGTTATTGTTGTTTTGGTTTGGGTTTCTGAAGTATAAATGCATATGAACTGGACAGAAGTATTATGCCCATGTGCCAGGTGGCCAAGATGGGGCTTGTGATTTGAAGCTTCTTTTCCTAGATTCAGGAAAGTATCACTGGTTAATCAGGGAATACATCTTTCGGCCCATTGGAAAATGTCTGTTCTTAGCACCCTAAATGCCCAGGTATTAGCATACTTGGGAAATGTCTAGAAACCCCTATTTCAATTTACTGACCATTTTTGGTAAATTCCTAGAGATGCCAAAATGCATTTCAAAAAGCTTTCATGTTCAAGAAGACTTGTGGAATGATAGAAAACATTTAACGCTGTTATGTACGAAGTGAAATACTGTTAAACTTTTAGATTATTTAATAGAAGACACATTTTACAAGGCAAAGTGTTTAGATATGCTCCCTCCTATGCCTATCCACACATCCTTAACTCTTCACGTTGTTTGAGACTGTTAGGCTGTTTTTTTATTGTATATTTCATCAAATAGTGGGTGATAAAACAACAGACACTCTAAGGAATGGCATGACATTCTCCTTTCTTCTCCTGCATTCATTGGAACCTGAATGTAGTATTAATTATAAGACTGTTAGACTTCAGGGGACTACACTCTTATTCTAAAATAGTGGTCAACTAACTGTGCCCTTCAGACAGAATTCCTGCCCAGCACCTGGCTTTGTAATTAAAGTTTTACTGGAACAGAGGAATACCAGTTAATTTATATCTCGTCTGTTGCCACTTTTGCTTTCATGCTATTAAAGCTGAGTATTTGGGAGATACTTGAAAAATCTAAAATGCTTACTATCTGGCCCTTTAGAGAAAAGGTTTTCCAATCTCTGTTCTAGAGGATTCGTGGTCATTTGGAAAGAAAAGTATGTTAAGACAAAATGAGCAGGTGGTTGGATTAGTATTTTCTTTCTACACATATAGAAACTGTTCCTATCATACGTGACTCAGTTTTCAAACTTGCTTAATCCAAAGCCTGGGGGGTGGATGTAGGAGAGAAGTTGAAATTAGCTGGGGTTTTTTTTTTGTATCACAAAAGTTACATTTTTTTTTTTTTTTTTTTTTTTTTTTTAAGACGTAGTCTTGCTCTGTTGCCCAGGCTGGAGTGCAGTGGTGTGATTTCAGCTCACAGCAAGCTCTGCCTCCCAGGTTTACGCCATTCTCCTGCCTCAGCCTCCTAAGTAGCTGGTACTACAGGTGCCTGCCACCACGCCCGGCTAATTTTTTATATTTTTAGTAGAGACAGGGTTTCACCATGTTAGCCACTTTGGTCTCAATCTCCTGACCTCGTGATTCAACTGCCTCGCCCTCCCAAAGTGCTGGGATTACAGGCGTGAGCCACCGCACCCAGCCGAAAAGTTATAATTTTAATGGTCTAAATCAAATTTGTTCAACCTGCAGCCTGTGGGCACATGTGGCCCAGGACAGCTTTGCAGCCCAACACAAATGTATAAACTTGCTTAAAACATGATGAGATATTTTTTGCCATTTTTTTTTCAACTCATCAGCTATCATTAGGGTTAGTGTATTAATATTTTATGCACAGCCCAAGATAATTCTTTGTCCAGTGTCACCCAGGGAAGCCAAAAGATTGGACACCCTGGGAATAAAACAGAAAAAAGGTGTAAAAGGCTTCGAGTTCATGGACAGAACAACATTTTTGTAAGTAAAGTATTTACGGATGTGGCCCCTTTGTAATCTCCTGGGCTCAGGGATAATTTCCAGGCTGGGGAGAAGGTTGTGTCATGGAGACAGCAGTACTGTTTTGGAAGGAGAATTGACTTGTCACAATGGACGGAGAACTACCATCCCATTTGGGCCAACCTCTTTTTTTTTTTTCTTTTTGTTTCGAGATGGAGTCTCGCTCTGTCACCAGGCTGGAGTGCAGTGGTGCAATCTCAGCTCACTGCAACCTCTGCCTCCCGAGTTCAAGCTATTCTTCTGTCTCAGCCTCCTGAGTAGCTGTGATTACAGGTGCGTGACACCACACCCCGCTAATTTTTGTATTTTTAGTGGAGACGGGATTTCACCATGTTGGTCAGGCTGGTGTCAAACTCCTGATCTTAGGTGATCTGCCTGCCTCAGCCTCCCAAAGTGCTGGGATTACAGGTGTGAGCCTCTGTGCCCGGCTTCTGCCAGCTTCTCATTATGATTTTTGAGCAGATTTCGCTGCTTTTTCTGCCTTTGTTGTGTTTATAAACTAGAAGTAATTATGTCAACTTTGTAAGGGCTCAGTAGCGTAGAATAAGGCCATGTCTGTAATCTCCCCTTCTGTGAACAGAGGTTATGTTCTCAAAAGCCTTCAATTAACATGAGTGGAATGGATTTTCTAAATTTATATGGAGGAGAAAGTTGTAGGTCCTATATGAGTGATGACAGGTGATACTTAAGTTAACTGGAACATATGGCCCTTAGCCACAATTTCCCCACATGCCCTTCTGGGGGATGCTTTGTAGACCTGATATCCCAGAAAGGAGTGTGGACTCATAAAGTCACTGCTGTCCTTTGGTTTTCCTGATGTACCAAATGTAGTAAGGCCTCTTTTCAATGTGGTAAAAGCTCTGGGCCACCCCATAAGGCTGCAAGCGCTAGAAGCTCTTCCCATAGAGAACATCTATATCCTCAAACCAAGGAGAAAAAGGAAGCTGCTGTTCATAAATATTGAAGAGGCAGGGAGAGCTTGCACTGAGGCCAGGGTGTATTAACATGCATGCCATCGTGAAGTGGCTTCTAATGGACATTTGTAAGGTGGTGTCCCCTCCCTTCCCCTCCCCCCTCTAATGCTGCCTGGGTTGCTCTTTGCAACACGTGCAGTCTGCAACTTAGCTGGCTTTTAGCAAAATTACCCATCGCGATTCATTTGTCCCATTGGGCCATGGGATAGGTGACTACAGAGCCAGATTCGAATGTGGCCCTGTGCCGGTGCCCAAACCAGCAGGCTGCACGTGTGCACTGACAGAATGGTACATCCCACCACTGCTCTGTGTCTGTGTGCGACTGTCAGTTGCTCTCTACTGCTCCTCATAGACTTCCTGTCTGCCTTTCTCTGCATTTCTCAGTCTCCCCATCTCCCCTTCTTATCTAATCCCCTTCCTTCCTCTCTCAACTCTTCCTTCCTCTATCCTTTTTCTTTCCCTTTTTTTTTTAACTATTCTTCTTTAGAGTTTGTTTTCTCATTGAACTTGTGATGTACACATTAAAGGAAAACTCATTAATGTGGAAAATTAGGAGCATCATAGCTAATGTATGCTCAGGGCTTACTGTGTGCTAGACATTATTCTGAGTTTACACAGTGATGTCAGATTTCTCCTCTGTCACAGTAAGTTCCAAAAGATAGTGAAGAATATTGCAGTGAAAACACTGAAACTCACATATTTCATACTCAGGGGTATCTTTTAAGTGTGAAGCAAGAGAAAAAAACGTGGAAAAAAAAAGACTCAGGAAATGCTTTCCATTTAGCTTTCTTGACTAAGTTAGTGGAAGACTTATTCCAGATTATAAAGAGAAGAACCAAAATAAAGAGTTTAAGAATGAAGGGGTATGCAGCAACTGGTAGGGTCGAGTCTCCTCAGGCACAACATGCAACCAAGGAGGGGCAGCTCACTCGGCCTGCGCTGGCCACACAAGTGCACCTGCCACAGTATTGAGGGGCTGGACTGATTTCTCATTAATGTCTGGGCAAAACTCAAAGAGGCAAACATTTTCATTACATACTGTTATCCATCCTATTGTGGGACCAATTTCTCCAGAAAGGTCTCTCTCGGTGGGAGGATTAATAAACACCATCAGAAATCCAATTAAACCCAATTGTTAAAATCCAACAAATACGTTGCTTGTGGATACAGTTGTGTATAGTAATGTGTATGGTGATGGCCTATCATATAGGAATGATAGAGGCAGCACAGTGCTGTAATGGAAACCATAAGGGCACGCACAATGGCTCATGCCTGTAATCCCAGCACTTTGGGAGGCCGAGGCGGGAGGATCACATAAGGCCAGGAGTTTGAGACCAGCCTGGCCAACATGGTGAAACCCCATCTCTACTAAAACTACAAAAATAGCCAGGTGTCCTGGTGCATGTCTGTAATCCCAGCTACCTGGGAGGCTGAAGCATCAGAATCGCTTCAGCTTGGGAGCTGGAGCTTGCAGCCAGCCAAGATCACACCACTGCTCTCTATCCTGGGAGACAGAGCAAGACTGTCTCCAAAAAAAAAAAAAAAAAAAAGGGCATGGATCTAGATGCCAGACAATCTGGGTGCATATCTTTGCTCCAAAAGCAAAGATTGTAAACTCTCTTTACAATCTGGGGCAAGTTAGCTAATCTCTGCTTCAGTTTGCTCCTTAGCAAGATGGGATGATATTACCACTTACCTCAGAGAGTTGTTAAATGGGTAAATTCATATGTAAGTGTTCTTAGAGCAGAGTTCAGTACATAGTAAGTACTGTGTAAGAATTGGCCATCATTAATATTATTCATTGGATAAATATCAAATTCAAAATACCGTTTACATTGGGAAAGGGAAAAAGGAGAGAAATATATGAGAGACGTATGCTGGGGGTATCTACGATGTTTTTTTTTTTGATTTTTTTATGTCATTTTAAATGTTTCTATTCTTCTGTTCTGTTCTTAAAGTATGCCTGTAATTATTAGGATATAATTATGGATTCTGTCTTATTTATTTTTTAATCTTCTTATTGTGTCTATCTTTTGTCTTTCTCCATATTCTGGGAGAAACATCTAAGTTTCCATTCCTTATAACTGATTATTTTTCTTGGGATCAATTCTGGTCTTCACCATCTGCCAATGTGAGTTTTAGTTTCTCTATAAACTTTTAAACTTTAAACTTTTTTTCTTTTTTTTTTGGGGGGGGGGGGGCAATGCATTCTTAACCCCCTTCCAGTTTTTCTCAGCCTATTCTTGTTTGTTTTTGTTTTCTATTTCTGTTTCATTGAGATGCATACAAAATGGAAGATGGCCAACATTTCTAAAAATTTTGTTTCCTGACATAGAGAACGTTTAGAGGTCAGGTTGCTCTGAGACTGTGTTGTGATTTCTTTTTTTTTTTTTTTTACTTGTTTGTCCTTTCTTTTATTATCTCTTGCTGTTATCCTCACTTTTTTCTTTGCTGTTCTTCATCCTTTAATTAGCATTCAAACTAATCGTTATTAGAGTGTGTAACATGATCTTTGACATACCTAGGTAATTTTACTTAAGTATATGAGTTAAGTTGATACGCACAGTTCCTCAGCATGAATGTCATTGTTTTGCAAATTTTAGCTGAAGGTGACATCACTGTACTAAAATTTTCTTGTGCATCCACTTCCTAGCTATGACTCTCTACAGATGGATATAACTTTTTTAAGATGAAAACCATTTATTTTCAATTTCTAGTTTAACTGCCTCACAGTAAAAAAGTGTACTTTTTGTGATGGCAGGAATTTGAAGTATGTTGAAACTGCCTTTGTGATCTGGCTCATGGTTAACTTCAATAACGTATGAAAAGAATCCATATTTTTATGTGTAGTGTTCTGTAGCTCTTTTAGTTGGTTTATACTCTTTTAATGGTCTGTTGACCATTTTATCTAAATATTCCATTTTGTCTTTTACTTATTTCTATTATAAATGGTTAATCTCTTCTACTAAGATTGTTAAATCCATCTTTTTGTTTATGGCTGTGTTATTTGGCACATGCAAGTTCATGATTGTTATATATTCTTGCTTAATTATTTTTCCCTTTATGCATCATCCATTTTTATCTTTAGTGTTTAGTGTTTTTTATTTTTATTTTGCCTAAAATTTTATTTTTATGTTAATATTTGCTATACTAGCTATTCTGCTTTCAAAATGTTCCTGATGTTTTTCTTTATCTTTATCATTTATCTTTTATCTTTAACATTTTTATATTTCTCTCTTTTAATCATGTGTGTTAGGTAGGCAAGGATAGCTGCTAGGACAAAATATTTTCTGATGTTTTAATAGCTTAACACAATGGTAATTTATTTCCAGCTTATGTAACAGTGCTTATTGGGCGCTCAGTTGAGGCTGGAAATAGACATGTGAGTGTTTTATGGACTAGGCCTTGAAGAAGTGTACCTCCCTTAGATTTATATTCCACTGGCCAACTCTAAGTCTCACGGCTATGCCTAATTGTGAAGGAGACTGGGCAATGAATCTAGTTGAGTGCCCTGCAAACTAAGGCACAGGGATTTTTGTGAACAGCTGGTAGTCTCCATTACAGTTCTCACATCTGGACAACAAGTACCTTTTGCTCCCTTATTCTCACACAGAGAACATATTCACTTTTCTTCCAAAGGCAGAGTCTCAAAATCCCATTTAATTCTTTGATTCTGTGCAAATTCTAGGGTGTCCTTCATGCTTAGATATGGTTCCTTATGGTCCTGTGGGTTTCAGAAAGGCAGCCCATTCATGCCGTCTACCCCCCTGCTGCTCTATATAATAGAAGGTGGAGTAGAGACAGAATATCAGTAGCAAAATCTCCATTTTCAAAAGAAAAGAATGAGAAACATGTTGCTCCATGACAGTCAATGATAGAATCACGCTGGGGAGGTAAAGAACCTTGTAGTAAGAGAGCATTCTTTATCCAGGTCTGAAATCTGCTCTCTGGAGGGAAGTGCCCTGTCCATTATCCTCCATGGTCCCATCTGAACTGGATCTAGAGAAGGGTTACTCTCCTTAGGGGAATTAGCAGCTGTCAGCCCACTTCCTGCTGGTGCATGGTTGAGGCTCCGTTTTTTTGTTTTTAGCAGTTATAGGCTTTTAAGGTCAGATTAATCTTTATTTAATTTCTTAATAATCTTATAGGATTCAGATGTATTTGTTTCCCATTAATTCATGAGTAGTGGCCACACCAGTCTTTCCTAGACTTGAATCTCAAGTTGCTTTATTTTTCTAATTTGTTATCATCATGCCTCTCTTTCAGCACAGTAGCAGCTACTATGAGGCTATTTGGAATAATGAGCTTGGTTTGAAAAGTAGCATCATTAATCTGATATATGCTACTGGGCTGAATTATTTGAATTCATAATGGGCTATTGTCTCTCAAAGACTTTTGCAGGCTTATTTTATGCTTTTTGGACTCCAGAATCAATTGACTTTTTCAACTCTGTAATGTCCTAACTTTCATTTCTGCTTGCACACTGGACAATGCTTTTTTTCAGGAACACATCTCTTTCTTGTAATATCTTTGTAAAAGCAGCGTGGAGCAGCCAGCACACAATGACATTTTAGCTCTTCCCTAGAGCTTCAGACTCAATAGGTACTAGATCTACCTTATGAGTTATGGCAGAGCACAATTTTACCAAAAGTCTTTCAGTGTAAAGACACAGATCCACATGGGTGTCTCTGATTGACAGTTGGCTTTGTCTATTTGGTGAGTAGGATATCCAAGCTCATTTCATTTAGTGGCTGTATTGTCCCCTAGGAACTTATTATAACTTAACGTTTATCTCATGGAAGGTTGAAGTATGGGGAACCCAATTCATATGAGAAATAGCCCAGGAGTTACATTCTCTTCTGCTCAGTGACCATTAGTGGAAATGTAAATATCTCACCTCAATGCAGTGTGGGTTAGGAAATGTGGCTTTCTGTCTAGTCAACCTCTTTTTCCTATGCTGTGGAAAGAGGAGAAGTATTCTGAGGGACAGCTAGTTCTATCTGCAGTGTATCTTTTTTAAACAGCATAGAACTATTTTTTTTTTTTAATTCTAGTCTTGGTTTCTGCCTTTCAATGTGTGAATTTAAGTTCATGTTTCTTTTGATGACTGATAAATTTGAAATAATTTCTGTATTTCATTGTGTTTTCTTCACTACCAAGTTTTTCTTATTTTTAAACTTTTCTGAGCATATATATGTATATTTTTTGAGACAGAGTCTCAGTGTCACCCAGGCTGGAATGCAGTGGCTTGATCTCGGCTCACTGCAAACTCTGCCTCCTGAGTTCAAGCAATCCTCCCACCTCAGCCTCCCAAGTAGCTGCATTAAATACGTGTGCCACCAGGCCCGGCCAATTTTTGTATTTTTAGTAGAGATGGAATTTCACCATGTTGGCCAGGCTGGTCTTGAACTCCTGACCTCAAGTGGTCTGCCCGCCTTGGCCTCCCACAGTGTGGGGATTATAGGCGTGAGCCATTATGCCTGGCCACCAGGCATATTTTGGAATTGATAGAATTTCTTTTTATCTGAGTTACTCCATACATCATTTTTTCTCCCTGTTGCTCATTTGGAAGCTAATGATTCTTTCCTCCCTTTCTTCCTTTCTGTCTTTCTCTGTTTTCCTCTCTCCCTGTTAGTCTTGAAAGTCTTACGTACATGTTTAAATTTTTTCTTAGAGTATCAAGTTATTTAATGTCTATCATTCTAATCAACAAAGCCAGACCATGCATGATTTAATGGATCAGTGAAATCCTTCCCCCCATAAAACAAACTTCACTTGTTAGTGTTGTTTTAGTTGCTTCTTAAATTCATTTTCAGTATAATTTATTTGGTCCTGTAGCTACTCCAAATGACGCACAAAATTTGGCTAAACTGATGACTCTTTTTGTGTTTATGGTGTTTTGAGTCCTCAACTTTTTCTGTCTTGAATTTTTTTTTTTTTTTTTTTTTTTTTTTTTTTTTTTTTTTAAGGCAGAGTTTCTGTCTGTCGCCCAGGCTGGAGTGCAGTGGCGCGATCTTGGCTCACTGCAAGCTCCGCCTCCTCGGTTCATGCCATTCTCCTGCCTCAGCCTCCCGAGTAGCTGGAACTACAGGTGCCCGCCACCAGGCCTGGCTAATTTTTTTTGTATTATTAGTAGAGATGGGGTTTCACCGTGTTAGCCAGGATGGTCTTGATCTCCTGACCTTGTGGTCCGTCTGCCTCGGCCTCCCAAAGTGCTAAGATTACAGGCACGAGTCTCCGCACCCGGCCCTGTTTTTGCATTTTTAGTAGAGACGGGTTTTCACCAGGTTGGCCAGCCTGGTCTCAAACTGTTGACCTTAGGTGATCTGCCTACCTCGGCCTCCCAAAGTGCTGGGATAACAGGCGTGAGCCACTGCGCCTGTCTACATTTTCTGTCTTTACTGGTATTATGGTGGGAACCCATAAACCACTGCGAGGCAGATACCATTTTAAGCAGGAAACCTTATTTTTTTCCGAAGCACATTTAAAAATATTTTCCAGTTTATCTATTAAACATCCTCCTTTGCTTCTGGAGATCCTCTGAAAGATTTATCTCTTTCGATTCATCTGTAAAGTAAAAATAACCGTCGTCGTCATTTCTCAAGCGTGACGATACTGTTACACGTTTACTGCATATTCTGCATACCAAGCACATATCCGTCACACGCAGTGTGGCCAACTTCCGAGAGGCCGGCATTCAGCCAAACAGCCTGAAGAACCAGGAGAAATGCCTGAGTTTCCAAATGGCTTATGGTAAGTTGTTGCTGCCACTATGAGTAGCCTACTTGCATTTCTATTTAATGGCTTTTCCCCATATTTGATGGTATGTTAAACAGTCAATCATTCATTTTCTAAATTAAAGCCTGTCCTGAAAACGTGCTCAGTGCTATTGACTGTGCATCAGGTATTAGAGACACAGATATGAAACTGTACTTTTTAATTTACGATAAATGTCAGTGTGAATTATTGGTTGTTTTGCTTTTCTTTCATAGTCTCCGTAGGCTTCTTGGGAATGGAAATTGGTATAACCTTTTTGGAGGACCCTCAGTAAAAAGCTATCAAAATTTAAAATGTGGGTATCTCTTGACCTAGTGAGTCTACTTCCAGGAATTCATCTTAAAGAAAAAAATTATAGTTTCCTAAGTATTTGTATTGCAGCATTGCTTTCAGTGGCCAACAAAACAAAACAAAACAAAATTGGAAACAACATAAAATAATATTACCGGAGAAACAATGAGTAACATGTATAGGATTTTTTTTTTTTTTTTTTTGACGGAGTCTTGCTCTGTTGCCCAGGCTCGAGTGCAGTGGCATGATGTTGGCTCACTGCAACTCCGCATCCTGGTTTCAAGTGGTTCTTCTGCCTCAGCCTTCCAATTAGCGGGGACTACCAGCGCATGTCACCATGCCTGGCTAATTTTTGTATTTTTGTAGAGATGGGGTTTCACCATCATGGCCAGGCTGTTCTCGAACTCCTGACCTCAAGTGATCCACCCGCTTCAGCCTCCCAAAGTGCTGGGATTACAGGCATGAGCCACCACGCCCAGCCGCTTCTCGTAGATACTACCCAGGAATTTTCACAGTAACTTCAAGGAAGAGATTGTTCTGTAATTTCTGTTTTTACTGATAAGGAAGCTCACGCTTAGAGAATGTAAGTAAAAAGTTCACAAAGCTAGTGAAGTATGTGGGGGCGGTTTTTAATGAATGATTGAACATTCTTTAGTGGAACTACAATACTATGTTTTTAGGAAAAGTTGCACGATGTTTTTACATGGGTAGAAAATATACTCTGGAAGGATTTGAACCAGGCTGTCCCTGTTCTTATCTTGGGGCAGTAGGACTTTGGGGCACGTTTTCACTTTATATGTTATCAACTTCTGTATTATTTGTAATACAATGAACCAGTTTTATTTTTGCAACTAACAGTAAGTATAAATAGCTGATGACCACTTGGGGTGAACCGAAGTGCCTATGACAAACCACACGCAGGCATCCTCGGGACTATTGAGGCCAGATAATCCTTTGTTATGGGGGCTGTTCTGTTCGTTGTAAGATATTGAGTAGCATCCCTGACCTCTGCCCCCTGGATGCCAGTTCACTTTCCAACAAGTTGCAACAAGCAGAAATGTCTGTAGACATTAGCAGATGTCTGCTAGCAGTTAGAATGGCCTCTGGTTGAGAATCAGAGCAGACTCTGCTCACACTGGGCTATCAGGGTATAGTTCTCTCCCTCCCAACAGCTGGAACTGAGACCATCTCCCTCCATTTGAGGATCATTCCGATTTCCCAAGTCCACCGTGTGGAATGTAAAATCCTTTGAACCAGAACAGACAAATCTTGTTTTTGTCTTTTTATTGAATTTAACCACTATTGACTTGCGACTTGCGGCAATCACCAGATCCCAGATCTCTGTGTTTGGAGCTACACGTCTTTCTGAATCGAGGAGGTGGGGCACTGATTTTTCTTTTATCACTGACTTCCCCGAAGTGGGAAGTTCCAGTGCTTAACAAGTTTCATTAAGAACACAGCTATTAAATATTCAGAATATACAGACTGTTGCTGTTGAGAATGTAATTATGCAGTAAATTAGCTGATGTCCAGTACGTTGCCTTTTAAGCAGATCTTTGATGTATGCAGTACTTGCATAAGATATAGGGCATGTTTATTAAGAGTCTTCAACTGTGTATAAAACTAGAGCAGTCAAAAGTAATGGTGTCTGCTGAAGGATTCTTTATCATATGAATTTACCTTTAGTCATCTATTATTTATTTCAGCTATTTTATATGCCATTATAATAAATATTATGACAGAGAAAGCTTTTACGCTTCAACTTATTGTACTCCTCTTTACTTGCCTGCAATCCTTCAGGAAAATGTAACCACGCTTTACCTATAGTTAACGTAAATCATCACTTACATTAGAATGAAAAATTCACTATGAAAAAAAGCTCTTACTTCAATAGCAAGGCATAAATGCACAATCATGTTGACTGCCAACCTCCTGTGTCATTCACTGTCCTTCCTTAAACTGTTTTTAAGCTGCAAAGTGAATATATTGCATAGAGGGAAATAGGAAGGTTTTGGATTATTTTCGCTCTCTTATTAGTTTCTGGCAGGATAAGCATTTTTTATCCGGATTGCAAAATATTGCCAATTACTGTCTAAGCATTTTTAATAGTTTTGCTTTCCATGGCACGCAACTCATATACTAAATTAAATAAGCTGTTATCTGGTGCAATTTCTCCTTGAATAGACTTAGAATTACCTATAGATATTGACACGGTTATTTTATAAATTGAGTTCCAGCAACACAAGGCAAAAATTTTGGCCTGTATGTAATGAAGGAAGAGTTGTCATCATTTTCTTATTAGGGATGTTTGTGTATTTTGGCAGGGGGAGGTAGGAAGGGGACCTGATGGAGGGCCCTGGAGTGAAGGTTGATGCTGGATGGTTGATTTGAAGGTTAGGAATGGCAAACTCAGCCTCTGTTCTTCAAGAATCCCCCTGCGTCCCCCCGCCCTGCCCCCTGCCTAAAAAAAAGGAAATCCAGGGCTTTGCTAGGGATCATTTTTGGTGTGGTTCTGTGTTTTAAAATGTGGAATCATCTCCAAAAGTGTTTGTTTATTAAAAGCAAAGTGATAAAATGTGTCAAGTCAGTGAAGAGACTCTCAAACTCCCCTTTCCTGCGAATCCTATCAGAAAGAACATTTATGAGGGCATACTTTTCATCTTTAGGCTTGGCAAAGATGGGTCAAACTCCCCATCAGACTGGCACATGGTGCTGTTTCAGGTTTGACTAAGAGAGAAAAGAATCACTAGTCAATGAAAGCAACTGTGTCCCCATGCATTTTCCAGTGAAGATGCGATCACCCATTGCCACCGTTACCATTACTTAAATAATATTAGAGGAATTAGTGTTATGAAGTCCCACATATGATATTGATGAATTATTAAACCAGTTGAGTTAGATTTCTATTGTAGTTCAGTGAATAATGTCATGTCAATACTGTGCTCAACGCCAGTGTCTCTTGCTGTTGTAAATGTGACAGCTCCTATTTAAGGTTTTAGAACATAAAATCAGGACTGAGAGTATGTAAAGCGGAAGGGTGAGAGACATCAGCATAATGCAATTAAGGCCCATTGGATTAGAATTTGCAGGATGCCATTAGCAATAAGCTCTGAGTGTAGATTATTGCCGTGCTTACATTTTCTCCTTCAGCGGTAACACTTCTCTTGTAAATTCTAACTGGGTAAAATAAATATGATATAAAACAGACACAAATAAGAATATATAGATGATGTTAATTTCTTCAGAGCTTCCCGGTGTTACGTCTTCAAGAATATGACGACAGGGGAACAGCCCAGTGTGGCAGTCATGTGACGACATGAGCATTGGAACCAGCCACATCTCAGTTGGCAACACGTATCTGTGTCTTACTAGCTTGGCCACTGTCACGTCACTCAGCCTCTGTTTTCTCATCTGTAAAATGGGGAAAATTATAGATGCTTCAGAAGATATTTGCTATCACTATTAAATGAAAACAAGCATGTCATCAGTGCTTATTATTTTTGTTGCTTTTATGATCAATAAATACATGCAAATTAGAGCTTTTTAAATGAGATTCTGGAAATAAGTTTTTCCGTATGTGTAAGGGAGGGGTAGATACACTGCCATCCAATCAGCATCAATGGGTACCTTGAAGTGAGATCACAAAATAGCTAATTCCCTGTAAACAGCAACCCTTCTCTCTGCAGTTGCACATGAGTAGTCCCCCAGTTAAAAGAGAATTTCCTCCAGATACAATGGAGGCCACGTTCAACACAGCCATCTAGTGTACCTGGGCTTCTTCCACCTCCAGCCACTGTACCGACGTGTTCCTTTATTTCACCCACATAGTGATGATGCTTCCAACACAGCATAACAAAGAGCTGCTGCTTTGTGCTGCTAGATTTGCCAAAAGTCTGTGCCAGGGATTCTTTTGTTGGAGGTAAGTGGAGAACGCAAGGCCCACATGCACAAGATGGGAGTATTTTGAAGCATGCTCCGTAAGACCCAACATGTGGGCAGCAGACCAACTACTTGGGTTCACTATGGCGAGAAATGGGATAGGAGAGCGAACTCACTGATACCCTCCCAGCTAATTCCTAGGCAATCTGCAATTAACAATGATTGTAAAGTAATAATTTGTGGTTTTGAAAACTAGGTTTGATCACTGGAATTATTCCTGTCCTATGTTCTAAAGGCCTGTTGCCTTGAGATGTTTTTTCTCCTCCCATTATTGGTAAGCATAATGTAGGCATGAGACGTTGCCTTTGAAGTGTCGGAAGGATGGAGAGGAGAAAAGAAAACGGAGATTGAATCTGGAAAACGCATTCATCTTTAGAGGCAGTGTTAATGAGTACATGAATTTAGTCCTGTAAATGTTTTCTCCCTTATTTGGGACATGGTGTATTGAAGGTGTCTGTTAACTGTGCTACCAATGAGTGCCCCTGTATCCGAGGGAAACTGGAGAAGTGTACTTGGGCTACCGGGTTACCAAGAGCAGGACAGCATGAGGCAGTTACAGATCTGATGGTTTTTCTTGGTCTTTGTCTCAGCTGCCATGAGGGCTTCTAAGGGGCAAGGAGGGTTGGGGGATGAGAGGACAGGTACATAGTGTGGACATAATGGAATATGGAATAGCAATTGAAATCTTGCGTTGGGCTGAATCATGGCTTTGCAGTTATTATCTTGATGCGGCTGTGCATGAGCCTTTTGAACCTCAGCTTCTCCATCTGTGAAATAGGTGGATAATGACTGCACCCTGCGAAGATGCTATAGGGATAAATAACTGCTGTGGGGCAAGGACTGAAATGGTTGTTGTTTTGAGATGGCTTTTATCATTGGGCCAGTGACGACCCATTCAGCCGTATCAGTGAAGAGTGAAGCACTGCACTCTTTAAGGATAGGGCTGAATGGTTTATCACCCATTCAGCGGTGACCACCACATCTTATGCATTGTGATGATCACGATGATAAAACAATACATAATCACAATATAAGGATCTAGAGTTATGAACTACTGATCAGGTATCATGTTCTGCTCCAACTGCTTTAGATACATTGCCTGACTTCCCGATAGGGCAGGTGCTGTTATTACTCCCACTTCACAGAGGAGCAAACTAAATATACAAGAAGCAGTAACTTGCCCAGCCCCAAACCACCCCCTGAAAAAAGAAAACAAGGGAGACCCACAGTTATTAATATGCATTATTATTGGAAAACAATGGTCATCACATTTTAGCAGTGGCCTTCAAAATAATGATAATAGCATATATTGAGAGCCCATTGTGTGGCTTGTACCTTATATTCACTCTATCTAATCTTCACTCTAACCATAGAAGGCAATACTATTATGCTCATTCATAATTAAGGCAATTGAAGCCCAGATCCTTCCAGTAGCTTTCCTGAAGTCAAGTTGCCAGTGCATTGGACATACTGGGCTGTAGTTCCAGGGCAGCCTGGCTCTGGTGTCTTTGCTGCAATGACAATATCTCCCCATTTCTCTGTTTAAATACCACACACTCCCCATATGGTTTCTTTGGTTTCAGGCAGTATCGCATCAGAGTCACATATGGCTAATTTATAGTCATAAAATGATACTAGAGATCACTGTTGCATAACAACAAGAAACCCCTTTGATTCCACACTTACAGACTCTTGAGTCACTAACACAGGTTTCAGTATATATAAAGAATAGATGAAGAAGACTTAGTGTATTAAGGTGGCAGTGAACTGTGCTACTGATGAGTGCCACTATATTCAAGGGAAATGGGAGACATGCACCTGGGTTGTTTGATTATGACCTTCTGGCTGAGCCCTGGATGTTGGGAGCAAGTGGGCTTCTGAGCTACATAGAAGTTGCCTGATGCTTCACATGTGGGATGCCACCTGTGTGGCTCTGTTTTAAAATGATGGGTAGGTAGAGTCTGTATACATAATTTAAAATACATTAACATTTCTGTTTTGCCTGAGATAAGCTTGTACTGGTGTGATCAGAAGGAAGAATGAAGATTTGGGGAAGGAAAATTTTGAGAGCCATTTTACAGCATTTCAAGATTCAGTGATCTCAGAACCTCTTTTGGTTAAACAAGCATGGGAGGATGGATGATTGGATGGATGGATGAATGGATAGGTAGGTGGGAAGATAAATGGATAGACATATAGGTAGGAAGGAATGAGGGATATATGGAAGGCTAGCAGTTTATTTTACGGTGGTGGGATTTTTTTCTTTTCCTTTTTTACTCAGACAGTCTTGTTCTGTTGCCCAGGCTGGAGTGCAGTGGCACGATCATGTCTCACGGCAGCCTCGACTTTCCAGGTTCAAGTGATCTTCCTGCCGCAGCCTCCTGTGTAGCAGGTGCATGCTGCTATGCCCAGCCAGTTATATTTTAGATGCTTTTTTATATGGCCCATATTCATATGTCTTTGTGACTTTTTTTTATAATGGATGTGAGTGTGAAGTAGGAGTTGGCCTGAAACAAGCCCAGAGAGGTAGACAGGGACCAAGTCATGGACTGAGTTAGTTGTTGTTGTTCCTCACTTTCTGTTTTTATTTCTCCTCTTTCTGGACACATAGCACGTTGCACCTTCTAGAAGCTAGGCACAGCCACATGACTTTGTCAAGGAAATGTGAGCAGAAGCAACACCAGTCACTATTAAGTGGAAGTCTTTGAGATGCCACGTGTAACTCACCACATTGCCTTCCACATGCCGTAGAGGCTGGCAGTGTTACAGACAACAGAGGCTCCATCCACCTGGTCCCTGAGTGGCCACGGTGAGCTGGGCCCACTGACCTACAATGAGTGTGAAGTGTGAGCAAGTCATAATTCTGGGTTATTCTAATTAATGGAGATTTGGGGGTTGTTCCTTACTGAAGCACATCCTGATTGATGCAGAGGATCTTGTGAGCCATGCTAAGGAATTCAGCCCACGTCTTACTGACCACTCTGACGTACTAAAGGGTTGGTTTTGCCAATGAAGAGAGCAGGCTCTGACTGAACGAGGCCTGAACTTTTCATGTTCTAGATGGCATGTGCTAATTCTAACACTTCTTAATGAAAGTCATGGTTTGCTTGGTGGTGATGGAACAGTTCTATGTCTTGAATGTGGTGATGGTTATATGAATACATACACATGATAAAATGTCTTAGAATTATGCACAAAGGTACAGCAAAGAAAATAAACGCATCTCAAGTTGTGTTAGTTCCTTCTCACACTGCTATATAAACATACCTGAGACTGTGTAATTTATAAAGAAAGCAGGTTTAATTGGCTCATTGTTCTGTGTTCATGTTCTGCTTCTGGATAGGCCTTAGGAAACTTCCAATCATGGCGAAGAGGAAGCAGGCAAATCTTAGCAGGAGCAGGAGGACGAATAGGGGGAGGTGATATGCTCTTGTAAACAAGCAGATCTTAGGCATACTGGATCACGAGACAGCACTAGGGGGATGGCACTAAGCTGTTTTTAACCAGCCCCATGATCCAATCACCTCCCACCAGGCCCCACCTCCAGTATTGGGGATTACAATTTAATATGAGATTTGGGTAGGGACACAGAGCCAAACCACATCAGGTGACATCCCAGTAATGACTGTGGTCTAGTAAATTGTGTTGTGTTGATGTTGATTTTCAGGTTTTGCCATTGTATTGTATGTATGTAAGATGTATATATGGGGGAAGCTGGATGATGGGTATAGGGTGTTCTCTGTACCAGTTTGGCCATGTTTTGTGAATCTATAATTAGTTTCAAATAAAAGTTAACAACCAGAAGATCATGAGCTAAACCAATAAAGTGAATTATGGTCAGTTGCAGATTCACTGCCAGACCTGGGAGGAAATCTCACCTTGGCAGATCGAGTCTCTTGTCCTCGCCTAACAATCAGCAGTTCACCTCTCGAAAAGGGGTTCCGTTTGCAATCTGTCAGCCACTACCTTCTTATTTAGAGCATGTCCCACTACAAACATTTCTATAAAGTTACTAAGTTTGTTAGACAATTAGAATTGCAAACCCCCAACACACACATAAACACATATGCACACCCTAATTTAAAGGCTGCATTTTCCATCCCCTGGACTTACTGTATTGCCTCCAGTTTCTCTCCATTTCTCAGGATTGGTAGCAGAAATGGGAAACCTGATACCTAGGGCAAGAGAATTGCCTGAATAACAGTGTGTGGACTTGAATCACTATCCCCAGGAGCCTAGTAACCCACAGCTTGTGGATTAGTCTGTTGAACTACTTGATGGCTTGTGACCCCTTTTTCCCTTAGAGTTATATGTTCTGATTTTCTTCTTATTGATAGTGGCAGCTCTGTGCTTTATTTTGAAGGGAAGCAGGGGAACCAAAAGAAAACTTAGCAGTTGTAAGTTACTTACAGAGAAGACTGGGCTAGTTGGCTGTGCTATCATTTTTGTTGAAATACTGCTTTGGGGTCGCCATCTGGGAATGTTCTTCCTGTTTTATGGGGGAAATACATACATGCGTTTTTATAATATGTAGCCTGCATATCCCTTGGGGTTTCCACTGGGGGCTTGGCTGAGCAGAGCAATTTCTTTACCACCCCCTCCACAGCATAATGAATGGCTGCCTTTCCTCTTGTGATACATTCACATTTCTGTAAGATTCTGCACGTGGCAGTGAGTGTCATGCTCCAAGTAAAACGAGGCAGGGACCAGAGGACTTAGGATGAGGATGAAAGGTCACTTTGTTTGCTGACTCTGAATGTCAGGTAGTTGTGTTTATGAGGCATCAGCGTCTCTGTGGGGTATTGAAACATTTACACTTTGAAAATATTTTTAATCATCAGATAAATATCAGTTACTCAGACAGCTTATGAGGGTTCTGCTCCTCATCTGGAGGTACACACCTTTCACGGGGTGTGACTTCACCACATGCCTTCAATATTCTTGGTGGCAGTTGCCCTCTTTATAGGGGGGATGTGGCGTCACCTTATAGCAGACCCTCTAGCTCTGTTATTTCCTGAACGTAGGAAACTAACAACCCACGTGTGGGCGTTTTCCCCTTTTCCTAGATCAGGTTCATGTTTCTCCTCCTCGTTCCAAAATCTGCACACTTTGGCATCTGCCACTGTTACCCAAGACCAGGAATTTAAATCTGTGTTTGCCAGTTTGCCTCCACCACTGATGTGCTGTTGGGGTTTGGGGACATAATTTCATCACTTTCTACCACCTTTCCTTAAAACTAGGCTTTGTGCCAGGTGCGGTGGCTCACGCCTGTAATCCTAGCACTTTCGGAGGCCGGGGTGGGTGGATCACAAGGTCAAGAGATTGAGACCATCCTGGCCAACATGGTGAAACCCCGTCTGTACTGAAAATACAAAAATAAGCTGGGTGTGTTGGCACGCACCTGTAGTCCCAGCTAGTCGGGAGGCTGAGGCAGGAGAATCGCTTGAGCCCAGGAAGTGGAGGTTGCAGTGAGCCAAGATGGTGCCACTGCACTTCAGCCTGGGCGACAGAGTGAGACTCCATCTAAACACACACACACACACACACACACACAAAAGCACAGGGCTTTGTTAGCAGGCATGACTTGGATTCTTTAGGATCCTTCCCTCAGTAATCTGGTCTGATGTGGCCTTCAGGGAGGATCTTTGGACATCATTGCCATCCATCTGTCCACTGTGCTGGACTATAACCCACCCAGACTACCATTTATTGCCAAGTGGCATCGGGACAAGAGTTTTACACAAGAAACATCTTCTCTGCTAGTTAAATTAATTAGATAATTTGTCTTCCAGACAGGATGTTAGGAACTTATGAACATGTATCGTTACAAACCTATGAGTAGATGACTAATATTCATCTTTTACAGATAAGGAAACTGAGGCTCAACAGTGTTAAATGGTCCAGAATGAGTGTGTTTTCTAGCTGTCACTGCCTG
Organism: Homo sapiens; assembly: GCF_000001405.40. Taxonomy (NCBI): domain Eukaryota; kingdom Metazoa; phylum Chordata; class Mammalia; order Primates; family Hominidae; genus Homo; species Homo sapiens. The sequence goes on from NC_000016.10 coordinate 78,385,543, forward strand.
ATGTTTACTGCTCAAAGCTTAGGACTTGGATTAGAGCCCAGGACTTGGCAGCCAAGATAAACCAGCTGCAATTACGCTGAACGTCTCAGCCCAGCTCCTGTCCATCCCTGAACAGGACACTTAGGGTAGAGGATGTTCTCAGCAGTGCCATTTGCATCCCCCTTCATAGCCTTACAGGTATCATGTTATCCTCCTTAATCTTACTTAAGCATCACAGTCTAGACTAGAATTCCCAAGTCAACCGTTTGTTTTACGGGACTCTTCTTATTTGAATAGGCAGGTGGCCCTGTGTTCTTGGGTTTTTTGTCCTTTCAAGGAGCTAGGTCTAAGAAGTGATAGTATTTAATCTCGCACTCCGAAGCGCACCCAGATTTAAAAGTTGGGAGTGGCCCATACACAGAAGGCTAGTGGGAGGGGCAACCCGGAGATTTGTCCTTGCAGAATGATGCCATGAAGAACATGGCCAATGGAACACCATTGCTTCAAATCCCGACCTCTCCAGTTCTCCTGGTTTCTTGCTAGGCGGGAACTTGGGCTTCTTTATCAGTGACTGGGGTCAGTTCTTGTACTCAATTTCCTATCTCTGTGATCTCTTGTAAGATGCTGCATTGTCAAATGGAGAAAACATTGTCTTTGAGTTGTTAGGAGCCTTGAGTGAGATGGTATGCAAATGTCCAGCCCGTGGCAGGCCCTAAGTACACAGTAGCCATTATTACCATTATTATTCCTATCACCAGCATGTATTCCACCTGTTGATAGAGTTTTCTGGGTTTACTAAGCCAGGGTGTTGCCTTTGGGATCGAGGTCCGTCAGAATCCATTGGTATAAACGAGTCTTTCTGCTTTTGTACTTTCTATAAAGGAGTTGTCTTTGATTTTTGATGCAGGTTTAATGGAGATATTTCAGAACCTGGATGGCAGCTTTTGAAATTAAGATATTGTCCATTGCATCTTTCCATGATCGAGGCGTTGTCGTGCATTCCCCTCCTTACAGCGTTTTAGGATGCAGATTGAGAGGAGATAACGTTAGCCCGAAGCGCCTTTGCAGCCTCTTTTGCGCGGCTGAAACACAGCACAACCCACCCCCCCGCCCCACCCCCCAGCCTGTAGGTTTAGCAGAATCCCAGCCTCACATCCTCCCCGAACTTGGCAGTAAAAGCCCTGTTCTTCCATTCATTCCGATGATTTATATTCTCTCTGGGCGTCTTATATTAAACAGGGGAATTCCGACATGTTCCATAACACATTTACTGTAACTTGATACCATGAACTACACTTGCTGTTATTTATCATTTCTTTTTATTTTCTCTCATTGCAGCATAAAGCCAAGGTAGAAGCAATGACCCTGGACCTCGCTCTGCTCCGTAGCGTGCAGCATTTTGCTGAAGCATTCAAGGCCAAGAATGTGTGAGTGTTCCAGTGGAGGGTTATAGATCATAATTTCTTGCTATTGTAATATCTTTATCAGATGAACACAATTGGGAGAATGCAAGGCTGTTGTGTTGTCTTGGCGTCCAAACAGGAGGCTCATTTATATTGGCCCTGTTAAGGTGAACCGTATTTTCTTGACTCACAGTCACCTTCATTATGAGATGTGTCATCAATCTAATAACAGCTTCCCACATACCAAAAGAGAAGACACTATTAAAGCACTAGTAAAAGTGGCTAATAAAAGCTTGGCAATAGTAAGATGCATCCTGATTATAAGATTTTTTGTAGTGCATTTCAGAATGGAGTAAGAGTATATTTAAATTGCATTCAGGAACAAGTAAACTCAGTTATCCAGTATGGCAGGGAGGTTGACAATCCAAGCACCCAAAAGACCTCTAGTTTCTAAAGCCTTCGATGATTTGATGTGGTACATGGATGTGGTTCCAAAAAACATGGACTCACATTCCTTTTATTTATTTTTTTTCATCCTTTTCAGTCTTTCAAAATTCCAGTTGGAGAAAGCCTTAGTTAGGGCCTAGCATATTTTGATCCTATCATATGCTAGCATCCCTTTCTAACAGAGAAGGTTGTAGGAGAAAGGGAGAGAAGCGGAAGGGGGTGGGGAGACAGAGAGACAGACAGGAGGCCTCAAACCCTGAAACACTGAGCTAAGGAAAGTGATCATGGCAAGCTACACTAATTACAATACTTTGTTTCCAAGTGTTTATTTTTACTCATATTTAGGGCAGGCAATCCTGGTTTCTCGTTGAACATAGAGGTTTGAATTTCATTAATAAATAACTTCATTTATTTTTTTTCAGTGACTTGATTCAAACATGAGGATTAAGTTAATAATAGCACAGGTTGTGCGAAGGATAAGATAATTACACAAGAGGCACCAGAACCACTGAATGTGGAGAGCTCTCATAAATGACAAGCTGCCTTTGGGTTAGGCTCTGTTGGGAACATTAGTTCTGCAGTGTTGCAAGCAGATGAAGGATGTGAGGGAAGGGATCTTAAACCAGATATTCAAATGGCCCTGTGGGGAGCTGACACCACACTGCTGTCTAGTGTCCAATTCTCCTTGCATGGCTGTGTCACCCAGGTTGGAACGTAGTGCACAATCTCGCCTTAATGCAACGTCCCACTGTGGGCCCAAGTGATTTTCCTGTCCCAGCCTCCTGAGTAGCTGGGACTACAGATGCCTGCCACCATGGCCTGCTAATTTTTGTATTTTTAGTAGACATAGGGTTTCACCATATTGGTCAGACTGGTCTCAAACTCCTGGCCTCAGGTGATCCACCCGCCTCAGCCTCTGAAAATGCTGGGATTACACACATGAACCACTGCGCCCAGCCGCTCTACTTTATTAGATTTAAAAAGTTTGCTCTCAGCTGGGTGCAGTGGCTTATGCCTGTAATCCCAGCAGTTTGGGAGGCCAAGGCGGGGAGGGTCATGAGGTCAAGAGATCAAGACCATCCTGGCCAACATTGTGAAACCCCATCTCTACTAAAGATACAAAAAATTAGCTGGGTGTAGTGGTGCACACCTCTAGTCCTAGCTACTTGGGAGGCTGAGGCAGGAAAATCGCTTGAACCTGGGAGGCAGAGGTTGCAGTGAGCCAAGATGGCACCACTGCACTCCAGCCTGGCGACAGATTGAGACTCCGTCTCAAAAAAAAAAAAAAAAAAAAAAAAAAAAAAAAGTTTGTACTCAGCCTGGCGTGGTGGCTCACGCCTGTAATCCCAGCACTTTGTGAGGCCGAGGTGGGCGGATCACCTGAAGTCAGGAGTTCGAGACCAGCCTGGGCAACAAGGTAAAACCCCGTCTCTACTAAAAATGCAAAATTAACTGGGCGGGGAGGCACATGCCTGTAATCCCAGCTACTTGGGAGGCTGAGGCAGGAGAATGGCTTGAACCCGGGAGGTGGAGGTTGCAGTGAGCTGAGACTGAACCAGTGCACTCCAGCCCGGGTGACAAGAGCAAAACTCTGTCTCAAAAAAAAAAAAAAAAATTGACTCAGGCTCTTGCTGGAGTATGTCAGTGTCCCAAGTCACTGAGGTCTACATTAGAGTCAGTCTTAGTGAGAGTTGCAACATCGCCTAAGCGCAGACCCCAAGCTGGCTTGTAGGAACAGTGAGATAACATCCCCCAGCCAGCCAGATCTGAGAGAGCCCTCCTGTGTGTGTCCTTTGCAGCGCTTGGCTGTTAGTAGCTTCCACCCTTTGCCAGAACTATCAAGAGGCACCTCAACAGGCTGCAACACTAGCATTCAAGACATTTGTTCGCTGATTTGCTTCGTCATTCATTTATCCACCCGTTCCTTCACTTCACACACATTTCAGGAGCACCTCTAAAGCCCCAGACATTCTTCTGGGCTCTGAGAAGAGAGTGGTGGCCCTGGAAGCCACAGTAACCGCACACAAGCTGTCACCTCAGTTGTCAGCTATTATGGATGGCTGACTCCTCAAACTCATCTGTCTGTGGTTGTTTGGGAGGGAATGATAATGACAAGAACAGCAGCGGAGTCAGCAGCTCATTTACTGAGGGCTTATGGGCCATACGTGGAAAATATTTTGCATGTATGTTTTGATTCAATTCTCAAAGCAGTCCTTGGGAGTAGATGCTATTAATATCTCTACTATACAGATAAGGAAAGTGAGGCTAGAGAGGATATATAATTTATCCAAGGCATGTGGAATGTGGGTAGAGGGGCCGATTTAGCCTCTTCACGGCTCCAACTTGACCACCGTACTATACTGTGTTTCATTTTAGTTTATTTTTTATTTATTTTTTGAGACAGGGTCTCGCTGTGTTGCCCAGGCTGAAGTGCAGTGGTGCAATCTCTGTTCATTGCAACCTCTGGCCTTGGGTTCAAGCGATTCTCATGCCTCATCCTCCAGAGTAGCTGGGATTACAGGTGCAGGTTACCACACACAGCTAATTTTTGTATTTTCTGTAGAGATGAGGTTTCACCATGTTGGCCAGGCTAGTCAACTCCTGACCTCAAGTGATCTCTCCACCTTGGCCTCCCAAACTGCTGGAATTACAGGCGTGAGCCACCCTGCCCGACCCTTTCATTTTAAATGTGATAGAAACAGACTCAGAGAATGTGAGTGACTTTCGCAGGGTCACTTAGCAGGTTGGTGACGGGCATGGGGTTTCACTCCAGTCTGCCTCTTGTTCTTTTCCTCATAGCATGTGAGATCTCACAATTCACTGCCGCTGAATAACTTTGTCCAGTTCCTCTGTCAGAATGTGTTGGAAGTGAGCAGCTTTGCTGAAGAGAGCCAACTGTTACATAATAGGATCATCTTCCACGTCTTAACTGGACCATTAGTTTTTAACCATTAAGTAGTTGGGAAATCATCAAGTTCAAGTGCCTTTTGTAATCACCAAGCTCAAAACCTTGGAGGAAACTCTCACCCATTTTGCCCTAATCCCAGATTTTAGCACAGGACTTTGGAATTTTAGAAAGTACTTCTAGGTTGAGAAACAAGGGTGATTTTCCATATAGAGACCTCTGTAGCACAACCCTCTTTGTATGTGTCCCATGAGAGTACAGGATTTTACATGGCTTAGAGAAATACTGTGGTGGTGAAAATATGCATAAAAAAGCGAGAGATTTTACTTTTGAAATGCTGCCAAAGTGAAATCTCTCTTGGATAGGCAGATGACAGTTTAGTACTTGCAGGTCTTTCGATTCTGACAACTGTCAGAAGTGAATTTAAGTGCTGGTGACTAGGCTGCCAGAGAAACACATGTAACTCTATTCTTATCACCCCCCATCTTCAGACATTAAAATTTTCTTGTGTGTAAAACATAATGACAAATGAAAGAAAGGCTGCCAGTTCAGAACCAATCTCTTTTCACGCTGTTGCATTGAGGAGAGGAAAAAATCCCTTAAATTTGAATTCCATGTGGATGCTCTTATTTAATATGCCGTTTCAAAGCCTGTATGTGATCAAGCCAGAGTATTATCAGGCTCTGAGTTCCTGTGTGTATTCCCTTGGTCCATGCTCCATCTCAAGTGTTTCTCCACACTGGGATAGGCAGCATATTGTGTAGTCTTAGAGCAGAAAAGGTAGAAACAGATTCTTAGTACAAACACTGGTGAGAAAAGCAGCATATTGTACTGTGGAACCACCCGCCGTCTGCCTTCTGTGGGAGATGGGGATCAGCCTCTTCCTGGATCTCTTCTTTTTATTCGGGTGCTGGGAGGTGAGGCTGCAAAGGAGGCTGTTGTAGAGGGAGCCCTCCTAACCATGATTATGTAAACAATAGCTGCTAGGCAACTTGTTGTTTGTTTTATGCAAGGCAGTGTGCTAAGCACTTACATACATGTATTCTGTCTGTAGTTTGTTATAAGAGTCCTGCACACTTAACCATGATTATCCCTACTTTGCAAATTACAAGGTTGCAGTGCAGAGAGCCTAAGACACTTTCTCAACTTGAGCAAGTAGGAGATCCAGAATTTGAACCCAAATCTCTCTGAATCCAAAACGACTTTTTGTTACTTTGCACACTTCAGTCATAGGAATTTCAGTGTGGATTTCTGTATTGGTTATGTATTGCCGAGTAAGAAATGACTCTGGCCAGGCACGGTGGCTCACACATGTAATCCCAGCACCTGGGGAGGCCGCAGTGGGTGGATTGCTTGAGGCCAGGAGTTTGAGAACAGCCTGGCCAACATGGCAAAACCCCGTCTGTACTAAAAATACAAAAATTAGCCGGGCATGGTGATGCATACCTGAAGTCCCAGCTACTCAGGAGGCTGAGGCATGAGAATTGCTTGAGCTCTGGGGTGGGCAGAGGTTGCAGTGAGCCGAGATCATGCCTGGGGGACAGTGAGACTCTGTCTCAAACAAATTACTCCAAAATTTAGTGGCTAAAAAACAACGTAAAACAAGAAACATTTCTTTTGTGCCTCCTCTTTTCCTCCCTCCCTCTTTCTCATAGTTAATTTGTTTGAATCAGGATTCAAATAAGGTCGATGCATTTTTAATCTATAGGTTTTGTCTCCTTTTTTTTTTTTTCCTTAAAAAAATTTCTTTTAATGCAACAGATTTAAGGGACCAGGGTGTTCTCTAGAGCAGGGGTCCATGACCTCTAGGCCACAAACCAATAGCGGAGCCGTGGCCTGTTATAAATTGGGTGGCATGGCAGGGAGTGAGTGGTGGGCAAGCATAGGAAGCTGCGTCTGTGCTTAGAGCCGCTCTCTGTCACTCTCATTAGTGCCTCAGGTCCTCCCCCTGTCAGATCAGCAACAGCATTAGTCTCATAGGACCGTGATCCCTATTGTGAGCCACACATGCAAGGGATCTAGGCTGCATGCTCCTTACGAAAATCTAATGCCTGATGATCTGTCACTGCCTCCCATCACCTTCAAGATGGGATTGTCTAGTTCTAGGAAAACAAGCTCAGGGCTCCCACCGATTGTACATTATGGTGAGTTGGATAACTATTTCATTATATATTACAACGTAATAATAATAGAAATAAAGTGCACAATAAATGTCATCTGCTTGAATCGTCCCAAAGCCACCCCCACTCCTTTGAGTCTATGGAAAAATTGTCTTCCAGAAAACCACTTGCTGGTGCCAAAAAAATTTGGAAACCTCTGCTCTAGAGATTTCTGCAGTCTGTACTTTGGTGATTGCATCTCTGTGGTGTCTTTTAACATACTCTTCTGTCTCCTGAGTTTCCTGTGAAAGGGTAGATAACTCAAGAGACTCAATCAACTTCGTGTTTAATGTTTTCGTAAGAATACTTCAGAGGCAGTGGTGTAATCGTCCAAGAGTACACACAGGCCTGATTGCCAAAGCCAGTTTTCTTCAGGCCCAGCACGTCCTGACCTCCTCACTCCTCTGCCCACTCTCTGTTTACTCACTCCCATTTTCATTCATTGATTCTGTTATTCTCCACTAAGTTTTCTGGGTGGTCAGCCCAGGAAGCCTCAGCCTGCTTCCAGATAGTTCTCCTCAGAGTTAGCGGTAGCAGCGGTCGTCGGCCAGTGTGTCTCGGGTCAAATTATTTTGGGCATTACTGGAAAGTTCCAAACCAAAGCCTGTGGTAAGTTCCACCCAAACTGGCTTGTGAGGGATATTTTTGTTTAAACTGCATTCCTGGAGAGGAGCCAGACTTCCTACTGCCTGGCAGCAGTGGTGTCCATAGGAGTATGAAGAGCTGGGACCCTTTCTAATCACTCAGACCAAATATTGGGGTTTTCTGAAATGGACTGAGAAATAACAGTATGTTTTTATGAGGCTTTGCACATTTTCCTTCCTAGCAGTAGCTGCTTAGTCTACTGAAAAGTGCATATTTTGAACAGGGCCTAGAAGAGTTAACAGCTCCTAGAGAGAGGTGCTCTGTAATACTTTTTCTTCTTCAAAAAATGGTTTATGGCTGGGCGCAATGGTTCATGCCTATAATCCCAGCGCTTTTGGGAGGCCAAGGTGAGAGGATTGCTTAAGCCCAGAAACGTGAGACCAGCCTGGGCAACGTAGTGAGACGCTGTCTCTATATTACAAAATTTTTTAAAAAACGGTTTGTAGGTCCTTAAGTCCCTGATAAAATAGAGAACTGAATTGCAATCCTGGAACTTAAAAAGTTGGTGACGACACCTGAGATATTTATTACTTAGATTGCAGTTACTGGTCAGCTTGTATAATACTGACCAAGGGTTTTGATTCTTCCTGGAATTGATAGGAAATTCATATTAAAATAATTACCCAAGTCCAAACATTTTTAGAACTGCATTTTTGATCATGGATTTTTATGTCTCTTCTGAACTTTCTGTCACCGGTATAATTTAAAGAAATTATACTTAAGCTTTGTCTCACTTAGAAGATAATATAGAACAGTGGTGTTTTTTTAATTAAAAAAAAGGTTAAAATAACGGTTTTGTATCCTTGCTTTACTTCTTAAACATATGGGAGGAAAAAAAATCTTTAACAAGTTTATTTATTTTCATTTTCTGCTAAATTACTTTCAGAACTTGAATCTACTAATCCCAGATATAATATTCTTGGATTCATATTCCAAATTTTGCTGTCTCAAATCCATCTAGGGAAGTGGGTGGGCTATAAATTATAAATAAATTCCAAATTTTGTGGGATGAATTACCCTGAAGACCAACGTGTAAATTACATATTAATCTTTCTTTTTCTCCCTAGCTCGGTTTTAAGAATAATGTTTTAGCCAACATATCTGCATTACTCTTGGCTCAATATGAGAAATCCATTTTTGGTTTGCCTAACAGAAGATCATCTTGCTTTGCTTCTCTACACAGTATGAAAACCCAAAGAAAAGAAAAACAGAGGCAGTTTTTTGCTCTAATGAATGCTCTAAATCTAGCTCTTAATTATGATTTTTTAAGGAAAATTTTGAAAAGTCTACAAGTTAAATTTTTTTTTCTATCCCATACATTTTCCATCCTAAGGCATTGAAAAAGCACACTGTGAAATACTTAGTGTATCTAGAAACATCAGGGAAGAATGCTTCCCTCCTAAGCAAAATTTTGCCTTCTGAAACTTTTTCAGCATTCAGTCTTTTTATATAATACTTAGAAAAATATTTCTGAAATAGATCATACACTCTCTTCCCAAAAACATCAAAGTATGACCGTAAAGGGCAGAGGTAGGTAAACTTCTTGTAAGGGGCCAGAGAGTGAATATTTGAGAATTTTCAGACTATTAAGATCTCTGTTGCAACTGCTTGCTTTTGCCGTGGTAGCCTGAAAGCAGCCATAGATAGTATGGAAATGGATGATCATGGCAGTGTTGCAATAAAACTTTACAAAACAGACAATGGGCCAGATTGGCCAGGGGCCATAGTATGCTACCCCTGGGCAACAACCTGTATGCCCTGGAGTAGTGTAAAGAACGTGGGTGTTGGGGGTCAACTGACGCTTCCAGCTCTACCACTTACTGGCTGTGTGGCTTTGGGCAAACTACTGAAAATCTCTCAGCGTCACTTTCCAAGTGTGTGTAATGTGTATTTTCACAGTGCTTTGCAGGTTGTTGATTATTGAAAATAGCCATAATGCATGAAATTACCAGACACATCTCACTTTATGGAGCCTGGGGCTATTGGTAATATGCATTTCTTTCTCATCTTGATCGTAAAATGATCTTAGAAAGGTTTCTGAGAATATATAGAGTTTAAGACAGCAATAAGACAACTAATTAATTAAACAGGAAAAGGGGATGTTGTGCTCAGAGAGGAAGTGTGGGTCTCATAAGGGCTTTCACAATCGTTTGAGAGGACACGTGTGATGTCTCATGCCTGTTATCCCAGCACTTTGGGAGGCCAAGGCAGGCAGGTTGCTTGAGTTCCGGAGTTTGAGACCAGCCTCGGTAATTTGGCAAAACCTTGTCTCTACAAAAATTACAGAAATTAGTTGGGTGTGGTGGTGCACACCTGTAGTCCCAGCTGCTTGGGAGGCTGACGAGTAAGGATCACTTGAGCCAGCATGGTGGAGGCTGCCATGATCATGCTACTGCACTCCAGCCTGGGCAACAGAGCCAGAACCTGTCTTGTAAAGAAAAGGAAAAAGAGAGAGAAGGGCAGAAAGAAAGAAGGGAAGGAAGAAAGGAAAATTGGGCCCAGGAATGATCTTTACAATGCCTGACAACCAAGAGAAGAAGGGAAATGAGCTTCACATTGCCTGCAAGCTCTAGGGTGACAAGAGCCAAGAGAAATTATTGTTACTGTAGTGATGTTCCACTGAGGATCATAAAGTACTTTATTACTCTACTGAGTATGGTTTTTTGTTTTGTTTTTTCTTTTTCTTTTTCTTTTTCTTTTTTGCTATTCTTTTGTTATTCTTGATTTATGCTGATGGAAAGCCATGGACCCAAGGATGCTTCACAGTTTTCTTTCGGAGTAAATGCTTAGATTCCATTTTCTTTGACATGACTATGTCTGTTCCTCTTGATTTTAGGCATCTTTTTCAGATGAGTTGCCATAAAAGCAGCCTGCTCTGGATAAGTGAGGTACAGCAGGACACACTGCAAATACTAGGAATCCTTAAGTACAGTGGAACCCCAGAGCACTCTACCTGCTTTCTTTCTCACCTCCTTAAAAACTTTTTTTGCCCTCACCTCATCATTTATTCAGCAGTCACAACAGTGCCAAGAACTTGGCTAGAGATTGGAAATAAAGCTTATGCCTTCTCTCATATCTCCTGTACCTTATTTCTTTCTTACAGTAGTTGTGATGCTTAGCAGTTTTTTGATAACTTTTTATGATGCCAACCTTCAAAAACCTGCCCCTGGTGGAGAGAATAATTATTACATCAATTAGGGGTCACTTAGCATGACATTTGTCGGAAAAAAAAAAGTTAGTGAGCCTTTTTGCCATATTAAAAGTCATCACTGCCAAGACATAAATGAAAATGTGTTCGAATTAACCACACCAATGTTCACAAAATAAACATTTTTGATTTCCCAACAGAATCCTAGGTTTAACTATCACTATCATCTTTCATGAAATCAAAGTCATATATGTAAATTGAACACAACTTTCCCTTCCATAGAGAGTAAAAACCACGCTTTGGAGGGTAGATACAATTACCCCAGGGTTGTCTTTTCCCACTCCTCACAATCCCACCAGTGCACATGCAAGGTGATGTCCTTCCTTTAGCTATAGCAAATAATGTTAATTATTGTTGGTGTTAAATAATGATTATGTAAAGCACTAGACTAGACATTCGTCGGCAAAGTTTTTCTGCAAAGAATCAGATAGTAAATATTTTTGCTCTCATCAGCCAGACAGTCTCTGCGGCAACCATTCAAGCATTGTTGAATACATTGTTGAGTGTTACATGAGACTATTGTAATATAAAAGTAGCCTGGGACAACACATAAATAACTGGGTGTGGCTGTGTCCTAATAAAACTTTATTTACAAAGAACAGGAAGTGGCTTGGATTTGGTATCTGGCCTGGCAGCTGTGGTTTACTACTCCTTGGACGGTGGCCCAGAGACCCTTTAAATGAAATTCATTTTACTAGCACCCTTTTTCATCATGAGAAATATATTCTGTTTTTCTTAGAAAATGGGTTATGTTAGGTCTGGTCAAGGTAAATAAGTGTTGAGAGTCGATGTTGTGTGCATAGTTAATTTCAATTCTTTGAAGAAACTCCCCCATGATATTTCACGGCTGAGAGAAGAGGAAAGAGTTTAAGTGGAACAGTGTGCTTTGCTGAGCTTTGGAAATATTACCATATAGGGAAGCAGGTCAATAAGACAACTAAGTGCTGTTTCAATAACGAAGATACTGAAGCGCTAATTGGAGTATGGAACCATATAATGATGATAATAATTGCTAATATTTATCAGCTATTTATCATGTGTCATGTACAGCTAAGCACTTACATACCATCCCATTTTATCCTTATAATGACTCTAAGAGTGGGTTAAAAAATGGCAGAAGAATGGCAGTGTTTAATGGTTCAGCCTGGTGCAATGATTAACCACATTTTACAGACTAAGAAATTAAGAACCTCAACCAAGTTCATGCTAGCTGGTACGCAGTAAGGCTAGAACTTCGTCCAAAATCTCTTCTTCTGTTGAGCTCAGCTTGCATAGTAGCTTGGAGAATCAGAAAGATCTGTCTCATTTGGGAAATATACCATGTAAAAAACATTGTTTCTAAAGGAGATTTGTCCCATGAGTAAAATAGATGATGGACAGCCACTGCCTAGTGGGACAATTAGAAAGGTCAGTTCAAGGTTGGAGGAGATGCTTCTTTCAGCCAATTTTCCTTTTTCTCAGGATCACCTCAGGTGATCCGCCCACCTCAACCTCCCAAACTGCTGGGATTATAGGCGTGAGCCACCGCTCCTGGCCTTTCAGCCAATTTTCTATCACCAAAGGGAAATCGTTTTGCTGGAATATGTGTAAAGGAGGTTAAAGTCAGAAGAGATTCTCGTCCGCTCAGTTAAGGTACTCAGACTATTTTCCAACCAATCAAGAGGGTGCTGCTTCATGGAGTTCGTTTAAGCTGAAGCGGCAGCTGTTGACTGTCATTTGCATCATCTTTATACATTTACTGTGAATGTCACTGTCCATTTCCACTTTCTTTCTACTTGTCTTCAAATTGATGCTTATCAAGTAGACAGAAGAAGACCAAGGGGTCGTTTTGCTATTTATACCTCCAAATTGATGGCGTGATCACTCTCAAGTGCAAACCCAGCCCTGACACTGTCCTGTTTGGCAATGTCCTGCTATCTGACCTGCAAATAGCTACACTTCCTGCTGTGGCCCACCCAGGCCTCTGGGATCTGATCCCTTCTCCCATGTCACCTGTGGCCATGTCTTCCCCAACCCAGGCTTCTCTGCTCCGCTGCTTATGTTCTGGATCCTGACTCTGAGCCTTTGCTTGTGTGGCTCCTCTCCCACTTGTCCATCATCATGTCAGTTATGTAAGCATAGATTCCAAAGTGACAATGAGGGTAGTTAGGATGGCAAGAGGAGAAAAACCAAGCTGGATTCATGGATTGCTTGTGTCACGTCCTCTACAGAGCCTCCCTTCTACCTGCTCTTACCCGGGCACCACAGTTGATGAGTTATTTTTTGGACCATCAGCAACACACCCAATCATTGTACATGGAATACTTCGGGGATGCTTTTTTCTATATTGATTTTACTTCATTAAACTGAGCTCCAGAGGAGCAGAAACTTTGGCTAATACATCTTGGTCTTAGCTTGTAATATCTGTGCTACAACTTATTAAGATGGTGACGCTGGCAAATTCCTTAATCTTTCTAATTCTTAATTTCATCAGCAAAGATGGGAAAGGATACTAACACCACTCTGGGTTGTTGAGAGGATTCAATAACTGAATATTTATAAAGCGTAGTACCTGATACTTAATAAAAAAGTGAATTTTAACCTGTGTCATCATTGTCATCGTCTTTATCATCCTTTGCAATTATTACATTTACTGCCTTCTAGTACAAGGAAGGGGATGGGTGGCTGGCTGGCTAGGTGGATAGAAGGATGGAAGAGGTAAGTACAAGGAAGGGGATGAGTGGCTGGCTGGCTAGATGGATAGAAAGATGGAACAGGTAAGTATAAGGAAGGGGATAGGTGGCTGGCTGGCTAGATGGATGGAAGGGGTGGAAGGGGATGCAAGAGGTAAGTACAAGGAAGGGGATGGGTGGCTGGCTGGCTAGATGGATAGAAGGTTGGAAGACAGGAAGGATGGAACGGAAGAAGAGGGAAGAACAAAAATGGAAACACATAGTACTGTTAGGTGAACTGAACTTCTAAGGTGCCGATTCTCAGTGATAGAATCTTGAGTTGATACCTCCTTGGGTGGCATGGAGCCTATACCTTTGTAGATCTTGGGAAACAACTTCTAAAGTAATCATAGTTGTATGTAATCGTAGTTACAACAATAGTTATTTTAGGCACATAACCCAAAGGTTTTCTTACAAGGAATCTATGAACCTTAAGAGTGAGGGCTTCTGTTAAGAGTAAGGGCTTCCCTGGAGTGGACATGGATCATGGGACTGAGCCAGCTTGGCATTGTTGGGTTGAACAGGGAGCGACACCTCTCAGCCCAGTCTATCAAGCCTGCTCTTTGACCTGCAGTGAGACCACCCACGCAGACATCAATGCAGCAAATCCCCGGCGTCAGGGTTTCAACATTTGGTTACTCTCAGAGAACTCTCGATTTATATAAGACTTGGAAAAAGGGTTTGAGTTTCTGTGGTTTACAATTATATTTCCCAACTTGGCCCATGAATCCAGCTTGGTTTTTCTCCTCTTAGCATCCTAACCACCCTCATTGTCACTTTGGAATCTACACTTACATAATTGACATGTTGAGAAGCTGTGCTAAAACCACACTGAAATCACATTTTAATAACATGGGAACCATCTTTTCCCAGTAAATTGTTGAGAAGCTAATTCTTGTCAGCCTAAAAACTTGAATATACATTTGAATAAATCAGCGGTGCTACACCGTGGCAGCCTGCTGAAAATCCCCAAGGAAGATTATATTTTTAGTTGAGCTACTTGTCACTGCACTGTGTTTTTAATATTGTGAGTCCTTTCTTGTCTTCATTTTTGAAGAATCTATTGCATACCTTGTCATTCAGAAAAACATAAACGGGACCTCTCAATTAGCGGTAAAGTTCGTCAGTTTAACTTTTAAGCTTAAACTCCTGTTATAGTTCGGTCACTTACTCGTCATCAAAAAGATATTTGAGCTGATATTATGCAATAATTTATAACCAAAAACAGGAGGAAAAGGTCTCTGTTTGTCTCAGAAGTACAAGTTATGCATAAGGTGACAAATTACACAGCTTTGGGAAATGGGTCTTAATGGAATGCACCAGGCTAATAGAAAAGCAGTGCCTCGATTTCCCACCTCAGATCTGAAAACTCCTGAGAGACTGACAGGGCGGTTCCCCAGCTTGGCTGTGTGAGGAATCAGCTGGGAATCGAACACTGCAGTCTGGCTGTCACCCCCAGGATTCTAATGTAATTGTTCTGCATTGTGGATCGATGGATGGATGGATGAATGGCTGGACAGAAGGAAGACTTGGAAAAAATCTTTGAGTTTCTGTGGTTTACAATTTTATTTCCCAACTTGGCCCATGAATCCAGCTTGGTTTTTCTCCTCTTACCATCCTAAGGAGGGAGGGAGGGAGGAAAAGGGGGAAGGAAGCAGGTAGAAAGGGAACAGGGAAGGGAGGACTGGAGGAAGGAAAGCAGGGATCATTCTGGAGTGTACACTGGGCATTTGATTTTAAAGCAAATCCAAGAGATCATTAAATTTGTATCAATGAATACACTGTTACCCCTCAATCAACACTACAATTCATATATCAGAATAGCACTTTGTTACTTGTTTCTGAGATAGGGCTGGCTCTGTCACCCAGACTGGTGTGCAGTGGCACGATCACAGCTCACTATGGCCTCAGCCACCAGGGTTCAAGTGATCCTTCCACTCAGCCTCCTGAGTAGTTGGGACTACATGCCTGCACCATCATGCCTGGCTAATTTTTATTTTTGTAGAGACGAGGTCTCCTTGTGTTGTCCAGGCTGGTCTCAAACTTCTGGAATCAAGTGATCCTCCTGCCCCTGCCTCCCAAAATACTGGGATTACAGGCATGAGCCATGTCCAGCTGCCTTGTTTTTTTCTTTGAAGAGAATGATAGACCTTCCATAGGAAAAATGTTAAATATGTGTGTGCAGAAATAAAGATTTCAAATATTTTTGCAAGATATTTTTTCTAATACCACTTTTTTCTACATTTTCCATAATTTAGTGAAGATAGTAAATTAACAAAGTGGAAAAGACTGAATATTTTAAGAAAAGCCAAGTTTAAAAATTTTGAACCTAATATTTCTTAAAGTAGCTAAAATTCAGATATTGAGAATAAATTCAACTTGACATGGCAAAATTCTAATAGGCTGAAATAATGTTTTGGTCTAGAACTATGTAGCTTTGTGTAGCCCATCAATTGTCTAAAAAAAGAGTAACCTATTTTGATGAAACTCGCTGTATCTTGTAACCTGTATCCTGTCTTGGTATTGTGGGAGTATATATGATTTAGGGGAAAGAGTCTGGAGAGACCTTAAGTCTGCTTTAGGGAAAGGGTGAGGAACCCCACTGAAGGCTACTTAACGCATTTTGAGAATGTCAGTAAAGATTTCTCAGAGCCCAGGGATTTTTTTTTTAATTGAGACATAATTTACATACAATACAATTCCTTTTTTCTTTTTTTTGAGACGGAGTCTTGCTCTGTCGCCCAGGCTGGAGTGTGATGGTGTGATCTTGGCTCACTGCAACCTCTGCCTCCTGGGTTCAAGTGATTCTCCTGCCTCAGCCTACTGAGTAGCTGGGATTACAGGTGTGCGCCACCACGCTTGGCTAATTTTTGTATTTTTAGTAGACACGGGGTTTCACCATGTTGGTTAAGCTGGTCTCAAACTCCTGACCTCTAGATCCGCCTGCCTCTGTAATCCCAAAGTGCTGGGATTACAGGCGTGAGCCCCTATGCCCAGCCAAAATTCATTATTTTAAGCTGTACAATTGAGTGATTTTTATTACGTTCACAAAGTTACGTTACCATTACCACTTTTGAATTGCAGAACAATTTCATCACTCCAAAAAGAAATCTCATAACAATTAGCAGTTATTTTCCATCGCTACTTCCTCCAGTCCCAAGGCAATCAGCAGTCTGCTTTCTATCTCTACCTGTTTGCCTATTCTGGACATTTCATATGAGTGGAGTTAGATAATACATGGCCTTTTGTGACTGGCTTTCACTTAGCATAATGTTCTAGAGGTTCATTTATGTTATTGCAAAAATCAGTACTTCATTTCTTTTTATGGCTGAAAAAAATTCCATTATGTAGATGTGCCATATTTGTTTATCTGGTTGTCAGTCGGATATTTCTGTTGTTCCTACTTTTTGGCTACTGTAAAAGATGCTGCTATGAACATTATTGTGATTATTATACCTTATTTGTAAACATCATGGGTGGGGGGTTGCAGTAAACATGTTGGAAAGTAGGGTTGGAGGTCCGTAGAAATTGGGGGCTTCAGCACTTCCCCCAAGCTCAACACCAACCCCCTTTCTGAGCCCCTCTTGAAGGAGAGTTCCCTGGGACGTGCCTGGTATTGGTACAATCAGTCAGGAAGCATTTTTCCTGGGGAGAAACTTACAAGTCCACGATCAAAGCCAACAAGAGACAAGGTGTTACATGACTCATTTTCGGTTTAAGAAGTGACAGGCTGATTCTAAGTTGGGTTCAATTATTTTGTTAAAGCGTTTTGCTTATTTGACTTCTCCTGACCTCGGAAATAATTCTAACCAATCAGTGCTGGCTCCCATTGGCCCTGGGGTCTGGTTGCTTTACAGCTGGTGACAGGGGGACCACTCCACTACCACATGTGAATTAATCCTCAACTCCAGAGCCAAGTGCCATTCTCCAGCAAGGTTGTATTTCTTCATTAGCTATTCCCAGGGCCCAGAAAGTCCCAGAGGATGTCAGAGTACATTAATTTTTATCATAACATGGAATCTTTCAGGTCTGAATGGCAGCACACGGCTGTCAGGGGCTTCTGAACTCTATTACAGCTCCATATATCTCTAGGCAAAACAGAGGAAAGAGTCGTCATTGGCAAGGGAGATGTACAAAATGCATGAGATGTTTTATTTTTTGAGTGACTTGACCACGTGCTTAAGCACATTCCCCAAACAATTTTTTTCTTATTGTTTGTAAGTTGTAAGTTGTAAATTCACCTCTGCCACCACCTATTAAAGCCCACTCCCTGCATTAAAACTGTATAAAGTGTATTTAAATAAACTCTCTTTGCATGATGTGAATGAAATCGTCATCTGGTACTTAAAACTATTCTATAAAGTTATTAAAAAATTAATGTTCCCTTCCCATGATTTTTCTGCAGAATTTATGCATCCATGATACTGCAGAAGTTCATAAATAATGGCTTGTATTGCTGCTTTAGTATTGCTTTATGCCTACGAAATATAATGTTAATTTGTAGCAATGCTAATGTGTTTTCAGGAAGGCTCTTTGTTTATTGCCTTTATTTTCCCCACTTACCAAGTGGGTAAAATGCTTTGAGGGTTGCATTTTATGTATTCAGGAGGCCCAGGTATTATTTTAATAGAAGCACTATTGACAAATACCAGTCATCCCCCCTGTGCCAGGCCCTGGATGAGGCACTGCTTCGCATGGGGGCTCCCCAGATTGTCCCACAAGGAAAGCATAGTCAAAGACAAAGTTTTCAGTTGTAAGAGTAAATGTGTTCTGCCTAGGCATTGTCAAGTAATTTACTGCCAGCTCTAGCCCTTCACTCAAGTTTCCTGGATACTTTTGACTTCTTAGCCATGGATGTGTTTGAAGGCTGCATGGACCTTCACTTACTTGCACTGCAGGTCAGCCTAATTGCATGAGCTCTGTGGACCACAGAGCAGGGTTTTCCAAAGTTCACCAAGACAAATATTGTATTATCTTAACATATATTCATTTTTTAAAACTGAAAATCAGAAGAGCAACTCCACCTAGCAGAAGTCTTTTGCAAAGGGCGAGGCGAGGCTAAAAAGTATAGAAGAGTTCGTTTCCAGTGCAATTTTATAAACACAGATGGTCCTTAAATTAAGCAAATGGTACCTAAATGACTGTGTTGTGGATAATGGTAACAGAGGGAGGGACTCGGGGGTTTTTTAAAAAGTACTGATTGTATGCAGTGTTTTAAACAGATAACTGTGATCTTAGTGTGATGAAAGATGCTGGGAGATTTCACCAGTGGTATCTTATTATTTTTCGGGGATTTTGTAATTCAACAAAATTCTGTTGTATGCCAAGCATAACCCTAGGTGTGAGAGCACAAGGTGACTTCAGATACCACCTCTATCCTTCAGGGGTTTGGGGCCCATTATTATGACTTAATCCATTTTGGGCGTGAGAAGCTGAGGGTCACAGAAAGAACCAATTCCCTCTTTAAATAATGCCACCCCAACCCTCCTCATCTGCCAGGTCTTTCCCTTCTTCTATTTGTATGAATAATAGTCACTTTCTCTTGTGGAGTTCGCTAAATTCTACTTTGGCCTATCAAATTTCTTTCATATCACAACTAAATTTCTTAAGGACGGGACTATGGTTCATTTGTCAGACGAACAAATGGGAATTTGCCAAGAGACACTTGGGTTAATTTACGTCTTTTCCATCCAAGGGCACTATGTTGAAGTGAGGCTAGTAGGTCATGAGTGTGGTTGAAGTTACTTTTTCTTACTTTCCCGACCAGCCCCCATCCTTACTGCACTTAAAGTTGATTGTCCATTTTATTAAATGTCCCCAGGAAGCCAGAACACAGGGCAGTAAAGTGCTGAATGCAAAGGGCAGGAGAAAAATGGAAACAACCAGAACTGTAACACCAAGGAATGAGACCTGCATGTCAGATATCATGCCCATTGCACTAAGTGCCATTGGGGCACAATTATCAAATGGATGCATTTTCCCTAGAAAACCATCTTGGAGAGCATGTGGATGTACTTCTATTTTACATTTCCCCCTATTTACAATCAATGAGATTGAGATTTTGTTGCTGGGACTGCTGATGATGGGATGGGAAAATATAATCAAGGTAATGGACATGAGGCAAAAATTTAAGGAAATGACAAAAACAAGAGTATTTCCATTTTCAGTTAAGTGTATGTACTGATGTTCTGGAATTCACTATAAGAAGTTGCAAATGGTGCATGAAATGAAAAATTCCTGGTGGTCTCCAGGGGACACAGCCGGTGCTGTGCTCCACTCTGGGTAACTGTTTTGGATTATTTTCTCTATTCCAACTGAAATAAAAAAAAATTAATTAAATGTGGCTAGGTTATCTTGACAGCAGAATCCATTCCCAGTTAATTATTATTTTAATACTTGATGGTGTCTGTCAAATTGTCGACATGTGACGGTCCTTTCAAATTTAAAGGAATAGCTGATGGTCACTGGCCACCCAAGCTGATACTGATTTTATATGTTGATGTTTCTCATTTTATTTGCTCTTTCCTTGAATATTTATTCAGGACATTCTCTACCAGACATATTGAGTAAGGGCAACAGAAACAATACATAAGTATCTTATAAATGTGGAAAACAATGTATATGTGTTTTTTATCTCTCAATGATTGGTGGGTACCATATCCCCAAAGTAGAATGAGCATTTGAGAAAACAGGAAATATCCTCTTTTAGGCACCATCTCTGTCAAGGCTGATGCTGGGCTTTTTATATATTTTCTCTAATTCTTGTGGCTGTCAAACAAGGTGGGCATTATCATTCCCTTTATAGGGGACACAGCTGTGGCTCAGAGGGGTTTATTCACTTTCCTGAGGGCCACACACATAATGAGAGGCAGACACAGGTGACGAAGTGAGTTTTCCCTGTCACGCCATCTTATCTGTCACATACCTCTCTGACATGCTAAAATTGCACTAAACAAAAGAATTCTCTTATGCACATATCATGCAAAAGATATTCTTTAACTGGGGATCATGTTTCTCATTCCATCAATAGAATGACTAACATTTTCTGAGGGTGTCTCACGTGAAAGTAAATCGCTCATGTTTGTTCTTTTTAAAAGATGCCCTTCGTATTGTGTATCTTGCAGTCTTGCTTTCTCAAACTTAAGCCAACTATATCGTCATTTTTGCAAAATCACTGCGTCAGTTTACTATTATTTAATGTTTATTGCTACCAATTTTAAGAAATCCTTTATAGGACTATTTGTGAAATTGATTTTGTGAGGATGATGATATAATTTCCATTACATTACAGCATATAAATATAAATATATATATATATATATATATATATATATATATATATATATATATATATATTTTATTATTTTTTTTTGAGACGGAGTCTTGCTCTGTCACCAGGCTGGAGTGCAGTGGTGCAATCTCGGCTCACTGTAACCTCCGCCGCCCGGGTTCAAGCGATTCCCCTGCCTTAGCCTCCTGAGTAGCTGGGACTACAGGCATGTGCTACCACACCCAGCTAATTTTTTGTATTTTAGTAGAGATGGTTTCACCATGTTGGCGAGGATGGTCTCAGTCTCCTGACCTCGTGATCCGCCTGCCTTGGCCTTCCAAAGTGCTGGGATATACATTTTTTTTTTTTTTTTGAGAGATGGAGTGTCACTCTGTTGCCGAGGCTGGAGTGTAGTGGCGCAATCTCGGCTCACTGCAACCTCCTCCTCCGGGGTTCAAGCGATTCTCCTGCCTCAGCCTCCCCAGTAGCTGGGATTACAGTCGTGTGCCACCACGCCTGGTTAGTTTTTGTATTTTTAGTAGAGATGGGTTTCACTGTGTTGGCTAAGGTGGTCTCAAACTCATGACCTCAAGTGATCCGCCCGCTTCAGCCTCCCAAAGTGCTGGGATTACAGGCGTCAGCCACTGTGCCCGGCCGGATAGAAATAATTTTTATAAACTCCTTGGATGCTACCTAAAATCATCTTGTTTTGCTAGTGGCACATGCTGCATTTTGGGCAGCTGTGGCCTTGGTGGATTGCTGAAGTAGATTTGACCTTACCTGGACTGAGGCAGCTGTTGAAGGGAATTGCTGTGTTCAGTGTATACTGCCATCCATGATTTCATGAAACCAGCTCTAGCTATTTAAGCAGGGGTCAAACTTAGAATTCTACATTATTTTTTTCCCTTTTCTGGGAGGAAAGACAGTTGAACACCAGCAAAGACTAAGAAGTTTCTTAGAAGACTGTGGGTCCTTGGGCCCTTTCTATTGAATTTCAGAGTATTTCCAAATACTATGAAGTCTTGCAGCTTAGTTGAGAAATGCCCCAGATGGTGTGACATTCTGCTTCCAGGAGGGATTGGAAAGTATTTCCTTTTACATAACATTCCACTCAGCTCATTCCTTTGCTGTGTCTGAAATTGAATCCCCCAAAGCCACAATTATCTTAACATTCAGAAGAGTGTTTATTTAATCTGCAAAATCTTGCCTCACTTTTGGGGAGCATGTTAACAATTTCACTTACAAATCTTCTGTGTAACTCAACCCCATGGTGGTGTCTACTGCTGCTCCTAGACTCTTTAAAGCACCTTTCTCATCTCAGGTTTGAAATGATATGTCTCATTCTTGGGTTCCTTGAGTCGTAATGGGTTTGTCTTGTCTCCACAGCATAAATGACTCTTTCTTGATCAACTAGAACCACATCAACTTCTTCCCTCCAGCTTCAGTGATATATTGTGAAACATGGCTATTCAACGTCCTGTAGACCAAATGCCATAAGAAAAATAGCATTGATTCAAACGTATCCATCCAGATACCTAAAAAAGTTTTACTTCTTACCACATCTTGAGTCTGGGCAAACACGCACTTCCTATGGACATTGATTACTGTCTACTGTAGAGATAACATTTGCACATACAGATTATGGCACATGGTAGAAAGTGTTAAGTAATGTAGGAATGGACATATCCCAAGCAAAATTGGAAGCCAAGTCCCCTGTCCCTGCTCAAGTTGGTATGACTGGTGTATGGTGCCTTAATGGGTACTTAAAGTCCAGGTGAGAGTGGCAGGAGGCAGCCAAATGCCTAGGTAGATAGGAGCCGGTCCCTGTTGAAACCCCACTTCCAAGTTGAAGACAGTTTAAAGACTGAAAGCCAAGCTACAAGTTAAATCCTCGGACCAGATTGAGAACTTGTCTTCTTACTTGGTGCACTCTTCTGATTGATCCCCACCTTTCACCTATTTTACATATTCCTGCCCTTCCCTAACTGGTTTCCTATGCTGTCATGCCCACCTTTGAGTGTTGCCTTCACTTTAACCTTCTGTGCATGCTCACAAAGTAATTAGCATGTACCCTCCATTCTGAGTTAATATAAGGCCCCAGACCCAGCCACATGGGGCAACTTTACTGCCTTCAGGTAGGGGAACCACCCCCACCACATTCCCTCTCCACTGAGAGTTTTCCTTTTAGTTAATAAATTCGGCTCCACTCACTCTCCATTGTCTGCATGCCTAATTCTTCCTGGTTGTGAGACAAGCAGTTGGACCTAGCTGAGCTAAGGAGCAGAAAGACTGTATCACAGGGAACTTGTGTAACAGCTTGATCTCCTGTCCTACGTAGCTATCTATTGGTAAGAAGTTGAAGGAACTTGTGTCATTCCGTTGTGCCTGTCGTCTTGACCTTGTAAAAGGTCTTGGGTAAGCATGCAAGAAGTTTTGAAGAGGGAGATACAGCTAATTTGCAGATAAAGAGCAAGGGAAGAATTCCTGGAGAAAGGAAGAGTTTCCTGAGTCACCTTTGGGAGGTAGGAAGGGTTTGACATGTAGGCTGGGCATCTGGGAACGAGTGAGGGATTCTGTGAGCCCCATCTCAGTGGACCACTCAAGGAAGGTGGGTAAGCCCTGGGTATAAGTGTGTAAGCAGGGAACAGAAAGTACTGTGATTTAAAATATGTTAATTTTTCTACTGTACAGATGAGAGCCAGCTTGGAGATGGGCTGTAGCTCAAGCATCTTACCTACCTCTGATTTCTTAATGCCACGTTATAAGGCTGCTGCTTATAGCTCTTGAAGTCACTCCAAAAACAGATGAGTGAGACCCTGTTGCTAAAGTCCCACTGGGTGTAGATTATTCACAGATGTATACACAGTGGCTCACTCCAGGTAGGATGTGATCAGTGCTTTTAGAAATACAGAAAGTCCTATTGGTTTAAAAAAAATTTTTTTTTGTAATGAATTGAGTTTTAAAGCTAGCACTGTACAATAAAAGGGTGAATTTCACTATGAATTATGACAAACACAGTCATAGAGCTGCCATCATCACTGTCAAGATACAGAACAGTGCCATCACCCCCCAAATGTCCTCTGTGCCTTACTGTAGTCATACCTGCTCCTGACACCTAGCCCCTGGGAACCATTGATCTTTTTTCTGTCCCTAGTTGTTTGTCTTCTCTGCAATGTTACATAAACAGAAATATTCTGGGTGTCGCTTTTGGAGTTTGGATTCCTTCCCATAGCATAATGCATGCAGTATTTGTCTGTTTCTGCTAAATTACCCCCAAGACCTAGCGACTTAAAACAGCAAACATACACTATCTCACTCTGTTAGTTTTCCATTGCTGTTGTAATAAATTACCACAAACTTATGTGCTTAAAACCCAAAGCTATTATCTGACAGCTCTGTAGGTTAAAGATTTGTCATGGTTCTCATTGGGCTAAAATTAAGGTGTCGGTATGGCTCTGCTGCTTTCTAGAGACTCCAGGGAGAATATTTTTCCTTGCCTTTTCCAGCTTCTAAAGGTCACCCACAACATCTTCAAAACCAGCACTGTTGCATCTCTGACCTTAGCCCTGTAGTCCCATTTCCCTCTAGCCACAATCGGGAAAGGATCTCAGGACTGTTGTGATGACACTGTGCTTACCTAGATTATCTAGCATGAGCTCCCTGTCTCAAGGTGATAGAGTTTGCATGTTTTTCTCCTGCACATGCCATGTTGAAACATAATCCCTAGTGTTGGCGGTGGGTGTGCTGGGAGGTATTTGGATCATGGGGGTGGAACCCTCATGCATGACTTACGGCCATCCCTTTGGTGATAAGTGAGTTCACATGATATCTGGCACCTTCCTTCCTCTGTTGCTCTTGCCCTCACCATGTTAGCTGCCTACTCCCCTTTTGCCTTCCGCCATGACTGTAAGCCTCCTGAGGCCTCACCGGAAGCCAAGCACATGCTTCTTGTAGAGTCTGCAGAATCGGAGCCAATTAAATCTCTTTTCATTATAAATTATCCAGCCTCAGTTACTTCTTTATTGCAGTGCAAGAATAGCTTAACACACAAGGTCTTACCCTTGATCACGGTCTGCAGCATGTCTTTTACCATGTAAGGTAATATGTTCAGTGGCTGTGGGGGTTAGGATGTGGACTTCTTTGGGGGACTTTTATTTTTCCCAGTTACTATTTTTGTGACTCAGGAATTTAGGGACAGTTTGGCTGGTTGTTTCTGGCTCAGGGTCTTTCTTGGGCTGCAATCAAGATGTCAGCTGGGGGCTGGGCATGGTGGCTCACTCCTGTTATCACAGCACTTTGGGAGGTCGAGGTGAGTGGACCATTTGAGGTTAGGAGTTTGAGACCAACCTGGCCAACATGGTGAAACGCCATACTAAAAGTACAAAAATTAGTTGGGCATGGTGGCACATGCATGTAATCCCAGTTAGTTGGGGGGCTAAGGCTGGAGAACAGCTTCAAAACAGGAGGCGGAGGTTGTGGTCAACTGAGATCACACCACTGCACTCCAGCCTGGGTGAAAGAGCAAGGCCCCACCTCAAAAAAAAAAAAAAAAAAAAAAAGTTAGCTGGGGCCAAGGTCATCTCAAGTCTTGACTATGAAAGGACCTAACATCATGCATGGCTGTTGGCAGAGGTCACTTCCTCATGAGCATTAAACTGAAAGCTATAATTCCTGACTATTGACCAGAGGCGAACCTCAGTTCCCTGCCATGTGGGCCTCTTCATGGGGCAGTTGATAACACAGCAGTTAGCTTCCATTGGATTGAGTAAGCAAGAGAGCAAGAACAGGAGTGATACAGAAGCCAGCATCTTTTTGTAAACCAATCTCAGAAGAATTGTCCATGATTTTTTCTATATTCTGTTAGTTAGAAACAAATTCCTAGGTCTCACCCACCCTTGAGGTGAGGGGATTACACAAAAGTATGAAAACCAGGAAGCAGGGAGCATTGGGAGTCATTTGGACCCTGCCTAGGACAGTGCGTTTGAGATCCATGTTATTCTATCCATTAGTAGTAGTTTGCTTCTTTTTAATGTTGAGTAATATGCCATTGTGTGTTTATATATTGCTAATGGATTTTAAAGAGGGCTAATCAACGTGTTGATTAGAGGGAAATTTTCTTCAGTGAAATAATATTTGAGCAAAACCTTGAAGAACAATTAGGAATTTGACAGAGGGAATGGCACGAATAAAGACCCAGACTTAATCAAGTGAGGGGCGTACTCATCCATGGGGCAGTGGATGATTCACCTGCCTGGAGCTTAAGGAGAAGGGGGTGTAGTTGTGGCTGTTGCTCAGAAGGACCTGAATGTCAGGATGCATTTGTGTTTAATTTAGCAGACATTTAGGAACCATTAAAAGTTTTTGAGAATGGGTAGGTAAGATTAGAATAGTATTTTAATAAGTTTAACTAGGCTTTAACCAGTATTCATAAAAAGTCAAGTGGGAGAATGTAGAGGTGACAAGACCAGGTGTGGGCTATTGCAGTGACTACACCTAAAAGGAACAGAGCTAGAAACATGGAGTGACATGAAGTCATTGTCTTAGGTTGGTGATCCTAGCAGCTGAGCCTGGGATGGGGATTCTTGTTCCTATGATCGATTAGGGGACTGTTCCCAGAGGAGAGCGGAGAGGGAAGCAGGCTTTGGTTTCTACTGGAAATCTGTTTCCGCCCGATTCCATGGGGAGCTCTGGAGAAGGAATTGTATCACCGAGTTGGTCCTCCTTGTCAACAGAGCATGTGTGTGGGGGTGATGACTTCCCAGATGTGAGGGTGCCCTCCAGCAATGGACAGTTATCTGGAGGAGTTCATGCTCCAGAGGTAGTGCCTACCTCTGTGGAGAAGTAGGGGATGGCACGGTATTTTAGGGGTTCCTAATGAGCCTAGAGATACTGACATTGACCAGTCATGGAGACTAAAGGAGAAGATGGGATAGCACATTGTTTTCCTAAGTATTTGTAATCAGGTGACTGGTTTGCAAATATCAGCCATTACAGAAATAAAGGGTATCAGGACGGGGAGGAGATGTGAGGAGAGAAGATGAAGAGTTTAGATTTAGGCATGTTGACCCTGAATTTGTGGGAAGGTATCCAGGAAGATAAGACTGACAGGTGGGAATGAGATTCTGGAACTTGGAAAGAATATAGTGGCTAGAGCTAAGGGTTTGAAGTCTTCATGGCGATTTTGTTCGGAGTCATGGATTTGGAAGAAACTGCTGCAGGGAAGATTTTAGAGATGGAATGAAAAGAGATTGGTGATGGAACAATGGGCAAAAGAGGAAGGGTTGGAGGAGACAAAAAATGGAGTGGTAGTGGCATTGGGAGGTCCAAGAGTGGATGGTATCACAGAAGCCAAGACAGGAAAGTGAGCCAGAAGTGAGGGAGGAGCAGGATCCTCTGCAACAGGGCAGTCTAGTCTTAGCAGAGAGGAGGTTGCTGAATTTATTGATTGAGAAGCCACTCCTCGCCAGGCAGTTTTGAGAGGTTCTGGATGGTGATAGAATGGAATTCATTCAGCTGATGATGAGAAGTAGATTTGGGTCAGGGAAGGAGACTGAATGGAGATGAATATTTCAAAACTATAGACCATAAATGGGAAGAGAGAGACGAGTGCAACCTGCCTAGGTCAAGTGAATGTCCTTTTTTCTCTTCCCAGCCCTTGTCTTTTTTACCCTCTTTGTTTTCTGCATTTCTTTCCTTCTGTTCTGATTTTTCCTTACCTGATGGTCAGAAAGATCTGATTGAGCTGACGCGTAGCAAGAATGAGCCAGTGGAGAGGAAAATGTAACCACCTAATGGGTTCTCCTTTCCTGCTAGCTGGACAGAGCTGATTTATCAAGACGGGGGTACTGCAAATAGAGAAAGAATTTAATCCACACAGAGCCAGCTGTATGGGAAACCAGAGTTGTACTACTCAAATCAATCTCCCCGAGAATTCAGGGATCGGAGTCTTTAAGGAGAAATGTGGTGGATAGGGAGCCAGTGAGTGATCTGGGAGTGCTGATTGTCTCACGTGTCCATGTGAAGAGACCACCAAACAGGGTTTGTGTGAACAACAAGGCTGTTTATTTCACCTGGGTGCAGGTGGGCTGAGTCTGAAAAAGGAGTCAGCAAAGGGTGATGGGATTGTCATTAGTTCTTAGAGGTTTTGGCATAGGCGGTAGAGTTAGGAGCAATGTTTTTGGGGCAGCGGGTGGATCTCACAAAGTACATTCTCAAGGGTGGGGAGAATTACAAAGAACCTTCTTAAAGGTGGTGGAGATTACAAAGTACGTTGATCAGTTAGGTAGGGACAGAAGCAAATCACAATGGGGGAATGTCATCAGTTAAGGCTATTTTCACTTCTTTTGTGGATCTTCAGTTGCTTCAGGCCATCTGGATGCATACGAGCAGGTCACTGGGGATATGATGGCTTAGCCTGGGCTCAGAGGCCTGACACTGATTTGTTGGCTTGAAGATGAAATCACAGGGAATCAAAGGTGCCCTCCTGTGCTGACTCAGTTCCTGGGTGGGGGCCAAAGGACTGGTTGGCAGGTCTGCATGGGGCCACCGTGTTGTCAGAAATGCAAAAATCTGGCTGGTGCAATGGCTTACCCCTGTAATCCCAGTACTTTGGGAGGCTGAGGTTGTCAGGCCTCTGAGCCCAAGCTGAGCCGTCATAACCCCTGTGACCTGCACATATACATCCAGATGGCCTGAAGCAACTGAAGAACTACAAAAGAAGTGAAATAGCCAGTTCTTGCCTTAACTGATGACATTCCATCAGTGTGATTTGTTCCTGCCCCACCCTAACTGATCAGTTGACCTTGTGACATTCCTCTTCCTGAGGCAGTGAGTCTCAGGAGCTCCCCCACCGAGCACCTTGTGACCCCCGCCCCTGCCTGCAAGACAAAACCCCCTTTAACTGTAATTTTCCACTACCCACCCAAATCCTGTAAAACTGCCCTACACCTATTTCCCTTTGCTGACCCCTTTTTCAAACTCCGTCTGCCTGCACTCAGGTGATTAAAAAGCTTTATTGCTCACACAAAGCCTGTTTGGTGGTCTCTTCACATGGACACGTGTAACAGAGGTGGGCAGATCACTTGAGGTCAGGAGTTCAAGACCAGCCTGGCCAACGTGGTGAAACCCTGCATCTACTAAAAATACAAAAATTAGCTGGGCATGGTGCTGTGCACCTGTAATCCCAGCTACTCAGGAGGTTGAGGCACGAGGATCACTTAAACCCAGGAGGAGGAGATTGCAGTGAGCCAATTGCGCCACTGCACTCCAGCCTGCAATGCAGAGTGAAACTGTCTTAAAACAAACAAACAAACAAAAAGCAAAAATCTGAAAAGACATCTCAAAAGCCAATCTTAGGTTCTACAACAGTGATGTTATCTGCATGAATAATTGAGAAAGTTGCAAATCTTGTGACCTGAGGAATAACGGCTGGTAATTATTTAAAACTCAAGCCCCTCTCATCCTAACGTGGTGGCCTTTCATTCATTTTACAGGAACAGTTTAGTTTTGGGGGAAAGCTGTTATTTAAACTATAAACGAAATTTCTCCCAAAGTTAGCTTGGCCCATGCCCAGGAATGACCAAAGACAGCTAACCAGTTACCGGAAACGGGTCCCAATCTAGACCCCAAGAGAGAGTTGTTGGATCTTGGGCAAGAAAGAATTTGGGGTGAGTCTATAAAATTAAAGTAACTTTATAAAGAAAGTAAAAGAATAAAAGAATGGCTACTCCATAGGCAGAGCAGCAACTTTGGCTGTTGGACTAAGGATATTTATAGTTAATTATTGATTAGCTATAATATATTTTAATATAATATATATAATTATAATACAATATTATATATAATATATATTTTATGTAACTATAAACAAGGGGTAGATTACTCATGAGTTTTCACGGAAAGGGGTAGGCAGTTCCCGGAAGTGAGGGTTCTTCCCCTTTTTAGACCATATAGGGTAACTTCTTGATGTTGCCATGGCATGTGTACACTGTCATGGTGCTGGTGGGAGTGTCTCTTAGCGTGCTAATGGATTCATATTAGGGTATAATGAGTAGTAAGGATGACCAAATGTCGTTGCCATCTTTGTTTTGGTGGGTTTTGGCCGGCTTCTTTACTGCAACCTATTTTATCAGCAAGGTCTTTATGACCTGTATCTTGTGCTGACCTCCTATGTTATCCTGTAACTTAGAATGCCTGACCTCGTGGGAATGCAGCCCAGTAGGTCTCAATCTTATTTTACCCAGCCCCTATTCAAAATGGAGTCACTCTGGTTTGAATGCTTCTGACAAACCTCTGAGACTAAGGACAAGATGGAGTCTGTTAGGTTAGTTTTAATTTCCTCAGTTATTATTTCACAAAGGGGGTTTCAGAAAGATAGAAAATGCTAGAAAGAGACGGGGTAGTCAGTGGTAGGGATCTTGAGGGGTTAAAAAAGGGAAGGAGCTGGTCCCTTTGCAGTAGGAAGTGCCACCTCACTCCACTCTTGCCAGAAAGCCTGGCTCTGTCATAAGGAATCTTGGCCCATTGTCACTCTCATTGATGACAACCCCCGCCCCCACCACTACCACCTTAACTACTGAGGGGATGTCCTCTGGCCCAGAAGGAATGCATTGGCTCTAGTTGAAGGGGTTGCTGGTTTGTAAATAGCATCCCCACAGTCAGCAGACACAGAGAATGCCATGGGGCCACTCATCAGAAAGGTGGAGGGGCTTTATCTGTGGGTAGATGAGAGCCATGTAGAACCTGCATGCTGCCTTCCATTGGAATCTCAGGCTCTAAACAAGGAGGACAACCTTTTCTGCCCTTAATCACCTCTCACAGATGAGAATCCACCCAAGAAGAAGAAAAAAAATCAGCCCCTTAAAATGCTGACTAGTAACATCAGTTTTTGGAAGGATACTATTTTTGTTTCCATTCTGTCTTTATAGTTTGAACTTTTCCTTTTCATAGTCTGTAAATATTCATCATCTCAGAGCCTTTTGAATTGCAATGGCTTTTAGTCAAAACTGAGCGCAATGTGCCATTTGAATAATAAGAACCTCATTAAAGTGAGGCAAAAGTAATTCTTTTCCTTTTGTACAAGCCAATTAAGTGTCTTTACAATTAAAACAAAGTCAAGCACTTTATAGTTTCATATTCCACAAGCCTGTTTTTAATTAATAGAGGTGACAAGTTTTAGGTACAGGATACATATTTTGCCTCTGGAGTTGTGCAATTAACATTAATGAAGGGTATTAAAATTTGGTGAGAGAGGAAAGGGTTTTCCCAGGTCCTCTGTGGGTTCTTGCCTCCAGGCCTGTCTTTGGTAGCAAGTTCCTTGGTTTGCTGAGGTTTGCATTTTCTTGAGAGAATGTACAGGCAAGAATAAAAGTAACTAGAAGAGACATTGTTGTTATTGAGAAGTATGAAGTTAAAATTCCCAATGTCCAGGCCTGTCTTAAAATTAGGTAAACACTGCAGAAACTATCTTTGAGGAATTTAATTTTGTCTTGTGGATAAAAGTGAAGGATAAAGAGGAGAAATAACAATTATCTAAGCTGGCAGGCCAGCAAGATACTGGGGCTTTACTTCTCACAACCATGGGAGGAGTATATTTAGTTTACAGGGGAGGACACAGATTCACAGGGGTGAACTAACTGGCCATGAGTCAGGTAAGGAAAATAACATGGCTGAGCTACAGTTTCTCTAAGAAGTTGGTTCTGTCCATTTCAGGGAGCTTATGTAAGACAGAAGGTATTGTGCAGTAGCCTTGAAGTCAGGTGACCCTTTGGGGGTGTGTGTGTGTTTGCTTCTTTATATTAGCTTTTTTTTCATTTTGAGACAGGGTGTTGCTCTTCCTCAGTTGCCCAGGCTGGAGATCAGTGGGGTGATTACAGCTCACTGCAGCCACAACCTCCCAGGTTCAAGAGATCCTCCCACCTCAGCTTCCCAAGTAGCTGAGACTACAGGTGCATGCCACTGGCTATTTTTATTTTTTTCTTTTTAGTTTTGAGTTTTTAATTTTTTGTAGAGATGAGGTCTTGCTATGTTGTCCAGGTTGGTCTTGAACCCCTGAGTCCAAAAGATGCTGCTGTCTTGGCCTCCCACTGTGCTGAGATTACAGGCATGAGCCACCATATCTGGCCTATGTTAGCTATTTCTGAAACTTCATTTCTGTCTGTAAATGGCAATCATAATATATGTCACGTAGGGTTCTTAAATACAAAAAGCTCTTAAAAAGTGCCTAACCCATAGTTAGTACTCAAAAAAGGAAAAAAAAGTATTAATAGCCCTGGAAAAGTGAGCAAAATATTTCAGATGCAACCTGAAAGGAGTTCAAATGTAAGTCTCTCTTCACTTTGCCCATCTTTCCCTCTTCCCCGCAAGGTTTTTAGCAGTGGTCCTGTCTTACTACAATATATGAATTATCCCTGCTACAAATTAGTAGATTCTGCTTTGATTTGAAGCAGAGTCTAATGAGTGTTACAGGTAGGCTCGGTGCTTCAAAGGATTTCTGCCTATCTCTTCACAGAGTAGCTGGGCTATTGAGGGACTGTGTATTGACAATTGTAGTGGGCACCCTATGTGGAAAACAGGTGTTGTCAAATAACTGCAACTGACCCCAACCACACCATGACTTTTCAGGTTTTAGGTAGGGGATGGGTGGGAAAACAGATGAGGCAACAGAATGAATTATTCCTTAATAAGATCCAGATTACCGAGTGATAATAAGATTTGCATGAATACTTCAAACAACAACAGTGATTAAATACGTTTTTCTAGTTAAAAAATTAATGAGTGCTTTCCAGCAAGCGCTTAAAGAATTAATACTGGCCGGGAACGGTGGCTCACGCCTGTAATCCCAACACTTTGGGAGGCTGAGGTGGGTGGATCACGAGGTCAGGAGGTCAAGACCATCCTGGCTAACATGGTGAAACCCCGTCTCTACTAAAAATACAAAAACAAGATTAGTGGGGCGTGGTGGCGGGCACCTGTAGGCCCAGCTACTTGGGAGGCTGAGGCAGGAGAATGGCGTGAACCCGGGAGGTGGAGCTTGCAGTGAGCCGAGATTGCACCACTGCACTCCAGCCTGGGCAGGAGACAGAGTAAGACTCCATCTCAGAAAAAAAAAAAAAGAATTAATATCAATTTTCCACAAACTCTTTTAAAAAAACAGAAGAGGAGGAAACACTTTCCATCTGACACTGTGAAGCCACTATTACTCTGACAACAGAGGCAGACAAAGATATCACAAGAAAAGGAAACTTTAGGTCACTTTCACTTATAAATAGAGATGCAACAATTTTGTACAAAATGCTAGCAAGCCAAATGCAGCCACATATACAAAGAATTGTATATTATGACTAAGTGGAATTTATCCAAACAATTCACGGTTGGTTTTATATTAAAAAATCAGTCAATATAATATAACATAATAGTAGAATAAAAGATCCTCTCAATACATACATAAAAACATGTTTTAAAAAGGTCCAGCACGCTTTCTTGATGAAAACTTTTAGTAAACTTGGAACAAAGTGGCATTTTCTCAACTCAATAAAGGGCATCTGCAAAAAACCCACAAATGACATCATAATTAATGCTGAAAGATTGAGTACCGTCCCCTTAGGATCAAGAAATAAGACAAGGATATTCACTCTCATCACTTTAATATTCTACTAGAAATCCTAGCTAGGGAAATTGGGCAAAAAACAAAAAAGCAAAAGAATGGAAAAAAAAGATCCAGATTGAAAAGAAGTAAAACTATCTTTATTTGCAAATGAAATCACCTTATCTGTAGAAAATCCTAGAAAGGTACTTAAAAAATATTAAAATGAACAGGTTCAGCCAGGATAAAAGTAGGATAAAAGTTTAATATGCGTAAGTCAATTGTATTTCTATATACTAGCAATGAAGGCATCCCATGTTCATGTATCAGAAGATTTAATATTGTATAGCTGACCAAACTCTGCAAATTGTGTACAAATTTAGTGCAATCTCTATTAAAATTTCAGTTGACTTTTTTACAGAAATTGAAAAGCTGATCCTACATTTTGTATATGAATGCAAAGGAACCTGAATAACCAAAACAAGCTTGAAAAAGAAGAGTGTTGGAGGGCTTCCATTTCTCAATTTCAAAACTTTCTATAAATCCTTAGTAATAAAGACAGTGTCATATTGGCATAAGAATAGATCTATAGATAATAAAATAGACTTGAGAGTCCAGAAATGAATCCATGCATATTGTGAATTGATTTTCAGCAAGGATGCCAAGACAATTCAAAATAGTCTTTTCAACAGTGATGCTAGAACCACTGGATAGCCCCATGCAAAAGAATGAGATTAGATCACACTTGCATAAACTACACAGCAAAAAATAGCAAAAAAAAAAAAAAAAAAAAAAAAAGGGTCAGAGACTTAAATGTAAGAGCTAAAACTATACAACTCTTAGAAGCAAACATAGGGGTATATTTTTCTGATTTTGGCTTAGACAATGATTTCTTGGATACAACCCTGACAGCACAAGTGACAAAAGAAAAAAAGATATCCAGAATGATCCAGAATGAAAAGTGTTTGTGCTGCAAATGATACCATCACGAAAGTGTACAGATGACCTACAGAATGGGGGAAATACTTACAAATTAAATATTAAATAAGGGATTTGTATCTAGAATAAAGAACTTTTACAATTCAATAATGAAAACTCATTTAAAAAATGAGCATAAGATCTAAATAGATATTCCTCCAAATATGATACACAAATTGCCAATGAATACATAAAAGATGTTCAATCTCATTAGGGAAATGCAAATGAAAGCCACAATGAGATTCCACTTATTGCTAGGATGGCTAAAATAAAAAAGTCAGATAACAAATACTTACAAACACATGGAGAGATGAAAGTTCAAATACAGTCCTGGCGGAAATGTAAAATTGTATGGCCAAACTGGAAAACAGTTTGGCCATTATTCAAAAAGTTAAACATTGAATTACCATATGACCCAATAATCCCACTCCTAGATGTATCTTGAAGAGAAATGAAAACATGCATTTCCATAGCATCTTACAAATGAATGTACATAGTAGTGATATTCCTAATAGCCAATAAATGGAAACAATCCAAATATCCATCATTGGTGAATGGATAAACAAAGCGTGGTATATTCATATAATGGAATATTATTTGCCCATTAAAAAGAAATGGATTACTGATATATGCTACAACATGGATGAACCCTGCAAACATCATGCCAAGGGACAGAAGCCAGTCACAAAAGACTACGTATTGTATGGTTCCATTTAGTATATAAAATGTCCGGAATAGGCGAATCTATAGGACAGAAAGTACACTGATGGTGTTTTGGGAATAAGAGTGTAGGTAGATAGAGGGTGGCTAGTGATTGCTAATTTTTTTTTTTTTTTTTGAGTTAAAAAAGTGCTATAAAATTAGAATGTAGTTATGGTTGTACAATTATTTGAGTATACTAAAACAGCTGTACAGTATACATAGGTAGATTTTATGGTATGTGCATTATATTTCAGTAAAGTTCTTTAATAAATTAGCTAATGCTTATTGTAGAAAAGTTGGAAAATACCAAAAACCATAAACAGGAAATAGGAAAAAAAGTAATCCTGACTGTATATCTGGAAATCTTTTCGTGGGGTATGGGGTATGAATCACACATATTAATTTTAATTTCCTGCTTTTTCAATTAAATTGAGAAAGTTTGGGAACCTCTGGCTTAATCATTATTTATCCACTTCTCTGTTGTTGGATGTTAGATTGCTTCTAGTTCATATGTAATTTTATAATTTTAGTTGACATGTCATTATGGATTCTTGGGCATAAACGTTTATATGAATTTTGAATATTAGGAAATAATCTTGGAAGCTATATTAGTTTTCTAAAGCTATTATAACAAATTACCACAGATGGAGTGCCTCAAAACAACAGAATTTTACTCTCTTACAGTTTCAGAGACCAAACATCTGAAATCAAGTGGTTTGCAGCGTTGGCTCCTTCTGGAGGCTGGAAGGAGCATCTGTTCCATGCCTTTCTCCTAGCTTCCCATGACTGCCAGCCACCCTTGGAATTTCTTGGCTTTTATCTTAGTCAGTCTAATCTCTGCCTCTGTCTTTCCATCTCCTTCTCTGTGGGTGTTCCTTCTCCCCTTCTGTTTTGTAAGGATAGGCCTGTCATTGGATTTAAGGCCCACCTTAATCCAAGATGATCTCATTTTAAGATGTGGGACTTAATCACATTTGCGAAGACCCTTTTTCCAAATAAGGTCGCATTCACAGATCCCTACCATTCAACTCACTATGGAAGCAATGGGATGGGAGGTACCATTCAACTCACAGATTCCTACCATTCAACCCACTATAAAGCAGTGGCATATGAAAAGGATGGGAGGTTGCTATGGGAATGGTCTGCCCCAGATGCAGGTAAAATGGGGAAGCATTTTATATAGAATGGAAAAACAACAGTAAAGCTGGCTAAAACTTGATCTGCTTTTTACAGTCATGTGCTGACAATTCTAAACATTATCAATGATAAAATACTTCTCCCTCATGATATTAACTGTGCAATTTTTGCTGCCCCTGCTACATACATGCTTTATTGCTTGGAAACAGGATTACTTGGTGAAATAATGTGAATCTTTCAATTCTCATGATACATGTTTTCAACTTAATATCCAGGGTGCAGGAATATATATTCCCACCAACTTTATACAAGATAATACAAATATAATAGTATGAATAAATATGCTAATTTGATAGAAAATATTTTAATATTTACTACTAGTGTAGTTGGACGTGTTAAATATTGCAATGGTTATTTGTAATCTACCTTTATAAAATTTCTAATGTCTGCCACTGTTTCTGTTAGACTCTTAAGAAGATACGTGTTTGTCTCATAGATTTGTAAGAACTCTTTATATACTAAAAATATGGGGCTTCTATATGATTGCATATATTCGTCACTTTTGTTCCACTGTTTTAGAGAGCAGAAGATTTTAATTTCTATAAAGATTTTTATGTTTCCCTTTATTGCATGCCAATGTTTGTTTTTTAAAAACTTGTACGTCTTAGGCTGCGATGTGAAAAGTGTCTTTTTTTTGATTTGGAAACAGAGTCTTGCTCTGATGCCTGTAGTGGTATGATCATAGCTCATTGCAGCCCTTGAACTCCTGGGCTCAAGTAATCCTCCTATCTCAGCCTCCGAAGTAGCTGGGACTACAGCCACACACCACCACACCTGGCTCACTTTCGGGTGGTTGTTGTTGAGATGGGGTCTTGCTGTGTTGCTCAGGCTGGTTTTGAATACTGGGCTCAAGTGATTATCCTGCCTTAGCCTCCCAAAGTGCTGGAATTTCAGAGGTGAGCCACTGTGCCCAGCCTCCTGTTTTTTTTACATGTATATATATATATATATATATACACACACACACACACATATATATATACACACACACATATATATATACACACACATATATATACACATATATACACATATATATACACACATATATATATACACACACACATATATATACACACACATATATATACACACACATATATATATATACATATACACACACACACACACACACACACACACACACACACACACATATATTTTTTTTTTCTTTTAGATGGAGTGTCTCTCTGTTGCCCAGGCTGGGGTGCAGTGACATGATCTCTGCTCACTACAACCTCTGCCTCCTGGGTTCAAGTGATTCTCCTGCCTTAGCCTCCCAAGTAGCTGGGATTACAGGCGTGTGCCACCACGCTGGGCTAACTTTTGTATTTTTAGTAGAGATGGGGGTTTCACCATGTTGGTCAGGCTGGTCTTGAACTTCTGACCTCGTGATTTGCCTGCCTCAGCCTCCCAAAGTGCTGAGATTACAGGCGTGAGCCGCCATGCCTGCCCTTATTTTTATATATCTTCCATAACCTTTCTATCTCTTTCTTTCTCTTTCTCTGTTTCTGTGTGTGTCTGTGTCTGATAATAAAATACATTAAATTTTATTTTATAACATAAATGTTTTATAAGGTCGGTAGATTTGTTTATGATTTTAATGGCTGCATAGTATTCTATCATATGGATATATTCTAAATGTAATAATTCCTCAATGGTATATTTAGTTTACTTTATATTTGCTGCTTTAGTTTGTCACAAACACCGTGGATAGCCTTGTATATATTTATTTTGTTGTATAGTTCTTATTGGTACAGTATGATTTTTCACAAGTATACAATTACTTTCTGAGAATTTAGCTTTTTGATTCACGTGAAAGCCTTACTTGTATTGTTAACAATTTTGTTACGTTTGTGAGGCCTAGGCAGAAGGATTGCTTGAGACCAGGAACTCAAGACCACCTTGACCACCTTGGGCAACATAGGGGGAGCCCATCTCTACAAAAATAAAAAATAAGAAATAAAATAGCCATGCATGGTGGTGTGCCCCTGTAGTCCCAGTTACTCGGGAGGCTAAGGTGGAAGGATCGTCTGAGCCTGGGAGTTTGAGACTGCAGTGAGTTATGACCACACCACTGCACTCCAGCCTGGATGACAGAGAAAGATCTTGTCAAAAAAAAAAAAAAAATTAAATATATACAAAATAAGGGAGAATACTATGACAGGCTTCCACTTACCTATCTTTAGGCTTCTTTATAAAATGTTCATTTAATCTGATCTCTATAAGAAATTCTGTATCCTTAAACAACATGTGCCCTTCTCTTTACACAGAGCGATTACCCCCTTGCTATGTTTTATTAACAGCTAGCAAGTGCTGGGTCCTGTGTCAGTTGTTTTGTTTTTTCTTTTTCTTTGTTTTTCTTTTCTTTTCTTTTCTTTTTTTTTTTTGTTTTTTTTTTTTTTGGAGATAGAGTCTTGCTCTGTTGGTCAGGCTGGAGTGCAGTGGCATGATCTTAGCTCACTGCAACCTCTGCCTCCTGGGTTCAAGTGATTCTCCGGCCTCAGCCTCCTGAGTAACTGGGATTACAGACATATACCACCACACCTGGCTAATTTTTTTTGTGTTTTGACAGAGATGGGGTTTCACCATGTTGGTCAGGCTGGTCTCAAACTCCTGACCTAAAATGGTCCACCTGCCTTGGCCTCCCAAAGTGCTGGGATTACAGGCGTGAGCCCCCGCGCCTGGCCCTGTGTCAGCCTTTTTAACAGCATAATTTTTCCTTTATTAGTCATAACTACTTTAAGGGCTATTTTGATTTACAGACAAAGTGAGACTTGGATGAATTAAGAAAGAATTAATCAGGTGGTTGAACCTGAGTTCCAACTAGGGTGACAACTCTTCGCAGATTGCCTGCTGCTGTCCTGGTTTTCACACTGAAAGTTCCGTATCCTAATAAGCCTCTCATCCTCAGCAACGGAGGACAGTTGCCCACTCAAAGCCTTGTGACATTCTAGGGTATCCTATTTCTACATGGTGGGAATCTAGAAGACGGAGAAAGAATTTCTCATTCCCGAAGGAGCATGGATTATCCTTGGTTGTAGTGTTTATGTCCACATCACGTGGATTCCCGAAGGAGCATGGATTATCCTTGGTTGTAGTGTTTATGTCCACATCACATGGGATATTTTATTTTTCAGGCCTCTTCATGTGCTTGTGTGCAACGCAGCAACTTTTGCTCTACCCTGGAGTCTCACCAAAGATGGCCTGGAGACCACCTTTCAAGTGAATCATCTGGGGCACTTCTACCTTGTCCAGCTCCTCCAGGATGTTTTGTGCCGCTCAGCTCCTGCCCGTGTCATTGTGGTCTCCTCAGAGTCCCATCGGTGGGTTTGAATTGCATATTTGTTCACTTATCCCCTTTCTCATACCAGCTAATATTCCCCCAAGGCTCTCATTCTGAAAATAATTTTCATTAGTCCTGCTTGAGACATGTGGGTGGACTCAGCTTGGCTCACTTAATTTTTCCAGGTCTTTTTTGTTCGCCTGTGATTGTGGGGGACTGTTTAGAAGGACTTTCTAGAGCAAGGAAGATTGTTTTTACGACTATACTTCAAGCTCCTCATTGATTTTGCTTAGAGATGGAATAATAATTGATGAAATCTGAATGGCATGACCTTTATTGATTTGTAATTCAACAACTTCAACATCTTACCAAGAAGAATGTGCAGTTATTCTAGCAGGAGAAACAATGCAATTAGAGCCTGCGAGATGAAATCAAATTGTTTTATAATGAGAAATTAGGGAATTCGAGGCAGACATTAGCTGTGTAATTGTGGAAAGGGAAGAACTGTAGTTAGAGCATATTAGAAATCTGGCCGTGCCTCTTTTGGTTAAAATTTCAATTAAAACATCAGATGGCACTTTTTTCCTATTGCCATTAGGAGAATATTCAATTGACTGAAAAGGACATTTGAAAATTTCCTCGTATTTTCAGCATATTTGTTTCTAGAGTTGGAGAAACAACTATTTGTCTAGA
This sequence comes from Homo sapiens, assembly GCF_000001405.40. NCBI lineage: Eukaryota > Metazoa > Chordata > Mammalia > Primates > Hominidae > Homo > Homo sapiens. The sequence continues at coordinate 78,425,709 of NC_000016.10, forward strand.
GAGAAGTACTCTGAAAAGACAAAGGCCTTGCTGGGTGAGGCTGGATTTAATACATGTTAGGGAGATTTCTCTTTCACGTTTGCTTGGTGTGTGTTTGGCGGGGGGAACTTACACTCTTAGCAAAGTAGCTAGAAAAAAAAATAACGTGCAAGGGGCCTATTTTTTCCTCCTTCTTCTCCGTCTTAAGTCCTGAAATGTTTTAGTGACCCAGAATGAAGCTTATTTTTTTAATCATACTTCCATAAAATGTAACCCCTGGGACTTGGAAGAGAGAGACCAGCCAAGGGTTAGCTTGAACCCTTTATCACTCCCAAACACAGGGGCTTATGGTATAAGTGACACACTGCAGATAGATTTACTTTTGCCATTTTAAATTTATGATGGCTGAAATGAAAGGTAAATGCCAGTAATAATCCTCCCCCGTGTTAAAAGACATGAAACATCTAGTAATTAGGTGGTAACAAAATCTGGACAGCCTTATCTTTGCAAATCACACCAGGTTTGTGAAGGAAAGTGGAGTGGCCCTGTTAAGGGGCGAGGGAGGCTACTGTGGGGGCAGGCAGCAGAGAGAGCTCCAGAAATAAATCTGCCAGCCCCAGTCATCCACCAGATGTGGAGGGCACCACGGGATATGTTTAAATGAGCTGGTATTTAATGGGAGATTATGTCGAATTGTCAGCTGCTCACTCTCCTTGTAAATCTGTATCTCAAATGGTATTTCGTGTGACGTCTTTGTTCTTTGCTTAACTACGGTGTAATTCATGCCTACTTCAGAGATCCAAATCTCAGCATCATTTAAAAGATTAGTTTGAAAGGAAGGGACTTGGGCTCTTGAATTAGACCTATGTTAGTTTATAGGGAGGCCTTCCTGAAATGTGTTGTCAGGCTTGCTCCTGTGTGATGGCTGGCACTGGTTTTATGCTTTCCAATTATTCTTTGCACATCGTTATTTATTATTACTGTTATTATTATTTGACATGGAGTCTTGATCTGTTACCAGGCTGCAGTGCAGTGGCATGATCTCGGCTCACCACAACTTCAGACTCCCAGGGTTAAGCGATTCTCCTGCCTCAGCCTTCCAAGTAGCTGGGACCACAGGCGCTTGCCACCACACCTGGCTAATTTTTGTATTTTTAGTAGAGACGGGGTTTCACCATGTTGGCCAGGATGGTCTCGATCTCTTGACCTTGTGATCCGCCTGCCTTGGCTTCTCACAGTGCTGTGATTACAGGCGTGAGCCACCACGCCCGGCCTCTTTGCACATTATTTAAGGGTGTTTTAACAAAATGGCAATTTCCCCAGGCTGGCTTGTGTATTACCTTCGCATTGCATCCCTTGGCTCCCATGAGTGAGCGTGGTGACTTGGTGCGTAGGTGGTACGTGAAGACAGTTGCTCACTACCCAAGAACTCAGGGCCCTAAACCATGCTGTAAAATGCAAGTGCTGATATCTAATTACCTCCATCAACCTTGGCAGAATCTCTTCGTTGGAGTTAAGACCCCCTGTTAGGGGAAAAAAGAAAGTCCTATGTTTGCAGAAAATATTATACTAGACTGCTCCAAGGCAAAATATTTATTAGCCTTCCTGTGTCTTCACTGTGTTTTAGTTACTTATCTGGAATCTGAGCAACTGAATTGAGTTTCTGCATACCTAAAATACATCATAGTGAAATGAGAAGTTGACTTCTTTGCTGTGAAAAAATTTCAGATAACAATTAAAGTAGAATGAAAAGAGCAGAGTGCTGGTTGAACAACCCTCAATGGCTGCAGCTGCATGGAGTGCCAAATTGCCCTCCCCCACCCCACACACAAAATCACACATACACGCACGCACGCACACACACACACACGGAGTTTCTCAGCTTCTGTGTAGACAGAATCCAGCCTAATTATTTTAGGCGGGAATTTTAAAAATCCTCAATAAAATTGGGCTTGGTAGCACATGCCTGTAATCCTATCTAGTAAGAGGCTGAGGTGGGAGGATGGCTTGAGCCCAGGAGTTTGAGGTTGCGGTAAGCGTTGATCATGCCACTGCATTCCAGCCTGGGTGACAGAGTGAGACCCCATCTCTAAAATAAAAATTAAAAATTGTTTAAAAAAAATGCAGTATAGGCCAGGCACAGTGTCTCACGCCTGTAATCCCAGCACTCAAGAGTTCGAGATCAGCCTAGCCAGCATGGCGAAACCCCATCTCTACTAAAAATACAAAAATTAGCCAGGTGTGGTGGTGCACGCCTGTAATCCCAGCTATTTGGGAGGCTGAGGCAGGAGAATTGCTTGAACTTGGGAGGTGGAGATTGCAGTGAGTGGAGATTGCACCAGTGCACTCCAGCCTGGGTGACAGAGCAAGACCCTGTTTCAGAAAACAAAAACCCAAAAAGCAAAACCCCCACAGTATATATAGAAATACAAGATTTGTGAGGGGCGGGGGTCCCCCTACAAAGCAAGTGTTACTGTCCACAGAGCAAATGTCAATATTTTAATGTACTAGTAAGGGAAAATTCTATTAAGACATAATTGTTTGGCTTTGTCAGTTTGTCAACTTGAAAATAGAGTCAGCAGCATCTAAAGAGTTGTTTTACTACCTCTGGAGCTGAGAGGTGAACATAGTCGTTTTTCAGGAAGCCGTTTCTGGCTCAGACAGATAAGAAGCTGGCCCACCCTTGCCACTTCCTGGAGGACTGTCAGTGCTAGCTAATGAGACTGTAAAAGTGGACTATCTGCCCAGGAGACAGTGAGGAAGGAAATCAGGGGTCACCCTTACAGGGAAGGGCTCTTTGCAGAGAGAGTGCCTGATACGTAGCAGCTGGTACTTCTCCATCTTGAAACTGTCCTTCCTGGTTTTGTCTAATTTGTCATCATGGGATTCTTTTGACTTGTTTCTAGATTAGGGATCAAGAAGAAATGACTTTCTCCTCTTAGACATTTAATTCACTTAGTGTTCCCTAGTCATGACATACTTCTGTGTTATCCTTAAATACTGAAACAGGGACCTTATTCTTAACAGTAGAAAATCACTGTGTATGATGATAGTGTATACCTGTAATACCAGCTACTCAGGAAGCTGAGGCAGGAGGATCCCTTGAGCTCAGGAGTTGAGATTAGCATGGGCAACAAAGCAAGACCTTGTCTCTAAAAGAATAAGCAGAAACCAAAAGCCCTAAACATGAGGAAATTCCACATGTAAACATTAATGGAAAACATAGAAGAGTTGAACCTAGTGGTAAATTTTACCTTTAGAGCAATGCTTGAAACAAGGGAAACTGTCAAATTCTCATCATGGGATTTGTGTTCCTTTGTTTTTTTTATTAAGGACTTGGTCCTTGGATTGGAATTCCAAACCCATGACCAAACTGTAATCATCTAATTCTGTATTGAGTCCTTACTATGTGTCAGGCACTGTAGTAAGCAACACTCAAGAATCTTACAGTCTACTTTCCAAGAATTCACAGTCTAGTTTTGGAATCAGGTGATCAATTGACTTACAGTCTGGTATGGTGATGACAGAGGAGCAATGTACAGATAGAACAGAAGGATGGCACAGTGAGCCTTTTCACCAATCTTGGAAGGCCAGTAATGTCAGTGAACACTAGGAATGGTGTCATGGCCTGGGTCCTGAAGAGTGGATACTTAATGTCCATGGAGGCATGCATTTTTATCTGCCTTGCATGGCTTCTTTCATTCTCTCCCTGACTTCCACCCAAAAAATCACCATGATATCCAGCTGTGGAAGAGTTCATTATGGAGAGCTTCCTGGAAGAAGTAGTCCCTGAACTGGGTTGGGCTAAACAAATATGCCAAGAAGGGTTTCTGGAAGCAGTTGACAAAAGATGAGTAGAGAGAGGGAGGGGGTGGTGCTATATTTATTCCATACCTTTCAGATACTCTCTAAATCCTTGTCCCTGTTGTCTATGCCATGTAGGTAGAGTTTTCAAGTCATGTCCCATACCTTGGATCATTGGATTCTCAACTCAGTAGCACCTTTGTGTGACACCTCTTCTGTAATACCTTATTATGTTGAAATAAAGTTAGCAAATAACATAACTTACATGCACAAATATATTTTCAATTCGATATGATAGCTTTACTGTAATGAAAGAAAAAATAACTGAAACAAAATGGCGTGTGTTTCAACATGTAAATGCTTGGGCCAGGCTACAGGAAAGATGGGGATGTATGTATCCGTGGATGAATCACCTTGAATGGACTCTCATAAAAAAGCCCACCATTACCAGGTGTGTGGTATTGCAGACTCCAGCACCACCAACCTTGAGTGAAGCCTGACTATATTAGTCTGTTCTCATGCTGCTAAGAAAGACATACCCGAGACCGGGTAATTTATAAAGGAAACAGGTTTAATGGGCTCACAGTTACACATGGCTGGGGAGGCCTCACAATCATGGCGGAAGATGAAGGAAGGGCAAAGGGATGTCTTACATGACATCAGGCAACAGAGTATGTGCAGGGGAATTCTCATTTATAAAACCATCAGATTTCGTGAGACTTATTCACTACCATGAGAACAGTATGGGAGAAAGCACCCCCATGATTCACTTATCTCCACCTGGCTCTGCCCTTGACACATGGGGGTTATTACAATTCAGTGTGAGATTTGGGTGGGGACACAGCCGAACCGTATCAGTCACCCTCCAAAAATCACACAAAATCTGAAAGTGCTTTTATTCATTCTACATGTAAATAGTTGTTGCACTACCCACCTGGAAATTCAGTGGATGTTTCTAGGCTCAGATAATTATCCACAGGCTTTTCATCTCCATGAGTGTCCACTGGGGCATTCTTCATTGAGCAATACATCATGTGCATTGCAAGACATCTGCCATCCCTGCTACCATCACCAGCAGTCATCACGACAACCAGAAGAAGGCCGTCATATATTTTCAAATTGCCTGCTGAGTTCCATTGCCTTAGACAATTAAGCTTGGAAGTCAGACTCTTCCTGTGGTTTGGGTACTAGAAAAAAGGCAGCCAACAATTCGTTTCAAGGTCTCATTTCTGTATCCTTGATGACGTTTCTGGCCATCAGCTTTGTTGATGACTTTAGAGCAGCTATGTCATTTAACACTAGAAATTGGATGTCACCGAGTCCTGTGGAAGGGATATTTAATTTCCATTAAAACATGAATTTCATTCTGCCCTTGCCATGCTTTTCTTGGTCTTAGCCCAACCTGAGCTGCTGATATTAAGGAATAATAGGATAATTCCATAATTTTCATTTTACCTTTTGCTTTTTGTTTTCCATAGCAGTTATCTAGAGGATTCCCATTATGCTTCTTCATTACCCGGTGCCCAGAATGAACTTATAGAAGCAGAATATGAGGGGTCCTTTGACAAACATGAGACTGTTTAGAAAATTCCTTTTGTTTGCTGTGATCCATTTTGTAAGGGAAGTCACTATAATGTTGTTATTTAAGAGAAAGAGACAAACGGAAAGAAACAAACAGCTGGTGTTTAACGACTCCGTCAGACCCAATTATAAAGCATCAACTAGTTACGTTGATTTGTGTACATCCATGCCATGGGTATACTTAAAAACATTAGATTTTGCCAGAACTCATCTTGGCTTTGTTTACATTTTTCTTTTAAACGTATAAGACTATTGATGGTACCTCACCAAGGTTATAACCCCTTTATAATCATTAATTTTTAATCTAGAAAAGAGTCTTGGAGACAACAAGACTCATCTATAATTTCTTGGATGCTCAAATGAAAATATACAGGACTCAAGCATTAGCTAAAATAATCCAGGAAAGCCCTGTCAAAGGTTAGGAATGTGATATCTTTCTGTTTCCAAAAGCAGCAGCCCTTTATTCAAGACACTTTTCTGTTTAATTTAATTATCTTTGAACTTCCTGTTGAAGGTTTTGAAAAATATATGTTAGAGGGTGGGGAGAGAGTTCAGTATGTCAGGACTGCTACATTTATGAGTGTGGGTCTTTATTGAAGTCTCTCTTTGTAGCCAATCCTTTTTTTTTTTTTAATTTTTAAATTTTAAATTCTTACTTTTAGATATGGGGGTCTCACTCTGTTGCCCAGGCTAGAGTTCAGTGGCACAATCATAGCTCACTGCAACGTTGACCTCCCAGGCTGAAGCGATCCTCCTGCCTCAGCCCCCCAAGTAGCTGGGACCACAGGCATGTGCCAAAATACTCAACTAATTGTTTATTTTTTGTAGACATGGTGTCTCCCTATGTTGCCTAAGCTGGTCTTGAACTCCTACACTCAAGCAATCCTCCCGCCTCAGCTTCCTAAAGTGCTGGGATTAGAGGCATGAGCCACCAGACATGACCTGTGTTTATATTGTTAAATCACCATTGTCAATCTTGAAAGGAGACTTTGTTTTGATGTATGTAAGATTGAGTTTTTACTCATCTCTACATAGTTTCCTCAGATTGCTTTTTTTTTTTTTTGAGACCGAGTCTAGCTCTGTCACCCAGGCTGGAGTGCAGTGGCACAATCTTTGCTCACTGCAACCTCTGCCTCCCATGTTTCAGTGATTCTCTTGCTTCAGATTCCCGTGTACAGGCATGCCACCACACCTGGCTAATTTTTGTATTTTTAGTAGAGATGGCATTTTGCCATGTTGGCCAGGCTGGTCTTGAACTCCCGACCTCAGGTGATCCACTCGTCTAAGACTCCCAAAGTGCTCGGATTACAGATGTGAGCCACTGCACCCAGCATTCCTTAGATTTCCAATAAAAATAAAAAGCTGTGTGGGAAGTCAGAACTTGGTTGCTTCATGTCATATTTCCTATTTTTAAGATTTACAGATATTAACGACTCCTTGGGAAAACTGGACTTCAGTCGCCTCTCTCCAACAAAAAACGACTATTGGGCGATGCTGGCTTATAACAGGTCCAAGCTCTGCAACATCCTCTTCTCCAACGAGCTGCACCGTCGCCTCTCCCCACGCGGGGTCACGTCGAACGCAGTGCATCCTGGAAATATGATGTACTCCAACATTCATCGCAGCTGGTGGGTGTACACACTGCTGTTTACCTTGGCGAGGCCTTTCACCAAGTCCATGGTAAGAGAACAGCTTCTGGCGCCGCAAACACCTTGGGTCCTAGAGAAACCTGCACACTTGTGTCTCCACCTTTTTACCTCTTGCGGGCATGAGTCTGGTCTCAGTAATAACATTGTCCAGCCCATCATAAAGGGCTCTTGAACACATTTTCATCAACTTTAGGTTAAGTCTGTTTGGGTAAATGCGTCTTGGAGGGCTGGGTAGAAGATGTGGGTTTCAGTATCATGTTAAGTATGGCTGAAAGTCCTTATGGAAATGGTGATTTTTTTGTTTGTTTGGTTTTGTTTTTTTTGGGGTTTTTTATTCAGAAACTTTGAAAATCTATTTTGTTGAATGGAGCACTTGAAAACTGCTGTTTTGTGTCAGTAGGTAAACAACAAACATTGGTGACTACTGAATTTTCAGCAGATGTGATTCCTTTGTTTCACAGAAAAACTGTATCTTTTGTTCTAAATTTTTTTCTTCTAATGGGTATAATCCTCTGTTGGAGAGTCCTTTGATAGCTAGGAGTGTGTTTTCTTCTTTACTTTCCCAAAGACAATTTTGGATGAATCATGGTACTGTGGTTACATTTGGAAGTGTTTACAAAGGTGATAAGATGTTTTTATAGTTTGGTGTTCATTTATCGACCATATTAAGAACCTTCTTCTATGAAATGGTTTTAGTAGGAAGTATTTTGAATGAAGAAAGCGTATTTTCCACAATATATTTGGTAGATTATTTTTCAAAACCAAAGGACTTCAAAAATGTCTTCCTATTAGTGGACACCAGTATTCCAGTTACCCAAACTTAAAATCTACTTGACAGAAATCACCCTTTTCCCAAACACATTTGCCTTTTAGCGATATCACAGGCCTTCACAGTTGGACCTAGGATATTAATAAAACAAAGCAAAACAACAACAAAAGAAGAACTATTGCAGGCCTATTATCCTCCAGCTGATCTCACGACCTTGGAAACTGTCTGCTGCCTTCTCTTACACTCATTCCCACCTGCCACCCTTAACCTTCGTATTTGGGGATGACTTTTTTTTTTTTTTTTTTTTTTTTTTTTTTGAGACGGAGTCTCGCTCTGTCGCCCAGGCTGGAGTGCAGTGGCGGGATCTCGGCTCACTGCAAGCTCCGCCTCCCGGGTTCACGCCATTCTCCTGCCTCAGCCTCCCAAGTAGCTGGGACTACAGGCGCCCACCACTATGCCCGGCTAATTTTTTGTATTTTTAGTAGAGACGGGGTTTCACCGTTTTAGCCGGGATGGTCTCAATCTCCTGACCTCGTGATCCGCCCGCCTCGGCCTCCCAAAGTGCTGGGATTACAGGCGTGAGCCACCGCGCCCGGCCTGGGGATGACTTTTAAAACCACATCAAAAGTCTTTTGAAGTGCTTAGGAGGAGGTAAGTAAGTATATCTTTTATTCTAATCACCCAAGTGGTTTTTAGGCAGAGTAAACAGACATATTCCAAGAGTCGAATACTTAGGATCAGTGGCAGTGAAGTGAAAGGACCTACGGAGAATGGTGTTCCATGCCGCAGGGTGGGATTGATCTCTAGGAAGTAAATGAATGAAACTTACCTGTAGGTGGATCACAGGGTTTTGAAATCTCCCCATCACTTTGCTCCCGATGACTGCATAAGCGCAGCCTCTTCATGAAAGTTTCTTTGACCATGGTTATGCCTCATACTTTGTTGTGTCCTTCAGTTTACATGAAAAGAAGGAATATGGATCTGAACTGGGTGCCAGTGCCATTTAAATGAGGCATTTAGGAATGGGGAGAGGAGAGAGGTGGATTCTTCCTTATTTTCTGCTGGCCCAGTGCCTTCCGCTTTAACAAGCCCAGTCAACCATCATTTGTAATCTTTGGGTCTTGAGTCATCTCACTTGTATTTGATCATTGATGTGTTTTAAGGAGCTCGGTTCAGTGGCATCAGAGAGTTCGTTTTCTCCTTCTTCCATAAGGTCCCTAATCAGAGGAACGGGATGGGAAAGCTTTAGAGATGAGTCTGTGACTATGGAATTTGGTGAGGGGTGATATAACCATCCTGCCATTTGTTGTAGACTCGAATGGATGAGGAGTCATTGATAGAAAATAGTGGAAACTGTTATTCTGTGGCCTGATCCCATTGCTTAGGGACTCTGTGCCAGGGCATGTGGGAAAAGAAGGAAGGCAAGTTCTGCTAAAATATAAAGTCAGGGTAAACATTTTTATTTATTGGAGAAGAGTTGATTATTATCTAATATTTAATATAATATGCTTAATAAAGTCAGACTTGAAAGTTGGCTGGTTGGACCTAACGGGAGTATCTCTAAAAAATACCAGCAAATTAAGTTGGATCGGTGACTGTATCATGATATCGGAGTGTTAGCTGTTTTGGGAGTACGTGTGCTCAGGACTTGGGCTGAGTGGAAAACCAGAGTATGGGGTTAGAAATGGAGGCAGAGGGACTACCATGTCGGGGAGGATGCACAATGAATTGGACGAAGGTTGCAACTCAGTGAGCACCGTACCTGTAGTGTGTCTTAGTAATAGCAGATGCCCAACCTCCATGCCTAACTCCTTTGCCTACCCCACCAGTGTGCAGCAGCCTCTGCCGCACCCTACTGCAGTCTCTCCTATTTCCCTGGCAGGAGAGCTCAGAGACTACTTGTGAACAGGCCTCAATGCCTATAGCAAGGCAAGGCTTGGGAGAAACAAATGTCCTCTGGGAGCAGCCTTGGGTAAAAGATTAACTGCGCACTGAGCTTTAGATCCCTGAGTGAGAAAGCTGTGGGAAAATGAGTGTGTAGCTCATGAGAGGGTTTGGAGAAAAGTGGTGACATCGCAAAAATCCCAGGTTTTGTTGAAGTTGTCTGTGGAGGGGCACTCATAGAAAGGGCACTGGACGTGAGCATTTCCCTTGTAGTTGAGATGGGATTTGACATGACTTCCTGGTGGTGGCAAGACAAGAAAGTGGCAACCTGGGACAGTGGACCTCACAGCTCTCCTGCTAATGGTGCTGATGGCTAAGCTCAGCTCTTACCCTTGACCACTGGAACAACTTAGACATGTCACCAGCTTTCTGAGCCTGTCTCATTACGATGAAAATTGTGATACAGGTTAGTGTAAGGACCGACAATAATGCATATAACATCAATAATGATGGATATAGAATTTCTGCAGTTATTATAATCTGGCTCTCCAGTATGGTAGTCGTGGGCCACATGTGGCTATTGAGTTCTAAAAATGTGGCTAATAGAACTGAGGAAGTGAATTTTCAATTTGATTCCATGTTTGTTAATTCGAACTGAAAAACACCACGTGTGCCAAGTGGCTGCCATACTGGAGAGCGTGGTCAAATGACATGCCTAGCTCAGTGCCTTTCGCATGGGAGGTATGCAGTACTTCCTGCCACGATGGCTGTTACTCTTGTCGTTGTGAGCAGTGCCTTGGTCCCGATGATGATTCTCCAAAATGTAATCTCTGCTGACAGAACAAGAGTCTGCAAATTGGGAGTCTGGAAAGGGAAGAGAAGGGCTTTGTCCCTGGCCCCAAAGACTCAGGGAGAGGTTTACTGGCCAGGTAGAAAGGGCGTCCAGGTGAAGGGACCCTGGTTCAGTGATCTCCAACCTGCACGTCTCATTTGTGAGGAAGCCGTAGGGTGTGGACTTTTCTTGTTTCTGACCTTGAGTGATTAGAAAATAGCAGCTTTTATATGTCACAAATGGACTTTAGATAAGCATGAAGATGACGAAGACTGTGGAATATGTAGCTAAGAGTCTTACTAAAATCCTCTCTAGTGTATTTATATATTTAAGCGTTTGGTAGTACTTTTTTAGCCATCAGCGTTCTCTATATTAGGTTGATACAGAAGTTATTGAGGTTTTTGCCATTGAAAGTAATACGTCACTTCATGCAGAGGTGGAATTGGCGCTCTGAGCTTGCTTGTCAAATTCACAGGCATTCACTTTTCTTTCATAAACATTTAGGACTCTGTATTTAGGAGAGGAATCACTGTGAATGTAGACCTCGGGTTGGTCATTTTCCTAGTAAGATAGACCAGACTGACTGGAAAAGTCACCCTCTTGGGCTATCCTGCGTATGTGGCTCGGCATTGCTTCCGTCAGGATAATGCATCAGTTTCTTGGACAAAGGGTGCATTTCTGCTATTTGAATGCAGACATATTTTTGGATATAAGCCACGCAGTTGCATCCCATTTCTTCCGTAGGTAAAGGCTGGGTTTCTAATTGTGATTGAGAAGCTTAGCATAGATGCAATGTCCCTATCACCAGATGGCTAGTGTGCTCTGCCTTGTCTGCCTTTTACCTTAGAGAGGGTGCTTCCTTCTGACACGGGTATTGCTGGAGTACACATTCTGTTGCATGAGGTCAGGGGAGCAAGAAATACAACCCAGACTTGCGCTCGGAAGCCCTGCCTTCATTTCTTCTCTGTAGCTGGCTCCCTTAAGTATTAAACAGCAGTATTCTAATATCAACGTCCCTTTTTTATTTGCTGTGACTTGCTGTGACTACGGTGATTTTAGTTACAGTAATTAGGTCACTCTTCATGGAGTCGGGCTATTTTAAGTGCCTCTTTAAGGAATATTGTTGCAGATCAGTAATTTTACAATTGGATGTTCTTGTGCAACTTTATTAAATGTGATCTGTCTTTTAAATGTTGCCCTTTTACAGTTACACATTTCTAATTGTTGCTGTAAATGCATTATCACTTTGAAATTAATTAATTTTTCCATTTTGGCTGCCTGCAATATAATAATCACTAATGAGAAACTCACAGGAATCAATTCTCAGCACAGCGGCCCCTACTGGTAAAGCCATGTCTCTGCCTCCCTCTTCTTCTTCAGATCCAGAGAACTGGACAAGTGTATTGGGGCGTCCTGGGAGGGAAGTGTTTGTTTCTTCCTCCCTTCAATTTATGGTGAAATAAAAATCACAGATAAACTTGGAAAGTGAGTTATTTTTAAGTGTCGTTCTAAAAAAGATGCAATATACTTCAAATAGCTGCTTCTAAAATATGTTAAAGGAAACTAACATTTGCTGAGTACTTTCTAATAATGAAGTCACATCATACGTGCATTACATGTTTATTTTCTTGACTCTAGAGCATTCTTTTATGCAGTTAAATTACTCTAAAATGTTTTGCACCTGCACGCATTAATGTGTATTGTTTGGTAAGAACTTTCGAGTTGGTGAAAAAATGTATTGTATTTTAGTATCTATATTTATATATACATATTAGTCTATGGGTTTTAATTCACAAAACCAGGTGTTGTATCTGGTGCACATAAGGGATTTTCAAGGCTAATCTTGGGTTTTTGCAGTTGTAACCATGTGTGATGACTTTAGAATCCTACCACACTTCCAAATAGAGATGCAGATTGACCATTTTCCCAGATACCACGATGCTTTATGTATCAGCATATATTTTCATTAATTTCTCATAATTTCTGTTAGAATTAATAATTCCAAGTTCTACAATCTTAGAATTATTATCTTTATTTTGTAATTGAAAAGCACAGAAACCTCATGCAGCGTGTTCAAGAAAATGATATACCAGCCTTGTAAACTTTCACTTGCTAATTGCAGCTGCATTTGCTTTGTCCAATGCACGGTAATGCCCCTGGCATCCATATCTAGTTATGCAGTTATGCTTCCTTTTTAAAATGTTTGACAGCACCTTCACTGAAATGAATGCTGCCACCACCGCCAACCCCACCTTTTTTTTTTCCACATAAGCTTTCATTTCTGGTAAATACATCCTTGCCAGAGTTCCCAGGTCCAAGCCGGTCCTTTGTGGACCAGTATGCAGATTTGAAGTTGAGCACTGTCACTTGCCTCTTAGGAGTGTTTTGTGCAACCACATATTTGTGTTGGCAGATAACAGTAGAAAGAATATCATGTGTTAGGGTAGCAAGAGCTTAGCAGATGTTTTAGGGAACTGCATTTTCAAATCATTTTACATTAAAAAATGGCTTACGTTTATGGAACTTCTGCGACGATCGGGTTACGTTTCCTGTGCCCGTGTAAAGCCAGTCATCGTGCTGAGTTTTAACGGATGTGCAGCTACCCTGCTAATGGATGGGCCGGCAATGCTGGTCCTGTTGCAAAGTTATAAATTATAACTAGAAAAAGCACAAGATGTCATTCTTCTAACCTTCGTGAAAGCCAAACGGGGTAATTCTGCCCTTGAATAACCCGCTGCAGGGTGATTTATAGTTGTACAATTTAAAACGTAATGAAGGAGATAATAGATGTTGATTTGTTCCTGAAATTAGTATTTTAGAAAAATACTTCTCCCCCTTTCCATCTTTAAATACCTGCAGCTGACTACACTATAGATACTATCAAGGGCAAAGCCCCCTGTTTGAATGTGTATTGGTACATTGGTGTATCACATACAAGGCAGAGGGTGTATAAAACAGGCTTTCTGTTGCGAGGGGGAAATATGGTTTTCAAAGTGGAAATTTCATTGTATTCTTCATGAATCTAAACATTTTGAGACTCCTGAGTGAGGTTTGAATTTTCTGGTTGCCTTTCTCTTGCCAGTCCAGATATGTTAGAAAACTGGACTCTCAGGACCCCTCTGTGGTTGGACCACACTGGCGCTTTCCTGCAGTTGTCTGTCAACAGAAGGACCTGGTAGCTGGCTTGTCCTCTTACACCACTGAGGCCACCTTCTTGCAGGAAGAAACATACTTCTTCCTGCCCTGGATTAACATTACCATTGGTTTTAGTAGTCTTACGTCATTATGTCCAAAGCTTTTAAGTTTACAGTGCTTGCTTAGTCCAGTGACCAATGGATGTAAGTAAGTTGGAAAAGGGCAAAGGATTTAGAATCATGAGGGTTGTATTCAAACTGCAGCCTCTACTCCCTTTTAGTTACATAATTTTGAAATCATTTGACATTTCTGAGGTTAATTTTCTACATCAGTTTAGCTGCTTTAGGCCGCAAGTTATTAACACCCACTTAAAGGTGGCTGAAATAATAGAGGTTTTGCTTCCCATGTATCCAGAGTTGCTGAGGCAGCAAGGGTTGTGTTTGGCTACTATATGAGTAGCTCCTTTGTGATAATCTTTACTTTTCCCTCATGCTTACAAGATGGCTTCTGTGGTGCCAGCCATTGCATCCTATTTGATAAGGTCTGAAGGCACAGATGGGAGGGATGAGGCTCCTCATTGCATGCCTTTTTCCTTTATCAAGAGACAGAGCATTCTGCTTCAGAACTGTCCTCCTGAGTTGACTTCCCGTCAGATCCCACTGGTTGGGACTGAGTCATCTGTTTGTATCCTAGTTATAAAGGAGACTAGAAAAGTGCATAACTGGCTTTTTGAGCCTCTAGAGTGGCAGGCGAACTCTGATTTTGAGGAAAAAGGATAGGGTAATGGTGTTGACACAGGCACTGTTGAATACGTATGTACATATTTTAATAGTTTTCTCATTAATCAAATGGAAATGCTATCGATTTTATAGGATCGTTGTGAGAAGAAGTGAGAATTGAAATGAAAGGCATCTAGTCTTCCCCGGTCCCCATCCACTTGACCCACCATACCTCAAGCCACTTCTGGCTCCATGCTCTTTCTTTCCTTAGGGTTTTGAAACATGTTCTTCAGCCTAGAATACTCCTCCTCCACTCTTAATTTCTACCCATCCTGCAAAACTCAGTCTGAACAGCACACGTCAAGGAAGCAGTTTTGGTCTCTCAGATTATATGAAGCTCTCCAATATGTTCTTTCAGAACAGCCAGTGCCTAGAATACTGCCTGACTCGTAGTAGCACTCCTTATGTGTTGAATGAGTAAATGAAGAGTCCCTGGAATTTCTTCTTCATAACATTGAACACAACTGCAGTTTGAAAACATAATTTCTGTAGTTTTTTTTTTTTCTTTTTTTTTGAGACGGAGTGTCTCTCCGTTGCCCGGATTGGAGTGTAGTGGCACAATCCCGGCTCACTGCAACCTCCGCGCCTCCCCAGTTCAAGCAATTCTCCTGCCTCAGCCTCCCAAGTAGCTGGGATTACAAGCACTGGCCACCAAACCCAGCTAATTTATATATTTTTAGTAGAAGCGGGGTTTCAACATGTTGGCCAGGCTGGTCTCAAACTCCTGACCTCAGGTGATCCACCTGCCTTGGCCTTCCAAAGTGTGGTGGGATTCCAGGCATGAGCCACTGTGCCTGGCCTGTAGTTTCTTTTTCTTTTTTCTTTTCTTTTCTTTTTTTTGAGATGAAGTCTTGCTCTGTCACCTAGGCTGGAATGCAGTGGTGCAATCTTGGCTCACTGCAGCCTCCGCCTCCCAGGTTCAAGCGATTCTCCTGTGTCAGCCTCCTGAGTAGCTGAGATTACAGGTGTGCACCACCACGCACGGCTGATGTTTGTATTTTTAGTAGAGACGGGATTTCAACATGTTGGCCAAGCTCGTCTCAAACCTGCCTCAGCCTCCCAAAGTGCTGGGATTACAGATGTGAGCCACTGCACCCAGCCTGTAGTTTCTTATTTAATGTCTGTCCCCCCTTCTCTTGACAGTGGTGTTTTTGCCTTCACACTACTGTATCCCTGGTCCATACCGTAAATGTTCTGTAAATGTTTGTAAATGAATACATGAAAGATGACCAGGTGCTGAATCAGTGAGAGTCCTTAATGTACTTCTTATCATTTATCCCTCTGAGGTAGGCAAGGGATTATAGTTTAGAATGTGTAAATACGTAAAAGATAAGGCAAGGAGACCTGCTGAGAGTCACACAGCAAGCCCCCAAGGTCCCCCAGGCTCATGGTCAAATGACATGTAAGGGACGTATCCAGCGGTGTGGGTATGTTTGGAGGGAATGAATGTAAGGAGAGAGAGGTGAGGCACAGGAGAGACAGGATGAGCTTTAGAGGTAGACAGCTCTCGGGTCCAGCCCTAGCTCTCTCCCATTCTAACTCTTGGGCAAGGTTCAAAACCTGATTAAGATTCATGCATAAAACTGAGATGTTAGAACTACCTCATGGGCTTGTCTTGAGAATTAAAGACGTTATGAACTTAAGGCCTCTACAGTGTGCTAGATGCTTAAGAAATGTTAACTACTATTGTTATTGGCTTGCAGTAGAAATTAAAGATTATGAATGTTCAGCATTCAGAATATACTAGATACTCAATAACCATTATTGCTGTCATTATTAACATTATTTTCCCCAGCTTTACTGAGGTATGAGTGACAAAAATTTCATATATGCGCATGAGTGTGTGTGTGTGTGTGTGTGTGTGTGTGTGGCTGGGCATGGTGGCTCTTGCCTATAATCCTAACAGTTGAGGAGGCCAAGCTGGGAGGATGACTTGAGCCTGGGAGTTGGAGGCTGCAGTGAGCTATGATGGTGCCCCTGCACTCCATCCTGGGTGACATAGTGAGACCCTATCTCTAAAGGAAAAAAAAAATTATATGTATTCGTGGTGTGAAATGTGATGTTTTGATATTCATATGCATTGTGAAATGACTACCACAATCAAGCTAATTAACACATCGGTCAACTTACATAGCTATCATTTTTTGTGTGTGGCAAGAACATTGAAAGTCTAGTCTCAGCAATTTTCAAGTATATAATACGTTATTATTATTACTATCGTTAACTGTATTCACCATGCTGTACAATAGATCTCCAGAATGTATTCATTCTGTCTAACTGAAACTTAGGATCCTTTGACCACTATCTCCCCATTTATCACCCCCTCCCACTTCCCCACTACCAGCCCCTCCTGGGAACTGCCCTCTACTCTCTGCTTCTGTGAGTTTGACTGCTTTAAATTCCACACAAAAAGTGAGATCATAGAGTATTTGTCTTTCTGCGCCTGGCTTATTTTACGATAAATTGATTGCTTCTCTTCCCATTGTTTATAGATACCCATTCTCGTAATGATGGCACTGTGTCTGTCATAGAAGGCCTAATTCTCCCTGTTAACATTGAACATAAAAACCTCATATGGGCCAGGCACAGTGGCTCATACCTGAAATCCCAGCACTTTGGGAGGCTGAGGCGGATGAATCACCTGAGGTTGGGAGTTCGAGACCAGCCTGGTCAACATTGCGAAATTCTGTCTCTACTAAAAAGATACAAAAAAATTGGCTGGCTGGTCATGGTGGCTCATGCCTGTAATCCCAGCACTTTGGGAGGCCGAGCCGGGCGAATCACGAGGTCAGGAGATTGAGACCATCCTAGCTAACATGGTGAAACCCTGTCTCTACCAAAAATACAAAAAAATTAGCCAGGCGTGGTGGTGGGGCGCGGTCGTGGGTGCCTGTAGTCCCAGCTACTCAGGAGGCTAAGGCAGGAGAATGGCGTGAACCCGGGAGGTGGAGGTTGCAGTGAGCCAAGATCGCACCACTGCACTCCAGCCTGCGTGACAGAGCGAGACTCCATCTCAAAAAAAAAAAAAAAAAAAAAAGGCTGTGTGTGGTGACTCGTGTCTATTGTCCCAGCTACTTGGGAGGCTGAGACATGAAAATCACATGAACCTGGGAGGTGGAGGTTGCAGTGAGCTGACATCGCATCACTGCACTCCAGCCTGGGTGACAGAGTGAGACTGAAAAACAAAAAAACAAAAAAAAACCCAAAACTATATGTGCAAGCCTCAGGAACCACTAAGACAGATTACACAATGCTCATCAGAACTCAGCAGGCTTCCACAGTGCAGATTTTAAGCCCTCCAGTTGCCTGTTTTACTGGCACCAAGAACACACCTTAGCTTGGAGGAAACATTGGCCACTTTCTTGTTAAAAACAAAGAGAGGGAAACTAGATCTGCCTTTGTGAGGCTGGAGCACCTCATCAATGTATTTTTTCTGCCTTGCTTTATAGTGTTTTAAATCCGCCTCGGCCTTTGTTCCTGAATGAGCACCCGAGAAGGGGAGAAAGTGACTATCTGGCCTTAGTATGTGTAACAAATTATTTAATGAACATTTAACCAAGATTTGCAATTCCCCTAGTTTTATCTTCCCGGTTTCCTTTTCTTCTGTGTGCCCGTTGGCATTTTGGTAATGTGCTGCCTCTTTATAACTCTTTGTAGCTCTTTTATTACTTTTCTTTTTTCTTTTAAGTTTGTGGTGCCTTCTTTGATCCTCCCCTCTTTCAGTTTCCTTTTCTCCAATTTCATACTTATTTCCAGTGATTTTTGGCTGCAACGCAGTTTAGATATTGGAGGCCAGCGTGATTAAACCGAGGCCAAGAGTTTGTATTGCCCCATGACGATGTTTCTGGAATGTTTCTTCTGTGAACAGTGATTTTTGTATAACTCACTGGACATGTTGATTTTTCCCTGTGAGGTGTAAGGTAATGTTTTCCTAGCAAAAACAAAGAGGGCTGAAACCTGGTGCTCAGAATCGTTTGGAAACGGAACTCCTCTCCCTCTTCTTTTTACACCAAGATAAAGAAATACTTTGCAAATCAGCTGAGCACATGTTCCCAGCTCCGTGCCGGGCTCTGTGGTCATGGGTTTCCTTCTTTATGTCTTACTCATCTAATGTAATTTTAGAGTGTGTTCTCTTTAGATAATTGTGTGTCTCTGAGCAAATCACTTATCCTCTCTGGTCCTCAGTTTTCTTATCTGTAAAATGAATCAGTTAACCAAGAATAGCCATCCCTTGGGTTAATAGAACAGTTTAACTTGAAAGGAAATAAAAAAAGGAGACTAACATGGGCCCACAGACATTGTATTTCATAAATTTTGGATGAAAACTGAACCTACCATCATTTATTAAGAGAATGGATATTTTCATGTCAGAAATTATAGGAAGGATACAGTTATGGGATGAGGAGCAATTCTTTTTTTTTTTTTTTTGAGGTGGAGTCTCACTCTGTCACCAGGCTAGAGTGCAGTGGGGCGATCTCGGCTCACTGCAAACCTCTGCCTCCCGGGTTCAAGCAATTCTCCTGCCTCAGACTCCCGAGTAGCTAGGACTACAGGCGCGTGCCACCACACCCGGCTAATTTTTTGTATTCTTAGTAGAGACGAGGTTTCACGGTGTTAGCCAGGATGGTCTCGATCTCCTGACCTCATGATCCACCCGCCTCGGCCTCCCAAAGTGCTGGAATTACAGGCGTGAGCCACCGCACCCGGCCTATGAGGAGCAGTTCTTTCAATGGAATATATTTGACTTCAGGGAGAACTCACTCAAATGCTGCTGTTACTGTTTTTCCCTTTGTTGGAAGTGATGGGGTTGTACTTGGAATGACTGGCCTAGAAAACCCTACAGGTACCATTTAAGCTCCATAGTTCTTCTGTGTGTGTTTCGGATCCCAGGTTCCAAACCTGCACTAAAACTTGTTGCTGCATCTCACCTAATCGTGTAGTGAGCCAGGTGAGCTCATCTGTGAAATGCAGACCTTTCTGGACGTACCACCTCGTGGGGTGAAGGGAAAGAAATGATACAGGTGTACATCAGGGTATAAGCTGTCCTAGAGTCTGGATTCTTTTTATCCAGAAGCCATTCTTTCAGCCTGTGCCTTTTTGTAAATACCATACCCCATCTATTTCCACAAAGGATTTGGGGCATTAGCGAGTAAAGGGGGAATATGTTCTAGAAGAAGGGCGCTCACCTCAGTAAATTGATGGGTGGGCCACAAAAATCATGTCACAAGATCTTGTTGATGTGCATGCATTCATTCATTCAACAAATATTATTGAGCATCTAACATAAGCCGGGTGCTTTGCTAGGGACAGAATGCTGTACAAGGTCCCTGTCCTCATGGGGACCGTATGTTGGGAAGACAGATGATAGGCATGGAAATGAAGAGACAAACCACTCCGACTTCAGCCCAGGAAGGAGCTTTAATTTGAGTAATTGTTTTCACTAATTCATCTTCACAGAAAGAAATAATATGATCACCTTCGGTTAGTAAACAAAACAAATAGGCAAACAGGTTTACAGGCTGAGGTGGGCTGGATCACTTGAGGCCGGGAGTTTGAAACCAGCCTAGCTAACACGGTGAAACCCTTCTCTACTAAAAATACAAAAATATTATCTGGGTGTGGTGGAGCTTTCCTGTAGTCCCAGCTACTCTAGAGGCTGAAGCATGAGAATCACTTGAACCCAGGAGGTGGAGGTTGCCATGAGCAGAGATCGTGCCACTGTACTCCAGCCTGGGTGATGGAGCAAGGCTCTGTCTTGGGGCGGGGGGCAGGGCAGGGGAGGGGGGAAAGAAGAGAAACAGCTTTACTTACGTTTTTGATGAGCCTAGCCTTTGCTGTGCTTTGGAAAATGGGCTGTGGAATTTGGCTGAAATAGTCAAATGCGTAGCTGGCTGTATGTGGACTGATAACTGGGCTTATTTTGCTTCTTTTAGATCTGGAAAGACTAAGCGCAAAATAGAAATGCTAATGGTATTGATGTGTTTTTCTTCCTTTGGTGTGATAAAAAGGTATCAGTAGGGATCATTCATAAAACTAGTTAGTAAACTATCAGTTTAATGTACAATGGTGAAGAAATACATACATCATACTTGAGACCATGTTCCAGAGAGTATTTTGTAACCTGTGACGCTCTTTTCAAGTCTTAGAGAGGAAGTATGGAAAGAGCATGCGCTTTTGACTGAGGAGGTCTTGGGTTTAAAGGTCGAATTTTGCCACTTACTTTCTCCATGGCCTTGGTCAACATCCTGAAGTCTCAGGTCCTTGTCTGCCTTTGCTTTGACACGAGATGTTGCCTGCCTCAGGCGGTTGTTGCAAGGACTAAAATCAGGAAGGCCTGGAAAGACTTGGAAGCATTTCTGTCACATCCCAGGAACTCCGTAAATGCCAGCAAGTGTTAGATTATTGTGATGATTTTACTACTCCTATTATTGATATTATAATTAATATTATAATTGTTCATTATTACCTTATAAAAATTACTTATGATATGTTTTTCTTACTATTTGGTGAACATCGAGTATAGTACCAAGTGTATACTTTTTTTTTTTTTTTTTTTTTTTTGAGGTGGAATCTCCTGTCTCCCAGGCTGGAATGCAGTGGCATTTTCTCGGCTCACTGCAGCCTCCGCCTCCCAAGTTCAAGCCATTCTCCAGTCTCAGCCTCCTCAGTGGCTGGGATTACAGGCATGTGCTACTACCCCCGGCAAACTTTTATATTTTTAGTAGAGACAGAGTTTTGCCATGTTCACCAGGCTGGACATGAACTTCTGACCTCAAGGGATCCACCTACCTTGGCCTCCCAAAGTGCTGGGATGACAGGTGTGAGCCACTGCCAATTATATACTTATTTTAGGTGTATTATGCTGTGCCCTGTGCTTTTCTTTGTTATACTGGAAGGTCATGATGGCAGGATGTCTTATTTATGCTTCTCTGTACTCTGTCCTGTCCAGTGCCTTTCAGAAGTAAGGTTTTTAGAAAGGTTTGAGTTATTTCCTGTTTTCTGAACCAGACAGGCAGAGTATTTGATCTTACAAAAATCTGGCTCAGTTCAAGTTAGCTGTGTAGCTTTGGAACGGACCCTGGACAGATGGATTTTCTAAAATTACAGAGGAAACTAGATCTGTAACTCTGTACATTTACTCCTGTGCCAGTAACAATGGCAATATTTTAATACTGTAATAAATTTTTTCTTATGCATTTGCTATAAATTAGTAAATCTGTGTAAAGCTGCTTATTGCATCATCATGTAGAATTTCTACATCCTGCAGAAGTTTAAGAAAATTGTCTTCCTTTTACAGACAAGGACACTGAAGTTTAGAAGTGCTAAGTAAACTGTCTTAGATCACTTAGCTAGCAAGTGACAGGGATGGAATTGAATCTGTATTTATCAGAGGTGAAAGTATATGTGTAATTATTCAACTACACTTAGGTAAATATCCGCATACATGCATGCCTCCCCTTAGACTCCATTGTTCCAAAAGGTAATGACAACAAAAATTAGTCGGAGGCGGAAGGAAATGCAAAAGTGGACATTTACTCGAGAAAGAATAAAGAAACCATGCAGGATTCCATTTCACAAACCTCTACAGCTGTTGCTGGGGAGTCAGTGGAGGGGTACTGGAGGAAGGCAGACTTTGTTCTAAGCTACTTAGCAGCCAAGGAAAGCAGAAGAAACTATTATTATTATTTATTATTATTATGTGAGTTGGAGTCTCCTTGTGTCATCCAGGCTGAAGTGCAGTGGCATAGTCTCTGCTTTCTACAACGTCCACCTCCTGGGTTTAATCGATCCTCCTGCCTCAGCCTCCCAAGTAGCTGGGATTACAGGCACCCACCACTACATCCAGCTGACTTTTGTATTTTTAGTGGAGACAGGGTTTCACCATACTGGCCCAGCTGGTCTTGAACTCCTGACCTCAAGTGATCTGCCTGCCTCAGCCTCCCGATGTGTTGGGATTACAGGTGTGAACCACTGCTTCTGGCCTAGAAACTATTATTAATAGAAGTTCTGGGACAACGGCCCTGCTCTCATTACTTGCCCCCAATCCATGCAATGAAATACTGGCCTGTGAGTATGTGGTCCCTTCAGCTCATTTTCTGAAGCTGACCAAAGGAGCACAGTAATGCATAACGGGGGAGTAAAATTCCTCAAGACGAGCAAAAAAGGCAGAAATTAATAAAACTCTATGTATTAGTTATCTATCACTGCATAACAAGTTACCTCAATATTTAGCAGGTTAATACAATGCACATTCATTATTTTATAGCCTTTGTAGATTAGGAACCAGCCATTGCTTAGCTGGACCATCTGCTTTAGAGTCTCACAGGCTGCATTCAAGGTGTCCACTGGGCTGGGGTCAACTTCTTACCGACAAAGCTGGTGCCCCAAAAGAATGGGGTCTTATCCTGTTGGGTGTCATGAAGCCAACACACAAAACCGAAAGTAGTGTCAAGCAGTACAGGCTTTATTCAATGGCCATGGAATTGAGAAGCAGGAGCATGGCTCACAAATTCACAAATCAGCTTCTCCACTAATGAGGGGTGAGGAAGTTAAAATATAGACTTTGTTGTTGTTGCTGTTTTAATGAAGAGGCTGGACATTAAAATCAAGGGGAGGAATAATCATGTCTTCTCTTGAAATGGGCAGTGAACTTCCCGGAACCAGAGTGTTGCCTTCCTTTTTATCCTTTTATGGCTGCTTCTGATCATTGTCATGGTGATTGTCAACTGTCTTGGCGCTGGTGAGGGGGCTGTTTAGCATGGAAATAGGATTATAATGACACCTGAGGTCTTTTTGAAGTCCTTGGGTCGGCTATCTTGCTTCTAACAAATCTCAGCTGGTCTGGTTACAGAGGGAACTTTTTATCACAGGTGTCCTGTTTCTTAAAGATAAGCAGTGTTATTACAGGGTAGAAATTCACCTATGTCAAGTAGGCATTATACCAGGTAACAATCTCAAGACTCAGCAGGGAAGGATCCACTTGCAAGCCCACGTGCTTGCTGGTAGGACTCAGTTCCTTATGGCCCAGTGGATTGAAGGCTTCCTTTCCTGCCTGGTGTTTGGTTCCTTGCCACGTAGGGATCTCCATCATGGCTGCTGGCTTTATCGAAGCATGTAAGCCAAGAAGGAAATAGAATCCATTGGTAAAATGAAAGTCACAGTTCTTTGTAATGTAACCACGGAAGTGACGTCTTACTGCTTTTGCCATATTCTTTTTGTTAGAAGGAAATCACTGAGTCTGATCGTTGTTAAAGGGGAAAGGATTTCACAGTGGTATGAATCCTGAGAGGCAGGGGTGATCAGGGCCAGCTACCACACTCTACAACTTGAATTTTGTTTTAGATTTCAGTGCCTTTTGGGGACCCTGCTACATTGTGGTAGATTTACTCACAGGACTTGATGATTTTTCTTGACCTGCCTGAAGCCATAGCATTTATTACGGATAAGTTTGTCTTTTCTTCGTTCTTTTTCTGTTTGCATCCTTTCGTCATCCTTTTCTTCCCTCTTTCTGGACTGAGAGAGGCACCAAATGCACCCATTTAAAACATATATGCATTTCTGCTTTCTGATGGGAGGTAAGATTTAGTCATTTAATAAGAAAGCTTATGAAAAGAATAAACAAACTGGTAGATAATGTATCCTAAAGTCAAGTATTTGCTTTCATGTTGCTTTAGTAGAAGGGGCCCTTGTTAATCGATGGCCCAAATTGTCTTTCTCAAGAAATGTGTATTGCAGAATTTGGATTTGAGTTACAAAAACTAGCCAGAAAGCGTGAACTTTTTTTTTTTTTAAGCCATAAAGCTTGGTAAGGCTAGCCAATCATTTCAAAGCCTGTGTAGAATATCTAGACTATATGTAATCCTAGGATTTGTTGTTGTTTTGTTATGATTTTTTTTAAGCAGGAAGCTAAAAAAAATAACCACCCGTTACTTTGCTGCTTTTAGAAAATAGGTTTGAGATTGATTTTGAATACTAAAGTATAGTTTTCATGTTATAAAGCCAACCATGTTAAAAATGTATAATAAAGTATCTAATTTAGCAAAATTCAAATTTCCCCTATGAAATATCAAGCTCTTTTTATGCTTCTTCACATGGCACCTTGTGTAGAATTTGAACCACTTTAAACATTGCATCCTTGAGTTGCATATGATGGGATCTCTTGAATCATTTACATTTTGAAAAAAGAAAGTGAAATATTCTTTAAGAAGCCAAAGTAATCCACGAGAATGTATGGTGTTTGTTCAGCTGGATATCTTATTTATTTGAAGTACTGAGAGAGAAATCTTTTCTGACTGCTCAAAACAGGGAATAATAAACAGTCAGAGTGTCCAAGTAATCTGAGCTAGAAAGTTCCTTCTTTCAGAGAAAAGTTATAAAAAGTATATTTGCCGGATCCAAAAAAAATACTGTGTATCAACTACTGAGACCTGCATAATGTTTTCTTAGTATTCTCACTCTTTAAAAGAAAAAAGAAAACCTGTAAAATTTGGGAACTTAAACTTTTTTTGATATTTTAATATTTCTAGGCAGGTGAGTGCAATAAGTCTGTTTTTTGATCTTAGAACATAACATTTCTTGTTGGCTATTGTGTGTGCTATGTGTATGATTTGTCTCTTTGTTAATTCTCTATAAATATAAAAGAGCAAGTAATGAAATTACCATGGCTGAATTCTGAATATTAACCCAGAGCAGATTTCCTCTAAGAAAGATCATAAGAAGATGCTTAAAAGAAAACATTATATTTCAAAAGAATTAGGTTCTGAAATATACCCAATAATGAAAACAATACAATTTTCTTCTGCTTTTTGTCCTTCCTGTTCCAAGCACTGGGAAGGAGCTGGCATATTTCTTATGTATGAAAAGTAGAATAATATATTGGATTCCTTTATCCCTAACCCGGAAGAGTCTTTCTTGGACTGTGGTTTGCTTTCCCGTTATACTTAAGCTTGTTTATTGCATCTTCCGATGTCACATTATCTCATTGCCAAGCTAAAGGCTCTGTTGGGTTCTTAGTTGAACCCAGAGTGGAGGCCGATTTCATCCAAAGCCATTTTTTTTAAAATTAGAAATTAAACTCACCTTTGGCAAGTCCTCCTGACCAGGGATGGGTCCTCATGTTAGTCTGTAATGTGAAGATATGAAATGTATTTGATACAATAGGAGATTCACTGTGATTTTCACTGAATGAGTATACATTCTGCAGAACTAGAAGATAAAGATAATAAAACAATTCACATTTCTTAGGACTAATTTATTTTCCACAGTCCACTACCAACATGGTGGGATGGGGAGGAGCTGAGAAGAGCATATTTGGCTGAGTTTGGTTGCAGAAGGATGCAATGTGAGGTAGCAGAAGGGGCTGTAAGAACACAGGATTTTGAAGTTGAAGAAACCAGCCTGGAATGAATCCCAGCCCTTCCTTTTAGTGACCTGCTGGCCAGCCACATTACCTCCTTGGGCTTTGGATTTTCTTTTTCACTGTAAAATGGGGAAAGTAGCTCCCACATCTTTGGGCTGTTGGTGGGAGGTGTGCAGGACACAGCTGAAACCTTTGGTGTATAGTGGATACTAAAGCAATGCTAGTCTTCTTCGTGTGCTACCAGTTAGAATGAATTTTGCTGACATCTTACTGGTTTCTGAGGGTATACAGACACTTATTGTCAAAGATATTATTGATTATCTGATCCCCAAACATATGGAGTTACATCACAGCAGGTGAGAAATACCCTTCAACTCTTGATTCTAAGGAAAATCCTTGGGGAGCCGCCATCATTCCTTCCACGAAGGAATGAAATTATAACGTAATGTATTGTTGGAGCCCTTAGTTCAACACTGTCTTTTTTCAGGTCATATTAATGCAATGGTTAGCATATCAACTTCCTTCTGTTTTTAGTGACTCTAATACATTATATTCACCTTGTTCTCTGCATGTTCTTTCTTTAAGTCATGTTAGATCCCTTTTTTGGAAGCAGGTCAAATTTGAATTAATAAAATGATTTATGTTGAAGTACAGGCATATCCCACAGAATCTCTTAATACCAGGCCAAAAGTAACTTTATCTTGATCTGTAGTTCGGACATATTTCTTGGATTGTCCGCACTCATAAAAAGAGATTGCGTAACACCCTTTGAACAAATGGATATTTGAGAACCATCCTGTCTTCAGATTTAGATTTTTTCAATTTTTTTTTACTGTCATATGATTCACATGCTAGTTACTGATTGCTATCATGCAGTCTGCCAGCAGACCAGATGGCAGATCTTTTAATTAGATATGTTTGTGTGTGTATGCATGTGTGTGTACATGTAATCACAGTTCATCAAGGACCTAATAAATACTTTTTTCTCTCTCTCTCTTTTTTTTTTTTTTTTTTTGAGACGGAGTCTTATTCTGTTGCCCAGGCTGGAGTGCAGTGGCGGATCTTGGCTCATTGCAACCTCTGACTCCCAGGTTCAAGGGACTCTCTTGCCTCAGCCTCCCGAGTAGCTGGGACTGTAGGCATGCACTACCACACCTGGCTAATTATTATGTTTTTAATAGAGACTAGGTTTTACCATGTTGGCCAGGCTGGTATCGAATTCCTGACCTCCATGTGATCGGCCTGCCTTGGCCTCCCGAAGTGCTGGGATTACAGGCATGAACCACTGTGCCTAGCCTTAATAAATACGTATTTATGTCTTTCGATCTTTTTCTGTTTTTCTACATTCCGTTTCCCCTATGGCTGCTATTGTTTTCCAGTGAGCTATTTATATATATATATACATATTTTTGAGAGGGAATCTTACTCTGTTGCCCAGGCTAAAGTACCATGTCAAGATTATGGCTCACTGCAGCCTCATGAGCCTCAACCTTCTTGGCCTAAGTGATCCTCCTCTCTCAGCCTCCCGAGTAGCTGGGATTACAGGCACCTGCCTTCATGCCTGGATAATTTTTTGTATTTTTGTGAAGACGGGTTTCATCATGTTGGCCAGGCTGCAGCTATTTATATCTTATATGTGTATTTGTAAAAAATTTATTCCTCAGCCCTGTGTGGTAGCTCACTTCTGTAATCCTAGCACTTTGGGAGGCTGAGGTGGGAGGATTACCTAAGGTCAGGAGTTTGATAATAGCCTGGCCAATATGGTGAGACCCTGTCTGTACTAAAAGTACAGAAATTAGTTGGGCATGGTAGCGGTGCCTGTAATCCCAGCTGCTTGGGAGGCTGAGGCAGGAAAATCGTTTGAACCCGAGAGGTGGAGGTGGCAGTGAGTGGAGATCACGCCACAGCACTTCAGCCTGGGCGCATGAGCGAGACTATGTCTCAAAAAAAAAAAAAAAATTTCTTATTCAGTTGATTTAAGATGGTTTATAAAGACAACATGAGCTAGCGGTAGAAATGCGAATGGACGCTTGTAGACAGTAAGGACTCAATACGTGGGTTTGTTCAAGTTATATTGTGCAGACAGGCATATGCAGTTAGAAAATCTGTCTAGGGTAGGGAGAGATAAAACCAGCTACTTCAGCCCTGCTATTTTTATCCTGAAGATTTTTTTTTTACTCTGTTTATGAATAAAACATTTTAATCAGTGCTGTATCAACACTGATCAATTTTTTTCATGGAAGTGTAATACAGGGTGAATTCCATTAAGTCAATTAAATACTTAGATCCAGTTTTTAAACAGTGCGAAGATAGTTAAGCTCTTCTTTTATTGAAAGCCTTTTTACCAAAACCATTTTTTTTTATTTTATAGTGAAGATTTCATGTATCTGTTTTCTGTACATGCCAAGTTTTACAGCTTTTTGTATCATGAGTTTTCTTTTGCATCAATTATTTCTACCAAGTCCAACTTGTAGATTGGGCAGATCTGGATTTCACCACACCTGGTTTTTGTTGTCATTGAGTTTTTGTGATGGGGTGATTTCAGTGAGAAATATATGCCATTAATTTGATGAAAAATCAGTATTTATTTATTAACTAATACCCAAGAAATTCCCCAGCAAGCCTCTTCCAGTATTCTAGAGTTTCTCGTTTCTTGAGGATTGGTCTCCGGGCATACTCCTAATCTAATTGTTTCCCAAACTTTCAATGTTTTGGATGACTTTGGAAGCCTTGATTTCTGTAGGCTGTAGCAGGACAAATTCTGATGGACAGATCAAGATGTTCTATGTTGCTCTAAAACAGCATCTCTCAAACTTTTTTGGACCACTATCTAAGTTTTTTCTGTTAAAACCCAATACATTTATACTTATGTATATTCGTGTGTGTGTGTGTGTGTGTGTGTATTATATGCATGTGTGTGTATTTGTCTGAAATAAAAGTTTTACAAAATGATACTTTTATCTGAGCAGTGTCCTGCTGTTTTTTTTCCCCTAGGTTGTGTTTTTGTGTTTTTGTTTGTTTGTTTGTTTCTTTGTTTGTTTTTGAGACAGAATTTCACTTTTGTTGCCCAGGCTGCAGTGCAATGGCACGATCTCTGCTGACCCCAAGCTCCGCTTCCCAGGATCAAGCGATTCTCCTGCCTCAGCCTCTTGAGTAGCTGGGATTACAGGCATGCGCCACCATACCTGGGGAATTTTTTTTTGTATTTTTAGCAAGGTTGTTGATCAGGCTGGTCTCGAACTCTCAACGTCAGGTGATCCATCCTCCTCAGCCTCCCAAAGTGCTGGGATTGCAGGCTTGAGCCACCGTGCCCACCTGTGTTTTTTGTTTTGTTTTTGTGTATGTGCCAATGATGACCCAGTTTCAATACCAACTGTTGCTTTCACCACCCACTATTGGTTTCACCACCCCGCTAGATCACAGTCTGTTCTTTGGCAGTCACTGCCCCAATACTGTTTGATGTGCTCCCCTCTGATAAATGTTCATTGAGTGCCCCACATGTCAGGTACTGACTTAAGGCATAGCAAATGCAAAAATGAGCAAGGTGTTCTCTTGGCTCTATGGGTGCCTACCTTAGAAGGATGGAGATGGGAAGAATGTGAAAGGGAGGTGAGATGAGCAGCACTGGGATGTGTGGCTTTTCTGTCTTGAGGATAGATAGAAGAGGAGTCAGATAAAGTTGCAGAACAGAGATGACGTCTTTACTGAGACTTGAATGATGTGTCGGAGGCAAACATGTTGACACAAACGAGAGAATTTTAGGTTCTCTTTGTAGCTGTGGCTGGGCTGGGACAAGGACGATGGACAAAGTTATGGGGGTGCTAAAAACCTCAGTAATGAAGATAAATGATATTCTAATCTAATATTTTAAAAAATCGAGGCTAGGTGTGGTGGCTCATGCCTGTGATTCCAGCATTTTGGGAGGCCAAGGTGGACGGATCACCAGAGTTCAGGAGTTTGAGACCAGCCTGGCCAAAATGGTGAAATGCCATCTCTACTAAAAACACAAAAATTAGCTGGGTGTGTGGTAGTGTGTGCCTGTAGTCCCAGCTACTCTGGATGCTGAGGCACGAGAATTGCTTGAACCTGGGAGTAGGAGGCTGCAGTAAGCTGAGATCATGCCACTGCACTCCAGCCTGGGTTAACAGAGCAAGACTCTGTCTCAAAAAAAAAAAAAAAAAAAAAAAAAAATCAAAATTGATGCAAAAAATATGATAACATTTCAAAATTTAAATCAAGACAAATTCAATATTATAGCAAAGGTTCAAGTAATGAACATGAATTTGTAATGATGCCTGGGGGAGGTGAAGGTTAAAAAAAAAAAAAAGGCCACCAAGGACCTCATGTTAAAGTTGATGATGACGGAAGTGAGCAGTGATGATGAGATTTAAAAAACTAACTTTTATTTTTACATTATTTTAACTAGTATTTGTGTTAACATTATTTTAATCTCCTGTGCACTTAAGGGAGCTGGCATAGGCCGGCAGTGGCTATAGGCCAGGACCTGTGCTATGTAGCTTATCTATTTCTCATGCTGATTCTACTTTTGTTACTACCGAAGGAGCTTAGAGGGAATCAGTGACGTGGACAAGGCTATGTAACTAAAGGGGGTGGAGGAGGATTCAAGCCCCTTGCAACGGACTGAAGTGCCCAAGCTCTAAATCCCTGCCACCCACAGCCTCTGTTGGCCCCAGGTTGTGTCTGAGATTCAGAGGTTGTTTTTATAGCAGCAACACAGTAAGTTGGGAAGAGGGACACATTTTTAACATAGACACCAAAAGAGAGGCTGGAAGAGTTGACCACTTAGAAATGTCACGAGTGTCTGTGAATAGTGTTGGGGGCTGAGAGGCAAGAGAAGAAAATAGTCCTAATGTTGTACAAGTAGCAATGGAAACAAACTTGTTAAAAAAAATTTAATTTTGTTTATGCATGTGTGCATAAACAAAGCAATAGAAAATATTTGATATTTAAGATTGAGCACTTAACAAAATACTTTGTCTCTTTTTGGTTTGCTGTCTTAAGCAATAGCCTTAAATTCTTGTCCCAGGGATACCTGATAGAGCTAATATAGAACAATATTTTAACATAATTTGAAGTATTTTTTTCTTCTGATGGGTATGTAGTTCATTTTTATAAAAAAATTTAAAAATTCTGAATCTGTGGTGTTTCTGAAACATCCTGATATATTTTTTGTTGATGACTCTTAACAAAGGATGTAAGACAGATTCTAAGAAGAGAAAAGGTAGAATATCCACATGTCTCAGTTTCATAATATGTGTAAAAATTATCATGCCCATTCATTATTTAAAGTGCTGTGGCTTTTTAGTGAATACCAACATTAACAAACCATGTTAACATGATTTAAAATATGTAATGAAATTTGCAATGCATCAGATGATGGAACTATCAAATTAGTTCACGTGGCGTTGGCTGATCACCCTTATGAAGAGTTACTTGCATTGTTTGAAGAGGGAAGATGCACATCCCCTTGTGGGCTGGCAGCATTTTTGCTAACACTGCCTTAAATGATGCTACTGGCAGGATGGTTAATTTGATGTTGAAATGTCACACAATATGTGCCCACCCTACGATTTGAATCTTCTGTGCCGTTAAGGGAATTGGCAGTGTTCAGACAGAATGGTAACATTCTCTCTGATCGTGTCTGTGTCTGCACCCTTTTTTGTTTTGTTTCTGTTGTCTTCATTAATAGACCTTTCAGGAACCTTCCTGGGATCTCAGATAACAGTTCTTCTGGAACAGGATTATCCAGAGGTAGCAAAAGCTCTCCTGCAAATATTCCATTGCACGACTTTAAATAAAGCAGCAAGAAGTCTTTTCATTCAGTTCAGATTTGCTACTTGTTCTCTTGGTTCCTTCAAAGTAATGACTAAGTACAGGTCTTTAGATAGAGAGCTGCACCAACCAGGTATTGCTTCGTGTCTTCCACGTACGTCCTGAGAAAGCGAAGGTGAATTTCACCAATTGGTAGGTGGAAATAGAAAAACTGTTGATTCTTTTTTTCATTCACCAATCTTTTTTTTCCCCAAATGCTAAGCTTTATTTGGGGAAATCTTAACAGCCGTTTTTATAAGACTCTGCATTTACAACATTTGTGGGGGCTGCAGAGGACGCACATGAAAATAACATGAACTGGCCATGTACGGTGGCTCATGCCTGTAATCCCAGCACTTTGGGAGGCCGAGGCAGGTGGATCACCTGAGGTCAGGAGTTCGAGACCAGCTTGGCCAACATGGTGAAACCTCATCTCTACTAAAAATACAAAAATTATAGCTGGGCGTGGTGGCGGGCGCCTGTAGTCCCAGCTACTTGGGAGGCTGAGGCAGGAGAATGGCCTGATCCCGGGAGGCGGAGCTTTCAGTGAGCCAAGATCGCCCTACTGCACTCCAGCCTGAGCGTGAGACTCTGACTCAAAAAAAAAAAAAAAAAAATTAGCTGGGCGTAGTGGCAGGTGCCTGTAATCACAGCTATCCAGAGGCTGAGGCACCAGAACTGCCTGAACCTGGGAGGCGGAGGTTGCAGTGAGCCAAGATGGTGCCACTGCACTCCAGCCTGGGTGACAAAAAAAAAACTTTACCTGGGCTTAGTAAGTTGCCTGACTTCTCATCCTGGAGTTCGTATCCCCTTGTTTCTAGAAGAGAAATCCCTCAGATGTGAAGGTGTGTTCCATGATTTTGTCGAACTTGCCCTACATACTGTTTTATTATATATTCTGCCCACTTCTATTCCCTGCCAATTAATTAATTGTTTCATTGGTATAGTTTTTTTTTTTTTTTTTTTTGATACAGGGTCTTACTGTGTTATTCAGGCTAGAGTACAGTGGCGTGATCACAGCTCACTGCAGTCTTGACCTCCCAGGCTCAAGCAATCCTCTGGCCTCAGCCTCCCAAGTAGCTGGGACTATTGGCAATGCCACCATGTTCGGCTAATGTTTTTAATTTTTTATAGAGACAAGGTTTCCCTATGTTGCCCAGGCTGGTCTGGAACTCCTGTGCTCAAGCCATCCTCCCACCTCAGTCTCACAAAGTGCTGGGATTACAGGTACAAGCCACCATGTCAGGCCATTGGTATACCATTGTTTTTCTTAAACATTTATTTATTTTCTTATATTTACAGCATATGTGGTCATTTAAAATTATTTTATAGCATATAAAAGTAAAAAGAATATAAATTAATTTTTTAGCATTAATATTAGGGAAGATAATCTGACATTTAAAAATACATGTCTATATGTGTATACATACATAGAAGTATATATATAAATACCAGTACTAGTGTCTGCTAATAGGTGGCGCCACTTTTTATCTGTGTGTGTTGGGGGTGGAATTAGCATGTAGAGGTTGGCAAAGGGGACAGGAGACTGTGGGATGATTAGTATATTCTTATTTGGCCTGGGAGGGAAAAAAAATCTTTCATTTCCAACAATATTCATTCTCTGTGTCACCTCAGCATTTAATTTACTTCCGTCACAAAACTACTTGAAGTTGTCCCAGGCTAGTTGGTCCTATTAATTACAACCTAGAGGGATTCTATTAGTAAACTAATGGATTACAGTACCTAAATGGAAGCCAGCAGATGACTTTGGAAGGACTGATCCGCAAGGGCCTTCTGTGTGAAGATTAAATGAAGCTTCCTTTAGCCTTCTCAGGTGGCCACAGTTTCCCATAACCTTAGAGATTATCTAGGCCAAGGCTATTAATTTAGAGATTAAGAAGCCAAACCCAGAAAGGTTGAAAGACTGTCGTAAGTTCACACTGAAAGAGAGTGGTGTAATGCCCTTTTCACCAGGCTCCAAGAAATTTGCCTATTTTATGTTTTAACGGACATGGTATCCCCAGCATTTTTAATAAATGCCCTTTTCTTGCATAAGTAACTGGATATTTCCGAGTGGCCTACAAGTGGAGCGTGATTTCATCTTTCATCAAGAGAAGCAGCTTTTCCTCCTCTTGTATCCGTTTTCTTCCTTTTCTAACTATCAAGGTCATGCGGTATCTGCCATTTTGCATATTCTTGCTTTGCTTCATGTTTTCCTTAAACTCTGTGCACATGAATATTTGTGGTATATGGCTTAATTGTAAGCGATCAGGCATCAATGGCTTTTTATGAGGCAAAATCTACTTTCTGCATTTGCGTGTGCCATTATTATAGATTGCTGATGTTTGCCAATGGATATTCTTGGAAGTCGTCTTCTGGTTTAAATGCAGTTAAGTATTTAAAAATAATACCAGTGACATGTTTGCATTTACATTCAGCCTGAAGGCCTACTTGATGCTGCAACTGAAAAATTGTTAGACTAGATTTTATTTTATTTTAATTCTTTTTGAGACAGGGTCTTAGTCTGTCACCCAGGCTGCTGGAGTGCAGTGGTGCAATCATGGCTCACTGCAGTCTTGACCACCCTGGCTCAGGTGATCCTCCCACCTCAGCCTCCCGGGTAGTTAGGGCTACAGGCACACGCCAGCACACCCAGCTAATTTTTTGTATTATTTATAGAGTTGGGTTTTTCACCATGTTGTTCAGGCTAGTGTTGAACTCCTGGGCTCAAGCAATCCGCCCACCTCGGCCTCCCAAAGTGCTGGGATTACAGGCATGAGCCACTGTACCTGGACTCCACTATGCCTTCCCCTCCCCTTCCCTCCCTTCCCCACCCTAAAGAGTCTCGCTCTTTTCCCCAGGCTGGAGTGCAGTGGCACTATCTGGGCTCACTGCAACCTGTGCCTCCCGGATTCAAGAGATTCTTGTGCCTCAGCCTTCCAAGTAGCTGGTTTTGCAGGCATGCACCACCACACCCAGCTAGTTTTTCTATTTTTAGTAGAGGCGGAGTTTCACCAAGTTGGCCAGGTTGTTCTCAAACTACTGACCTCTCCTCGGCCTTGCAAAGTGCTGGGATTATAGGTACCCCGCCTGGCTGATACTTTCCTTAGTTGTTTTCAGTGTAATAACCTGTCTTCAGTCTACTCTTTGTCCTTTTCTCTCCTTTCCTCCCTGAATACTCAAGCTTCCAGTGCACAGATTTCTCCAACCCTGAATGTGACTGATACCAACACCATACTAGCTCTTCCACAGATGCCTGTTTGTTTTGCAGAACACTGGCCTGAATGACTCAGACTTGGAGCTTGAAAGAGGGAGAACTGATGTGGCCTGTGGCAGACGTGTCCAATGACCTGCTGTGTCCTTGCTTTTGAAGAACTAAAGAGTAGACTTGACCACTTTTTAAACATGACATTCGATCCACGTGGCATAGCAAGGATGGGATCCACAAGATGGAGTGATCTTTACGCCATCCTCCTGACCATAAATACTAAATGAATACTCTATTTCAGTTGAGTTTTTAGTTTGCTCTGTTACGTGAGGACACATCACTTGCACCTCAGTGTGAGTTTGAAAGTGTTTTCTCTGGAGAATAATTCTGAAGAAATAGGCCCTCCAGATATCAGTAGTGACAGGGGTATCAGTAATGTTGATTACTAAGTTCTTGCCACAGGTAGAAGCCATGCTACTGCACAAGTTTCATACTTGAAGAGTGGACATCTGACACAGTGTTGGTGGTTGTTGAAGTGTATGACTATTACTGTGTTGCTTTGGAAGCTTGATGCCATAACAAAAGTGCAGAATTCCATGTTTGATAACTTTCTGACTTGATGAAAATGAATTGTGGATACAGATTTCACTATCCATGAATTGTGGCCTTAACTTTCTCATGTACTTACTTTAAATCAGAGAGCCCACCTGTCCAATTCTAGCTTCTCCTGGGCATCCTGTATTTGACACAGCCCCTCCCAGCATTCTGAGTCATCGTCTGCTGCTCTTGCACTGTCCGTTTTCCAAATGAGGAACTCATCGGTAAGGCCAGAAAGGAAAGGGAGAAAAAACAAACAAACAAACAAACAAAAAATAGGAAAAAAAGAAAGAGCGTATTTATAGATGGTAGAGAATTCTGGGCATGAGAAACCCAGCCAAACAAGTGGAATGTGTGCATAGGTGGGACTGCTGATCTTGTTTTATGAAAGAAATAAAGGCAAGTCAAACAGATCCTTTCGCAAGGATCCCCATGTGTGTATGTCTAACCCAGTGACAGGTAAGGCAGCCAGGAGCTGCTGTTATTTCAGTGCAAAGCTGTTTTCACAATCACAGACATGCACAGCTCAAAAACCCTCACAGGTCACGCCTGAATACCTTCAATGTGCCCCATGTAAAAATACACTGCAAGTCGATTGGACATGCCCTATGAATTATACCTTATTTATGATCGTCGAGCCCTCCCTTTTCCCGTCATGCTTTAGAATTATGGGCTGGAGCAGTTTTTAATACTCTATTTATTTTAGGGGAGGAAAATGTTTTTCTTTAACCACAACATTCATGCAATACCAACTGCTGGCAGTTTCCCCAGCATTTAAGGAAATATTGTTGTAAGACTTTTATGTTCTGTACTTCAATCAGCTAGAGCCAGCAGTATCCCAATGGAAGGACCCTCAACAGACCATTTTCAGCATTTTGCTACAATTAAACTCCTCTGGTTTTAGCCCTCAGGCAATTTAGTACCTTTTTACATATGCACATTATGAACTTTTGACCAGGGTCTAGCAGTCATATATTAGAATGCTGCTCTTGAAGGCAGGCTTAACAAGTTCCTCTGAGTATTACAGTTGGAGTCAGTTGTGGAAAAGGTAATTTAAGCAACTTGCAGCGAGGCCATTCAGAATCTCAGCGATGATCCTAAATATCTTTCTCTCTTGCTCACGCTCTTTTTTTTTTTTCTTGTTTCCTCTGGAAGCTGGTAGCAGGAGCTTTCAAAGTCTGTGATTGATCTTTTATTCAGTAGCTAACGAGGGCTGTGATTCTATTAGCGCACTACAAGGCAAGAGAACAGTGATTTAATGAAGTGTCTAGTGAGCCGGCCATAGATTTATCCTGTTGTCGCTAATTTGCAGCGCACTTGCCAGCATAAAGGAAACTGCACTCACACTGCTATTAAGCAGGTATTTCCTTAGTAAATTGTTGTAAGGTCAGGTACAGTTATCTGAGCAAAAGCAATGCCTTACCTCTTCAGTGTCTGCAAATGACAGCCGCCGTGCTGAGCGCTCACTGAAGTGGAACCGGGAGATCAGAGGTCCGTCTCCAAGTCGCCCTTAGCGGAGGCAGGAGCAGATGAACTGCCAAGTAGGAGTAATAGAGTCATAATTGGTGATTAGAACTGGAAAGGTGCAATAACATCTTAATACAAACTGGCGTATGTTATAGTTACTGTCAGTTGTTGTAAACTCGTCCTGCCGCCTGGACTAGTTACGCTTCCCTTGATTAGCTCTGAGAAACGAGGCAGCGGGCACTGGGGCAGCCACATAGACAACATCTAAATTTTTGTTGCTTTCCTGGGTCTTGCCCTGTCCTTACTGTTTCCCTTGGGCACGCTGTTCACCCCTTAGGACATACTACAGTAACCTTTTCCCACCACCGTGGGAGGACTGTGATTTTGTAAATGTCCTCTGATCTCTCCTCTTTGCAGGCGCAGTGACATTTATGCACACTGGCTTTGAGGCTCATTGATCTTTTGTTTTATTTGCCTTTGCTGAGGCAGGGGCAGGTCTTTGTTTCATGTCAGATCCGTATCCCACTGCAATTCTGTGTTACTGTAGGAGATTTGGGGTTGGCATGCCAGAGTGAAAACGCGAAAGAAAATAAACAGGCAGCACTGAGGAATTATACACTTGAGCTTGGCATTTTTCTTAACGCAGGGCTATTTTAGGTGCACTGCGCATGTTGGAGGTGCCCTTGCAGGTATAGGTAGGCATTGTCCATCCGTGGTAAAAAGCAATAGAAGAAATTCTTACCCGATGCTTAATGAATTGCCAGGCTGGTTAAAAAGGATAACCCTTGAAACCTAGGGTGTCCAACTGCTAATTTATATAGACTGGAGATATTTCCATGCCTCGCAGCAAAATTTTTCTTTAAATTCACAGAAGCAGCAGCTATCCAGCATTGTCCAGTTGTGCTGAGTAGCTGTCATTATTGATAAACATGTAACTGGTCATTTGTATTGTTTTGAGTAGGATATGGCTTATCAGGATGCATAGTAGAGAAAAATGAGATGAGGTAATGAGATCACATACACTGAAGCATCTTACGAATCTGGCACATAGTAGGTTCTCAATAAATCTTTTTTGATTCTGTGACTGTTAGAATCTGTTGGCTGATACTCTGTCATCTGGCTCTCACTCTGCTCCATAAAACTTGGGTAATTCTAATGCTTACTTCATCCCAGGGCTGATGTGTGTTAGGTTAGGGTTTATGATCAAGTAAAGAGTTTAAAGAAGTGTTTTATGAGGGAGTTTTGTTTGCAAATGATCACCTGGTAATTTAAGAGGGTGAGCTAAACTTCCTCCTTTTCTAGTATGGACCTTTGGGGCTCAGGATGAGGATGTTCAATTTGTACTGCTGGTGGAGCTGCCTTTCCATTAAGTGAGTCTTTCTCCAAGGGAACAGAAGTCTTAGGTTGTTGATCTGGCGGTCAGAACCTAGGACAGGCAAGGCAGTGGGCTGTTGTAGAGGAGATGAAGCTGATCAGAGCACACCCACACCAGTGACAACCGGTCAGGACCTGGGAAGGGCTCTGACCCATTCATCTGAGAGATGTGGCATGAGGAACACTGAGACCTAATGCTTATTGCTTAATATTGTGGACAAGGGACTCTGTGGGTTGTCTAGTACTAAGCAGAATGGAAGGGAAGGATGGAAGGAAGAGAGGGAGAGACGGAGGGAGATGGAGGATGACAGGGAGATGGAGGGAGGCAAAAAGAAAAAGGGAGAAGGAAAGAGAGGAAAGAGGGGAAGGGAGGAAGGAAAGAAGAGAGAGAAGGAGGAAGAGAGGGAAGGAGGCACAGAGGTAGAGAGGCAGGGAGATAATGGAGATCCTGGCCAAAAGTTAATGCTCCGTTTCTAGTAGTCCACAGAAAGCACCTTGACCAAGTGACTGAATACAAATCGTATCACAAACTACTAGGATTTCTTGGGTGCTTACCATGTGCCATATTTCCTTGAATCTTCATGACGATCCTTCAAGGGATCCTTGTTTTCTAAAGGGTAAAGGTGCAGGTTAGAGGCTATGTCAGAAGCAAGTCAGGATTTGAAGGCAGATCTGTCTGCTTTTGCCCCTCTGTAAATCCAGAGCTGCTGCCTCATTTCTTACGTTGCCCCCACCCGTGCAGCAATTCTTCCTGGGAGGCCTCATTGTTCATATTCATAAAGGGCCCCATTCAGTCTCCTTTTTGGAGAAATGGCCACTGCAACTCTCTGTTCTGACCTGGGGGGAAATGTTAGACCCTCAATAAGGAGAATCAGAGAAAGAAGAAATAAAACATATTACTCCATTCCCATACTTCTGTGAAGAAATACCCGAGACTGGGTAATTTATAAAGAAAAAGAGATTTACTGAACTCAGTCGTTTCACCTGGCTGGGGAGGCCTCAAAATTATGGCAGAAGGCAAAGGAGGAGCAAAGGCACATCTTACATGGCAGCAGACAAGAAAGCGTGTGCAGGGGAACTGCCCTTTATAAAATCACCAGATCTCATGAGATTTATTCACTATCAAGGGAACAGCACAGGCAGATCCCATGGCTTTGACTCAGTTACCTCCCACTGGGTCCCTACCATGACACATGGGAGTTCTGGGAACTACAGTTCAAGATGAGATTTGGGTGGGGACACAGACAAATTGTATCATAGAATCATAAAAATTGCTATTTCTAAGGCAGATGAATAATCCTGGTTGGAAATCATACTGATTTAGACTTAAAACCATTCAGCCTTCTTTACCATTTCTGAATGTGGCCCTGAGGGAGGATTTGTCTTTTGCTATTTTCTTTTTTTAAGAGATGGGGTCTTGTTGTGTTGCCCAGGCCACTCTCCAACTCCTAAGCTCAAGCAGTCCGCCTGCATCGGCCTCCCGAAGTGCTGGGATTACAGGTGTGAGCCACCACACCCAGCCTGGGGGAGGGTTTGTTAAAGAACTGTCTGTTTTATCACATGACCACAAGTTAAAATGTTGGGCAATGTCCCTGAATGATACCTTTTCATTAGTAACTCACATGGACCCATAATCTCTGAATTTAACATGCTTTTCAGGAATGTGTTCATATTTTCCACCTATAAAACCTGTTTTAGTAATTTACTCCCTTGTAAATGTTCCTTGGTATGTAAATTTAGCATATTTCCTTTTAATTGCCCAGGTAAATAATACCCACCATCAGAGGGCACCAGTAGTGTAATCACCTTATTTTTTAAAATGTATTCTGTGTTTCATGATTTTTTCTGAATAACTGATCTTTACAGTCTGAATTGCATTCTGTTGGGCTTGACTTATTTTTAAATTAAAAGAGACTAACACATTAAACACTAAGAGGTCACATAGGATATTCCATTTATATAAAATATGCAGAGTAGGCAAATTCATAAAGACAGAATACGCATCGGTGGTTTCTGGGGCGGCGGGGAGTATGGAAAGCCTGTTAATGAGTACAAGTTTCTTTAGTTTTTTTTGGTTTTTTGTTTTTTTTTTGAGACGGAGTCTTGCTCTGTTGCCCAGGCTGGAGTGCAGTGGCACCATCTCTGCTCACTGCAAGCTCCGCCTCCCAGGTTAATGCCATTCTCCTGCCTCAGCCTTCCTAGTAGCTGGGACTATAGGTGCCCGCCACCATGCTTGGCTAATTTTTTGTGTTTTTAGTAGAGACGGGGTTTCATCGTGTTACCCAGGATGGTCTCGATCTCCTGACCTTTTGATCAGCCTGCCTTGGCCTCCCAAAGTGCTGGGATTACAGGCGTGAGCCATTGCACCCGGCTATTGGGTACAAGTTTCCTTTGGGGTGGTGAAACTGTTTTGGAACTAGAGGTGATAGCTCTACAACACTGTCAATGTACTAAATGACACTAAATTGTACACTTTGAAATAATTTATGTTATGTGAATTTCATCTCAGCAAAAAGAGGCTAACACATAAGGAGACATATTTTGATACATGTGGCATATTAAGCTGCTGTTGTTGTTTTTTAAATATTCCAGCTGCGTGCAGTGGCTCACACCTGTAATCCCAGCACTTTGGGAGGCTGAGGTGGGTGGATCACTTGAGGTCAGGAGTTCGAGATCAGCCTGGCCAACATGGTGAAACCCTGTCTCTACTATAAACTCCGTCTCTACTATAAATACAAAAATTAGCCAGGCTTGGCGCTGGGTTTCTGTAATCCCAGCTACTTAGGAGGCTGAGACAGGAGAATCACTTGAACCCGAGAGGCAGAGGTTGCAGTGAGCCGATATCTCACCTCTGCACTCCAGCGTGGGCAACAGAGCGAGACTCCGTCTCAAAAAAAAAAGCACAAAAAATTTTTTTCTTCCATCTGTATCACACAGTTGCAACGTTGTAGCATGGGCAGGAAATAATTGGGTTGTATG
This sequence comes from Homo sapiens, assembly GCF_000001405.40. Lineage (NCBI taxonomy): Eukaryota > Metazoa > Chordata > Mammalia > Primates > Hominidae > Homo > Homo sapiens. The sequence goes on from NC_000016.10 coordinate 78,466,937, forward strand.
TAATGCCCAGTAAAGTAAACAGATCTTAGAGAGGGACACCGATCCCTACCCTGCATGGGGTTATTCACAGAGCCATGGGGACACTAAACGTACCTTATCTCTTGACCATGCTATTGATTAGTTATGTGTTTGCCTGTGTTATTAATAATGTATACATTGAAAAATCTATGTGCATTATAGTCTTTGATCTTGTCATGAATTTCAAAGCCAAAGATTCCATTTTCCTTCTTTTTAAAAAAAATTTTTCAAAGAGGTAGGCTGGAAGTAAATTTAAAAATTTTCCCCTTTCTGGCAGAGGGCTTTTTTCTGATCACCACCCATGTTAATTAGATATGCATGTATGTGTATGTATGATGTATATACCCATATACACACAGTCTATATATACATGTATGCGCACATACACATATTTTAAGGAAAGAATTATAAAATGATCAATTCAAGCTTACTATATGCTAGAGGTGAGGAATATTTGAATACAAGTCTTATCTAGTAGATTAAAACAGAAATTAAAGACTGTAGACTAAGGCAGGATCAAAGGACCTCTTTTCATTGTTCTTTTATTGTTTATTGACTTCAAAAAAGACTTTTTAGTTTAAACTGACTGTAATGTCTCTTGAATGGTCTTTTGTAAAATGACTTTGAAAACTCGGGGATAATGTCTTCATTAAGTGGAGAAAAATCTTGGGGAAAATATAACTGTAACTTGGCTTTCATTAGAGTAGAAAGAGATAAAGCTTTGCTTAATTAATGTCTGTTTTCCCTCTGTTCAGAAGTATAAGGAAAAAGGGGACTGAAATTAGTGCTGATAAAAGCTTGAATTAGACATTATAGCACTGAAACTTCTTTTTCTTCCTTACTTAGAATTTGGAAGAACATACTTCATACAAAGCTATGAAGCATATTGGAAGATTTTAGGTGCCCTGTCTTCCTGGATATAAAATGACTCCAAACTCAGTGATACTGATCAGCCTGGCTTCTTTTCCACCTTTCTCACTTCATTGTCTTTTTGTGTGTTTCTGACATCTGTTGACAAATGGGCAATCTTGGGGATGGGGGGTTCCACTGGTATATTTTCTTTACTGTTTAAGAAAGCTCAAAATTCTCTCTGCTCTTTTCCAAGCCACCAATCAAAACTGACATTTTCTAAGTGTCCTCATTGCCCTCTGGGAATGTTCATGGCCTCTGGGAGTCCAAGAACTACCTTTACACTGGATCTTCACTGCTTTTACTATTGTGTGGCTTTCTACCAGTTCTCTGCTCAGCTTCTCTTTTCTGGAGACCTGATATGCTTTGTTAGCTTAGCATGCTGTTCTAGGCTGCCTTTCTTTTTTTTTTTTTTTTTTAAACTTCATGGTGAGCAGAACACTGTACTCCAGACTGTGAGGCCCCACCTGTGCAGCCTGCTGGCTTCTCATACCAGCTTCCTTCTCACCTTAACCCCACGTATTGTTGCAACGGCAAAAAAGAGAATTGCACAGAGGAACACCACCTATCAGAGTTCACACTGAGTTTGCAGATTCATCCTTTTGCTTCCAGCCATCCCATGGAATGCTGTTCTTGGAAGGGTCATCTCATGGTCCATTGTCGGCCCTCTTAGAAGAGATTTCAGGCCTTCCCTTGTAGCTTGATAGTTACAGGGAGTGCTAGGGTAAGTGGAAAAAGCACATGACTTGGAATAAAGACTTAGTACACATCCCATGTCTGATTTATACTAACTAGTTCATGGACCTAGCCTACGTTACTGCACCTGTTTGAGCCTCAGTTTTCCTGTCTGCAAAGGAGGGATGATGGTACTTACCTCAAAGAATTGTAGTTGGATCAAATGAGTTGGAGTGGGATACAGCAACAATCTATATTCTGATTTCAGCAACACTGTGCAGTGTAATTCCATATTATATTACACCACATCTTCTGTGGGTCTTTCTTTGGGGGAAGCTAACATTTTAAAAGGTTTCCCTTTGTAACCTGTAACCCCCTCTACCCCAAAAGTATATTCAAGAGCGAAACTTTTGGTATGACGATGTCTTACATCAGTAGTTCTGAATGACTTGACTTAGCTATCTTTCTTGAGTCTCTCAAAAGACAGATGGATGGATAGATTGATTTTGTTGTAACACCTGTTCAGTTTTGCTGGCCTTACTCGTTTTCAAATACTCAAATGCCATTGAGTCAGATTTCAGAGGCAAATGGTGATACCTCAGGTTTGAAGTTGCAAGAAGTCACCACATGCTTGTTATGGAAATCGTCAGGGATATTTATTCCCTCTCCTGAGAAGCATAATTGAGCCTCCAAACCACCCATCAAGATATCCACCTGTAAAATATTTAAGAACTGGTACTATGAAGACATTTCCCTTATGCAATTTGTTTTCCATCTAAGAGCAGAACAAGGAAAATATAGCTGACTATAAGTTACAAAGGCAGACTCTTAAGCTACAAAATACATCTCTTCACAGGAGCACTTGGAGAAGGGCTGAAGGCAAACCAAAAGTGAGCAACAAGGAGACTAGTGTTCTGAAACAGAGATGACAGGCTCCGCAGTGAGGGTGATGATGGTGTTACGAATTACCCATTCAGTTTAAACTAGACATTCCCTGGAAGCATGTCATGGGGTGTGCAGAAGGGCTTTTGGATAAAAGGGGTCTAGTTAAGAGATGTTAAAAAAACAAACTTGAAAAGCATAGCAGGCTGCCAGGACATGTCTGAGTACCGCGCAGATAGTGGGGAATAGTCTATGGATTCTGCTTACACCATGGACAACCAGGCTGGGCCATGGGTTGTGTTTTTTTTCCTCTCATTTTATAGAAATGTTACCAGGCATATTTTCCCTGTTTCCCTAAGAAGAGCTTCCTCTCAGTGCTAGCCAGCCACAGGGCCAAGTGACACCTAGAGGTGATCCTTTGGTTATTTGCTAAACAGATCTAAGACAAACCGATATCTGTAACCTGGGATTAGATAGAGCCAATAAGATGTAACTGAAATTCTCAGGGATTCTAAGACATCTACATTGTATGTTGGTACGTTATTGAAGGTGATGCTAGCTGCTATAACAAATAAGCACGCCTGTGCACAGTTGCTCAAAGATAGTAGAAGTTTATTTCTTGTTTATGTAAGATCCATAATGACTCTTGCCAATTAGCAGGCTGCTCTCTTCCAAGTGGTAACCCAGGGACTCAAGCTCTTTTCATCTTGTGGCTCAGCCGTCTGACACATGTGGCTTCCAGCACTGCCCTGCTGTTGTCTGCACAAAGCTGGTGGAAGAAGTAGGAATTTGCAGGACCATGTGTGGAGCATTTTAAGGATGAGGCCTGGGAGTGGCACAAATCTTTGAACTCCAGGAGGCTAGGAAACAGAGCATAACCTTGTGCCCAGGAAGATGCGGGGCATAGTACATCTTTGCCTCACCTGATGTATTGTTTGTTTAAAATCACTTTGGATTCTCATTTACCTTTTCCCCCTCAAGATCTTTGTTTTTGACTTTGGAGATAACCAGAAATAACTAAGCATGCTTCCTTCCCTCTACGATTTCATCCTCATGGGGAAGCAAGACCCCACTCTTTTATTTTCATGTATGTATATATGTATGTATGCATGTATGTATGTATGTTTGAGACAGAATCTTGCTCTGTCGCCCAGGCTGGAGTGCAATGGCACCATCTTGACTTACTGAAACCTCCTCCTCCTGGATTCAAGCCATTCTCCTGCCTCAGCCTCCCAAGTAGCTGGGATTACAGGCACGCCACCACACCTGGCTAATTTTTGTATTTTTAGTAGAGATGGGGGTTTCACCATGTGGGCCAGGCTGGTCTTGAACTCCTGACCTCAGGTGATTGACCTACCTCGGCCTCCCAAAGTGCTGGGATTACAGTCATGAGTCACCATGCCCGACCAGCAAGACCCCACTGCTATTGTCCAGTGTGGTAGGTACCTTTGCCTACCTTCTACTCTACAGGCTGGAACAGGTGATATTGTGCCTACTTCACAGCCTTCCTAGCAACTGAGGATGGCTGTATGACAGATTCTAGCCATCAAGTAAAATCAGAAACCAACAGCACGTTTCCTTGAATACCTTTTGCTTTCTATAAAATGGTGTGGCATTGCTGGTATTTTCACTCTTCCTTCCTACCCTGGATGCTGATTTGATGCTTCCAGCCTTAGCGGTTTTCTTGCTTCTAGGACTGAACAGGGAAGAGGGAAAAGTCAAAAGAATGACAGAAGGTCCTCACGTTGCAGAACACTGACCAATGTTGGCAACTACAAGACAATCAGGCGTGATTCTTCATCCAGGATCTGCTTTTCCCTGTCCTGCCAATTCTTGAGCTGCTAATAAACATTCTGATGCAAACATGGAATACAGATTTCAGAGGGATTCTGGGTAGCCCTCGGAGATGAGGATGCTTTGCGAATGTAACAGGCATCTCTCACCTCATTTGTCTGGTGGAATGTTTACAAATGCTAATTAAGTTTTGCTTCAAATGGGGAACAGTCCTGTGCAGTGTTTCTAGGAAGTTACCAGCTTCATCATAGGAAGACGTTCTCCATCGTTTGGATCTTTTTCACCAGCACCTTTTGATTGTGGTGGTTTGGGATGTGATGATCTCAGAACTTTACATCCTCCATGAAATCTCTGCAGCGATAGTTGAATGTCTTGCCTTTTCTATTATTGCCCTTTTTCTTCTGTGACTTTGTACTGAGACACATTTATATTAGGGTAATGGCCTCATGCTATTTGAAAATCTTTATTTGGGCCACATTGGTTGGAAGATAAAAATATATAAGCAATAGTCCCTGAACATCATTTGGCCTGAACTAGGCTAGAGTTTCTCTTAATCAAAATAATAACGATGATTTTTCCATGCCAAGGAGTGGTGTCATATCATGAAGTAGATTTATGTACACATTAAATAAACTTTTACATTTTAATGTACCAATTTGCAATTTTTTTTTCTATTCACCAAAATATTCCAGATAACGGTTATCAGTTTTTGATTCTACACATACTTCAAATACTATTAATGCAAAATCCTTCTTTAGAAATGTTACCTAATTCCAATGTTTCACTTTATTCAGCGAAGACATTCCTTTGATTATTCTGGTTAGGTGTTATGATGCCAATTTGCCCACACATTTTTTCTTAGGCGCCTATGCTTGCAGTAGACAGAGAGTTGAGGAAAGCTCAAGGTTAAAACAGGAAAAAGTAACACAGTAAATACCTATTTTTGTGCATAATTCAAATTAAAACCCCAACCACCTAGAAGCACCAATACAAGGAACTGGCTGCATATTGCATTCCTGTGACCTGCTGTCTTAATGATGGAATGACTAACGAGGATCAGAGGGAATGTGGTCAGCCTCTTATCTCATAAGCCAAATGCTGCATATTCCAAGCCTGTCAATTCTGAAAGCCCTTGTTCATTTTTAAATAATGAAAAACTTTGGGGCCTTGTTCATTGTTTCTAAAGGAAGACATTTAGAAAATTTAGAATATAAATTTCTGTTAGTAGAAACTAATTTCTCTTGCTTTTCTCTAAAGTATACTTGATTTGAAATATGTGCCCTGAAGTTTTGCTATGTTGAAAAAAATGATGAGCCGGGCACAGTGGCTCACGCCTGTAATCCCAGCACTTTGGAAGGCCAAGGCGGGTGGATCACCTGAGGTCAGGAGTTTGAGACCAGCCTGACCAACATGTTGAAACCGTTTCTCTACTGAAAATACAAAAATTAGCCAGGAATGGTGGTACACAGCTGTAGTCCCAGCTACTTGGGAGGCTGAGGCAGGAGAATCGCTTGAACCCGGGAAGTGGAGGTTGCAGTGAGCCGAGATCTTGCCATTGTTCTCCAGCCTGGGCGACAAGAGTGAAACTCCATCTCAAAAAAAAAAAAAAAAAAAAAAAAAAATTATGTCATTTCGTTGTCACAGCGTCAGCAGAATAAATCTTAGATCAAGATGGGATTACTGCGCCACTCCCTTCTTCCCAGTCTGTGGTTTAGCACGGGAAAAAGCAAACTAGGGCCCTTGGGCCAAATCTGATCTGCAGCCTGTTTTTGTGCCGCCTGCAGGAGAACATTTTTAAATTGCTGAAAAAATATGAAAGGAAAAATATTTCAAGGTGTGTGAAAACTACATGAAGTTTAAACTTGAGTGTCCTTAAGTAAAGTTTTATAGGAACACAGTGTTGCTTATCTTTTATGTAATGTTTGTTTGCTTTGAGACCGAGTCTCACTCTGTCACCCAGGCTAGAGTGCAGTGGTGCGTTCTCTGCTCACTGCGGCCTGCATCTCCCACGTTCAAGCGATTGTCCTGCCTCAGCCTCCCAAGTGGCTTGGAGTATAGACACGTGGCACCACGCCTGGGTAATTTTTGTAGTTTTAGTGGAGACAGGATTTCACCATGTTGGCCAGGCTAGTCTTGAACTCCTGACCTCAACTGATAGACCCACCTCAGCCTCCCAAAGTGCTAGGATTACAGACATGAGCCGACCTTTTTATGTATTGTTGATACAGTATGACAAGGGAAGAGTTAACTGATTGCAGCAGGTTAGAGCACAGCATGAAGAGCTGACAATATTGACCGACTGGCCCTCTCAGACAAAGTTTGCCAACACCCAGGTGAGCAGATACACTTATCTGTGAGCAGACGTGATTCAGGGGAGATTGTTGTCCCTCCTTTCCTAAGAAAATGTGGAAAGATGAGAATGTTGCCACCAGTGCTGATATGGAGCGTTTTTTTTGGAATTGTCTTAAACAAGTCCCAACCTTGACTTTGCCTGTGTACCCTACTCTTTACTCCCAGGTCTTTGCAAGGTAAGCTGTCAGGTGTTAGCTGAAGATACGGCAGCCCACCAGTGGTCCCCTGAATGCCAACAAGAGTCACCTCTAAGATGATCCAGCTGTTGCATGGTGTAGCATGCCTAGTCCTTGCAGCACACACGCTGCCATTCTTCTTCGCCGTTGTTACCGTATTAATTTAGGGATGATGAGAAAGTGGCCTCCCTTTCCCTGTTAATTCCTTGGAGGAACTTCTGTTCGAAATGAATAGTCTTGAAATATGTCATAAAGTTACCTATCAGGACCACTTTTACAGAGATTTAAATGTGATAATAAGAATAAAAGAAAATGAAGTGACATTGAGGACGTCTTCTTTTATAACAGCTCTAGGTCTTGCCTGTTAAGCACGCTGTAAAATGACTGTTACACGTTTATGGATTGAAATGGTTCTGCTGAAATTTTAAGTGTTAACATTGTTCAAATTTTCATTACTAACACCTCTCACATTGTTAGAAAACAGTTTTATGTTTGACATTTTGATCATACTAACCTGGGACATTTTATGCTAAAGTTCTCATTTCATGCCTTAGGAATCCCCTGCTTATTTTGATTTCAGCACCTTTCTGTAGGACGCCAATAGCTTATGTTTGCACATCTTACCCCGATGCACTCTCTAAACCGATCATCACAGAAGATATTTTGTAGTGATGAAGAAAGCTTAAATGTCTCATTTGTCAGATTGGTTTAGGTAGAAAATAAGGATTTCCACCCCCTCATCGTGGTTCCCTTTTAGATTTTCTTGTTTGCTTTTCTTTAAAGCTGCTGTTACTCAAACGACAGTCCGTAAACTGCACTTTATTTTTTATAACAGCTTTATTGAGAGATAATTTACATGCTATACAATTCATGCATTTAAAGTGTACAATTCAATGGCTCAGTCTATTCAGAGTTGTGCAACCATTGCCACAGTCAGTTTTCTTACCTGAAGGAGAAAGCCTGCACCCCATATTTTTTACCTCCCATTCTCCACTTCAACTCTTCCCCAGCCTCTGCGAACCGCTAGTCTGCTCTTCATCTCCATGCGTTTGTATATTCTGGACATTTCTCATTAATGGGCTCACACGATATGTGGTTCTTTGTGAGTGGTCCTTTCACTTTGCATGCATCATGTTTTCAAGATACTGCACCTAATTTTTCAGTTCCTTGTTTTTTCTTACAAATACATTTTTCAAAATGAGTAAACATATGTACAAAAATATTTAATTTATTTAGGCACGCCAGGTTTATGAGATTCATCTTTGTAGCCACCAAGAGCCACTAACAGTGCTAACATAGCCAGGCATTCTAAATGTGTTTGTCAGGTGCATAAATCTGTGACTGATAAAACCACTGCTCATTACTTGGTTCTTAAACTCTCCCTCAATATAGCTGTAGGGACATGCAAAACAAAGGCTGGCTCATTAATAGGATATGTCTAGAGTTCTGCTTTAGAAATCATAATGTGGACATCATTGATTTCTCTGATGCTGGAAGCTGCTGCTGCTTCTTCATCTTTATCTTCTCCTCCCTGTGTATTGAGAGCAGGGACCTCCTTGTGCTGTTTTGGGCTCTCCTTGTTCACCCAGATTGGCTGCATCAGCACCTTCTTAAAATATTAGTGTTGCTGAGATAGGAGCTTTTGGTAGATGGATAAACTGGGATTTGTAAATATTTTGCTTAGTTTTTTTCCCAGAGTTTTGCAGAAGAGAATAAGGTGTTGGTTTGTTATAAGGTGGTCCTTTATAAAGTTTAGACCTATTTTAATAAGGCTGACTTGGGTTGAAGATAACTAGAGCCATGACTTTCATCTTGATGGACAATGAGTACTCACTCTACTTTTTTAGTTTATATTTTTATTTTAGTTCATTTCATTTAAGACAGCGTCTGTTACCCAGGCTGGAGTGCAGTGACATGATCTCGGCTCACTGCAACCTACACCTTCTGGGTTCAAGTGATTCTGATGTCTCAGCCTCCCCAGTAGCTGGGATTACAGGCATGTGCCACCACACCGGCTAATTTTATGCATTTTTAGTAGAGACGCGTTTCACCATGTTAGCCAGGCTGGTCTTGAACTCCTGAATTCAAATGATCTGCCCACCTCAACCTCCCAAAATGCTGCGATTACATTTTAAAACTCTACCTTTTAAAAATTAGAACCTGGACAAAGAGGTATTAAAGAATGTGTCTCTTATTAATTTATTATGGTAATGAGAAGAGTTTGGATTTGGACCTACCTAGGTTTTTCTTTCCTCCAGCTCCGCCACCCCAACTCCTTACTCATGCTTCCTCTGTAAAATGATCACTCCCCAGTTTGACAGGAATTGCCCCTGGAATCCCATCTGGTGTTCTAATTGTTACCAAATCCAGGCAAATCTTGCCTGTGATACAGGTGGTGAAGCTACTGGATAGAACTGGAGCATCTAACTGGTGTGAGATGGTATCTCATTGTGGTTTTGATTTGCATTTCTCTGATGGCCAGTGATGATGAGCATTGTTTCATGTGTCTGTTGGCTGCATAAATGTCTTCTTTTGAGAAGTGTCTGATCATATCCTTCGCCCACTTGGGTGGATGAAGCTGGAAACCATCATTCTCAGCAAACTGTTGCAAGGACAAAAAACCAAACACCGCATGTTCTCACTCATAGGTGGGAATTGAACAATGAGAACAGTTGGACACAGGAAGGGGAACATCACACACCGGGGCCTGTTGTGGGGTGCGGGGAGGGGAGAGGGATAGCATTAGGAGATATACCTAATGTAAATGACGAGTTAATGGGTGCAGCACACCAACACAGCACATGTCTACATATGTAACAAACCTGCACGTTGTGCACATGTACCCTAGAACTGAAAATATAATAAAAAATACATATTAAAAAAAAAAAGAACTGGAGCATCGACTTTCGTTTTCATTTCAAGACCCGTCCCCCATGATCACAGAGGATGAAAAGTCTGCTTAAATTATAAGCTAGCTAATTGCTTCTTCAGTTGAAGACCTAAATGAGTTTTAAAGTGAAATGCATATCTCTAAGGGCTAAGTAGCCAACACAATAGGCAATTGAGATAGGAAAGACTAATTTAGAAAAGGTTGTTTTGTTCGTTTTTCTTTTTCCTTCCCTCCCTTCCTGATTTCCCATCTTCTTCCTCCCTCTTCTCTCCCCTCTCCCCCTTCTCCTTTCCGTCCTTCCTCCTTCAGTTCCCTCTTTCCTCTTTTTCACCCTTTTATTTAACATTATAAATACGATGGGATTGTGTCTGCGCTTTTGTTGGTAATTAAATAAATTATTTATACATTTAACACAATCTTGAATTACCAGGTGATCATCTTAGGCACTCAAAAGCATAAGAGCCCTTGAAAGCAATATCTAAGCATAGATATTCCATAGCACGTCTTACAATCTAAATATTGCTTTTAGTGTAATCGAAGCAGCAAGAGTAGTCACAGCAGTTGATGGACTATTTTTCAAATTGATTTCAAAAATGTATTTAAGGGGATGATCTTCTAGTCTAGATTACCTATTGATTTTTAATATGAAAAGCTCATTATGTAAGCAGTAACCGCATATAAAAACCTAGCAAACCTTTGCATAAATCCTTTAATTGAATTTCCAGAGCCTGTGGTTCTACTTTTTTTTTAATTAAATCTATTTCTTTTTTTAAGTGTTACTGTGTAATTTGCATGCTGTGAAGAGGCCCTGTCCCAGATAAAGTGCCATTGATCCTTATTAAACCTCACCTCTGGGCTTGCTTAAAACTAACTGGAAAAATTAAAGTGTTCATGCCGCAATGCACTTATAGCTTGTGTGATAGGATTATGGAAAAAATAATAAAACTAATTTCCAGGGGAGAATTTCTAATGTGAGATTTTATTTTTTTTCAATTTGATAATTAATAGTGAAATCATATCATATATATAAATCATATTTTAGCCTATAAACTGAAATGGCAATTAGGAAAGATAATATATACTTGATGTAAAACCATGTTACGTGCGGATAATCTTTTAGCACTTTAATTTTTTAATTGTAGAAGGAGAGAATTATGAATTCAAGTCAAACACATTAAATGGTGGGTTTCATCCAAAAAATCTGATTCTTTTACTATGTACTGTATTAGTGGATTTATAATATTAGTGGGAGGAAGTATAAAAGATATGGAAAAAGATATTCTGGTTATGTTCGTGCTAAAATGTGTGTATTAGAATTACCAGGGGAAAGAAAAATATAAAAGCTGCAATAGGTTTTTCTATTTTTTAATACCTAACATTTGTTATTTTAAAAGCAATAAAATCCCCTAAAGAAATATTCGTAATCAATAAGAACACAAAATATGGAATATATTAACTGAGTTATAAAAATGTTTGTAGTATAGCACAGAATGAAAAACACAGCAAGGTATGTACGGTTTAAAGTGTAATCAATTTTGAGGTTGTATACAAGGATATAAATGATAAATACAAGTAGTAGCATTTTTAGTAAAGGCTGTTACAAAATACTGTATTTATGGCCTATTCCATTCTTTTTATAGCTCATTAATGTAGAAAACAAACACAGTGTATCCATCTTCTCAGACGGTTTAAAATTCCCTTAAATGATGTTTTTAAATGTAAATAACTGAGCTCATTTGATCTGGTTCTTCCTTAAGCCAATGTTAGCATGAATGGCCATATTTACCACCCCGGGGTTCCTTTTCAGACTCCGGAAAGAAAAAGCGATGATAATGACGTATTTCCCTCCCTTCCACAAAACAGGGCCAGGTGTAACACACTAAGAACAAATGGCTTGGCAGCCTACTCTCCTCTCTCGAAGCTCCATGCCCACCTTGCTGTTGCACCCCCCACCCCAAGGAAAGCCTTCCCACCTTTGGAAGCTGCATTAATTATTCCAGGCCACAAGGGTGCCGTTGAGTTACTGGTTCACTGCACTGGCTGGCAGGAAAGAGTTTTAATGCAGGCTCCAAAGGTGCTTAATTTCCTGTGGTCCTTATGAATATGCATACAGTATGTGCTCAGCAATCTAGCAGTTCAAACTAGACAGCTGGTTCTGGTGGTGAGGGTTTTTTAAATTTATTTTTTATTTATTTATTTTTTCTCTCCCCTTTCCTTGGACAAGCCCTTTCTGAATAAGCTGAATCTGTAGTATAATTTCATTAACTCATTTCCAGTATTTAATTTGGTTTTGATATTTCCATCATGGCCCCTTTTCTCCTTTGATTTTGTCATTCTGTAGAAGTTGATAATCTGTATTATGATCAACAAGGCATATTGCCATGACTGTAGGAATCACCAATTTAGATATCCAGGCTTCCTAAAATATAAGTAAGTCAGATTTAGCATTACTGTTTTCCTGAATGTAGGAGTATTTGGAAAAGGAAAAAAAAATAAACATACATCTTGGAAAGCAGAGAAAGGTGTTTTGTTTTCTTTCTGTTTGGATTAACATATTCTCCATCACTGTGTAACTTCATCCAATACGTATTGAATACCTACTATGTGTCTGGCACCACTTCAGACAGTAAGGATATGGATATGAATTTGTATCAGTCAAGCCTTCCAGGATCTTATTATCTAGAGAGAAAGATTAAAACATATGCAAATAATTTTGATAGAAGCAAAGACCTAACTCAGCCTGAGAGGAGGTTGGGTTTAGAGAATGCTTTCATTGTAATGTTTTAAAGCTTTTTATTTATAACTATAGTTTATTTGGACTTTATGATTTACCAAGTAACTTTAGATGCAAATATGGTAGTACTGTGAAGATTATGGTTTTTGAATGAAGTCACTTTGTGGCATGATGGTATAGAATAAGATATTTTCATAGTGAAAATGGAGATAAGACATGTCCCATTCCCTAGAATAGACTGTCACTGCTCTCGTTGCCTCCAAGGAGGAAACTGTTATAGGAATGATTGACATGGAGGTTCATCTGTAGAATATGGACAGCCCTCTACAAATTGGGAACAAGGGCCAGGACACGAAATATAGTGACAGCCTCTGGCCTGGGAGTCTAGACAGTGGTCAAAGGCAGGATTCATGGAGTTTTCCAAGATAAGATTCAAGACCCAAACTATGAATGAAAGCCAGGCTGAGGCTGGCACCAAGTAGAGGCCTCCAATAATGTTGACCCAGCGGGGCTGCATTGTTCACTGCCCCCTCCTGGGAAGGAGGAACCAATGACAATGGAGCATCTAAGAGACAAGAGAAAGGGAGTGTAAAGGTGAGGATTCCATGGCTTTACACTCCAGAAACTCAGGCTAGCTTGTTCTCACTGAAGCAGTCATACCTTCTCGAAGGCAACTAGGTGGATTACAGAATTGTGCTGGGTCCTATGGAGTGTCAGAAATAGTGAAGCTTCTGGAGCTTCACTGTCCAATATGGTAGCCACGTGTGACTATTAAAATGTAAATTAATTAAAATTAAAAGTTCAATTGCTCTGAAATAGCAGCCACATTTCAAATCTTCAGTAGCCAGATGTGGTTATTGGCTACCATATTGGGTAGCACCGATATAGAACATTTCTACCATAGTAGAATGCTCTTTTGGATACATCTGCTTTAAAGCATTAGTCCCCAAAGTGTGAAGGATGAACCACTTGGGTTCCGAGAGGAAACATTATAACTTCTGTTTATCCATTAAACTCTTTCATTTATTATTAAACATCTCAACACATTTATTGGGTGGCAGGTACTGTTTTAAGTGTTTTGCATATATTTACATGTACTGTCCTTTCAAATATTCTTTGAAATAGGACTATTGTTGTCCATATTTCACAGATGAGGAAAGAGATGTGCTAAGAAAAGAGGTGGCAGAGTAGGGATTCCAGCTCAGTAGCCACTTTCAGGGTCCCGTACTTTTCAATGTAAGCATATTGGCTCTCAATTTAAAAATGTTATTTTTTACAGATAGTACACAGATGCACTGACACAGGTACCCTCTCCAGTCCTCTGATGGTCAGGAATTGTGTGCAGTATGCAGTACATTCCAAAGTCAGGCTGGCCATTTCCCCAGGGAGAGGGTCCATGTTGGAACCTTTGCTCCTTGTGGACTTTAGCTTTGAAATGTATTGTAGTTTTGCATGTGTGCTTAGTTGGATGGATTGAGACATCAGATTATGTGGTCTGAACTAAAGCAACCGTCACAGAATGAACAAGAGACTTACAAACATTTGTGCAAAAAGATCAGTGTTTGGATATAGTTCTTAGAATAGCAAATAGTAAGAAAAGAGCAGGATTGGTACTTCACCTACTCCTAATAAAAGCCCTTCATCTTGTGCAAAGTAAACACAATCACAGTTTGATCAGAAGTGGTCAATGGAAAAACAAAAATCTAAATTAGCAAAGAGAAATTTGAAATTGCATGCATTATTTTTAAAGATGAACATTGCTTTAACCTATACCATTCCTGGAGGTAGTAGCTAATAGAATGATCCAAGTTTATAATTTGTAAATAAGTAGACATCTTTTGAGGCGTATGCCCTTAATTTTTCTAACTGATGAAAGCGTACTTCCATCAACTCAAGACAGTTCAAAGCAGCTTGGAGCCTCTTGGATTTTAAAAAGACTCTGTGGCCTCTGTCTCTCTTGGTTTTCAGTGCTCAGCTGAGGTCTACTCTGTTTATCCTCTGCCTACTAGAAGGATATCCTTTCAATAGAGGTGAAAATCCTGAAATAAAAGGTTTCATAAATGGGGAAAAAAGTCATTGATTGAAAGAGTCATGGCATAGATGCTGAAGTTTTGATGGGAACTTTGCAGGATGTTCGTTTGTTTATCATTAGCCCTGGGAGAGTCATCCCTCACCTCCCACCACCCCTTAATTTAAAGGGATTTAAAATATTTTCAAGTACATCCTGATATCAGCACGTGGTACACTGAGCCTAGTTGATGGAATTGTGAAAAAAAAAAAGAATGTTTTCCCAACAATTTGGCTGTATTTGCCAGAACTGTTTCAAGAATGCTATGACTTTTGCTCAGGGCAAGGGAAGTGTGTGTGTGTGTGTGTGTGTGTGTGTGTGTGTGTGTGTGCGCGCGCCTGCATGTGTACTGTGGATGTGATAAGAGCTGTGTTTGTGAAAACTGTGAAGACATAACACATATCTATGAACCTTTTCTATTAATCTTCTTGGGGCTGGAGCTTTAAAATAAAATAAATAACTTTTCTGCAGAGAGAGAACCTTTCCTTACCCAAAGATTTCGTAACTTTCTCACATCCTTGGTTAAGGCTGAGCTGCCTAGCTGTCTGCATTTCTGATAGGTTTTGCTTTCATACACATTTCAAGGACTTAAGAAATCTGTTTCTAAAGAATAACTTAGAATGTGCTTGTTATGGTCCCACCTATTCTGGGGAATAGGTGGATATTATACATTTATTTAGGTGGAATGGTGGGTCAGATGGCTTCATGTCTTTTTACATCACAGTTCCACAGCCCTCATTAGTGAAGCAGAGGTTGAAGGAGGTCACTTGCTTTTTATCCCAATGTCAAATAACTCCATAATTTTTTTTATTATTTTTTGAGACAGAGTCTTGCTCTTTTGGCCAGGCTAGAGTGCAGTGGCGCGATCTTGGCTCACTGCAACCTCTGTCGATTCTCCTTCCTCGGCCTCCGTAGTAGTCAGGACTACAGGCATGCACCACCATAGCTGGCTAATTTTTGTATTTTTAGTTAGACACCAGGTTTCACCATGTTAGCCATGCTGGCCTCGAACTCCTCACTTCAGGTGATCTGACTGCCTTGGCCTCCGAAAGTGCTGGGATGACAGGCGTGAGCTGCCTTGCCTAGCCAAATAACTCCATTATTTAAGAAAAATTAACCAGTATTTATTGAATACTTACTGGGCCCTGTGCTAAGTGCTTTGCATGTGATTTCTAATTTCCTGACCATTCTATGAAGTGGCTACTATAATTATCCTGATTTCCCAGGCAGAGAAACTGAGGCTTAGAGAGTTGAAGTAATCAACTGGGTGTTAAAAAGCTGGTAAGTGGCAGAGCACTTATTGGCGCTAAGACTGTTTCTCAGGACCTTGTTGTACGAGAGTCAACGATAAGACGCAGAACGTATGTTTCATTTTTCTTGGGAAGGATCTATCTCACTCATCTGCCTTCCTGTGTCTAGCAAGAGGGCCAGGCACATAAAATACACATGGTACAATCTGTTAAAAGGCATGAAAAAGAAACAGTCATTCATATCTGTTCGTAGAAGTGGGCGTCAAGATTTTGGGGCACTGAGATCTATGCATGTTGTGGGCCCACTTTAAGAAAAGGAGTCAAACATTTAGTGTGGAATACTGGAAGGGGTCCCTAGACATGAAGGGCCTCTTCAACCTACCTTTTGTTGGCTTCAAGGTTATGCCATATTTTGCAAAGTCAAGTTGGAGATGGCTCTCGATATGCATGAGTGTGTTAGACTGCTTTTCTTCTATTTTTTAAAAATGCACCCAAATGTAAAAGATACTTTTACCTTTTTGATTTGATGTTGAAGGTCATTTGAAAAATACTCTGTCTTTATTCTTTGAAATGGATTTACTCTCAAGAAAGTTGCATGTCACTTTACTTGGAAGAGACGGGTCTCAGTGAGGTGTGCCTCCGCTTTCATGAAAAGTCTCCCGTCTGCAGAAGCATTGGCTGACATGGAAGATTTTTTTTTTTTTTAATACTTTTCTTTTTGCCGGCATCTGCGTAGAATTTTTTTTTTTTTTTTTGGTAGTTTCTTAATGGTCTTTAGCAAAGGAAGTAAGTGACACTGATCGGTGAAGGCAGACAGTAAGATTTATAATGTATTTGTGCTAGCTGATTGCCAACAGAACCGGCCTTTCCCAGTGGTGCTGTACGCAGACTCGGAAAATCAATAGGGATTAACCTTTGACCCCCTTCACATACTTATACTGTGGGCTGCATCGCTTACCAATATTTCATCTGTTTCACTTAGCTGCTGTTACTTACTCAATAATGTGTGGCCAATCTCACAAGATACTAATTCTTTTTTTCAAATGCAGCATCGCTTGAAGCTGTGATAAAATATCACACCTTTGGAAATCAAGGCTCTTCTTGTTTATTTATTTAACTCACATTAATTAGCCTTAATTTAAAAAAAATGAGAAGAGCCAGCATCATGATGCAAGCATTGACTTTGCTCACAAAAACATCTTGTGGTCAACAGTGGGGCTTAGGGGGCAGGTTTTGTGGCTGTGACAGAACACGTGGCCCCTAGTGTGTCTGTTGAAAGATGGGCCCCTTTCAGGAAAATGGCTTACCTTACTTTTTAGACATAATTTTTGTTTTCTGTTAAAGGGTCAGTTATAGATAAGTATGCTCCCTTGCAATGAAATGAACCCACTTTATCAATTTTGAAGGAATCAAAATTAACTTGAATACATTGTCTTTTTGCATATGTATGTAGTGCTTTGTATAAACATATGAATTTGTAGGAGCTGCTCTTAATGATTATTACTGCATAGGCTGGAATAGAAGCAAAATTTGCAGTAATACTTTTGTACCTTTCTCTTTAGGCCTTGGCATATATTAAAGTACTATACATTTGTCTTAAAAATTGAAATTGTAGATTATTTTCATCTAAGACCCTTTTGTTCACAGATTTTTTTTTCCAAGTATACCTATTCCCCAGAGTTTACTTACAGTTTGCTATTGATCCAGCAGCTGGTATTTGAATTGGTCGATATACTCTGTAACTTGTTTAAGATACCCTACCTGAGCTATTAGTTTAAATAATGTATTCATAAATTGATTAATCATTACAGTAAGACTTATTAGCTGCATTTATATCTGCGTGTTATCCACAATTGACTTATAGTCTAATAATCACGTATACTTAAGCAGAAGTTGGGTTTTACGTTACAATTTAATAATTATCAAGGTGGCAAACGGTAGTATTTGTGTGTAGAAGTTGAGTGGATGTGGGGCTTTAAAGGCAGGAGTCTCTAAGCAGGTTGCTAATTTTACTTTTCCTAGATAAAATAATTCTCTCTCCCAAAATGAAATACAGGAAGTGGACCAAATTGTGTCAGCCTGAAAGAAGTGATTGAGTTTGCGGAAGCTGTCCTGAAGTCGAGGTTCTGGAAGATGGGTGGGGTGGGGGGAAGCGAATGTGAAGTGCCATTGCATTTGTCTCCATTTCTGTCCCAGTTACATCAAGGCTGGGAGGAGGTCTTTCCACTGGTTTTCCGGGCTGTTTGTGTACTACACAGCCTGTGTACCTGGCAAGGCACGCTCTGCTCTGCCCTGCCTTCTGATGAGCTGACTAACACCTTATAGATGAGGTTCCCTTAGAACCAAAGATGCCCCATGAAACTCCCTAGGATGAATGTTGGAAGTCCTTCCAACTGGGATTCCCAGCCGGAAAGGAAACAGTTCATCTGACTACAGGGTTTAGGTTTACATGTACTTTAAAAAAAAAAATTAATAAAGTTTATTTTTACAGTAATTTTAAGTTCACAGCAAAACTGAGTGGGAAGTGTAGAGTTTCATATACTCCCTGTCCTCACACATGCACAGCCTCCTCCAGCTATGCACATTTTCAATGAAACTACATGTTCATTGAAAATGATCTTTTGGGTGGTTGATGTTCGATTTTGGCTCTGTGTTGGGCCTGCCCAGTGAGGTCCTTTTGACTCCCTAAGGAACCCTGTTTTGGGTTTCTTTTGAGGTTGAAGATATTTCAGACTCTTTCCCCCTCAACTTCCATAGGAACCAAACTCTCTTTCTTCCTCCCGTTTGGTTGGAAAGTTATTTTGCCTCACTGCGTGATTTTTCTACTGCACCAACTCCCCTTTCAAACGTTATTCCACAACATACTAAATTAATGTATACTGTGTTCTTTGGGTAATGGGGAGGGGAGCCTGTCTCACAGCACGCATTTGTTCAGCTCTGTGTTGAAAGAGCACTGCCCGCCGCGTGAAGGACATCTGCTCACAAGTGAGCAATTGTGCTTCTGATTTGGGGCAGCACCTTTGCTTGAACGCTGGCTCCAGATGAAAGAACAGATTGCCGCGGAGCCGCTTTTCCAAGGATCCCTCTCCCCAGCATGGGGCTTCATACATTATTGAGAGCAAACCTACTTTCCACCGCCACTCCTGGATGCACTTATTTTGCGAGCCTTATTCAGAATGTCAGCATGGATCACTTGGCGACAAAGGCCTAAAGGGCAAGCCAGGAAGCTTCCATGGATACGTTATTTATGGTGTTTAATTATTATTGTACAGATTTATTAAATGACTCTGTTACCTAGGAGTCCATGTAGTTGCTGAAAAGAGTTTGCTAACTTTGAATCGTAGATGTTTTATCTGAAAACAAAATTTCCTTGTGAATGCTGTTACCATATTCCTGGTGTCTATGTGAGGGGGTGTGTGGTGGTATGCCGGTAAGTGTTGAACAACCTGCTCTGTTGGCGGGAACTAGGGGAAACAAACCCTGTTTTGTAGTATTTGCTGATTACTGTGGTGTAAATACTCACACCTTGGCTGATTTCAAGTTGCAGCTTGGAACTTGGAGTTAGAAAGAGATGTGTAGTCCCATACCATTTTATGTATGTAAAGTATTTGCACTATGCCGACTAATAGACATAAATAACCTCATGAGCATAGATAATAGTCACATCTACTAAGATTATTCAGAAGTATTGAGCTTTGAGTATGTTTTACCTTTTTAATATAGCTTATTGAATCATACATTTATCTACTTTAATACTTAATAATGAGTGTGCCCAACAACTAGGTCTTAAAGTTCCTGATAGTTTAGCAGTGTGCTCTCTTAAGCCAGTCGGACCTGGTTGTTGTACACTACTGGGTGTGTTTAATTGACTTCCAGTTTTGTTTTGTTTTGTTTTGTTTTGTTTTGTTTTGAAACAGTCTCACTCTGTCGCCCAGGCTGGAGTGTAGTGGTGTGATCTCCGCTCACTGCAGCCTCTGCCTCCTGGGTTTAAGGAATTCTCTGCCTTAGCCTCCCGCGTAGCTGGGATTACAGGTGCATGCCACCATGCCCAGCTGATTTTTGTATTTTCAGTTGAGATAAGGGTTTACTGTCTTGGCCAGGCTGGTCTTGAACTCCTGACTTCGTGATCCACTCGCCTCGGCCTCCCAAAGTGCTGGGATTACAGGCATGAGCCACCGCCCCCGACCATTGTCTGTCAGGTTTAAATTGCACCTTGGGTTCGGGTGAAGTTGATGATCTATTCCTAATGCAGGCTCATTCCTAACAGGGCATCCCTGCACAATTTTCCGCTGGGGTGTGATGAGCTGCTTCGCATCCTGCTAAGTGTCCTCGACAGCGAGCAGACACATGTACCCTGCTTGGTACATGCCAGATGATTCTGTTGTAGTGATATTAAGGACAACAGTATTTTGCCAGAAGCTATAACGAGATGATTCTATAACAACAGCATGGTGACATCAGACTATGTTTTGCAATTTTCTTTAATATTTATGCTGGATAAATAATTTATCTTTTTTCTCAGTTTTTTTTCCCTTTTCTTTTTTTTTCTCCCCATCTTGAACATGTTGCTGTAGACAGGTGCTAGGTTTCCCTGAATGACTAAAGCAGAGATTTGGTTATTTTCCTCCCAGAAAAAGTAGATGCATCAGCAGAGTTGAGCCCCTGGGCATTATTTCCCCAATTCCGTATCCCATCTACTAATACAAACTAATGAGATCTATTAAGGATGAGTCCACAAGTTTGAAGGGAGTCTCTTACTAATGTTCCGTCTTTGCATGGTGTTACAACAGCGGGACCATTTTACACTGAGGGTTTGCGAGAGGCATGGCTCCCCTGTTATGTATTTGGGACTTACTGCAGATGCTTCCTCTGGTTCAGGGTGTTGAGGCTTCGTGCTGTTAATATTGGAAGGTGGGTCATTTGTACTGGGCATCTGTCCTGTATCTTGGAGATGTTTAGTAACATCCCTGACCTCTAGCCATTAGATACCATCTCTCCCAGTAGGGATAATAAAAACATGTCTCCAGATGTTGGCAAATGTCTGGCCTTCTGGGGAGTAAAATGGCCCCTGGTTGGAAACTAGTGTTCCAGAGCTACATTCTTAGCTGCTTACTGCATCATTGTTTTTAGCCCTCCTTTTCTCTGGCTTCCAGGAACCACCAATCCCCCAACACTAGGATAGGGCATAAGGCAACCTTATGTCACCAAATTAATGTCCGCCTAGGCAAGCTGGACTGCAGAAAGAAAAGCAGTATTTCTACCCTAGGATCATTATCCCACCTTCCCCAAGCTTCGAAAGAGGTACAGGAGTCCTCAGAAATGGGGCTTCTAAAATAAGTGGAACTGGGACCTCTTCTCTCTCAGGCTGTTACTTGTTGTGGTTCCAGCCTATTTTCTGAGCTGTGGAGCAGGGAGGGATCTCACAGGAAACTTGGTAATGTAGATTTTGGAGGACTTGAAAGGTTCCTGCTACCTTTGGCTGGGGATGGAGGGAACATGGAAGATGGGTCTTTGTTTAGAGGAAGCTCTTTATCCTGGTACGCTGGAAGTTGGCATAGTCTTAGCAGTTAGTCCAGATGTGAATTTCAGGATTATTCTGTGAGTCTTCCAAGTCCTGTCTCAGCAGTGAAATAGGCTCAGTGTAGCTTATGTCTAGGTGGCTGAGTTCATTTTCTAGTCTAGGTAAAGGGCACCTCCTGTAATTGAATTGTGTAAAACCTGCACAGTGGTACACCTGAGCCCTTTTTTAGGACCCAAGAGTGCTGAGATTGGCTCTTCCTGAGATTCCCTCTTTAAGGATAAGACTTTCTGATTTTTCAACTGGATTTACCATTGTGGCATCTGCACATGAGCAGACTGACTGCTTTTTGGCCCTACCTGGAGCCTGGGTCCTCAGGTAGCTGACCCGAGAGACCGTGGAGCTGCTTGTGATATACAATGTCAGTGCTCTGAGCTCATTAGGCGTCATCTGAGACAGTGGCTGTAGGGGAGGGGAGGTAGGCTCTGAGTCAAGCAGACCTGGAATTTTCTTTATGGGCCATTAGGAACTGTGTGACGCTGGGGCATCTGACTTCACCTTTCTGAGTCTTAGTTTCCTTACCTGTTGAATAGGTCTAATGATATCATTATGGCAGATCAGTGGGACGATTGAGTCAAATAACATGCCCAATGCCTGTTTCTCAGAGTAGGCTTTCAGTGGGCCACATCTGTTGTCACTATTATTTTGTTCTTTCTGCCATTTGGGATGTGCTTTCTGATAATGGCACTAGGCTGCCTTGTTGCCTCCTGCATGTAGAACACAGAACTTCGCAGTCTCTGCAGAGTGTCTAAATCCTGCTCTGGGCCAGCCCTTTCAGAAACACTTCAGGAGATCAATAGTTATCTGCTTACCTTTCTAGCTGAGATGAGATTTTATGCTTGTTACTAGCAGATCAATAGTGAAAGCAGGTTCTGTTAAGTTTTTTATAGGAGTCATTAATCTCCCTCAGCCTCAGTTTCCCTATCTGTGAAGTGAGTCTAACCAGGATGATAATGAAGAGTTAGGTCAAGTGAGGTTGGCAGCCAGACACCCACCACCAGCTGTAACATAAGAACAGATGTTCTCTCCAGACCCCCAGGTCAGCTGAGGTCGCTCTGCTTGGAATAATGAACTGCCACATTGAGGATTTTTTTCCTCTCTTTACTTGGCCAAATATCCGAGTGTGGAAGCTCTCACTGTGAACCTGCTAACATACATTTCAGTGTCTACAAAATGTCTTTTGAGAGAAAACAGCAGGGACATTCGTGAGCTCTTTTTTTTTTCTAACCACTTTCCCAGTGAGACTTCAGTTTTCATTCTCCCCTTAGCAGCTTTCAAATATGTACGTAACACAAATGTTACATGTTTGAGCATTTAAACTGAATTTGGACAGGGCTTCTATTTCCAGAACCTTCTAACTCTATTTCTTTGTGACCTGATAGTCTTGCTCTCCAGGGTAAAAGAAGAGGATGGAAATGGCTGTGGGGCGCCTGAGCTGGGCCCTGGCATGATGGCAAGATGCCGTTCTGGGTTCACTGGGATGGCTCAAGGGGAGTTTGGAAACCCTCCTAACATGTCATCTGAAATCTGGGACCACAGTTCCGGCTGGAACACTTGTCACTAAAGCTGCTGATAAGCAAAGGGTGTATCACTGGTATGGGTAACAGTTGTGGGAGGAGGAGGGGTCTGACAGATAGCCGGATGATTTTAATGTTTATATTCCACTGGGGTAAGCTCTAACAAAGACCCATCATTTCCCAGATAACCAATTCTTTTAAAAGAACATCTGTTGAAACTGGCAATTTACATTCTTCTTAAAATACGGAGCGACATAATTAACCCTCTGGGGAGACTAATATTAGTTTATTAGAGACAATTTCTAGTTCTGTTTATTTTTAACACTAAACGATTTGTTCAGATTGGGGAAAAAATTTTTTTTTTTTTTTTGGTTGTGGTGGCGTTGGCTTTTACTTGGGGTTGACCTTTCCTTATCAAGGACGTACAAGGTGAATAGCTGGGTGATAATATATGGTCCCATGATCATCAACCAAGCACCAACGGAAGCCTTTTGGAAGTGCACAGTATTGTTTAACACACAAATAACTCAGCGTTTAGTAACTTTCAGGTACAATCAGTCTATTTTAAAGGGACCTCATGTGTTATTCATGTATGTGCACATGTGTTTATGCAGTTACCTTTGTCTTCATTGATTTGGACTCCTTTGGTGCTCGTAATTGGTGAAATTCTCTTGTGATCATTGTTGTAGTTCCCGCAAATCTATTTACGGTTTTCACAAGGAGGTCACGAACATGCGTTGTTTTCAATGCTGGGCTAGTTTCAGACTTCTGGCTTGTTGTGGGACGGAGGAGAAAGAAGACAGGGCATTTTGATGTGGCCCAGAGACCAAATGAAACAAACGATCCTCTGATTGCTCAGATGTCCTCTTTGACTTGGAAAGCACCCACGTGAATGTTGAACCATTTGGCCCTCAGTTCTCCGTCCTGCAGCAAACTGCATTGACTCCTGTTTTCTACACAGTGGTCTTCAGCTACACCTTACCAAGCACCCCTTACCCAGCAAACGTGGCTTCTCTTCCCCAGGCAGAGCAGTCCGTTACTTAGACTAGGAAATGGCTCCGAGAAGCTCACCCATCACCATTTGCTCTACTGCAAAACAGGACTCATTAGCAGGAGCTCATAAAATGAAACTGGCAGTGAGCTCATATGGAAGAGGCATCACGGGCAACTCGGCTTGGCTCACCAGCCCCTGAGCTGCCCCCGAGTGACCGCTCCAGCCTTCTTTCCTTCCACCTCTCCCTCTTGGCCAACTTCATGCTTCAGCCAAAGTGAACTGAGCTCACCAGGCTGAGTCATCTGTGCCAGCTGTGCCCTCTCCCCGAGGCTGCCTGCCATGCTCGTGCTTTCTTGTCTATTGGCAAAAGGCTCTCCATCCTTCAAAATCCAGCTCTTGGCCTCATATCTTCCACAAAGCCTTCCCAGACCTTTACTCACCTGGGCCATTAATCACCTTCCCTCTCAGTCAGCTGCTACACCATGAGTGCTTTTGTATCGTGACTGTCTGGTTACAAGGTCATCTTTTCCCCTGGATGAGACGCCCCTTGGGGAAAGGACCAAGTTTTATTCCCTGTTTAACCTTGGCCTGACAACCTAATAGGTGCTCAGTGAACAGTTCTTGAATTTAATTCTCTCCCTTTCCCCACACTGATGGGTATTTAAGCTCCAGTGGTACTCGATGTGTTGTTTTCTTTGTTCTTTTTTTTGAGACAGGGTTTTGCTGTCACCCAGGCTGGAGTGCAGTGGCAGAGTCTCTGTGCACTGCAGCCTCCGCCTCCCAGGTTCAAGTGATCCTCCTACCTCAGCCTCCTGAGTAGCTGGGACTACAGTTGTGCGCTACCACACCTGGCTACCGTGTCTTGTTTTCAATGCAGTATATAAGAGGGTGCATTGTGTACCTGTGGGAGTGATTACAGAATCCCATCAAAATGGGAATCACTGACTGAAAACTGGAGTTTATTTGTAAGCTGGGAGATGGGAGCTGAATTTGAAACCCCAGGAGAAAATAGCATATAAAGTCATTTTAAATAACTATCATTTGCAGAGGAGGGGGGCACAGATGCCTCCAGTGGCCCAAGACTCCCCTTTACACATTGCCGTTCCCTTGCCTTCTACTCCTCTTTTCATTACCCTTATCAAGATTCTGCAGCCCAGGGTGCTGCTTGTTGATGGACATCTTCACCTGACTTTCTCCCTGGTCCAGGTGCATTTTAAGCATGGAAGGTGACACTTGCCATTCTCAATGGACAAAGGGAGTGGGGGTGTGGGGGTGTGCTTTGGGGTTAGTCTCTGGGTTTTCGAAACTTAGCATTCTCAGATTCCCAGCCAACTGGTTTCACATGACAAGTAAATGAGCAACCTGGAAGATGAGTGGCGTTTCCACACACAGGGAAGCAGATAGTTCCATTAGGTGACAGTGTGTGCACAGTTTATGGAGGATGAAGCGGGAAACCTGAGCCACAAGGCAGTAGAGGTTGGACGAGACACTCATTCCGAAGGCGGGTGTGTATGTGCAAACTGTATAATTTTTTTCTTCTTTTCTATCTGCTAGCAAAGTGGGTAAGTTGACCCATGACATCGTCCACTGGAGGGACCACATTTGTGACTCTAGCAATTAAGCCTCCCTTCTCATCTGTGGATAAAACTGACCTCCCAGTGTGCTGGAGTCAAACATATTCAGCATCCAATCCACATTGGACTGTTTGCATGTAACGTACAGAACACTCATTCATCTACATCTAGGACCATAACAGCGAGCAGGAGACAGTCCCTGACCCTGGGGACTAAGCCCAGGACCTGCCACTAGGAGATATTCATGGAATCACTGTTTCTCCTCCTTTTCAAAGAAGACTGAATTTATGATGAAACTTTCTTCGTATATTGGCTTTGAGAAATTCTGTTTTGGTGCTTATGTGCTCTGGATAATTCTCAATGACTTTCAAAGTTATGATTCAGGGAGTAATTGGTTCTGAGAGAATATGCATAATCACATCAAGGTGTGTTTGTTTTCCACCATTTGTAGCCTTTTGACAAATTTCTGGGGGCCTCATGCCTGCTAGGCCGAATACTTGTGTCCCTTGAGCCTGGAGACGGCAAGTACCCAGTGTGCATGCATGCACTCCCAAAGTCCTTTATTCACGACAGACATCACTAATCAATCAGTCATGCTTAGCATACTACTCCAAGTAGTCATTACTAATCATCTCTAGTCAGCATGGGAGATACTCTTTACCATCCCGGTAAAGTGACGTTTTGATGAAAACAGCATGGATCTTCCTGCAGAGAACAGACTAGCCCCCTGTACAGCACACAACTCGGGGAATTTTAGGTTTGGTGATTTACTGCTGTTGGAGCCTGGACTTCTTCCTGGGAGAAGGCTCGAAAAACTTCATGTCAGTTACTTAATGGAATAATACATGTTTCCTGCTTCCATTGTCTTCCTGGACCTGACACTCACTCTTTAACCATAAGCAGAAGACACATACACAAATGTCCTATGTTAAGAATCTTTATTTAAGACAGGTGGCTAGCATTATTTGGGTCCAGAAGCTTCCCTGGAAAGAAAGGATTCACTGCAAGATCGACAGGCTTACCCAGTTCATTTAGGCGTGGCTTGATTTATGCACACAAAGCTTTGGGAACATATCAGTCACATCAAGCTAGGTCCACCTGTGTGAGTAACTAACGTGTTTATTTATGATTTTCTTTAACAGCACAGAAGAGCAATTGCATTTGGTCATTCTAGTATCAACTGAGTTCTTTATAAAATATCTTTGGGGTGTTTAAGGAGAATTATTCTTTTTACAAGTTCTGATTAATGACACCGCAAAAATGAAAATAATGAGCTAATATGTATCTAGTACTTGCTATGCACTTATATGTATAGAAGCGTATAATCCACAGCACTCCTTCTGAATACGTTACGTAAATGGAACCCTCGCAACAGTCTTACCCCCATTGTAGAGATGAGAAAACTGAGGCATACAGAAGAGATGGAACTAGGCCAAGAGCATAGAGGTGGAATTGTTGTGTGAGCCTGTAGAGTCCGTGTTCTTACCCACTGCATGATGTCTGATCATCGTCAATTTTCTTTCCATTTGGATAGATGAATGGTAATACTTCCCTACTAGGTAGAGCAATGATTCCAGAAGTTTATAATAATTGGAAAGTGTATTAGTCGATTCTCACACTGCTATAAAGACATTCCTGAGACTGGGAAATTTATAAAGAAGGGAGGTTTAGTTGGCTCGTGGTTCTGCAGACTGTATAGGCTTCTGCCTCTCGGGAGGCCTCAGGAAACTTACAGTTATGGCAGAAGGTGAAGGGGAAGCAGGTAATGTCTTCACATGGCTGGCAGTGGAGGAAGAGAGAAAGTAGGGAGGTGCTAGATGCTTTTAAACAAACAGATCTCAGGAGAACTCTTTCACAAGACAGCACTAGGGGGATGGTGATTAGAAAGCACCTCATGATCCCGTCTAGTTCCTGCAGAGAACAGATTAGCCCCCTATGCAGCACACACCTTTGTGAGGTCCCTTCTCCAACACAGGGATTACAATTCAACCTGAGACGTGGGTGGGGACACAGAGCCAAACCACACTGGAAGGTAAAAAAGTTGGCAACCAGAGGCTTAGAGGAGGTTCAAATCTCAAAGTGATGTCTTTCCTTTTGCATTTTGGATGGTTTAATAAATAAGATTGATACAAACACAAGCATTAAGCAAACAAAAGGAAATAAAAACGGCAACAAATAAAACTTCTGTGCTTTTTGAAATTCTGTTTTTGGCAGGCAACATTCCAAAGATCTTTTTCATTTAAAGTCCAGGAGTCTTCTGTGTGAACCCCACACAGGTACCTTGGAAAGACTGCATCTCCTGGATTTTGCATGGTTCTGGCTTAATGGACAACATATCAGTCATTTTTTGAGGAAAATAAATTTAAGGCTTGGTCATCGGTCCTTGAGTCAGCACATTGAGCGTTTTGTCAATTAGCTCCTCCCCCCATCTTTATGGTATGGCTTTTCCTGTAATTACAGTCAAGATCCTATAGCCGGAGGAAGGCCTGTCAATTGAGTAAGAGGCTGATGTTCATCGCACAGTGACAGCCCATTCGGAGGGTTTTAGGCCTGTCCTTAGAGAGGCTTGTTATTTCCTCTTTCGGTACTTTGTTGCAACCCAGCTCACCGCCATCAGATGAGTGGAGGTTTCTTATGCTGTGGCGAAACCCAGGGGGTCAAGCCCCTCGGACATGACGTACTGCAAAGTGAGGATGTTTCATTGATTTATATTTTTAAAATTAAAAATAATTATTTAAGCTGCATCTGTGTGCTTATAAGAAAAGATATAGAAAGATTAGTAGTAGACTGTTGTGTTCTTTTTTTTTTTTTTGAGATAGACTCTTGCCTGTCGCCCAGGTTGCAGTGCGGTGGCATGATCTCGGCTCACTGCAACTTTTGCCTCCTAGATTCAAGCGATTCTCCTGCCTCAGCCTTCTGAGTAGCTGGGATTACAGGCGCCCGCCACCACACCCAGCTAATTTTTGTATTTTTAGTATAGACGGGGTTTCACCATGTTAGCCAGGCTGGTCTCGAACTCTTGACCTCAGGTGATCTGCCCGCCTTGGCCTCCCAAAGTGCTGGGATTACAGGCGTGAGCCACTGCACCTGGCCAGTAGTAGACTTTTGATAGGGTTTTTTTTCTCAAGGTGTAGATTTGGCTAGGAAGTCATAGAAAATGGTCTTTTTTTTTTTTTTTGGAGATGGAGTCTCACTTTGTCACCTAGGCTGGAGTGCAGTGGTGTGATCTCAGCTCACTGCAACCTCCACCTCCTGGGTTCAAGTGACTCTCTTGCCTCAACCTCCCGAGTAGCTGGGACTACAGGCCAACGCCACGGCACCTGGCTAATTTTTGTATTTTTAGTAGAGCCGGGGTTTCACCATGTTGGCCAGGGTGGTCTCGAACTCCTGACCTCAAATGATTCCCTGCCTCCACCTCCCAAAGTGCTGGGATTATAGGTGTGGGCCACTGTGCCCGGCCAGGAAGATGGTCATGTTTTACTTTGAACCAATCTGTGCTTGGTTTATTTTTTTCAGTGAGTGTGGATTACGTTTATAATTTTCGGTTACTAGTTAGGTAAAGAATAAAAATTAATAAACACATTTATAGTTCTCAGAGATTCCTTGAGAGAGGAACATCTTTAAACGGATAACCACAGTCTTCTAAACACCTGAAAGGGTGTCTTTTGCTGAACTATGGAGTTTTAGTTTTGCTTTAGAATTTTTGGATGATTAGACTTGTACTTCTTTTAGGCTATTTTTCCACCTGGTACTATTTGGCTTTACTGACTGCCCTCATTCCCCATACACCACCTTGTTTTGTTCAGATTCCCCTAAATCTTCATTCTCGTCCCACCTCCCCATCACTCCTGACTACTTGAAACACGACTTCTGTCCTCAGAAGGCAGCAGTGTTCCCTCCTCCCGTTCATTTTTCATTTTCCCGTTGCTTAAAAAAATCAAGCATATGTTTGCAGTCATCACTGATGTTCTGCCTCCTCTTCTAAAGTTATAGATGAGTGCCAAGTTGGCAGAGCATGTAGAAAGATCACTGCAGATGTCCTTGTCGTGTTGACCTTATTGGAGAATTTCCTATCTGTGATGACCTGTAAATGGAATTTAAGGGAGGAATCAAACGTGTTAGCACGGGGTTGGCATTGCGTGGCTGTTTTCAATTAACTTGACCACTATGATAACATCAAAGGTGTGTGTACCATTCTATGACCATTGAATCTCCATGGACATGTTTTGGGAAATGGATTTGTCCCATTACACTGCTTTCTTTAGTGCATAAGATCTTGAAGGGAGGGATGCATTCTATGCACCCCAAGTTTCTGGTTTACTCGTGGTTTCAGGTGTCCCTTTAGACAACATCACTGACAACTCACTATGTAAAACCAAACAAATTATTAGCTTTCTTACTGTGTGTTTGCATTTGCTGTGCCCAGGGAAATGGGAAGTGCATTGAGGAAGAGGCCCCAAGACATGGAGAAGTCACTCCAACTTTCCGGAAACCCCTTTTGCTGTGCCATGTGCATGGAAGGAGAGGAATGAATGACTGTTGAAGCCAGATGGCCTTGCTCATTGATTCTCTCCTTTCCCGCCCTCTCAAGCCATCCAGAAGGAGAATGAAATGCTCAAATCAAGGGAGTTAACTATGGCAAAGATGTTAGTAATGGGAAACTTTGGAGGAAGGCAAAGTCAGAAATTATTCTGCAGGGAGATTTGGGGATGTTGGATGCTAAGGCCCAAGCCGTCTATTGTATGCCTTTTGCTTTGGCATAAAACAACAGATGACCTTCTGTTAGGTGTATGTCTGCTCATGCTTGAGAGTGGTGGTGTTTGGAAAGACTCAATAGCATATGCACATGAGGAAGTTGACCAAATGATTCCACAGCACATACTCATTTTTTTGCTCTGATTCTAGCTTTTCCTCCAATTTTATTCAGAATTTGTTCTTTTCTTACCTCACACCATATAGAAAAATCAACTCAAAGTGGATTGGAGACTTAAACATAAGATCTGACAGTGTAAAATTAGTAGAAGAAAACAAGGAGGAAAGCTCCATGACACTGGTCTGCACAATGAGTGTTTTTGTATATGAACCGAAAAACAGGTAGCAAAAGCAAAAATAGACAACTGGGATTACAACAATCTAAAAAATTTCTTTACAGAAAGGAAGCAATGAACAGAGTGAAGCAGCATCCTACAGAAAGAGAATATTTGCAAACCACACATGTGATAAGGGGTTAATATTCAAAATGTACACACAGCGTAAATGCAAGAAAAGAATCTGATGTAAAAATGGCCCTTCCAACATCTAGCATTATTGTGTGTTGAATAAATACTTGTTTGATTAGGTCTAATCACTCTTCATGATTGGATTTCCAAAATGTGGACTCTCAGCAGGACATTACAGGGACAGTGGTTGGGTCTGGAGATGTCACCCTTAGCTGTTTTTCACAATGAGAGGTTGTTTTATCATAAATAAATCAATAAATGGTAGATTATACACCGGAGTTACTGAGAATTATAAAAAAATTAAAAAAGCCCACATTTTAAAGGGAATTTGGTATTTTTAACAAAGCATCAGGGGGCTGGGAGCAGTAGCTCACGCCTGTAATGACAGCACTTTGGGAGGCCGAGGTGGGCGGATCACAAGATCGGGAGATCGAGACCATCCTGGCTAACATGGTGAAATGCTGTCTCTACTAAAAATACAAAAAGAAATTAGCTGTGCGTGGTGGCGGGCGCCTGTAGTCCCAGCTACTTGGGAGGCTGAGGCAGGAGAATGGCATGAACATGGGAGGTGGAGCTTGCAGTGAGCCGAGATTGTGCCACTGCACTCCAGCCTGGGCAACAGAGCAAGACTCCATCTCAAAAAAAAAAAAAAGAAAAAAAAGCATCAGGGTTGTCACCATGAAGCAGGAGGAGAAAAATAATGCTGTTAGACTTCTTAAAGCGTATTTTGTGGTTTATTTTATTGCTCTGTAAATTGCAGGCTGTAATTCATGGGGCTCAGGCCAGTGATTTCACAGTTGATAGACCAGGCACATCTCTTCCCACCCCTTCCCCACCTAGGGGCAAGGTTTTCAGGAAGAGCCCCTTTTCTAAACCACACATGGCCTGCTCACAAATCTTATGATAAAACTCTACCCACTGAGAAGCACAAGGTGTGAGGCTATTGATGAGGAGTTGAAGGTGACAGAGACCGAGAAAGTGCTGCACACCTTTGGCCTAAAGGGTAATGAGCAACACACAAGGATTGGGAGATGTTCATGGCAAGAAAAATTCAGAAGGGACATTGTTGTTTCACTAATTCTGTAAAGGAGAGCAGCGGCATTTACTTAGGCCGATTCCCCATTCTCTCTTTCTGTTTTTAAACAGAGACAGATCTTGCTCTGTTGCCCAGGCTGGAGTGCAGTGGCATGATGGCATGATCATAGTTCACTATAATCTCGAACTCCTGGTTTCAAGTAGTCTTCCTGCCTTGGCCTCCCAAAATGCTAGGAATACAGGCAGGAGCCACTGTTACTGGTCTGTTTTTTTTCCTTAAATACATAGGCAACTTCCTCGATTGTCTCTCCTTTATTGGCATTGAGAGATAAGCACAATAATGATTGTTAAGATGGAATATTATGAAGGCTCAAGGAATACTTCTGAAGGCTTTTTGTCTATGAAGTACACGAGGTTTCTTAATAGTTTGGCCTCTGGCAAAAATGGTTTTATTGTAGTTTCATCCTTGTTGAGTCAATAATTAACTGAGTTTGA
Source organism: Homo sapiens (assembly GCF_000001405.40). Lineage (NCBI taxonomy): Eukaryota > Metazoa > Chordata > Mammalia > Primates > Hominidae > Homo > Homo sapiens. The sequence goes on from NC_000016.10 coordinate 78,499,097, forward strand.
TTAAAGCTGAATTTTCCTAAGTATGAAAACCATGTGGGCCCTTCTCTTTCCTCGTGATGCACGGTGATAGTGCGTATCTAACACTTGAAGGTGTCCACGCTGGCCCTAGCTCAGTGAGATGGCTTTGCTTTGGGGGGGTGAGGGGGCGGAGGTGGTGGAAAGGCAGCAAGCTACGATGTTCTTATGTGTGTGGCCTTGCTTCTGGTGGTGGGGTGGCACACATGCTCTGTAGTCTTTCTGGATGGGTTTGGCCCACGGGAGACCCCCTGGCTGTCCACCAGCCCCTTTGTGATAGTCTCATAGTCTTATTTGTCTTTTGGCTTGTATCCCACCTGTTCACTTTTTACCATAGCTAACCTTTCTAAGTGGTCAGGTGGGACTCATGGAGATTTTCCGTTCTTTGGCAACTAGCAGCGACTGCAGATTACTCATCAGCTGTCTCCTTGAGTCCACAATGCCGGGCGGTGGACGGGCTTCCTGCCTCCTGGCCCAGGGCCCCTTTGCCGGCTCTTAGTGTAGAGCACTAGTTGTACCATCTGGTAGTTGTTTGTGCCTGCGACTCTCTTCCCTATTAGGCTTTGACTCCTTAAGGATAAGAACCATGTCTTATTTTTTTTAATCTGTAGCTCCAGTATCCAGCCCAGGACTTGACACCAGCCTCTGTCAAATACATCCGTGGAACGCATTTGTAAGAAATCGAGGCCAAGGCACTGGAAGTCCCATTGTCTCTGGATGCTGAGACCTTGAATTTCATGCCATGGACCCCTCCCTTACATTCCGTCTTTAATGTGCTATAAATAGACATTCCTGGCCTTGCCTAAATAGGATTAAGTAGTACCAAATGGTCCTTACCGTTCTGAGGCCTCACTGAGACTCATTTTGAATCTTTAAAGAAAGCAGTAGAGGGATGGAGAAGAAGTGGGTCAAAACCTGGTTTCTGCCTGTGGGAAAATACAAAACAACACAACAGCAAAGCAGACTAGCATGGTTCAAAGCACACATTGAGGTTTTTGGTGTGCCATTCTAATGCATGAGCTCATTTTGAGCCAAGGATAGCTTTTTGGTGTAGAATTTTGCCAGTCCTACGGTCAATGCAGTACTAATTGTGTGTGTGACTTTGTGCAGTGGGGAAAGGTGGGGCTTTAAAATAAAACAGAAGGTATGAATTGCTTGGCATTTGCTGTGGTTCCTAAGTCTCCATTCCGCTTGCCAAGATTAAATTGAATTATTCCCGCTGCCATTCAGTTTTACTCTGCACAAAATACAGCCAACATTTTTGCATTTCTTTCTTCCTTCCTCCTTTTCTTCTTTCCTTCCTTCCTTCCTTTTTCCCTTCATCTATCTTTGTTCCGCTTTTGTTTGTTTTTTTTTAGATCGCTGCATGCTGCCGCGTTGGGTTAACCATGGTAGCATTTTACCATGAGAAGCCATAGCAAGATGTGCCAGGTGCATGCTGCTGGAACACCTGGCTGAGGCTCCAACAGCATTTTCCTATGACTGAGGGTAGGGTAGGTAGATGACTCATTACAATTTATAAAATGGGGGGCTTAGCTTGGGTATCATCGTGGTTATTCCAAGCAGTCTTCCAGCTGGACTAGCTTTTCGGGAACACGTGTGTGTTTGTGCTGGAAGCCCCAGTAATATCATTTAATTCGAAAGCTTTTTTCTATGATGAATTATTCAGGCAGTGTTTACCAAAATTGTCATTGATCAGTACAGACCCAGAGAGCATGTACAACAGCGCCTGTGCTGGGCCTGCTAGGAGTCGATATTTTCTGGCTCAAAGAAGTTCCAAAAGAATTCAAAGCCAGTGTGTCTCTTTCTCTGGACGGCCAAGTGATGCAGGTACCACGCTTAGGTCTGCTGGTGTTTAGCTTGACTTAAAACCCAGCCAGGGAAATATGTTTCACTTTGCTGGGGTGCAGGTGGAGGAGGCTATTATTCTTAGGCATTTAACAGTGAAGAATGTTGGGCAGGGCAGAGGGTCAGCTGAATGGCAGGGATTCCAGGTCTCAGTTAATGCCCACAAATTTCTGAACTTTGAACATAAATACCCTCACTGCAATACATGTTTTTCTTTCTCTCTCTTTCTTTCTCTTTTTTTTTTTTTGAAAAACTTTTTTGGAGCAGCACCTGCATGTTGTAAAAACACAAAATAAAAAAAAAATAAATAAAAGCAGACCCCTTGGTTCAGATATCTTTGTTTGTGTAAATGTTTTGGCATTCTTTATGAAAATCTTCAGATTTTCAAGAGCTTAAGATGACCTCCTCTAGCCGGCTGCAGCAGTGTCTAGGTATCTGTGAATGTGTAAGAAATTGAGACAGCCTGCAAAATAGCTCACCCAGCTTTTCTTTAAAGTTCCAACCTTTTTGCTGGCTCTCTTTCAAACTGTACTGCTCACTTTGGGCTGTACGTTAGAACCACCTGAGAAGTTCTTTTTCTTTCTTTTTTTTTTTTGAGATGGAGTCTTCCTCTGTCACCCAGGCTGGAGTGCAGTGGTGGGATCTTGGCTCACTGCAACCTCTGTCTCCTGGCTTCACGCCATTCTCCTGCCTCAGCCTTCCGAGTAACTAGGATTACAGGCATCCGCCACCATGCTTGGGTAATTTTTGTACTTTTATTAGAGACAGAGTTTCACCATGTTGGCCAGGCTGGTCTCGAACTCCTGACCTGAAGTGATCCACCCACCTCAGCCTCCCAAACTGCTGGAATCTGAGAAGTTACGTGAAACTAGCGATGCCCTGGGCTAATGAAATCAGGCTCCATGGTGGGGAAGGATGTTGCGGTGGGGTTGGGGTGGCAATGAAAGGTGAAAACCACTGTGGTCCCACCTGCCCATCGTCAGATTTCGGTTCCTCTCAGAGTTAACGTAGAAGGTTTCTGGGGGCATGGACCTGAGTCTTATCCCCTTTGCAAAAGTAAGAATTGTATCGTAGCCTGACTCAGGGTTTTAGCCAACTTCTCTGGATGCTAATGCTATTCTCTTCTTTATACTTGTCTTCCTTCCCAGGCACACATCCACTGGAGCTTTGCAGGGCCTATCTGCCCTTAGCCCTCCAATATCCTTTTCATTTTCTTTAATAGTTTTATTGATATATAATGTGCCTACCATATAATTCATCTGCTTAAGGTGTACAATTCAATGGCTTTTAGTGTATTCAGAGTTTGCATCCACCATCACAATCAGTTTTAGAACATTTTCATTAACCCAAGAAAATGACCCCTTAGTCATCACCCCAAATACCTCCTCTCTCCAGTTCCTGGCAACCACTAACCAATCTACTTGCTGTTTCTATGGATTTACCTATTCTGCGTACCTCATATAAATAGAGTGATATGTTAGTCGTCTCTTGTGTCTGGTTTCTTCCTCTTAGCATCATGTTTTGAAAGTTTATCCCTGCGACAGCATCTACCAGTTCATCATTTCTTTTTGTGGCTAAGTAATACGCCATTGTATGGATATACCACATTTTGTGTATCCATTCATTAGTTCATGGATTTTGTGTCTATTATGAATAATGCTGCCATGAGCATCTGTGTTGTCCACAAGTTTCAGCATGGACTTCTGTTTTCATTCCAATATCCTTTGATGACATGTCTTGGCAGTGATGTCTATGACACTGGGCAAGTGTCTTAAAATGTTGTGCATCAGAAAAAAGTCATCATTGCCAAGGCCAGCAGATCTCGAAAAGGGGGCTGGGATACGTTGGTGATTTTTTTCATGCTCTACTTACAGTATGACTCGTAACTGTTAATGGCTGAGCTCCTCCTTAGGTGAAGAAGGAAGGCAATGGCGTTTTCTATTCTGGGCCTCCCTGCTTCCAGCGATAGCAAGGAGCGAAATGAGATGCTGTCTAAGAAAGGAAGGTGCTGCGATCTTTGATTACTACACAGCCTCGGCAGTGTTTGTATGATTAATGAGTCCATGTTTCAGACGTTCCCATTTAATGTATTTGAGCCTTCTAACAACATTGCCTTTCATATGTTGCTGACTGTTTTTGAGATTTATGAGGCCTAACTCGCAAGCGATGTGTGTCTGGATTAAGAGAACCTGAGAATCTCTATTTATGTCTGACCCCAGGAAATTCCCTTTAAGCTGCTTATCAGAGGTGCATGCTGAGAGCATGATGGGAAGATGGAGTCTTCCATCCGCTGGTAAAATCTGGAATCTGCTCTCATTTCATTTTCACTGAACTGAAAATAAGGTAACAGACCCTCAGGTCTACCTATAAGTACCTTCCAACTGTTCCACTTTTGTAAATTTAGTTCAGATAATACATATGCTGAAATTCCTATATCCCCCCCATACTCCAGATCTTCAGTGTGGAATTTAAATATAATTCCTTATTGTAAAAAAAAAAAATTTTTTTTTGATCAAGGTGATTTTGATAAACTAAATGCATCTTTAATTTTACTCACAGCAAAGCGATTCTTTATTTTCTCTCTAAAAGCATAATTGATGTGCCATGATCTTTGTCTTTGCATTTTTAAAACTGAAAGAACATTTCCACACCATTAGAAATAAGATTTCTTCTTAAAAATATTCACAAGGTGCAAACACTTACATGTGTATATGCATGATTTCACCACCAGGGGGCATTGTGGTTTGACTGTCCAGTTAAAGAGCCTGTGTTCTATCAGTTTACCCAGAAACTAGAAGGCCTGCGAGTATTTCTGATTCCTTCCAAGAAGGATTCATATCTGGAAGAGAACAGATGTCGACTCTTTTTCCTCTCTAGCAAACAGTAGTGTTGTCAAATTTGCTAAACTTAGCCAGTTGAAGATTAACATGCAATATATAATATGCATGCGACTAAGTGTACAATAAATAGTAAATCACATTTTTATGCTTTCTCTGAACTTGGAAGCTGCAAGTTATGTTTTTTTTATTCCCTGGGTGTGATGAAATAAATAACATTCAAATACATCTTAAAGATGTCAGTCAGGGGGAAAAAAGTGCTTGGCAACTGTGTTTGATAGATTTCTTTTATGATTAATTCTCCTATTAAGTTTTAATGACTTCAAAGATACAAAGCTAGAAACTACAAAACTAGGCATGGTTAATAAATAACTGAAATACCAGGTGTATAGAAATGCATCTGTGGAAAAATGAAATCATGTATTCTCTAGGATATATTAGGAAATGGCTCTTTGGCAAGTCTAGAGGGTAAAGTATCCCTGAAGGGGGAAAAGGTTTAAAAACAGTAAACTAAAGAAGATTGTTTTTCTGAAAGAAATTCCCAGGAGAAAGGTACTTTCTGAGATTCACATATGTAGATTACATTGTTATGAACCAACATTTATAAGCAAGCTTGATCTCTCAGAATGCGTTTGTCTATCTCAGATTTTCAAGAATCCTCATACAAATTGTCCAGGGTTTCCACCTCGCAGTTTTCTTCCAGGGTTGCTATGGCATGGAAAGTACATTGCTATTTTGTTATGTAAATGCTCAACAGACTGGCTCATTCCAGAAGTGGGCGTCGTGATGCCAGTGTCTTCGTAATACTATCTTTCTTTCCCCTTTAGCACCCAGAACTTATGAAATATGACTCGGTTTATCCTGAACACATCTCTGTGCATCGGGGAGGATGGGAGAATTAATTCCAGTTTCTCAATTGCAAAAGTGAGGCTGGTCATGGGGCTTGGAACCACGCCACGGACGCATGAAGCCTCCCCGTTTACATGCCAAATCCAGAGCTTATGCATCCGTGCTCAGGGCTCTCTGTGGTAGGCAACAGCTGGATTATTTACTTTCTAGAATATCTCGAGTTCTTAATCTGAGCAGTTTCGAAACCAAACCCACATTAATTAATATAAATAATGACTGGGAAACGTTGCAGGACTCCCCGGAAAAGAATGTATAAATTGATGTGTTTTTGTATATGCTTATGTATATGCCTTTGTGCACGAAAGGAGATAAATGGTGTATTTCACACAGTTCCTTCTCCTCCTCTAAGGGATATTATTGTTCCTGAATTTTTCTGAGCCGCCGAAGCACAATAGGGTTTAGAGCGTTCACACCAGGCAGCCCCCACTCTTCAGAACTTCAAATCTAAAGATCTTTTAAATACACAGAACTTACTTTTGAAAGCTGTGGCCCATCCCAAATGAATTCTAATCGTCAGCCTCTAGAATGCCTGGAGTGAGAAAACAGAATATTGTTCTTTTCTGTTTATATTATTTCATACTGAGTTAATACACTTGCCAAGACTCCGAGGCAGCTTCTGGCTTGACAATGCCTTCTTTAACTAGCCTAGTTTCTAGAATAAAGTTCGGGTCCACCAGGCCCTCTGAGTGGGGCTCAGGACACTCTGAGATGGAAGAGACTGGAGAAAGCCAATCTGTTTCTCCCTGAAAATCATCTTACTTTTTTAACGCTTCGTACCTAGATTTGGCCTGGGCAGCCCAGGGAGACTGTTCAAGCACTGGATACCTAGACTCTGCTGGGCTCTAGAGAAGTGCTGGGCTACAGCGCCCAGTGCCCTACCTCTTGGGGCCAGCCAGCCTCACCAAAAAATCACGCTTCTGGCTTGCTCCAAACTCAGGAAGTTGCTGGGAAGTCTGGCTAGCAACACCCTCATTCCCAGTCCTGGCCATGCCTCTCTGCTCTCCCTAGCACAGGGAGCATGCAGGCTTAAGGCTGGAAGAAACCCCAAGCATTTGGCCAGGAAGAGGCAACTAGTTCCAGCTGGCCCACATACTACACTTTAAAAATTACCCAGATGATCTGATTCTGTAGAGAGAGTGGGTGGAGAGGACTCCAGGGCCATGGAGGAAGATTCGGCCTTTCTCTCCCTAATCATGAGCAATGTGATTTGGAGAGAGAAGGACCCGGTTGGCTCTGCAAACCGCATTTCCTTGGCTGAACGCCAGAGGAGAGAAATGATCCGGCAAGAAGACACACCATTCCCCGTCAGCCCCTTCCCGACCCTTGCACCCCTGGATCTTCTGCTGAGTATCGGATTGGTCTGCGTCCAAGAGCTCCTCGCTTGGCCAGCAGGGGCTGCCTGGAGAAGGGGAGGACAGGCTTCGAGTTTTTTGGGTAGTGACTTCTGTGGACGTGAAAAGACTGCACCAGAAATCGGAGGCAGCCCTCCAAACATAACTTGGCCTCTTCGTTCTCCCTGTGGACACACAGGCTGTGTTCTCCTGGCCAAGAGTCCAAGCGTGTTTTTGGCGCGTGCTGACACTCTATATCGCTTTTGCTTCGGAAACGAATCTGGTCAGTGACTTAGCCACTCTATAAAAATGAAGAGCAGAGCTCGAGTGCTTATAACACGTCATTTTTACCCAAGACAGAGAAGAAAAACGAAAGAGAGCCTGAGCATTCCTTTGACTCCCTCCACCCCCGGAAGGTATATTCAGAGTCTCCAAGACTGCCTCCGCCCACTCACATGTTTATGGCCCGGTGAGACCGCATCCTCCCTTTCTATATCTGTCCCTTTTCTGGATGCAGGGACACAGAATCCCCTAAGTGGGAAGAGCTTTGGAGTGGAGGCTGTTCAAAGTTCTGTGGTGATTAATTATTACCTACCCAAGGTCTGGTCATTGCTATACTTGAGTTCTTTTCAGGCTCAAGATCTCTACCTTTTTGTGTGTTTTTTTTTTTTTTTTTTTTTTTTTTTTTTTTTGTACAGAGTCTTGCTCTGTTGTCCAGGCTGTAGTGCAGTGGAACAATCTCTGTATGCTCCCTGCAACCTCTGGCTCCAGGTTTAAGTGATTCTCCTGCCTCAGCCTCCCAAGTAGCTGGAACTACAGGCACCTACCACCACGCCTGGCTAATTTTTTGTATTTTTAGTAGAGACGGGATTTCACCATGTTGGCCATATTGGTCTTGAACTCCTGACCTCAAGTGATCCTCCCACCTCAGCTGCCCAGGGTGCTGGGATCACAGGCGTGAGCCACCGTGCACGACCTCAGGGTCCCTTCTAACCTGTGCTGTTGTCATAAACCCTGGAGGAGAAGCAAGATCTTTCTAGCAGGAGCAACATCATCCCAAATAAAGTGATAGACTTTGATAGTGTTCTTCTATTCATTCAACCAACAGAGAACAAATGAAAAGAATCAGGAGTCTATTGAGGAGACAGAACATGAGTGATTTCTGTGTGCTGACTATATTTAAAGACAAGATTAGCAGTAATATATAAACGTAAATAAGAATTTTTTTCCCCAGCCAAGAACCATAGATTGGACTTCACATTCAAAATGTAAATTGTGCCTAGGAAACATCAATGCTTATTTTAAGCAACTGACCCTTGGGATAAAAATAAAAAGTCAAAAGGAAACAAACAATGTTGCTGAGAAGTGATAGAATATTCTAGTTTATATCTCAGTCATTTTACAGCTCTGGCATTTCTGGGTAACACTTTAGAATACTTCCACTCCGGTTGGTCCATAAAAAGCTGCCTGTGTTTTTATGTTTTGAAAATACACGCAGAGAGACCCACTGCATGTCCTATTAGGCATCTTATCCTTGAGTAAGCAGGCATGCAACATCAGTGTCACACACATATCACCCCCATACTCGACATTCTTTGAGAAATGCCTTGGTCCCGTCTCCAGCCAGATCAGCATTGCACCTCTTGGCATGCGTTCTTACCTGTTGAGGATTTGCTTGAATTATAATATGGTAGAGGAGGAAACACAGTCTTACTGTGCCGTGTGCTGAGCGCAGAGCCATTCTCAGCATCCTGCCTTGATTAATAAGGCGTGAAAGATCCTCCGAATTCGCACCTGTTCAGACAAGCTTGTCCAACCCATGGCCCCCGGGTCGCATGTGGCCCAGGACAGCTTTGAATGTGGCCCCATACGTATTTGTAAACTTTCTTAGAACATCAGGATTTTTATGCACGGACCTTTTATGCATGGACTGTGGTGTTTTTTGATTTTTGGTTGCGTGCGTGTGTGTGTGTGTGTGTGTGTGTGTGTGTGACGGAGTCTTGCTCTGTCACTCAGGCTGGAGTGTAGTGGCATGATCTTAGCTCACTGCATCCTCTGCCTCCCAGGTTCAAGCAATTCTCCGTGTCTCAATCTCCCTAGTAGTTGAGATTACAGGTGCCCACCACCAAGCTTTGCTAATTTTTGTATTTTTTTAGTAGAGACAGGGTTTCGCCATGTTGGCCGGGCTGGTCTTGAACTCCTGATCTCAGGTGATCCTCCTGCCTCAGCCACCCAAAGTGCTGGGATTATAGGCGTGAGCCACTGCGCCCGGCCTTTTTTTTTTTTTTTTTTTTTTTTTTTTTTAACGCTCATCAGCTATTGTTAGTGTTAGTGTAGTTTATGCGTGGCCGAAGACAATTCTTCCTCCACTGTGGCCCAGGGAAGCTAAAAGATTGGACACCTGTAAACAAAAACAACACAGCCATCTAGCTGCAAGACGTAGCTAATTGCTCTGCAGAACAGGGTTGGCCAGCCTGGCCTTGATGTCGGAGTGTTCTCTAGACCTCACACCCAGTCCCTATTCTTAGGTTTTATTTCTCAAACCAGGTTTTGCCTGAGAAATTACAGCAAATGATTCAGAGCACAATGATGTTGCTCATTTTTGATAAGTAGTTGAAAGCTGATGGTGCCCTCCATTTCAAAGCAACAGAAGAAACGCTGGTGGTCATGGAGAAAGAGTTGGGAAGCAGAGCGTGAATGCCGGGATCTGCAGATCTGAGCACTATGCCTGCAGCCGATGTCTCTCCACAGGGCTGATCTGGTGGCTGGGGTGCCCCTGGTCAGAAGGGGTGATTACTGTTTCCTCTCTCTCCTTGGTCTCTGTCAAACCTACCAACTCTTTTCAGGAATGCAGATATTTAATTATCTTCTGCTGTTACATCTGCATCATGTATTGGCTGGCTGTTCAAAAGTATCCTCTCTAGGCAAATAACGAGATTTCGCCAGCAGGATCTCCCGTTAAAGGCGTGCATGTGTGGCTTTGTAGACACGTATGTGTGTGTGCGTGCACACCTGCCTGCCCTTGCACAGTGGGCACTGTTTCCAGTGTGCAGTGAGGCCCTCCCTTCGTGTAGAACAGGACAGGACAATGACAAAGTTATTCAATTAATAATTGAAGCTTGCCGGGCATGGTGGTTCACGCCTGTAATCCCAGCCCTTTGGGAGGCCAAGGCAGGCAGATCACCTGAGGTCAGAAATTCAAGACCAGCCTGGCCAACATGGCAAAACCCTGTCTCTACTAAAAAATACAAAAGTTAGCCGAGCGTGATGGCCAGCACCTGTAGTCCTAGCTACTTAGGTAGCTGAGGCAGGAACTCGCTTGAACCCGGGAGGCGGAGGCTGCAGTGAGCTGAGTTTGCACCACTGCATTCCAGCATTGGTGACAGAGCGAGACTCAGTCTCAAAAAAAAAAAAATAATATAATAATAATAATAATCGCACCTCAATACTCCGTAGCCATTTTACCGCATGTGACTATTAGCTGTGCTTTTGCGGTTATCTACGTCTGTTGTGTCTATACGGTGGAGTATTTGCAGACGCTCTGCCAGTGTGCAATGCTTCCCAGCCCTGCATTCAGGGATACCAACTTGGGTGCTGAAAAGCAGCGATGGCAGGACTATTTACACCACGGAAACAGGCAAAAACTACTGATCAAGCCTTCACTGTTTTGTTTATATTGTCTTGACTTAGAAAGTGATTGCAATGTTAATAATGCAGATTAAATTGAAGCGTACAGTGCCTATAAACCATTACATTATGAATAGTATAAAAAATTGAGGAAGCCGTGTGGCTCACAAATTCAGCACTTTGGGAGGCCGAGGCAGGAGGATCACTTGAGCCTGGGAGTTGGAAACCAGCCCAGGCAACATAGTGAGACCTCATCTCTTTAAAAAAAAAAAAAAAAAGAAAGAAAAATTAGCTGGCATGGTGGCACATGCCTGTAGTCCCAGCTTCTGGGGATGCTGCAGCGAGCCATGATTGTGCCACTGCTCTCTGGCCTGGGCAACAAAGAGAGATCCTGTCTCCAAGTCTGTCTGTCTGTCTGTCTGTCTGTCTGTCTGTCTCTCTCGGAAATATTCCTTCAGTGTATTAGTAAAGAAGTTACTTAGGAGTCACTTATGCCCTTGAAGAGTGAGTGATGTATCAAAATATGTCTGTCTTTATTGTTTCACTTTCATCCTTCTTTTTTTGGAGATGGAGTCTTGCTCTGTTGACCATGCTAGAGGTGGCGCGATCTCCACTCACCGCAAGCTCCGCCTCCTGAGTTCAACTGATTCTCCTGCCTCCGCTTCCCAAGTACCTGGGATTATAGACACCCACCACCATGCACAGCTAATTTTTGTATTTTTAGTAGAGATGGAGTTTCACCCTTTTGATTGGTTGGCCAGTATGGTCTCAAACTCCTGACCTCAAGTGATCCACCTGCCTCACCTCCCAAAGTGCTGGGATTACAGTCGTGAGCCACCGTGCCGGCCACTTTCATCTTTCTGATTAACTGAAAAGTATCAAGCAATACTTACATGTAACTGCACTTTCTCATCAACTGCAACCATAATTTAGCTATGGATACAAGAGTTGGGCACAAATCCATGAAAGCATTGAGTGAGAATCAATTGGCTCTGTGGGATTTACAATAAAGAATGTTGTTTATTTTTATTTGTAAATTGTGTGCTACAGATCCTTCGTATCAGTAAAATGTATGATAAACATATGTGTGTATATTCACACACACCCTTTCATTTTGGCAGGAGTGTTTGTTAAACATTTACCACAGCAGTGGATTCACTTCCATCAGCTGCTAACTTTCAAGGATGTTTGAGGATGCATGACCTGTGCAATGCACCTGCTTCGGTGCCTGGCACAGAGTCGCAAAGCCACAAAGATGGTGCTTGTTGGTTGTATGTGTTGTTTCCATCTGATATCACCATTGAGGGGAGCAAGATGACATGTGCCTACCCCACGTGTCCAGCAGCAAAGCCACCTGGCATAGTGGGCTGCTCAGCGTGCCTGGTTCATACTGCGTGTTTATAGTCCCAGGGTGTTTTCAGAGAGCAAAAGTCCTTTATGATTAGCAAATTGCAGGTCCTCCCCTTTCTGATATTTACAGCCCTTGCAACCGCCTGTACAAAAATCGGGAAAAGGCAGAAGACGGCTGTCATTAATGTAAAAGCAGCTGGTTACCTCCCCCTCCCCAGCGCACACATCACCTCCTAGTACAATTAGTCACCATGTCTTTTCCCTTCCGTCAAGCCTTTTAGCGGAGTTCACAGGGATGCCTTCGGTCCAGACACTATGACCGTTGACGAAGGATTTGAAATATTTTGAGAACTCTGAAATAATGCACACCAGAAACGTCCAGCTGAAAACAAAAAGGGAACAAGATGACATTTTGCAATCCCATGCACGTTGCAGGCACGTTGAATGTGAAGGTCAGTAGTACTTCAGAGGGCAGGCCTGTTGCCCCCAAGCCTGTTGCCTAAGAAATGCCCAGGCCCTTTGAACAAAATGGATTCGAGTGATTACAGCACGTCCTCACTTACATCTCCCAATATATTTCTTGTTATTCTCGTTGAGTACTGCATTCAGACAGAGGTTGCCAATAAAGTTTATTGTAGGAGCTAAGTGTCAATATCTGTAGTACCCCCCGCCTAGGGTGCTGCTAATAAAATGCCACAGATAGTCTGGGAGAGGCATGAAAATTTGATGGCAAATTGATTTCAGGTTCATCTTGAAATTTGTCCTCAGCTGGACTCGATACTTCTGGCAGACATGGGATGGCTTTTGTCAGAAGGGTCTGCTGGAATGAGACAGAGATGTCTTGATCTGAATATTAAATACAACATGCTGTTTATGACATTATCCGTTTACTGCTAAAATACCCAGCTACTTCTGTTTACACATTCTTCTGCGTTGAATGGGTAAGATAGCATCTCATAGATCCACTTTACATATGAAAAGAAGTTGTATCAAACTTGCTGGGCATCAGAAATAAAGGGTTTTAGAGACACTGGCTTCAAACACAAGTTATTCCATCCAAGATTCTAAACTTAGCAATGCAACTTGCACTTAATTTTAAAACGCTGGAAAAATAATGATAAAGATTGTGTGATCAAGTATAGCAGCCCTGTGGTGTTTCCTCAGAATGGTGTATTACAGAAAAGGAAAAAGCCATATACATGGAGAAGAAACTCCCGATATTTAATATTATCAATTGCTGGTTCCTGTAAATTTGCATTTATGGATCACATTATAAAAGCAATTACTCTTATGGATTGTTCATGCAGAAATGCACTATGATGATAATATACTTTTAAAAGTATATTTATTTCCAGAATTCAATTTGTAAGAGGTTTGAGGGAAAAATAATACTGAGTTTTGAGTGTTTCTGATTTTAAAAATGTGTTGAGTAGAATTAAACGTGTTCACCAAAACCCATTTTATCACTTTAAATTATTGGGCAATTAATTGTATTTACTTAGCATTGAATGCATGATTAGAAATGGAATTTTTAAAAAAGCAATACTCAAGTGGAGTGAGTTCATTTGTTCATTCAGCAAATAGGACTTGAGTCCCCTACTATGTGCGGAGCCTTAAAGGATGAGAAAGATTTCTGGGTGGGACTTCAATGAGACTCATTTCGCAGGTTTTCATGTTATTATGTATATGTGGTAAATAATTAATTTTTTCACAAGTACTTGCACTAGTGATGCTAAAATAAGCTTGACTGGCTTGTAAATCAATGAAGGTTACTGTTGCATTGCTTTGAAATTGAATTTAAAAACAGAAACAGAGCAGTCCCTTTGCTTCCGAATGCAGCCCTCCCATTGGAATCACTTTGGAAGAATCTGGATCTGCGTGTTACCCAGTCTTACTTTTCAGGCAGTCCCAGGCAGGAAGGCCCATTAGTGAAAAGAGCCCTGCATATGCTGTGGGTCATCACAGCTGCTGCTTTGCACATTTAGGAGATATTTGTGGACCTTTCATTAGGACAATTTTTATGGCCCGAGATTAAAAGTTAAAGTTAAGTAGTAAACGTAATGAACATGTGCCTTTGGAGATTCCAACTGGTTTGTATTTTCATTCTCTCCGTTGGTCATGGCCCATTGAATTTTGATGATAGCATTAAAACAAATGCCTCAAATCATTTTTGGAAGGAGACAGGATATGAATTGACAAATTAATAAAATAAATTATACTTCAAAGATGCTAAATTATCTCTTCTATGTAAGTAGGAGGCTCTCTTTTCAGATGTGGAATTTGTAGGAGCTTGAATATTCTCAAGAGAGGGTATGGGCAACATTTGATAAAAGATGTAATTATTGGGTCGTAGGAAATAATGATTGAGATAGGGTATCCACTGCCCTGGTGGGGGAATCAGTGAGGCTAGGAATCACTGGAAAATGACATTCCTTGAGACTCCTTCAATGGGTAGAGTTTGCTTTAGCTTTTCATGTATCTTACTGTATGATGGTTGCTTTTGGGTTGAATTCCACCTTGGGTTCAATTCAACATGAAAGTTAACCTTTTGGTGAAGGAATGATCCAGGGGAAATAGTAAAATATTAGCCTGTCCTCCAATACAAATTGCCTGTGAGTCCCACTGATACTTACAAATATACAGAGGTGGTGTAAAAGGATTCTGTGTCAAAACTATTAATATTTGAGAAATACAATACTTATCAGAGCCTTTGTATGTAAATGTCTCATATACCCCTCTAAGAAGGGGAGCGAATAGTATTTTCCAAACTTACGTCACCACTTACCATCCACCTGCATACTTTACACGTCTTGGAATCAACCTTACAGGGAACACTTGGTCGAAAAACAGTGTTTTCTAAATTTATATTACAGTTCCCACTCCCCCCCCCCCCACTTGTATCACTTTGTATGACAGTCTTCTTGGGAACATCCATTGGGAAACTCTTCCCTTGCAGGTGTCTGTTACAAGTCCTGGTTCACACAGTGTTGCGAAAGAATAGTTGTATGTCACAATTTTCTTTATATAGTATTTATTGAGAAACCTATTCTGTTAATAGAATGACTCAAAATCAGCCAACCCCATAAATACTGCTCAAGCATTTAGAAAGACTTTCTCTATAGAGGCTTCAGACGTCAGAAAAAAACTTAGAGAGTGACTTTCAGATACAGCAACCTAGTCTATGTTATAGAACATTCTAAAAAGAGCAGATTTTAATATCTTTCCTCCCACACTTGCTTTGACTCCCTCCTTTAGTAATTAGATAATTATGTATAATAAGCACATTAATTATGTGCAACAGCTGCCATTGAGTGTGTGCATGTACAACTGCTTGAAAACAGCTTGTGAGTTCACTATTAGGTCCATGAAATTTTTCTCCTTGGCAGGTTTTCACTATTAGTTTGCTTGACAAAGGATAGATACATTTTCCATGTGTGGAGGTAAAAGCAGTGCAGTGAGCTAAAAAGTTAGCAAAGGTGAAGTGGTCCTAATCTGCGGCCCTGGTACACTTAGATAGGCATCATTGCCTTTCCTCTGAGCTCTTGGTGCTGATAACAGCTTCCTTGACCGATAAGTGTACCAGATTTCCTTACCTGTCCCAGGGCAAGATAGCAAGAGTTTCTTGATGCATTTAAAAAATGCATTTAGTGTTGGCAAAAGGCTGGCAATTTATTATTAAGTGGAATAAGCAGTTTAAAAACAGTATGTACAGGGTGGTTTTCTGGCTATATAAACACACAGGCATTGAAAATAGATATACATAAATAATGTTACTATAATTTGTCTGCCTCCCTTCTCTCAGAAAAGACCAATGAATTATCTATTATGTGCCACTCACTATTTGAGTGCTGGGAATACAGCCCCATAAAGTGAAGTTTCATATATCAGGTAGCAAGATGGCCATGGTCTGTGTTTTGAGAATCACAGGCGTTTTTGAGGCTCATGGCTATAATCCCAGCACTTGGGGAGGCCGAGGCAGGTGGATCACCTGAAGTCAGGACATCAAGACCAGTCTGGCCAGTGTGGCAAAACCCCACCTCTACTAAAAATACAAAAAAAAATTAGCTGAACCTGGTGGTTCACGCCTGTAATTGCAGCTACTCAGGAGGCTGAGGCAGGAGAATCACTTGAACCCGGGAGGCGGAGGTTACAGTGAACCGAGATCGTGTCACTGCACTCCAGCCTAGGCGACAGAGCGAGACCCTGTCTCAGAAACAGAAAATAAAACAAACAAAAAAATACTATTCCATAGCTGACTATTTTCTGAAATGATTTTGTTACTTTTCTAATGAGAAAAAAATAGATCTCGTGTGTGGAGGGAATTGAAGATGTAATTTCAGACTCTGCGTACAGCTAAGCTCATCGTAGTTACTTAACTAACACTTAAGGAATTAAATGGCATATCTGTGTTTGAGAGGCACACTGAGATGAGACACCAGCTCTTTTTATTTATTTCTAATGGTTTGCTTGGTGTACTGGTCATTTCCCCGGAAGTGTGCAAGAAGAGGTAGGTGACTTGCATGTTGTCTATGAACGTTTTTAGAAACGTCTGGTGGAACCATCCGGGCATCACATAGCTATCTCTGTGCAGAGCCAGGCCGGATGCCTAGGTGAGATGGAAAGCTTCCGTCAGCTTTCTTGCCGGCCTCTCCTCGCAGCCGCTCCCTTCCACACCTGCCTTTTCACCTGCCAGACTGCGCGTTGCCCGTTGCCCTAGGTCTGCGTGTTCAGCACTTCTGCAACAGTTTCTTCTGCAAAGGTAACTTAGCGGAGGGTACAGGGTCTTCTTCCAATAAGTCAGCACCTTCAGTTAAAAAAAGCAATAACATTCTCCAATCTTGGCAGTCTGGCAAGGTAGAAAGACACCTGAAGGTGAACATCTTTGGCCCATGTGAAATTTTGTTACGTGTTGTTAGGTTTCATTTGTCTCTCAGTCAATCAGTCAATCAATCAGTCTCTCTCCTTCCATCCCCCCTTGTCCCCCTTTTCTCTTCTCTCCCCTTCCCTGCTCCCTCTCTTTAAGGTTTTCTCACAGATTAAGAGAGTAGCATGTGCTCATCCCAATTATTGAAACCGTGCAAATGAATAGCAAGAAAAATAGTTCTTGGCGTGCCCCTTTCTTTCCGCAGTGCCCAGGCCAGAAGTACCTGCTGCCCAAGACCACAGCTGACAGCGCCCCGGGAGTCCTTCACACTCTTCTCTGAGCTCTTCCATCCTTAAACAGACATCTATGCCAAATGCAGGGAGGGTTTGCTGTTGGCTTTTACAAGAACACTGTCCTGTTATGCCTGCTGCTCTTTGCTTGGTTTTCCCTGGACGGTCACAAACATACCTCCAGGTCAACAGTTAAAGAGAGAACCCACTTCTTCTAATAGTTGTGTAATATTCCATACTACAGATATTCTGTTATTTATGGTAGCTAGATTTCTATTCATTTTTAATTCCCATGCTCAGAGCTTTCCAGACATTTGGAAACATTTTAGAAAATTGACATCATCTCTTCAAATATCTGAACTCAGATTTCCTCTGTGATGTTGGAATCTTTAAAATATCATGCATACTTGGCCTGTTTCTACAATTTTGTTCCCCAGCCATCGTTCTCCATTTTGCACGTGTATTGTCTCCTCCTATTCCTCTGTACCCTTCACACGTGCCTGCAGGGTATATACTTTTGCACAGGCAAAAGTCCAGCTGAAATGATCCTTACTTAGCATAATTTAAACGCGAGGGTTTCCTAATGCTCCTTCCATTTAAATAATTCAAAAATCCGTGGCAAGGTACCTGAAAACTACTAAGAGAAGAGAGGTGTTAATGGACACATCATTGAGGCTGAAGCCAAACTGTGTGATTCTGTCTGCAGTTGAGAACTGTAAGAAAAAGATCAAGATTAACATTATTATTATTGGTGTTACCTCATGTCTGTACCTTTTTGGAGACTTGGGTCTGTTTCCCGAGAAATCATTTTTCCTCCTCCTTGAAAATAGTGAATTTCAAGTGGTTTTAATTTTAACTGCATTATTTGTTTGCTTTATATAGTTTTTAAAGTTTTATGAAAAAGTCTTCCATGTGTTTTTTATTTATGAAATCGGGGCAGCCATCCTTCAAATATGAAGCAGGTATCTGAGAATACTAAAATCTTACAGTGCATTTTATAGGAGTGTGAATGATTTTTCTGCAATTGACATATCAAGGAGCTTATCATCTATTATTAAGTTACCTTTTCCTGAAACAAAATATTTGTCAGATGTAACTTGGTACCCAAATGCCTTTTCTTGCTAAACTAGGAACTGTCACACACACCCACCCACCCACCCCTTTATTCTTGGTTCTCTCCTATATTTTGACATTTGAAGCATCCACAGAAAAGTAATAGAATGAGCAATTGAAAATCACCAGAACTGAAATTATTTCCAGCTATGTTTAAATATGAATGTCTTGTTCGACGCTTCGCATATGTATTTATGGCTGTGTGATATCATTATGGCATCCTAATGAATGTCTACTGAATTATGTGGGATTCAACAGGGGATACAAATGGATTTGAATTCTGTAACTGTCATATTGTGGTCCGGAGAGGGTGGAAACTGAAGTATCCCTCTGCGTCGCCACATCTGTCAAAAGTCCTCAGCGCTCCCCGCAATCCATGTCTGGTGGAAGCGCGAGGTGGTGAGGATGGAAAGGGCATGCGTTGACTTCATGTTGGGACGGGTCTTAAACTAAACACATGTCACGTTATGGAGCTGTTTACCTTGGCTTTGAGGTTTATTTCCTTCTGGATTAAGAGTGATGTCGTTTTATATAACAAGAAGTGAAAAAAAAAAAGAATGATGTTACACAACCTATTTTTTTTTTTTTTTTTTTTTTTTACTCTGAATGTGTAACTTTAAATGAAGAACCAGGACACCTCATCCTTTAGTCTTTTCTTTACTAGTGAGTGGCAGATATGTGTGGACCACAGAGATGGACTGAAAAGAGAAGTAACAGTCCTTGGTTTGTATTCCAGCCCCCACCTTCCTATGTCTTTGAGCTTGGTAATTAGATGCTTGGAGCTTCAGTTTCCCCATCTGTTGGATCAGAACGGCAGTATGTGCTCTCCAGTATTTTCATAAGAGTCACATGAAATATGTACCTACAGAGTCTATCACTGTGCTTTTTAAGTTGGGGCTTAATATGTGGTAGTTGTTGCTGTTTTTGTTATTATTATTATTAATGTTATTTTTTGTTTGTTTGTTTTTTGAGATGGAGTCTTGCTCTGTCACCCAGGCTGAAGTGCAGTGGCGTGATCTCAACTCACCGCAGCCTCCGCCTCCTGGGATCAAGTGATTCTCCTGCCTCAGCCTCCCGAGTAGCTGGGACTATAGGCACCTGGCTAATTTTTGTATTTTATATTAGAGATGGGATTTCACCATGTTGGCCAGGTTGGTCGTGAACTCCTGACCTCAAGTGATCTGTCCGCCTCGGCCTCCCAAATTGCTGGGATTACAGACGTGAGTGACCACGCCTGGCCCATAAATGTTATCTTTATATAACATACTCACAGCTCCCTTAGGAGTACTTTTGTCCATTTCTACACAATGGAAACTTATAATTTTAGCCTTAGCAACATGTATTTACTGGGCATCTAGATTTCATTTATTTAAGAACTTTTTATTGAATGCCGATTGTTCAGCAGCCACCATGCAAGGTCCTGGGGAACCAGTGGGCAGCCACACAGAGAAGGTCCCAATGGCACCAGAACAAGGCCAGCTTCCTAGGAGGTGTCTGGCTTCAAGACAGGGATTTCCTTTAGCTGGGTGGTAGAGAAATGGATTGCCTGTGATTTCACTGTGCATAAAATGACCTTTCAGCCCTTAACCTGCGACATCCACATGTGTTCTTTGGTACTCACGGGTGTTATGGTTCATAGCTGTGGTCTTCTGAAGTATAGGAAAAGGCAGCTTACAGAAAAAAACTTGCTTGTTTACTGTCTTCTGAGCTGATTTCTCACCTACTGGCAAGTGGATAGGTCTAGTTTTTGTTTAGCTGTTTTTCTAATTTAATCTTATACATGAGACAGCTATAGATGGATGTATAGTCTTTGAAGTGGGGCCAGTTGGCTCCGTCTATTAGCTGTGTGGCTTTTGTGCAGGTGACTTGTGGCCCCCGGCCTCAGGGATCTCATCTCTAAAACGAGGCTCTTGATGTTACCTGCCTTACCCAGCTGTGAAGATTAAAAGGGTTTTGTGTGTTAAAGGACTTGCGGAGTGCCTAGAACCCAATGAGGGCCACAGAGCTTGCTCCGATTGCTTTCCTGAAGGCAGTAAGCATGTTGCTCTGGTAATAGTCATCTTCACGGCCATCATTTTGATCACATTTTGGCTTAGTTTCTTCCTCTACCCTCTTCCCACGTCAGACCTTTCCATGGAAGGTAAAACATGTTAACAGTCTAATGTGTTTCCTTCTAATTTTTTTCTTCATTTATATTATACATCTATGAAATATATATATATATATTACATATGGATATATAGACATACACAGATGCATATTTAGGGTGTGCTATGGTTAGAAAGTTTGCATCCCCCCAAAATTCACAGGTTAAAATCCTAATCCTCAAGGTCGTGACGGTACTACAAAGCAGGACCTTTAGGACATGATAAGGTCCTGGGGGCGGAGGGTACTAATCCCCATGAATGGGTTTAGTGCCTTTATAAAACAGACCCAAGAGAGACCGTTATCCATTTTACCATGTGAGGAGCCCACAAGCAGGTGCCATCTATGAGCCAGAGTGGACCCTTACCCAACACCACATCTACTGGCCCCTTTATCTTGAACTTCCAGCCCCCAGAACTGTGAGAAATAAATTTGTTACTCATAAGCCACCTAAGTTATACTATTTTGGGATCGCAGCGTGAATGGACTAAAGGTTTTTGAGATTCTTTTTTCAGTAGTTTCACCTAATAAAACATGGAATCATTCTACGCATGCTGTTCTGTATTGTAGTATGGTTTTCCACACTGAGAACATACTGTGACCATGCAGTCATTTCCCAGATGGAACTTATTGAGGGACATTCACTTAGTTTCGAAAGGTTTCTCCCTCCACTCCCATCCCGGCCACAGATAGTGATGCAATAACATCCTTGTTCGCATGTCCAGTCTGAAGCTTTTATTCCTATGGGATGAGTTCCCAGGCATAGGATTGCCAGGCTGGACTCTAAATTTTGAAAATGGATTTTTATCATTCTGATGGATTACGGTGAAGAGAGCCAAAGTCTTGATAGAAACACTCAACGCAGTGAATTTTTTAGATGTAAAAGTGGATGGTACTTAAGGATACGCACATTAGAAGGAGTAATTTGACCAGCCCATCACAGTATTAATTGATTTTCATGTCTCGAAGACTTCTGATTTCGTTTTCGAGGCTGGAAAGGCAGGTGGAAAGCCCATCAGTTTTACACACATATTTTGCAGACAAGTATTAGAAAGTAACTAGCCTGCTTTTACTAATGGTTCTGTGGAAGAAACACAGCTTGAATAAATGTCGTCTTGGATGCTCAGCACAGATTGGCAGTGGATGTCAGGATTGTCTGGTGGGAAGGCTGCTGGGACTCACTCTAGACTGGGAGTGGGGTGGGGTGGGGCAGGGCAGGACGGCCCTGGCTGATTAATAATGTTTGTTATGAAGTCTAGGGTACGTGGGGAGAGCTTCATGAATCCCTGCATTGGCCACCCCTGTACCACGGCCAATGATTCACCCTCCCTAAATCCCAGGGCCAGATATTAGAACATCTGTGATGAGGACTGATTTTCTGTTCGTGGCCTCTGGAAGTCCAGTTTTTCTGAGCTCAGGGGAGCCTTGGTTGTATCTTATAGGCAAGAGACGAATTTACATTTTGCCATGGTGTTAACAAGCAAAAGAAGACAAAAGAGCTCAAAATAGACAGTGGCGTGCTGGGGTCAGGGGTGCTGGTCACCAGGGCGAGCAGTTATGGGTGAAGGGCTGAATTTGCAGGGTCAAGGAGATTGCCTCCAGGCCCCTTCTGGAAACACACTCCCTGAGCCTTGTAGAATTGAGTTGATTCTGTTTAACTGCCCAGTGAAGAAATGACTTCCTTGCTTTAAAACATTTGACAGCTGTCTTATATAACTTAATTCTTCATTCCAGTGGCTTTTGGAGCAGCCTCAAAAGTCATTTTATCTTCTTGGCTCTTTGATATTATTTGTAGTAATTTATTTAAAGTAATTAGAGACGGGATCTTGCTGTGTTGCCCAGGCTGGTCTCTAACTCCTGGCCTCAAGTGATCCTCCCACCTCAGCCTCCCAAAGTGCTGGAAATAAGGTATGAGCCACCAAGCCTAGCCTTGATATTATTTTTTAATGGGGGTGTGTGGGTGGGTGGTGATGGGGATATTCCAGCAGAATATCAGAAACAGAGATGAGGAAGGCAGAGAGAGCTCAAAGACAAGGCTCAAGTTCATATTCCAACGCCAGTACCTGCCACCTGTGTGAAGCTGGGCTAATTATGTGTTTAGGTTTCCTCCTTCGTTAAATAGAGTTCTACTTATATTACAGGGTTGTCATGCAAGTTGATGAATTAAATACGCTAATATATATAAATTCTGAGTAAGTATTAACCAAAGAAATGGAACATCAATATTGGTTCCCAGTCTAGTTCACAGGTGTTATCAAGATGGTTACCTTTCTAAGTGTCTTTTTATTTCACTAGTTCCAAAAGAGTATCTCTCAAAATATTAGGTAGTATTTAGTCAACACTTTAACACATAACTTGTTTTTTTTTTTGGCATAAGAAGCCCATGTGAAAACACAGTTGACCCTAAGCCTATGAAAAATGACTTGTGTGTGGGACTGGGGTGGCTCATAGGAGAAGGAGGATATTCGTCTGGATTTTTACTGGTATGTATATATTTTTGGGTACTGGAGATGGGGACAGTGAGTATTTGAAGCTCACAGCAGGCCCATTTTGCAAGTTTTCAGGAAACTGAAATTCAGAGAGATTAAGTATTTTGCCATGAATCACTTTGTAGTAAGTGGGAGAGCTGTTGCAAACCCACGTCTGTCTACATCCACAGCCTGTGCTCTTTTCATATACAAGGGAATATGGAGGAGAAGGGAAGTGATGGAAGGCTTTAAAAAAAAAAAAAAAAAACTTCAGAAGCTGATTTGAGATTTATTCATCTTTGGTGTACTTTCTTTACTAAGGCAGGTTGTAGACTCATGAAACCTAGAAGGAGTTGAAAAATAAGGGTTAGGATTAAAAAAAAAAACTAGTGAAATCAAGACACCATTTTGCTTAATTGAAGGCTTGCGGAACATTAAAGCACAACAAAAACCTAATTCTTTGAGTGTTTCTGAGGCCAAGCCTTTTCCCACAAGGCACTGTGTACACGGTTCTGGAAGCTCTCCTCTGTTTGCACAGTAGTCACTCATCCTGCTCTCGGGCTCTGCCTGCAGTCTCTTCCTCTGTCTCCGATGTCACTCTTCTCTGTCTTCTTCAGAAGCTGTCATATGACCTCCAGATTTCTCTTTGACTCCCTGTATTACCATTAGAAGACATCTACACTGGGAAATTGCTCAGTTCCTGTTTTTGATTAATATTTTATCAGCCGCAAGAGGAAATGGTATTCTATAGCAACACTAATAAGTAATTGAGCAGATGAGATGCTCTTGCTAGCTTTGGTAAAAAGTCGGGGCAAGGTTACAACAGAGGAGCTCTGATGAGACTTGGGATGATAAAGTCAAGTCGAATATCTGGTAGGGTTAAAAATCTAACAGTGGGCCAGGCGCAGTGGCTCACGCCTGTAATCACGGCACTTTGGGAGGCCAAGGCAGGTGGATCACTCGAGGTCAGGAGTTTGAGACCAGCCTGGCCAACATGGTAAAATCCCGTCTCCACTAAAAATACAAAAATTAGCCAGGCATGGTGGCATGTGCCTGTAATCCCAGCTACCTGGGAGGCTGAGGCAGGAGAATTGTTTGAAGCTGGGAGGCGGAGGTTGCAGTGAGCTGAGATCGTGCCACTGCCCTCCAGTCTGGGTGACAGAGTGAAACCCATCCCCCAAAAAAATAAATAAATAAAAATTAAAAAACCTAACACTGGTACGAGAAGAAATTATGCTCTAAATCCTTCTTTGAGCAGTGGCTTACAGACCTAAATTTATCAAAGGTGGTGGCAGTAATAGTAATAATTACCATCTTCATTTAAAGGCACGTATCTAAACCAAAGGACCTAAATAAAATATTAATTTTTCATAGTGTTTAATATGTGCCAGTATATATAAATTCAAGGTAAGGTAGACAGCTGTAAACTGGATCCCCTGCTGTACCCAGCAAATGCTGAGAGCCCTGCTTCCCCTCTTGTATTCAAATGGCTCTATAAGAGAGGAAGTAGTACAGCTATCAGTAACAATGCCATCCGGTAATTACCGAATCATAAATGTTTGGGGAGCTGAAGGTCACGGGCTTAGTAGCAATTCTAGTCTGATGTTTGATTCCTTGTGAATTTTAAATGCTTGTACTCTCTATCTGGGTGATGGTGTTTTAGTTGCCAGTGGACAGTCTGATGGAGGTGGGGGAAGAGTTATTCTTCCATATTTATTTTTCTCCACCTTGGGTGAAAAAACTTCGCTTTTCGTAATGTGGTACAGTGTGTGCTTCTGTAAATGGAAATGGTTTCAGCACATCACAGTCATGCTTCCCTGTTGAAAGATGCTCCGTTTTCCCGCATACATGATGTCCAGCACAACGTCTGATTTATGAGAGCATGACCCTGGGGGCCTCTGGAACAGCTGCTCACACACTCCCTTTAGGAGGCCCAGGCTCTCAGGGGAGGCCCATAGTGCAGCTAGGAGCTAGAGTTTTAGGATGAAGAAATTACAGGTAAGAACACAGCCCCATTTTAAGAAATACCAGTGATTTCTGTTTTTCCTTGTTCTTCTTTCCCTCAGTATTTTATTAACATGTGCTACTATACAAATACACAATTCACTTAGGACTCTGTTTCGTGTGGATCACATGGGAGCTTTCATTAAATTGTGGTGATTCCAATGTGAGTGGTTATCAAGTCAACATCAAATAACATGAAGTGTGTTTTAGTCGGCAAACATCACTTTGTAATTCTCTGATGTGTTTGGGTTGATTCCCTTCTTTCTGCTCTTTTTCTCTTTATAAAGTAAACATTTTTATTGCAAAGGTACTGCTATTGTTAGTTTCTAAAGGCACTTGTCATGGTGTGACTAATATTAGAAGCAGACACAGCCATGATGAGCAATACTCTTTTTTTGTTTATTTTTGTTGTTACTGCTGTAAGCCACTTTCTTCTCCCTCTCCATTAAAATGCAACTTAATTGGTAAAGTTTAGTTGACTAGAGATTTCATTTATTTATTTATTTATTTGTTTATTTATTTATTTATTTATTTGTTTGTTTGAGATGAGTCTTGCTCTTTTGCCCAAGCTGGAGTGCAGTGGCATGATCTCGGCTCACTGCAGCCTCTGCCTCCCGTGTCCAAGTGATTCTTCTACCTCAGCCTCCCGAGTAGCTGGGATTACAGTTGTGCACCACCAGGCTCTGCTAATTTTTATATTTTTAGTAAAGACGGGGTTTCACCATGTTGGCCAAACTGGTCTCAAACTCCTGACCTCGTGATCCACCCGCCTCAGCCTCCCAAAGTACTTGGATTAAAGGTGTGAGCCACCGCGCCCAGCCTGTATTTATCTTTTTAAGTAACAAAGTATTAGCATTGTGATAAATAATATTTAATATATAGTAAGGGAGGTCAAAGTATGAACTATTTTGATTTTTTATGGGTTTTTTTTTTTTTTTTAAAGAATGCGTTGATTTTGTTTTTCTTTCTTTTTTTTTTTTTTTTTTGAGGCAGGCCTTAGGTCTGGCACCCAGGCTGGAGTGCAGTGACGTGATCAAGGCTCACTGCAGCTTCCACCTCCTGGGCTCAAGCAATCTTCGTGTTTCAGCCTCCTGAGTAGCTGGAATTACGGGCTCATGCCACCACACTTGGCTACTTGTTTAATTTTTTGCAGACATAGGGCCTCACTATGTTGCCCAAACTGGCCTCAAATTCCTAGCTTCAAGCGGTCCTCCTGCCTTGGTCTCTCCAAGTGCTGGGATTATAGGCATGAGCCACTATGCCCAGCCAAATTTTGTTTTTCTTTTCTTTTTTTTTTTTTTTTTTTGAAATGGAGTCTTGCCCTGTCCCCCAGGCTGGTGTGCAGTGGCATGATCTCGGCTCACTGCAAGCTCTGCCTCCTAGGCTCATGCCATTGTCCTCCCTCAGCCTCCTGAGTAGCTGGGACTGCAGGCGCCAGCCACCACGCCCGGCTAATTTTTTATATTTTTAGTAGAGACGGGGTTTCACCATGCTAACCAGGATGGTCTCGATCTCCTGACCTCGTGATCCACCAGCCTTGGCCTCCCAAAGTGCTGGGATTACAGGCATTAGCCACCACACCCGGCCCAGATTTTCTTATAAAGTCAAATGGGAGATACTTGTTTGCAGGAAATAGTTCTTTTGGTTCTTACTTTTCCATAAGGATTGAGTCTCAAAATGTCTGGTAGCATCCACTGCATTTTGTAGGGGACAATAACAAAGAAGATGCCAGCAATATCTTCTATCTTTTCCAACATTATTCACCTCTCCCACCCAAGGACAATGGTGGGCTGGACAGAGCATTCAATGACCGAGAATCTACCATAAGCTACTAGGGCCACATCTTCCCCTTTCTTCTCCCCCAGGTTTGTCCCATTTGTACTGACTCTGACCCAGGTTGTCATGACTTGAGACTCACTAGAAGTTTCAGAAAGATGCACACTGCTTTAAAAAAAAAAAAAAAAAGGGCAAGGGGAGGTGTGAGAAGAAAGTATAATTCTTTTTCTTCTAACGGGAGATATAAAAATCATATAAGCATGATTTATCATTTGATTGGAACATTGTATTTTATGGTTGCAGAGCACATGTATCATCCTATCTGCTTCTGACACCCAGTAAGCAGCTCTGGCTTTTATAATTTTGATGAAAGAGGTTTCCTAACAGTATTTCGGTGTGCATGCTCACACACCAGCCCTGGTCATCAGTGAACAGATTCTTCCAGGTCTTCATTGTAGCGGAAGAAAGTGAGATCAGAGATCCCGAGGAAGGGCTTCAGTTTCACCAGTAGTGGAGCTAGGGAGTAGCGGGGCAGAAGCCGCAGGAAGTCAGTGCAGGACGCCGGAGGCCACTCCTAATTGCTTCATGTGTTGTTGCCGTGCTGATGACCTTGGAGGCGCTGCTGGTCCTGGATCCTTGCGACCTTTTCTTCCAAGAGGAAATGTGGTGCTGAGCCCCCCTTCCACTGGCTGTGACAAAGAAGGACCCCTCATGTGGGGGCCTAATTCTAGTGAATCCCCAAAGGTACATGTTGAAATAGGGAAAAGGCCCAGGTGAGGCTGTCTATGTAATAGAGAAGATCCATTGCAAAATGAAAATATGGGGTTCTAGCCAGGGGCAGGGAACTTAATCTCCCTTTTCCATGGGCCCAACACCTGAATCTAGGGCAAACAGGTGTCCCCCAGATTGGATCCTCTGCTCTAGGACACATTCTTGTCCTAGAGCGGGTTGGGCAAGAGGCTTTTCTCTCAGTCACCAGCCCCAAACCCTGTGGTCTTGCCAGCCCAGGACGTGTCAAGACTGCAGCCTTTGCTGACCTGTGACCATCTCCAAGTCCATGCCCAGGCCCCTACTAGGAGTTGAGGGCAACAGGGGCAGTGGGTCTCTCCTGCTTAGGAAATTTGGGTTGAGGGTGGCAGTGATCTTGAGGGGGGTCTGGGAGGGAGGAGCCAGCCTGGCCTGGTCTGGCCTGGCCCAGTGTGCCAGCGAGGGCAGGTGCAATGGCTCACGCCTATAATCCCAGCACTTTGGGAGGCCGAGGCAGGTGGATCACCTGAGGTCAGGAGTTCAAGACCAGCCTGACCAACATGGTGAAACCCCATCTCTACTAACAATACAAAATTAGCTGGGTGTGGTGATGCACACCTGTAATCCCTGCTACACAGGAAGCTGAGGCAGGAGAATCGCTTGAACCCAGGAGGTGAGGTTGTGGTGAGCCGAGATCATGCCATTGCACTCCAGCCTGGGCAAAAAGAGCGGGGTAAAAAAACAACAAAAAAATGATGTAGGAATGAACAGATGAACAACCCCACACAACCTAAGGACGACTTTGAATCAATTCTTCTAAGCTGGTAGCAGAAGCCACCTTTCCATTTGACTTGTATCTCGCTCTTTTTTTCTTTCTTTTTTTTTTTTTTGGAGACAGAGTCTCACTCTGTTGCCTAGACTAGAGTGCAGTGGTATGATCTCAGCTCACTGCCACCTCTGCCTCCTGTAATCAAGAGATTTTCCTGCCTTGGGCCCCTGAGTAGCTGGGACTATAGGCATCCACCATCACACCTGGCTAATTTTTGTATTTTTTGTAGAGGTGGAGTTTCGCCATGTTGGCCAGGCTGGTCTT
Organism: Homo sapiens; assembly: GCF_000001405.40. NCBI lineage: Eukaryota > Metazoa > Chordata > Mammalia > Primates > Hominidae > Homo > Homo sapiens. The sequence goes on from NC_000016.10 coordinate 78,527,514, forward strand.
GAATTCCTGACTTCAAGTGATGAGACTGCCTCAGCCAGCCAAAGTGCTGGGATTACAGGCATGAGCCATCGCGCCCAGCCAGACTTGTATCTCTTAATGAGTTTAACTACATTTAACCATGTATGTGTCAGTCCTACTATGCACCTTACAGCTCACTAACCCTGTTTAATAATGTATGTTGTTACATTTAATCTTTATGGTAGCCTCATGAACAGGTTCTTGATCAGGAGTGATATTGCCTGCCAGGGAATGCATGTCAATATCTGGAGACATCTGGGGTTGTCAGTTCAGGAGGGTAGAGGATAGGGGGGAAAAGGTGCTACTGGCATCTAGTGGGCAAAGGCCAGGGATAGTGCTAAGGATCCTGCAGTGCAAAGGACCATGCCCACCACAAAATATCAGCAGTGCCCAGGTTGGGAAGCTCTGTGCCATTGTGCAAAGATTCAAGGTGGCTATGTCACAGGACTGGTACATGTCCTTTTTTTTTTTTTTTTTTTTTTTTTGAGACGGAGTCTTGCTCTGTCGCCCAGGCTGGAGTGCAGTGGCGTAATCTCGGCTCACTGCAAGTTCTGCCTCCTGGGTTCGTGCCATTCTCCTGCCTCAGCCTCCCGAGTAGCTGGGACTACAGGTGCCCGCCACCACACCTGGCTAATTTTTTTTTTTTTTTTTTTTTTGCATTTTTAGTCGAGACAGGGTTTCACCGTGTTAGCCAGGATGGTCTCGGTCTGCTGATCTCGTAATCCGCCCACCTCGGCCTCACAAAGTGCTGGGATTACAGACATGAGCCACCACACCCGCCCTACATGGGTATTCTAACCCAGTCTAGTGATAGTCCAACCTCCTGTACTATGAGTAATTAGCAAAGAATTAACAGCAGAAGATCGCTCTCACCAAAGCCCATCCAGAAAGTGGCTCGTATTCAAGGTGCTAATTAGGGTGTTTTGTTGCCAGTAAAAACATGAGTCAGATTTCATGATTGATTCATGATGACTTTAAAATTAATGCTGCTGTTATCATACAAAGTAGTGGTAAGTGGAGGTAAGAGAATGTTTTTGCTTTGGGGTACTAAGTCATCGTTATAATAAACACACAGTAAACCCATTTATCTCAGGCTTAATGCTTTCTTGTTTCTTCTAAGCACTTCTTAGGTGCCTCTGGGCTTTTTAACATTCTTTGGCAGTTGTAATTTATTAATTGATTTTTAAATTTGGCCGGTGAAAATGAACTTTAGGTAGGGGTTTGAGGAAAATGAAAAGGCCTATTTGTTTTTCAGTGGCTGGTTCTTCGTGTTCAGCATTAAGGATTGGTAGAAATCAGGCAACCTCTATGTAACCTCAGCCATCTTGGATTCCCAGCTTACTCACATCATAGATGGAGAGTCAGTTGTTTAGAAAAAAACTTTCTTTTTTTTTTCTTTCCTTTTTCTTTTCTTTTCTTTCTTTCTTTCTTTTTTTTTTTTAGGGAGGGTCTGGCTGTATTGCCCAGGCCGGAGTACAGTGGCACGATCTTGGCTTACTATAGCCTTGACCTCTCTGGCTCCAGTGATCCTCCCACCTCAGCCTCCTGAGTCACTGGGACTACAGGTGCACACTACCATGCCCAGCTAAGTTTGTTCATTTTTTGTAGATACAGGGTCTGACTGTATTGCCCAGGCTGGTCTTGAACTCCTGGCCTCAAAGGATCCTCCCACCTCAGCCTCCCAAAATGCCGAGATTATGGGTATGAGCTACTGTACCCGACCAAGAACTTTCTATTATATAGATTTTAATTAAAAACAGTCCTGTTGAGTGGCCTCTTTATCAAATGCATTCTCACATAACCTCATAGAAGTGAGCCCTCTTACTGAATTATGTGGCTGGGGTTCTTGGGTATGTTTTGTTCTATTTTCTGGTTGGTGGTTTTCTTTCTGTCGGGTCCCGTGGGCTCTTTCTGGACCTCTTCTCAGAATGTTTTTCGTTTTTTTTATTTTTTGAGATGGAGTCTTGCACTGTGTCCTGGGCTGGAATGCAATGGCAAGATCCCTGCTCACTGCAACCTCCGCCTCTCGAGTTCAAGCGATTCTTCTGCCTCAGCCTCCTGAGTAGCTGGGATTACAGGTGCATGCCATCACACCTGGCAATTTTTTTTTTATTTTTAGTAGAGATGGGGTTTCACCGTGTTAGGCAGGATGGTCTCGATCTCCTGACCTCGTGATCCACCCACCTCGGCCTCCCAAAGTGCTGGGATTATAGGTGTGAGCCACCATGCCCAGCCCTCAGAGTGTTTTAAAATGCATACTATTAAATACCTAGGATTATAAAGGGAGCCAGCTATACTTACATATAGTTCTCTCTGTGACCCTGTAGAATGCACTGAAGCAAAAATAACAGGTAATGCTAATCATAAAGTTTTACAAATCTCCTGAAGAGTCTTGTTGGTTTCCGTGTTGATGAAGCAGGAAATTTCCCTGACCCCTTTGCAGGCAGGAAGTGGAGTGCGGATGCTGGAACTAGCTGGCTGCTTTGGTGCCAGTAGAGGTGAACTGCACTCACTTGAACCCCCTGCACTCCACCCCTTCTGGGAGGAAGCATGCAGGTGAGCAGGTGCAGGAGCCAGGGTAAATGCTTTTGGGCACTGGCAGGAATGAACTCTGTACTGGCCCTGGGATAGCATCTGGCAGGGGATGCCCGTGACCCCTGAAACCCTAAAAGGAGTGTTACAGTCAGTGCTCTTTTAGTTTTGCCATCCACGGACGGCTTAAGTGTTAACAGTTCAGTGGAGGGTCAGCGTGACAGCCTTTTGCACCCACATCTGGGTTCTTGTCCAGTGTCCAGGAGGAACGAGGTCTCATGAGCAAATTTTAAGGATGGCAGATGTGGGGGATTTTATTGCTGATGAAAGTGGCTTTCACTGGGAAGATAAGCTAAAAAGAAGACAAAGCAGGAAGGTAATTTTCCCCTGGAGCTATGCCATCAAGCTGTTCTTCTGAAGTCCAGCCGCTTCTCTCCAACTGTGGTCTCTAATTTCCAGCTGCTTCTCCTCTTTTCTTCAATGTGCCAGCGGAGCCTGGGGTTTTTATGGGTACAGGATTGGGGGCAGGCCGGGCCATGGGTGGTTGTGGAAAAGGCAATATTTGAGTGGAAAAACAGGGATATATGTTCTCACTTTGGGCCACAGTTCCAGGCTTGAGGATGGGGCCCTCACCACGGACCTGCCCTCTTCTGCCCAGAATTTCCCTGCCTCCTGTCCCTATCATTGATACCTGCAATTCTTTGTACATATGAAATTTAATATGGTGAGATTGGCATCTAGCTGCTGCTAGAGATAGTGCTCATAATAATTTTTAACATTGATTGAGTGTGGATAATAATCCAGGAGCTGTGCTAAACGTTTTACAACACATTATCTCACTTAATTTCACAACTCCATAAAGTAGTTTTCACTTAGTTGAGGGATGAAAAAAGTTAGGCTCTGAGAATTGATATTACTCTGCAAATATGGAATTGGAATTTCAAAGCAATCTATGGTCTTTATCACTTCTCCATTAACTGTCCTTGTTTTATTAATGCTGATTACTTTTTGATTTGGTTTGGTTCTTTGGAGTTGTTTGCATTTCATGAGTCTTGGCATCTTTTTGGTAGAGAACCTTGCTAGGTTCTCACAATGTAGAAATTAAGCAGAAAACAGAGGTCTCAATTTGCCTTTTCAGCGTGAATGCAGACTCTTACATTCAGTGCTGGGAGTCTTTCTTGAGGGACAGTGAGAGCGAGGAAGGGTTTCCATTCTCCGAGATGGATGGTTGCATTAGTATTTATTTCCTTTTTGTTTTTCCTTAGGATGAGAAAGAAGGCAGTGGAGCCCTTTTCCTTAGGTTAGAATGGTTCTGTTGGTTGAATTGTGCACCCTGTTTGGTTGAAACAATTGGACAGTAAGGATGTGACTATTATTGTTGCTCTCTAATACTTTATTATGTCATACCAAAAATTATCTTTTGTATTTTGCTACCAGTTCTTTTAGTTTCTCTTACATGTATGAAGTTGGATAGTTAGAATGAGATGAAAATAAATGGGCTGGGCGTGGTGGCTCATGACTGTAATCCCAGCACTTTGGGAGTCTGAGGCAGGTGAATCACTTGAGGTCAGGAGTTCGAGACTAGCCTGGCCAACATGGTGAAACCCTGTCTCTACTAAAAATACAAAAATTTTTTTGTATTTTGGGATTCGGTTTAGGTGATGTGTGTCTGTAATCCCAGCTACTTGGGAGGCTGAGACAGGAGAATCACTTGAACTCCAGAGGCAGAGGTTGTAGTGAGCCAAACTTGCACAACTGAACTCCAGCCTGGGCGACAGAGGAAGACTCTGTCTCAAAATAAACAAACAAATAAATAAATAAAAATTGTTTAAACCTGCCAACTACAATAACTTTTTCAGTCTCTTTCTCCCTTTCCCACCTTCCCAAAAGGGTGGGAAATTTTTAAAGTAAAGTAATAAACAAATAAGTTTTGGGTTGGGCGGGAGATTAGTTAGAGACAGGATCTGTAGGTCAGAAGTGGTATTTGGGGGAGTAGGGAGTTTTTTTTTTTTTTCTTTTTCCCTTATGCATTTGGGAGTGGAAGAGCTGTCAGATTCTGAATTTAGTTAGATTTATAATGCTAGAGACATTCAGCAGTCTGCCTTTCCCTTTCTGTTATAAAATCATGTTTTTATTGAATTACATTTTAATATTGGTATCACTTTAAAATGAAAATGAGTACTTGCAAAATGTATTTTTGAAGGAGTTGGGTGGTGGTGGGGGGATGCCATTTTGGCAACAGATGACTTCGGTTCAAGTCCTCTCTCTGTCTCTTACTTGCTTTGTGGCTTTAGACCAGCCACCCACTCAGAGCCTTGAAATCCTCATCTTTGAAATGACCATAGTAAGTTCCTGCCTAGGCTCTCCCCTGAAGCTGAAATGCATGAACATGCTTTGTAATTTTTTTTAAGGATTGATACTAGCTAGGGTGTTGATAAGAAACAGCAGGCATAGTTACTGGGTGATTGAGAAGAGTTTAACAAAAGACTGTATTAGTCTGTTTTCATGCTACTGATAAAGGCATACCCAATACTAGGTCATTTACAAAAGAAAAAGGTTTATTGGACTTACAGTTCCTTGTGGCTGGGGAGGCGACACAGTGATGGCAGAAGGTGAAAGGCACATCTCACATGGCAGCAGGCAAGAAAGAACTTGTGTAGGGAAACTCTCCCTTATGATACCGTCAGATTCCTTGAGACTTATTTGCTATTGTGAGAACACCTTGGGAAAGACCTGCCTCCATGATTCAGTTACCTCCCACCTGGTCCCTCCTGCAACATGTGGGAATTCAAGAAGAGATTTGGGTGGGTACACAGCCAAACCATATCAAAAACCATTTATAAAACTCTAAGCAGCCTTAAAGGAAACCACCAAGGGACCAAGGCCTGATGAAGCAAGAGTAGGAGGGAACAGATGCTTGGATAGGGCAGGTGAGTCACAGGCTGATGGGAGCTGCCACCGTCAGTAGAGGTCCTGATGACCTGGGAGGGTGGGAGCCAGACAGATGGGAGTATCCTAGCCTCAGTTCCTTTCCATCCTCAGAACTCCTCCCAGTGCCTCTCAATGGCTAAACCAACCAAAGGTTGGAGCTCAAGGAAGCTCCTGAGGCTATCTTTACAGGTCAGCCAGTTGGGAACAGAGTTGACGGAGAGGGGACAGGAGGTGACTAGATTTGGAAGGAAAATTAGAAAACTTTTGGCCGGGCATGGTGGCTCATGCCTGTAATCCCAGCACTTTTGGGTCAGTTGAGTCTAACATAGGGGTGTCCAAACTTTTGGCTTCCCTGGGCCACATTGGAAGAAAAAGAATTGTCTTTGGCTGCACATAATATACAATTGTTGATGAGCTAAAAAAAAAAAAAATCCCCAAAAAATCTCATAATGTTTTAAGAAAGTTTATGAATTTGTGTTGGGCCAGATTCAAAGTTGTCCTGGGCCGCATGTGGCCCACCAGCTATGGTTTGGACAAGCTTAGTCTACAGGTTCTTCAAGAGGGGCTTGAGCATTTGAAAGACTTCTAGTGGGAGAGATCACAAGGTACAACTAGAAAATCCTGGGCTGGCCTGAGAGGCAGACCTGTGATTATTTTGCTCTTTGAAAGTTGTCCTTCTGCACCCATTTTCCCCAGACCTAACCTCGATTTGTGCTCCAGGTCTGAGCAGAAATGTTATTCCCTCCAGAAAGCCTTCCCTGGATGTTGAGGGATGAAGTTGTAGGCCCCTCCCGAATGCGTCCTCAGAACTCGCTGGTTCTCGTCCTCGCCCTCAGCATACTTGCTCATTGTTTGTTTCCATCTCTATCATCTCTGTGAGCCCTTTGAGGATGGATGTGTGTCCATCTTGTTAACAGTTGGCTCCCCAGTAACCAGTACAGTGCCAGATACAGAGTAGTAACCCTACATTCTAGCGTAGGCAAATATTCTAGTATTTGCCAAAACTAGAGGATGAATGAGTGATGGGTAAGAGAGTTCTCAGAAAAATGGATATAAACAATATTGTAAATCATATTTGGAAAATAAATATTAGAATCATTGAATCCCTGAGTTATAGAAAAATTTATTAATAGCGCTATCTGGCTACTTTTTAAAGTGTGGACATCCTCGATGTATTAGCTATGCATCTGTGGATAGGAGGCTTACCCACTCTGAGTCTTGTCAAATACCAAACACAGGAAAACAATATCTTCCTGAGAATGTTGTGAAGAATATATCATCCAGTCAGAGTGAATCAGCTTGCCCAGTGCTTGGCATATAGCTGCTCAAGAAATATTAGGCATTCTTTGTTATTATAAATCCCCTTTGTATTTTAAAATCCTCATGTATCACTGAAACAACCAACTGAAAACCATTGAGAGGCTCATGGTGAAAGAAGACAGACAGTGTAATTTCCCTGGAAACTCAATTTTGATTCAGACGTCCACAGCATCTCATTTCTGCCTTTAAAAAATTTCAAGAGTGACATTTTGGCATGACTGGACTCACAGGTGGAGAAGGTATGACAAACATTCTGGAAATCTTGGAAGGTGAAATATAGGGAAGATGGCCCCTATGGAGGTTCATTGTCCCCCACCTTATTCTAAATAATGACTTTCTTAAAACTACATGTTTTGGGGGAATGTCCTGCAATATTGCTTTACATCTTTTTATTTTTTTATTTCATTTTATTTTTTTTGAGACAGAGTCTCTGTCTCCAGGCTGGAGTGCAGTGGCACAATCTCAGCTCACTGCAACCTCCACCTCCCGGGTTCAAGCGATTCCACTGCCCTGATCAGCTTCCTGAGTAGCTGGGACTACAGGTGCGCGCTATCATGCCTGGCTAATTTTTTGTATTTTAGTAGAGACTGGGTTCCACCATGGTGGCCGGGATGGTCTCGATGTCCTTACCTCATGATCTGTTCGTCTCAGCCTCCCAAAGTGCTGGGATGACAGGCATGAGCCACCGCACGCAGCGTATTGCTTTATATTTTAAGACTATACACTGATATCCCCGAGCACCCAAGTTCCTGTCCGCTGGTAGAATTCACAAAGCTGGTTTTATGTCTCCTTCTCTTCCTCTTCCAGTGTTGTCTTTTCCCTGCATTGAGATAGCATTGCATGGAGATCCTTGTACTCTTCGAACAGAGGCTGCAGATGGACACAGGATCTGCTCAGGGAGATAAGATCACCTGCTAATTCTGCTTTCTCCATCAGAGTCTGAATGATCAGTGATGGGGACCAGAGCTAGGTTAGGTCTCTGGAAACGCCCTCTGTCTGAGTCCGGGAGATGGATGATATGGGTAATGACTTGCTGCTTTATCTTCTCTCCATCTCCTTACAGCAGCTCCAACTACTGACTTTTATTGTGTGGCAGCTAATTGTAGGATTCTATTTCTGTAAAGAGAAGGCAAGAGAGGAATGCAGTGTCCACCATCCCTGCAGCCCTTTGGCGCCTTCCCCCTCCCATTACCTTGAAGTAGAGGGAAAGGGGACGACAGAAGAACCCTTAGAAGTAAGACTTTTTCTGTCTCTGATGCCACGGACCTTTGAAATATTTTTTTGAAAAGAAGGCCTCCCTTGGCTGATACCTTCTGACTGTTAGTGAATAAAGGAAGTTTAAACAATCTCTTCCCTGTAATCATTAATCTCGTCTTCTTTGTTACAATGTATGTTGTGGTCTTTGTTACAATGTATGTTCACGAATTCCTAGAACACTGTTCCCGTTGGCCATGGGATCAGGGGAAGAGAGAAGGAAGAGAGAACCAGACACAAGTTGGAGGGAATCCATCTCCAGTGCTGCTCAGAGGTATGACCTAGAGCAAGGGGTTTAGGCTTTCTTGGACTCATTTTCCTCGGTGGTGAAGTGGGGATAATTTATTGACAGTGGACCGTGAGGTTCTGCGCACAAAATTCGTTGCATAGCACCTGATACACACAAAGCTTTCAGGCAAGGTTAGTTTCGGGTATTTCCAGCCTTAGTCTTGGCTGTGGGAGCCATAATGGAGTTGTTCAGAAGTTTACAGCTAGTGTTTATAAATTGCTTGCCATGGGGCCTTGTATACAGTAAGCATTCATTAAGTGTTCCCTCCTATTATATCCTTAGGTTTAAGATACAGGCACCACAACATAAACCACCCCCAGAGTACACATGCATGGGTGTAATTTGGTGCCATTCTCCTCCCTTTTGCCCCCACCAAAATGAAGTTTTTAGTGTAAATGTCATGTAGATTTTAACCAAAGGTTGATTGGAGGGTCTGAGTTTCTCAGCTAAATGAAGGCATGAGGACTGTATCCCTCCTGAAGGGTGTGATCAGTTCCATGAGAAAGAAGCTGCGAGCTGTGGGGCATCCAAGATAATGTAATCTGCCCCGGGGTCCTGTGAGGGACTGGCCGACAAGGCAGGCTGAATGCAGCCTTGCCCACTGAGCTGGGTTCTCTCTGCTTTAGGTCCTCTCTGGAGGTGAAGAGGGAAGTCCGCTGATTGTTTTTCTCTTGGTGCAACTTCGCACCACCCTTACATATCCCAGTGTATATGGTAGCCAAGGACAGTACTGTTTGAGCCTCCCCCATTAAGTGTCAACATTGAATCAATGCAATCCCATGCAAAGAAAGCTGAGCATGGGATTGTGCCGGTTTAGCCAGCTAAAGTGTGGTCTCTGATGCTGATCATGACTATGAAAAGGGAAAATGGAGGAGAATGATGACGAAGGAGGAGGAGGAGGAAAAGGTGACTTGCCTCTAGCTGATGTGGATTATTTCTCTTTTTTAATTTCCATGTCTGTGTAGCTTCATCATAGATCTCAGCTTAAGGACAATGAAAGTCGTTTATTGAGTACTTAGTATGTGCTGGTTGCAGAGCCAAGTCTTTTTTTTTTTTTTTTTTTTCCTCCTTTTTTGAGAGAGAGAGTCTCACTCTGTCACCCAGACTGGATTGCAGTGGCACAATCTCAACTGACTGCAACGTGCACCTCTCAGGTTCAAGCAATTATCAGGCCTCAACGTCCTGAGAAGCTGGGACTACAGGCATGTACCACCACACTCAGCTAATATTTGTATTTTTAGTAGAGGCGGGGTTTTGCCATGTTGTCCAGGCTGGTCTTGAACACCTGACCTCAGGTGATCTGCCTGCCTCAGCCTCCCAAAGTGCTGGGATTACAGGGGTGACCCACCACACCCAGCCAGAGTCAAGTATTTCAAGTATTAGAGTTGTCTGCCTGCCTCCCTGTCTCCCTGCCTTCCTTCCATCTGTTTGTTATCTGACTTAATCTTTGAAATAACCCAATGATACATGATATGCATTTTCTAGGTAGATAGATGAAGGGTTAGGAAGATGTAACTTGTCCTAAATCACGTGTCTTCTAAGCGGTGGAACTGATTTTCTCACTGACTATAGATGTTGAGCCCATTAATGTGATACCTACTGCCTTTTAATTTTAAAAGTTCTCATTGTTTTATCGTTTTCATCATTATCATATGATTTACCTCTTCTCTTGTGTCTTATAATCCGATTGGTCATGCTGACATACTAAACCATATTGTTTGCCACTGGGAACCAATTCATCTGTGAAAAGTCATACAGATAGGCTCGAAGAAAGAGCTTGGTTGTGATGTTGTTGTTGTGACAACTGTCTCGGGGGCTGGAGTTAGAGCCAGGGTCCCAGCTGCCACAGTTCATGTAGGGGTAGACCAGTGCTTCCTTTTGGGTGATGAGGAAGCTGGATTTGGCAGCTGGTTTTGTCTGGATTTGAAAGGGAGGTAATCAGGGGTGTGCTGGGAGGGCCAGAACGATCCACCCACGTGTTGGTGCCACCCGGCAGTGGAAAAGCCTCTGGCCTCGGCCTTCTCCGGAAGGTTGTCCGCGGTGCCAGTGAGAGCTGCTTTTCACCTTACAGCAGCCCCGGCCTATCTCTCAGGAGGCCTGCTGATAATCAGTAAATGAAATTCACCTTTCCCCGATTCTTGAAAACGGAAAAGATGAGGGTTGAATTATAGGGCAAATCATGAACACTGTCTTTTTTCCAGCATGGTATTTTGAGCGGCACAGAAGGGGGTAATTATTTTATTTGGAAGAACAAATTTAAGTTTGGCAGTTACCTGAAAGAAAATTTAGTGATTGCCAGTCCATTCTCTAGCCTTCTGAAGAAGATAGATTGTAATCTTTAATTAAGCTATCACTCACACCAAAAAAAAAAAAAAAAAAAAAAAAAAAAGCGGGGCAAGGGGTTGGAGAATGTTCATATCACATTATTTTGGATGTCTGGGGTTGCACCTGGAAGCTCAGATAGCAATATCTAGGCACGGCTGCCAGCGCTCTATACATTGACGTTTGTTTAATATTTTAATTTCCCCATGAGTCTTAAACCTCTGCGTGGTGTGCAAGTTGAGGCCTGGTGTATGCACTTCGGCCACGGGCTTTCCCACTGTAATGAAGATGGAATGACTCCATGGATGACCTTTCCGTGCCTTTGTCTGTAGCCTGCCCTCCTCTTTAACTGAACACCTTCCAGACGAGCATGCTCTGAACTCCTGAACTGCTCATTCTGTTCTCTGAGAGAATTGCTCAAGCTGCAGTTTATCATTATATGCCTCCAAAGACTTTGTGTTTCCTATGTTTGACATCGAGATAGAATTTTTCATAACCCTTTACTAGTAATAAATTTGATTGTTAAGGGACCAGGTTAATCTTATTTCTAATACCAGCATCTGATTTTAAAACCCTGATTTAGGAGCATTTTCTTTCTGCTACCTTCCTAAAACGCATGGGTGGAAATGTATAAAATATGTCACCTGATATTGGAGGATTGTTTATTTCTGTTCATTTGGTCCTGAATAGTACCTATGAGATGCATTTGAAAACTTACCTTGTTTATATGTTTCTTCTGTTGCAATTTCTTCCATTACCTGGAATAGCTGCTTTGGACGGCAAACCAAGCAATGCCCTTTCACAGCTGTGGGATGAATGGGGAAAGAAGTCTTGGTAAGGAAGCAATTCAGAGAACATGGAAGCATCTCATGGCAGCAGTCACAATTTTGTGTTGCGTAATATTTCAGGAACTTGCAACCCTGATAACTTGTGCCTGCCTGTCTGTAGGCCTTTAATGATGTTTTATTGAATTTTGGTTTTCCCCTAGACTTTGCAGTGCATGACACATAGTAATTGCTCAATAAATATGTGTTCAACTGAACTATGGTGGTTAGGTTAGTAATTAGATGCACAGACAAAATCACAGGAATCTGCGTGAGCCTTGTCCTACTGGTAAAGGAGTCTTGTGAGGATTAATTGAAATAACTCGCAAAAATATCCAGCTCTCTGTTTCCCTGCTAGGGGCTCTTGTCATAGGAGCCATTGTTGTAGCCTTAGAAAACATACAGCATTATTTTAGGGGGAGAGGTTAGAGTAGAATTTTAAAGAGTGCATTTCTCTTCCAGTAAGCAATTCTGCATCGATAAAAAGTGGAGAAAGAATAAGTGAAAAAATATTTAGTTAATTCTTGTTGACAGAAGTAGGACTTCAGGTCCACATATATTTCATTGTAGAGTGCACACATGCATTTTTAAGAATTTCCCGATTCTCTTCCACGTGTGGACAGATTGGCACATATGTGTGTGTGCAAATTGTACTTGCAGTGGCTGCCTGGGAAATGAAATTTCTGCACCTTGCCAGAGCATGTTTTCCCTCTAAAGAGAGGCAGCTCATAATTAGTAATGCTAATGTCGGGGTGAGATGCAATAGATAATCTAACACCAGCAATGATGCCCAGAGCATTTATCTTTGATGCTGGGAATGCGTTCATTTTCTTTATCTTGCCATTACTGTACCTCTATTGGGAAATTTACTCTCTCTTCATAGATAGGATCAGATCCAGTACATATTTATAAAACCACACTTACATTTAAATACAGGCCTTTCCCATTTCACAGTGTTTCTAGCTCCCCTTTCCAATACATCTCTCTCTCTCTTTCTCTCTCTCTCTCTCTCTCTCTCACACACACACACACACACACACACACAGCCAAATCAGACACCAATATAAACTGTAGAGTTAACATTCTTTTTCCACCCTCACACTTTTTTTAGCTCCGATCTGTGTTCAATTTCTGCCTGAGAGAGTGATATATTCATATATTTAGGTATAGTTAGAAAAAGCAAAATGGTAACAATAGAATCTTGATGGGATTGATCTCCTGCAGCAAGGAGCAACAGAAAAAAAAAAAAATGGAATCAAGAACCCAGGTGCTTTTTATAGGTTAATTGTGCAGGGTTATCATGTATCTCTTTAAAATCACCATCTTGATTCTGAGCTTTGGTTCTACACATTAGAATTGTTGCCTGGGCCTGGATTTTTCCCCTTGCATGTTGCGTGTGGTAGTCCAGCACATTTGCTGATTGCAAATATACTTGTCTCTTCTCATGGGCATTACTAGTACTCAGGAAATCATTGATGTGGGGTAAAATGAGAAAAGGATTAGTTTTATTTTGGACAGATAAACAACATGTCATTTTACCAATTGCTCATTAATGCTGATATTTCCCGTGGGTCTCTGACTCTGAAATCTGCATGGAGTGGTTACACCCTGGGCTTGTTAGCTCCTACCTGAGCTCTGAGTTTCTGTGGATTTCTATAGGCTCCTGCAAATTTTATCTAGTGGATATTTTGTTAAAAAAAAAAAATGGGGTCTCATTCTGTTGCCCCGGCTGCAGTGCAGTGACATGATCATAACTCATGGTGACCTCAAATTCATGAGCCCAAGCGATCTTCCCACCTCAGCCTGAGTAGATGGGACTACAGGCATGTGTCACCATGCCAGGCTAATGTTTAAAAATTTTTCTTAGAGGTAGAGCCTCACTTTGCTGCCTAGGCTGATCTAGAACTCCTGGCTTCAAGTGATCCTCCTGCCTTGAGCTCCCGAAGCGCTGGGACCAATAGAGATTTCTCTGAGAATTAGGTCCCCCACTATTAATAAGGTCATTGTCAGCTGAGTTGGGGAGGTGGCGTGGGTAGATACAATTAATTTAGATTTTTTAAAAGGCTTTTGAGAATATTCGGAGAACCTAATATATTTTGAGACCTGACATTTATTTTAAACGTGAAAAGCAATTTACAAAATTGCACATACTCTATAAATACACTTCTGTTATAAAAATAGACACGTACGGCCGGGCGCGGTGGCTCACGCCTGTAATCCCAGCACTCTGGGAGGCCGAGGCGGGCGGATCACGAGGTCAGGAGATCGAGACCATCCCGGCTAAAACGGTGAAACCCCGTCTCTACTAAAAATACAAAAAATTAGCCGGGCGTAGTGGCGGGCACCTGTAGTCCCAGCTACTTGGGAGGCTGAGGCAGGAGAATGGCGTGAACCCGGGAGGCGGAGCTTGCAGTGAGCCGAGAGCCCGCCACTGCACTCCAGCCTGGGCGACAGAGCGAGACTCCGTCTCAAAAAAAAAAAAAAAAAAAAAAAAAAAAAAAAAGACACGTACACAGACAAATGTTCTGACAGAAATACACTGAGATATCTACAGTGCTTGTCTCTGGATAGGATAGGGTATAATTTAATTGTTTATAGTTAAGTTAATGAACTTGGCCAGACAGACCTGGGATCAAATCCCGCCTCTATCATGAATTGGCTGTGAGGTGTGACATTGAAAAAGTGATTTAGCCTTTGTTCCCCTCCAGGTCCTTATCTGTAAGGTGGCAGTTACAATAATACCCACCTCCCAGGGTTATATGTCAATGGGTTAGGCACAGACCTAGGAACTCAGCAAATGGACTACTATGAAGTATTAGCTTTTTACTGTTTCTGGTTTTCTGATTTTTGTCTCCTGTTGTGAACATACGTTGCTTTTGTAATATGAAAAATAAAAAATAAAAGTTAAATTTGTTTTGTTTGTAAGAATCAGTTGAGGACAGATGGGACTATTTGCATGGATTGGTGTCATGTTTGAAGTCAGTTACCAGAGGGTTTCTTTCAACAGAGTATACCAAAAAAAAAAAAAAAAAAAAAAAAAAAAGTAAATTGCACAGACCCCAGCTTAGGACCTGGACTTAATCTTCATGATGTTTGTAAAGTAATACTTCTTGGAGAAACCTCCCAAATTTCTATCGACACTAGACATCTCAGGATTTGAAATGTTAAGCTAACAGAAATTGTTCATCAGGTGTATCTCCAGCCCTCCGTAAACACTGCCGGATGGATGAACCTACGTAATGATCTCCTGGTGCCATTTTCCTGACTGTAGATACTTGGGTAAGGAGGAGACTTTGACTCTAGATGACATGATGTACCCTGTGTTCTGCAAGCTGGAGAACATCATGTAGAATCTGAAAATTAGGAGAGAGAGGCAATCAGAAGAAGACAGAGTGGTGTTGCAGGGACCTGCAGTCAGCCTAGTCCCCCAGTTTGCGTTTGAATTTGGTCCCAGATTTTTTTTGTTTTTGTTTTTTAGTAGTTAAAGCTGAGAGCAAACCACATTGCTTACTATTGTCAGGGAATGAAAACTATGCAACAGAAGCCGATGTGCAGAGGTGACCGTGTTCGCTGGAATTGAACTTAAGCAGGTTCCTACCGCACAGATCCACACAGGAGGGATTGCGTAATGCACCCAGCAGAGTTGTGCTCAACTGTGATTTTATAAAAGACACAGAAACACATATTAAATAGACAATTCTTCTATCAGCCCTCTAAACTGGCATAACCTTGAATCATAATTCAATGAATGCATTTCTGTGAGAAGTGAAGGTAATAAGCTCCAAGTGCTTTCGTTTCCTTTCTTTCTTTCTTAATGCAGGGAAAATTGAGATGGGATTCTCAGTTAAAACCCAAACGACGGGCCTGGGGGTTGTCACAATGTGATCCCTGAGGATGTTAGCCCCAATGTCTTTCTGTAGCCAGAACCAATAGAAAAATGAGAGGAGGAGAGTAGAAGCAGAATAGCAAACAATTTTTCCTTTCATGGTCTACCTGTGTGACTGTGTATATGTCCAGAAGGGGATGTGGTTGGGGAAGGGCATAGTACACATATTTGAGCAGAGTACATGTGTTTCATTTCTTGCTCATACGACATGTCCAGTGTGGGCTGGCATGTTCTTCTGCACAGTCCCTGAGGGACCCGGACTTATAGAGTCTGTGATCTCACAGCTGCTACATCTGGCACAGATGGCCTTCTTGATCTCCAGTTAGGGCGAGTCACAACAGCAATTAAATGGTTTGGTCTGAAGTGTCACGAGTCGTTTCCTCTTGGCTGCCTACTGGCTAGGCCAGTCACGTGGCCCTGAAGAGGGTGGGAATGTCTCATCCCCCTGTGGGCTTAGAAGAAAACCAGAGGTCTGTGCACACTATGGATTTTTACTACAATGATGCCCTTTCACATACAGCGAGAAGGATTAAGAGGTACTGTATTGTTGGTTGATAAAGTCAAACTTGTGAACAGAGCAAAAGGGCATTGCTTGGTCATTGCAGCTTCCACCCATGCACCTTACACAGAAGTTTGGGCCCTAACATGGAAACTTTTCAACACTGGCCAAATTCTGTTTGAAGCACTGTATTGAGCATACCATATGCTGAAAGACTTGGAATGCAAAAACCTAAGGCCAAGGGCACTTCTCAATATTAAACCCTCAGTTGTAATGGAGGCATCAAGACTATAAGACCCAAGACCTTAACTTTTGTGCTCCTTGTCTTGTGGAGGGAACATCCATCCTCAAAACAGAAACCTGTGAGATCCCTTGAATATACTGACAATACACTGATGAGAATTGAATGCCCCATAAATTGCATCTCCCGCAGGGCCTGATAGGTGCCCTGTCTTCCTGCTTATGACTCTGAAACCCTGTTTATTTGTATCAAGGACGGTTGGTACTTTAATCATCAATAAACTAACATCTCAACAGCCTGCCATAAATTTCTTGTCAAAAAAAGAGGTTATGATTAGAATACTGTGATTAAAGAGAATTTGTAGATAGACTTACATCCCTCAGTTTCAAAGCTTCTAGTAGTAGGGCTTAGAGGTTCCTAGAGTAGGAAAAGCCTAGCCAAGCAGAAACCCATGTTTTTGACTTTCAGGATATTTGTGAATTAATTTACTTGCATATATTGGCCAAGATCTAGCATAATCTCTTAATATTCAATGAATAAAAAATTGAGTTTTGAGAGCAAATATTTTGGTAGGAAATAGAGAACTGACACTAATATTCTCTCTGACTATAATTGTAAAACAGTAGATGTCTTTCACCAAGCGCTAACATTATATTAATTATTAATAAAATCCAACTCCTTAATAATACAATCATAGTTACCATTTATTGAGAGCACTCTTCTGAACATTTTGCATTCTTTATTTAATCTTCCCTACAACCTTATTAAGTAGACATTATCTTCATCTTATTAAGTAGTCAGTTCCTCATTTGCAGATGAGGAAACTGGCTGACTGAGTTAAATGAATGCCAAAGTCACAGAGCTGCTGAGTGGCAGAGTTGTAATTCCCATGCAGAACTGTGTGGCATCAAAGCCATTTTTTAACTCATTGCAATGCACAGTGGGTTAAAATGAGATGATTGAAAATGAGATGTGGCTGGGCATGGTGGCTCACACCTCTAATTCCAGCACTTTGAGAGGATAACTTGAGTCCGGGAGTTTGAGACCAGCCTGGGCAACAGAGCCAGACCATCCATCTCTACAAAAAATTTAAAAATTAGCTGGGTATGGTTGTGCACTCCTGTGGTTCCAGCTACTCAGGAGACTGCGGTAGGGGGATCACTTCAGCCCAGAAGTTCAAGGCTGCAGTGAGCTGTGATCGCTCCACTGCACTCTAGCATGCGTGACAGAGTGAGACTATCTCAAAAAAGAAAAAATGAGATTATGGCCAGGGGTGGTGGCTCCTGCCTATAATCCTAGCCCTTTGGGAGGCCAAGGTGGGAACATCATTTGAGCCCAGGAGTTAAAGACCAGCCTGGGCACATAGTGAGACACCAGCTTTACAAAAGAGAGAGAGAGAAAGAAAGAGAGAGAGATTATTTCTAGAATAAGCAAACCAAACGTGAATTAAGTTTTCATTCTCATTTTAGTGATTCTCTAAGTACATACCCACATTCTGATTCCCTCAGCACTTTAGGACTGACTGATTAGCAGTAACTGCCCTCCCACTGGTACCACTGTGGCCAGGGAGTGACTGCAAGGGTCAAAACTTTTGTTGGGGAGCTGTTTGGACTAAGTGAATGTCCAGCCCCAACTCAGGGATGTTGTATTGGTTCTAATCTCTGCTTCTGAGGAAATGGTTACCTGCAGGGCGATTGTGGCCTGCTCCTCGTGGGATATATTGAGATGGTTCCTTTTAATCCATTTCTTTTAAAAAAAAAATTCTTTTTAAAGAGATGGGATTTCATTATGTTGCCCAGGTTGGCCTCAAAGTCCTGGGATGAAGAGCTTCTCCTGTCTTAGTCTCCTGAGTAGCTGGGACGACAGGTGCCTGCAACCATGTCTGGCTTAAATCCATCCTTAAACAAGTTCAATGTTTTATTTCCTTCAGATAAAATGAGAGTGGAGAGACCACAGTGATGCCCAGGAATAGTCATGGTTGGCGATTAAATAGCCATTGAGTCTCTATTCTGAAACAGGCACCGTGTTCATTTGCTATGGCTAACATGACAAAATACCACCCACTGGGGATATTAAACATTAGAAACTTACTGTCTCACAGTTCTGGAGGCTGGAAATTCAAGACAAAGTTGCTGGCAGGGTCTCTCTGAGGCCTCTCTCCTTGGCTTGCAGACGGCCGCCTTCTTGCTCTGTCCTCACGTGGCCTTCCGTCTGTTTCTTGGTGCACATCCCTGGTGTCTCTTCCTCCTCTTATAAGGACACCAGTCCTCTTGGATTAGGGCACCACGCTTATGACATCATTTAACTTAGTTACCCTTTCAAAGGCTTTGTCTTGAAATACAGTCACATGGAGGGTTAGAACTTCAGGATATAAATTTGAGGGGGACGCAGTTTAGTCTGTAACATGCTCTATGCTGGGCACAAGGAATGTTATGGTGGATAAGGGGAAAATGGTCCCTACCCTCTGTCAGTTTTTTATGGAAGAAGAAAGACGGTCTTTAAAGAAATTTACATAATTAATCACAAAAAGCTAATACTATGACAAAGAATGTAAGTTACTAATACAGCTTAGAACAGATGACTCTAACCTTGTGTAGGAGCTAGAGAAGGCTTCTCTGAGGAGGTGAGGTTGGAACTGAAGCATGAAAGGGAACAGAAGGGGGTCAGGCAGGAGAAGGCTTGGGACCAGGAGGTAGAGAAAACAGTAGTGTGATCAGAACTTTAAGGCCCGGTTCTGTATACAACAGGTTTCGGGACTTGAAAGGCAGCCCACATTGAGTGTAACTAGAAAGTGAGGGCAAGAGATTGTTCAAAAGAATACTGGACCCAGAGTTTCATCACTTTGTTAATTACATCTCATATTGTGGGATTGCAATTACCTTGCCCAAGAAAAGATTATTTACGATTCCATTGTTTATATTGTTTGTTGAAATAATTAATTCTCAAAACTTCTGGATACCTGAGACTCAGCTAGGAACTTATTTTTAAAATATAAATTCCTAGTCCCACTCCCTAAAGATTCTGAGTTAGTACATTCAGGATGGGGTCTAGGAATCAGTGTGTTTAAGAAGTGCATCAGGTTCTTCTGGTACTGATTGTCCATGAACCACACTTTGAGAAAGCTCCATCTAAAGAGATAAGTTACTGACGTGTGTTACCAGAGAGAGCCTAGAAAACCTGGGCACAACAGTAGTTGTTAAGAACTACCAGACCTGGGCCAGGCCCGGTGGCTCATGCCCGTAATCTTAGCACTTTGGGAGGCTGAGGCGGGTGGATCACTTGAGCCCAGGGGTTTCAGATCAGTCTGGGCAACATGGTGAAACCCTACCTCTACAAAAAATAGAAAAAATTAGCTGGGCATGGTAGTGCATGCCTGTGGTCCCAGCTACTTGGGAGGCTGAGGTTCGAGGGTTGCTTGAGCCTGGGAGGTCAAAGCTGCAGTGAGCCAAGATCATGCCACTGCACTCCAGCCTGGGAGAGTGTGAGACCTTGTCTCAGAAAAAAAAAAAAAAAAAAAAAAAAAAAAAAAACAACTACCAGGCCTGTTGGAATGTCTGCCAGTTTCAACCCACGGGGATAGGGTGAGATGAACATTGATTGAGCCTTTACATTGGAGACACTATAACAAATGCTTTGCGTACATCAGCTCTTTCAAATTAATACAATTCTACTAGAGGGGGCACTATTAGTATCCCCAATTTACAGATGAAAAAAATGAGGGACAGAGAGGTTAGATGTGTATCTAAGGTCACATAGCTCACAAACGACACAGCATGCACCCAAATGCCAGGTTTCAATGACCCTGTGGTGAAGTGTGATTGCTGGCATTTGCCTAGTGTTGACTGTGCTCTAGACACTGTATTAGTTACAAGTGATTCTACTTCTCATTCATTAGGCCATCCAGAAAGCCTTGTGCTTTAGTCTGTCCTGGCTACTATAACAAAATATCATAAACTAGGTGGCTTATAAACACCTGAAATCTATTTCTCATAGTTCTTGAGGCTGGGAAGTCCAAGATCAAGCTGCTGGCAGATTGAGTGTTTGGCAACGGCCCACTTTCTGGTTCCTAGATGTTCACCTCCTTGCTATGTCCTCATATCGTGGGAGGGGCAAAGGGTCTCTCTATCTGGCCTCTTTTAAGCCCTTAACCCATTCATGAAGGCTTTGCCTCAATGACCTAATCACCTCCCAAAGGCCCTACCTCCTAATATATTATATTGGTGATTAAATTTCAACATATGGCTGGGCGTGGTGGCTCACACCTGTAATCCCAGCACTTTGGGAGGCTGAGATGGGCAGATCACTTGAGGTCAGGAGTTCGAGACCAGCCTGGCCAATGTGGTGAAACCCCGTCTTTTCTAAAAACATTTTAAAAATTAGCCGGGTGTGGTGGTGAATGCCTGTAATCTCAGGTACTCCAGAGGCTGAGGCAGGAGAATCACTTGAACCCAGGAGGTGGAGGTTGCAGTGAGCTGAGATCACACCACTGCACTCCAGCCTGGGTGACAGAGCAAGACTGTCTCAAAAAAAAAAAAAAAAAAAAAAAAAATTACGAATTTTGCGAGGACGCAAACATTTAATCCGTAGTACTGATGTGGATATGATTTGAGCTAAGACTCTGCTGTTGATTCTCTTCAAAAACTTGGCAGTAGCCCTTGGATCCCATTAATTGCATTCAACAGTCATGTATTTTATTAATTTTTGTTCCTAAAGAAAAAAAAAATCCAGATTGCTTAGAAAATAAATGTGACTCACGCAGAGCAGAATCCGAATTTTCTAAGTGATGAACATGTTAACATATTATTTTAATCTAAAGACATCCTATCCCTGAATTTAGGGGGAGACATTTTTTTAAGTAAGGTTTATTTTTAAAATTGTTTTGCAAACATTTTAACAGTACATCACTGCCTCATTGGATGAATCATATTTTTAACTTTCACTTCCCATCAATTTAAACATCATCTCTCAAGGAACTGATGGGCCGGTTGACTCTAAATGATTTTGCCTTTCATGCAGTATTGTTCCATCCGCCTGCCACAGAAGTGATTCCAGGTCATTCCAATTTATTTAATTAATTTTGGAGATGAAATTATTTTGCCCAATAACTAGAATGCTAATGGGACTTAGTGTAATGGTTTAGTTCAGGTTTGTTGGTTTGAAAATAAACGCCTTCATTTCAATATTTGCCTTTTGGCTGCAGCCCGTTAACTGGTCACATGCTGTAACCTCATTAACATCAAGGCTTAATTGTAAGTTAATGTGCACCTAGTTTTTGTAAAGAAGGTTTCTATCTTAACTGCCAAGTTTTGCCCCCCAAATATAGCCCCAAACTGGCATTTCCAACAGATGGATGGGTTGGTGTAATATAATTCATGCTTTTAAACATCATACTTTTATCGGTGCCTTGATAATAAATATTTGAACTTATTTTTAGAAGTTAGAATAAAGTGAGGAAAATAAATCTCAGCTCTCTAGAGTGTCACTGTGGTATTGAGATTTGTGGAGGTGTACTACATCCGTAATTGGGAGAGATTGCCGGTCGTAAAGGAGGGACAATAGAACCTCTGTAGAATCAAAGGCAGAATTAAAATCTGCATGTTAATAGCTTTCCTGCCAGCCACGAATAGATTCATTCTTCACGTCTCAGATATATAAAGCTTATTTCAAAATAAATTCTGGGGAGCGTTCAACCTGATTGAATCTGCTGTAAGCTCTGTTAATATATTTGTTCGAGTCACTTGCACTCAAAAGGTTTTTAGACAGAATATCACTTTTTTATATTATTCATGGTAATGTAATTCCCCCCTTTAATCTCTTCAGGGTTTCCCATTCAGTCATGATATGCGGTTCAGAGAAAGTTGGATCGACCATTAATCATGCTATCTCGACTTCTGTGTGTCTCCTTTTTGTCCATCTCTTAAATCAGTCACTTGGCAGCAGCAAGACATGTGGCCACTCCAGACCATTTGATCGAAGAGCTCTTGTTAGGAGATTAGGCTGCTAATCTGCAAGCGAGCTAATGGAAATCATTCTGGGCAAGGAAACAAAACTGAACAACATTAGCAAAATCACTACATATTATAGGAATCAAGTACATTCTGAACGGCTTAATCCTACAGTTTAGATATGAAGCCTAAGGGTAAGATGAACGTCTTAGATGATCTGAGATATCCAAATACCTGTAACAAACATTTGTATGGTGTATGTAGGGCAGGAACCCCATCAGAATTGGGGAATCTTTAAAGGATTTTTTATTTAGCCAGATAAAATAAACAAGGACAGAGTTGACTGAGAAAAAAGAAAGAAAAAAAAGAAAAGTCAGGAGAGGAGGACTGAAAATTCCCATCCCACCCCCGCAACAATGAAGGGAAATGCCTAGGTTGAAAACACGCAATACACATTCAATAAATGTTCATGGTTGAATGAAGTTACCTGGTAGGGATTTAATCTTTATTTCAAAAAGAGTGGCTGTGAATCTTTAAAAATTTCTTTGGTTCTTTAACATTCTCTTCTTCACTAAACCCAAATTAATAATTCCTTACTATTGTCATTAAAAGTTCTCACTGGATCATTCCATTTATACTCAGAGTAACAAAGCAAACCCAATTATTTGAGAGACACTGAAATGAATTTTGAGTCTAGAACAGCATCTGCAAACTTTGCAAAGGTTCACATGATAAATATTTTCTGCTTTGTGGCCTACAAGGTACCTATCACAACTACTAAGCTATCATGCATTAGTGAAAGCACATAGATAATCTATAAGCCAATGGGCATGGTTGTGTGACAATAAAACTTTATTTAGAAAAACAGGTGGTAGACTGGATTTAGCTTGTGGGTTGTAGTTTGCTGGCCTCTGGTCAAGAGCACTTGTTTGTCTGGGAGACATAATTTCAAAAATCATTTTCTTTTTTGATTTTCATGGTTTTAGAACATGATATTTTCTACTATGGATGAATGCTCCTCTTTTGAATTTTCATTTTTGTCTGACATAACTCAAAGTGCTTGCTTTGGGAGTTCTTGTTAACCCTGACAATTCTTGTCAAATATCTTACTCCTGGGCTGTGCTGGGGATGGCAGCAGAGTGGGGTGGTTGGATGGGAAGGCGGGAAAGAGCTAGCTTGGAGATGATACGCTTTTCCATCCTTGAATAACTTGGGAAAAAGTCAGGAGTGTGGAATGAAGAATTGGAATATAAAGGCTGAGGGCGGACCTAATTTTTTTTTTAAGGATTAAGAAAAAAGGAGTAAGAGAGATGGTATGACTTATCACTTGGCTGGGGACTCAGCATTAATTGATAAATCCACTGTAAGGAATGCATGACACTGTCTTTTGAAGAAAGACATTGCATGTTAGGATTCTGAGTAACAGTCAATATATTCAGTGAAACAAATACCTAATATATTCCATGAAACAAGTATCGTGAATATATTCCATGAAACAAATATCATGAATATATTGTGTGAAACAAATATCGTGAATATATTCCATGAAACAGATATCCAGTATATTCCATGAAACAAATATCATGAATTTATTCCATGAAACAAATATCGTGAATATATTCCATGAAACAAAATACTGTGAAATCATACCACTGATTTTTGAAGAAACCTAATGAAAACAGCATGCTCCTATATCTTTTTTCTGGGTGATCTTTAGATATCTCGTCTTCCAAACTTTTGTGTAGCATTGTCTGAATTTTCCCAAGAAAGGAGGATGTTGATCTCCTATTTATTTATATTTATTTAAATTTTTAACCTTTACATTGACCCAGTGTTGTAAGGAAATGGGAGAATATTGCCCTGATGTCTGGGAAATTGGGACTCCCATCCTACAATTCAAGTGTTGGAATGTTGCAGGGAGGCTGGGCTAAGGTGTTCTGTTCCTGTCTCTGGTTCAAAGGAAAGGAATAGCCTAGACCTAAAGGATTCTGTCTGGTAGCTGTTTGCTCTTCGCGCCTGTGCTTTGAATGGTGAATACCCTCGGCGGGAGGCAGGCACCTGATGCCACTGCCCCCGCCCCACCTGCCCCCGCCCCGTTTCTCAGATCACACAGGCAGGCTGAGGAGCGCTTAACA
This sequence comes from Homo sapiens, assembly GCF_000001405.40. Lineage (NCBI taxonomy): Eukaryota > Metazoa > Chordata > Mammalia > Primates > Hominidae > Homo > Homo sapiens. The sequence continues at coordinate 78,551,710 of NC_000016.10, forward strand.
CCCCAGCCTCCCATGAAGCATCCTGAAAAAGCAGACTTTGTCTTCCTCCATCAGCTTTGTTTGTCCTCTGCCGAGACTCCAGGGACATGATTGCTCTTCATTTTACGCTCGAGATCAAAATAAACAGAAACCACTTTCAGCTTTCCCGTTCCAGGGTTAAGTGCCCAAGCAGGTGTTGTTTCTGTTATGTGGTTTGCAGTGAGCAAAACCACCCCCTCTTACCTGTGGCAGCAAAGGCAGGGAGACTTTGAGACCTGGGGAGGGCTCTCTGCTGTGTTAACAGAACTGGCTCTTGGTTGGGGGGTGGGGGGCACCCATTCTTGGCTTCTTATAACACTTCCTTTCTCATGCATTACCTGGGGCTCCCTCTGGAAAGAAAATGGTGGAGAGGTTACTGGCCTGATGACCCAGGGACCCAGGCAGTCCTTACAGGGACCCAGAATTTCACATGCAAATGTGACCTCCAATTAAAGCTGGACTTGATTAACCCCATTTCCCCTCAAAAGATGATACTTGTAATGCCGTTCCGATGAGGCCGTCTCACTCCGTAAACTGTCATCTGATTTACACAAAGCCATCTGCTTCCATACGGGGTGTTTTATTTGGGATCCAGGAGGGGAGAAGGCGCATCTGCCCCCTCCATAGCATCTGAATCTTAATGAATAAAAGCACTGACACTTCTTTAAAAGGGAATAGCGTGATGCTATTTACAGTTTATACAGTTTTGTAATCCAGCTCCATGCTGGATATTTACCGTCAGTCATTTGAGGAAGTTCACTTCTCTGCTGGTTTTCTGAGTGAGGGAGCGATGAGTAGAGGAGCAGCTGGAGGGTCCAGGAGCCCCCTGAACTGAGTATCCGGTGGGAGGTCAGATTTCCGCATTCAGAACGAGAGCTCATACGGCATCCACGCGTGTCTTTCTCATGCATATCCCCAGCCCGAGTAGAAGAGGACTTCTGCATCTCTGTTAGTTCTTTCTCCTCCTAAGAAAAAGCAGATTTTAAGTAACTTATCATTTGTTCATTTAATTACTCATTCTTTATTCCTTCTTCATTCATTTTCCTTTTCTCCTTCCTTTCTCCCTCTGTTCTCTCTGTTTTAACAGGTTTTATTCTTATTGTGGTATGGTAAGGCCAAGATGAGGAAATGACTGCTATTGCAAAGATGGTTTGTTACTCACAGATCCATGGGGACTCCACATGCCACAGGGAGTTACCTGGGAAAGCCCCAGGGTTGGGCAGGAGGCAGAGGGAGAGGGGGAGAACTGTCAAGAGTTTTGAGCTGGAAGCTATTATCCTCAGCAAACTAACACAGGAACAGAAAACCAAATACCGCATGGTGTCACTTGTAAGTGGGAGCTGAACAATGAGAACACATGGACACAGGGAGGGAAACAACACACACTGGGGCTTGTGAGGAGTGGGGTTGGGGGAGGGAGAGCATCAGGAAGAATAGCTAATGGATGTTGGGCTTAATACCTAGGCGATGGGTTGATAGGTGCAGCAAACCACCATGGCACAGGTTTACCTATGTAACAAACCTGCACATCCTGCACATGTACCCTGGAACTTAAATTTTTTTAAAAAATGTTTTTATTGTGATTTTCACAGGAAAGAAGGGGCCAGGCAGGGTAAGCAGGCTTAGGATTGGCTGGCTTGGGTCATTTCCATGGGCTCTGGGACACAGGGGTTGTCTTTAGGTGTCTGACCCATGGCTATGGGGTGATTAGGGTAGGTGGGTGTGGCCTGGAGTTCGAGCCCAATAAAGCCAGTGGTGAGGGTGTGGCTGTGAATTGGTTGGTTTGCATTTGAACTGTGGTTACCAGTGAGCTGTCTACTATCTCTAAGAATCCGCTAGAGCCCTGTAAAGAAAGCCTACAAGGGAGCAGGTTTTAGGCAATAATAAGTGAGCAGTATGGCGCCCTAATAGAAGGAGGGATGCCTGTGGCCAATATACACGGCTCAAAGTTGACCATGATAGAGAACCTTTCCCTAGAAGGTCTGTGAGGGAGGAGGCCTGGGAGAGACAGCAGGGTGACCAGAGTAAGTGAAGTCACCGAGGTGCCAATGAGTGTGGCCCTGCAGGTCCTGCAGACCCCCCTGGTGGCAGTATTGGTGGTCACAGCTGGCAAAGGGAAGTGTGGCTGCCCGGAGAGCTTGGCTGAGGTTGGAACGTGGGAGTTTAAGAGAGCAAACTCCCACAGCTTGGTGCAGAGAGAAAAGTGTAGAAAGGTCGGGTGTCATACAGCAGAGGGCTGTGATGCTCTACTGAGGAGTGGAAGTGTTTTTCTGAGGGCATCAAACACGCCGTCAAGCAGGGAGGCAACAAATCTGAGTTGTTCCACAGATACTTTGAGTGCAGTACAAGTTGGTAATGGGTAACAGGCTAAACCATGTGGCACCCCTTCCCTCTTATCAGCTTCTTGCTACCATGCAGAAAAGTGCTGAAGGTGGCCTGCCCTAAGGCAGTAGCACTAGAGCAGGGATGGGGAGGACTTGGTGGCCAGATGCATGTGGACATGATGGAAAGGGAAGAGAAGAACTGTCAAGATTTTCACTATCAGTGGTATAAGCCCCGTAGTAATATGCCTAGTGTTCCATTATTGGAACACTAAGTATGTGGGAATTATTTATATCCTACCGCTCAAAGCCATCACCAAGGTCTGATCGTGAAAATTCAAAAAATTGCAACCTGAGGCATAAATGGGTTTTAAGCTCCATACAGTAAAACCTAGCATATGAAAACAGTTCTGGCTGATGGGTTGGTAGAAGTGATAGATATAGATACATACATACACATATATGCACAGTAATAGATATAGGTAAAGACCTTGATATATGTACATATATTGTATGATACATATCCATGCATATACGTGGGTGTACACACACAGGTACACACAAATATATATGTGCCTTTGGACAAGAAAAAATCCCCAGGACAGTCTCATTTGGCTTTTAAAATGCTGCAGTTGAATAGGACCGTAGAGGTGGCCTAAGGCAGCCTTCCATTCAGGGCACGCAGATTTGGTTCCTCAGCTCCCTTCTTCTCTATTTCTGAGTCACGTGGGCTGCACCTATCTGTCAGAAGCCCACTGCCCACCCAGAGCCCCTGACTCTGAATGGTGGCCCAGTGCTTTCTGAAGACAGAGGTGGGACCTGGTGCTGGAGACAATCCATTCCTTTCACAAAGACTGTAAGCCTTACCCAAGCATTAATTTTGCTGCATAGGCGGCCTGTTCTCCCACAAAGCACTGAGTAAGAAGAAAAGGGGCCCGGATAAACCAGCAGGGCCTGGCAGACAACTTCTGGCTCCCTTGCCATTTAAGGTCCCGAGGAATGTGGAGACATTGGTGGGGGCCAGGGTGGGTTTGGAAGGACGGATTTTTTCCTCTTTGTCTCTATCTCTCTTTCTCTCTGTCTTTTTCTCTTTCTCTCATAGTTAATGCTATGATTTTGTAAAAAAAAAAAAAAAAAAAAAATTCTAGTTTCTCAGAATCCTCATTGGAGGCATGTGTATATTTCTAAATTTAAATGTATTCTCCTATACTGTCCGGGGAAAGGAAGCATTTTTCAACCAAACTGAAAGGGAAAGGTACTCTTTTTTATTCTAATACTCACATTTCCCAAAACATATCCTTAATATTGTACATTTGGCACAGTTATTGTTGAATACTTGGAAGGCGATGTGTATAGCATACAGAGCTGCAGCTTTGGACTTTGTGGCTTTAGGTAAATTACTTATTCTCTTTGCACCTCAGTGTATTCTTCTGACTAATGGGGACAGTAGCAACATCGATGTCTCGGGGCTTCTGTGAGTATTCATCAAGGTAATATATGCAGGCCAGTACCACATTCCCCACTAAAGGAGTGCCACTTTTTTTTTTTTTTTTACTACTTGCATTATTGTTGTTGTTGTTGCTGTACGTCTGAAGGGCTTTAGTCCTCTTATGAGCAAGGCAAAAGGGACAATGTTCACCCTTTGGACTGGAAGTAAGAAGCCCCTGCAGTTCCAAATGACTCCACATTTGGAATGATTTCACAAGGAGTGCAAAAGAAGCCTCTTGTTTGACTTTGCCCACAAATGCCAGAGGAGGACTCTTCTGAGCCATGCCAATAAGAAAAATGAGAATGCCAGCTTAAATAAATGTTATCACAATCTCTGCAGAATCGTGATGTCTCCGATTCTTAAAAGTGTCTACTGCAGGGTATTTATTATTCTGTGATAATAATAAATCGCTGCTTATGAAATGCAAGGAATCGAGTGTCATGGAGGGGAGGAAGGGAAGTAACAGGGAGAAGAACTGTGAGAGATGGAGGTCCAGCCAGGCCCGGGCTATTAATCATCGCCCTCCATTATTTCCTGAAGATTCATTCATTGTTCCATAGGTACCTAGAGGGTCAATTAGAGACCACAGACAGGCTTTTTCAAAGACGCAAGAGGGTCAATTAGGCCCTCCTTATAATTTTCTGCTTTAACAGCAAATGCCAGCCTATCGTGCATCAGATGCAAGGGAGTTTGGAAATAAACAGGGTACTTTCCCTCCTCCTCTAAAAAAAAAAAAAAAGAAAAAATCCAACACAGAGACATGGAGACAGTCGGCGATTGGGAACGCTTGGCTTGCTGGCTGTCAGGATCTGGTTCAAGGAAGGCAAAGGGAATTTTATCACCAACTGGGACTTGAGAGGAGCAGAGTTCTTCTGGTCTCAGAGCACGGGGAACGGTCAGGGAATTTGTATGATGGAGCACCCTGTTCCCATATCTGAGATGATTCATTTATCTTGAGTGCCATCTTAACTACAATTAGAGTACAATTATAAAGTATCTACAATGGAAATGGGTCTTGAAATCAATCGCAGCTGGACCGGCGTGCGGTGAGTTGCCGTGCCCACCACGACTGCTGTCTGTGTTTAGGACAGAGTTCAACCAAACGTACCGGTGTGTGATTTTGCACAACACTGCTTTGTATTTGTTTTCCCTGAGACCGGCAAACACATTTTTTATTTATTTTATTTTTATTTTTCGAGATGGACTTTCGCTTTTTTGCCCAGCCTGGAGTGAAGTGGCATGATCTCGGCTCACTGCAAACTACCCCCGCCCCCGGGTTCAAGCAATTCTCGCACCTCAGCCTCCCAAGTAACTGGGATTACAGGTGCCCACCACCAAGCCCGGCTAAGTTTTCTATTTTCAATAGAGATGAGGTTTTGCCATATTGGTCAGGCTGGTCTTGAACTCTTGACCTCAGGTGATTCACCCACCTCAGCCTCCCAAAGTGCAGGGATTAAGGCGTGAGCCACCGAGCCCAGCCGGCAAACTTACTTTAAAACACATTGCAATAAAATAAAAAGAAAAGGGATTGTCCTAAGTGAGAAGCAGAGATGAAAATGTGGAAGGATGATTGTGAGAAGTCCACATTGCTCCATTTGGACTTCCTTTTTGTAGTGGGCTATTAGATTTTGCCTCTGCTTGTTTCTGAATACCCAAGCTTGCTAACACAGGGAAAGACCAATTATCATGATTATTATTATTTACCTTAAGACCTGATTCTACCTATCTATGATCACATAGACATTTGGAAGCAAAGAGAAATGCTTTTCATGTGGGAAAAACCAATACCAACTTCAGTGATATTATTTCTCCGCCCCCCGCACCGGGCTCTTGGGAATATCTCTTAGCCCTCAATTGTCACATTCATTCAGCAGATGTTAGCACGTGCAGGCACCATTCTAGGTGTTGGGGATACATCCAAAAACAAGCAGGAAAACCCCATTCTCTTCATTTCTGGAATGCCGGAGCACTGGGCCCATGGAGCCCGTTTCACTTACACGTTTTTGTCGTCTTTGAGTTTCCAAGAAGGGAGTGGCACTATAGCTGAAGAGGATGACCCTCTATCACAGCCTTTGCTAAAACCACTGAAAACTGTCTTATTTTTCATTTTGCCCGGAAATGCGACACATAAGTGCATTCCTCTAGGGAAGGATTTTTTTTTTTTTTTTTTTTTTTGAGACAGGAGTCTCACTCTGTTGTCCAAGCTGGAGTGCAGTGGCGCGATGTCAGCTCACTGCAACCTCCGCCTCCTGGGTTCAAACAATTCTCCTACGTCAGCCTCCTGAGTAGCTGGGATTATAGTCACCTACCACCATACCCAGCTAATTTTTGTATTTTTTAGTAGAAACAGTGTTTCACCAGGTTGGCCAGGCTGCTCTCGAACTCCTGACCTCAGGTGATCTGCCCACCTTGGCCTCCCAAAGTGCAGAGCAGGAATTTCATTGGATTTCTACACTGCTGCTTTTTCAGAGCCTGGAACAGTGCCAAGCACATAGTCGGCCCTCAGTGAGCATTTGTTGACTAACTTAGGTCACAGATGTGGGGCTGTGATTCTGAAGGCCCCGGCTCATTCTTGGCTTTCAGAGAGGTTTGCTTTCACTCCTGGGCAGCAGCTGCCCTGGCTGCTGCCACCACCGCCTTCCCGGAGGTCAGCTTTATTTTCAGTGTTTTTGCCCTTCCGATCCCTGGGTAAGAAGTAAGAAAATTTCTAGTGCCTGGAGTCTCCATCCTCGTTTCCCAGTCATATCCTAGAAGCTGCAAATTGCTGGCTTGTGGATGTCTTTGGTTTGGCCTGCTGAAGTTTGTTTTGGATTTTTTAATGAAATAAATTAGCTGTGAACATTTAAAACTTGGGAGACATCCCATCAAAATTGGGATTTCCTGCTTATCTCGACAAAGCAGATCTGGCATCCTTTGCCTGCATTTTACATTTGGCTACAGTTGGCTGGACTTGAGCAGCGGCTGCCCCTCTTTAGCTGGGGCATGTGCCCTGTGGTTTGCCATAGTACCCATCAGGCCTGCTTCACTCATTGTAGAAATGGCCTGGCCTCCTAGGCATTGGAGATTTCTGTTATGCTCATTCATGAGCTTGCCTGCTTACACCTAGCTGTTGTGTTGGTTCTCATAGGTCTCCCTGATTCCAGCCTCCAATTCACTGAGCTGGCCTCTGCCAGTGTCACTTCTCCCCAGTCTTGGCTTTGATCAAGCTTGGAAAGGCCTGGCCTTTGTGTTGTCACATTCTTCTGCCTAGAGTATGCCTTTTCCTTCACCAAACCAAGTGGCTCTTTCGGAAGACTTGCCTGAATCCTAGACCCCTTCTCTCTACAACCTTCAGTCTGAGTTGGGTACCTTGCATCCTCCTTTGTTCCCATACTAACCCCTACAACCATGGTCATTTTGTGGTTATCTGTTTAATTCTCTGCTGGCTATTCCAGGCTGTCAGCTCCCTGACTACAAGGACTTTGTTGCTCACAATCATATCCACGGCATCCACACAAGATCTGGCCGCTACGTGGAAGGACACATAGTTCCGTCTGGCTTGGAGCCTAGCTTGGGAGAGGGACAGTAGTGGGGAAGGGTGAGCTTGGAGATAGAGCTGACCTTCCCAGGTGCTTCAGCAGTTACAGCAAGATTCTAGATCTTACCCTGACAGTCACAGAAAGCACTGGGAGCGTTTATGAATGTTGTGGTATCTCACATAATAAGGGGACCATGCATGTATTTTAGAAAGAGCCCTCTGGCTTCAGGGAAGAACGATGGATTTGTGAGGGTCAGGACTGGTAGCAGGTGGGCTCCTAGAATAGTCCCGGCAAGAGATCATGGAGGCCAGAGCCAGGGATGGATATAGACTAAGACATGCCTGTAGACTGAGTGTCGAGGAGCAAGTAGATCAAATTCTAGCATGAGACTGGGAGAAAGAGATGTTCTCCAGCCAATGGATTTATGAAATGAATGAACTTTTTCCCTTTCCTCCCAAGCATTGCCTGGATCACCTTGTTAATATGGTTTCTTATTAAACGTGCTGGAAAAAAGAGGCTCTAAGTGCGTATGCTTTTAAAGCAACACTATTAGCAAATGGCCACTGGCTTCATTTTTCCTGTGCATATATTTTTGTGTATTCCGGGAGGATTTTCTTTTCTTTTTCTTTTTAATCCTCCTCCTCAAGGGAAACATTCTTCTCACAATAGCTTCCTGGTAGAAAGTTCTAACTAATGACTTTAATCGTGTGAATGTATTGCAGAAATGGACAGGACAATTCTCAGCCCATTCATCTTACAGACCTCAAGTGAACAGGCACAAAACAACAGGCTCCACCCTCCTTCCCCCCTCTATCTCATACTTTACCTCAATTTATGACTTGGCTTACAATCCGTTGCAGAAAGCCTAGCTCCCCAGCTTCTCCTGAATCTACGTTTTTCTATTTTGTCTGAACTAGCCAAGGTCTCTGGAGTTTGCTGTTATATTGCTTCAGAGAAATTAGTGACATTGAAAGGCTGTTGTCTTTTTTAGTGTACTTTTGGTTGTTAGGAGAAATTTACAAGGCCATTTTTTTCTCCCGTCTCTGCAGTTCAGGAGATTATATTAGAAAATATTCTATACAAAAAATATGCATAGTAGGGCTTTTCTCCAGCTAGTAGCTCAGAATAAGTCAGTACTACTGAAACAGGTACCTTTTGTGGAATTGATTCTGAAATCTGTTTGGATCTGAAATCTTTCTTTCTTGCCTTTGAGTAAGATACGGCAGAGAAAAACAATTACACTAGCTGCTGGTCTGTATTTACTGGTTAGAATAGAATATTATTACCATCAAGAATAACATTAGTGGCCAGGTGCGGTGGCTCACGCCTGTAATCCCAGCACTTTGGGAGGCCGAGGTGGGTGGATCACCTGAGGTCAGGAGTTCAAAACCAGCCTGGCCAACATGGTGAAACCCCCGTCTCTACTAAAAATACAAAAATTAGCCGGGTGTGGCGGTGCATGCCTGTAATCCCAGCTACTTGGGAGGCTGAGGCAGGAGAATCCCTTGAACCTGGGAGGTGGAGGTTGCAGTGAGCTGAGATCACGCCATTATACTCCAGTCTAGGCAACAAGAGTGAAACTCTGTCTCAAAAAAATTAATGATAATAATGTTACAATAATAATAATGTTAGTGATACATATCATTTTGAAACCAGTTCTTAAGCAATTAAAAAAAAGCAGCTATGGTGATTGAGTTTTTGTGTTATGAATTTTATACTCTGAAGGCATGGTCATTGTGAATGCCAAAGAAATGAACAGGAGAAAATTTTATTTGAAAGCTGGGATTGTTGCATGCTGCAGAATTTTTTTTTCTTTTGCTATTGCTGTGTAACAAATGACCACACACTTAGCAGTTCACATTCACATCTTGTTTATTAACTACAATTCTCTAGATCAGAAGCCTAGACACAATGTGACTGGCTTCTCTGCTCAGGGTCTCTTGGGGACAAAATAAAGGTGTCCGCTGGAGGAACATCCTTTCCTGCATGCTCTGTGGAAGAATCCACTGCCAAGCTCATTCAGGATGCTGGCAGGATTCAGATCCTTGAAGTTGTAAGACTAGGGCCCCTGTTTCCTACTGACTTCTGCTGGTGGCTGCCCTCAGCTCCCAGAGGCAACCCACATTCCTTGACTTTTGGCCCCCTGCATCTCAAAGCCAGCAACAGAAACTCTCTTGTGCATGGAGTCCCCTCCTGCTTTGAATCTCTCTGACTTTCCTTGACTTTGATGTCTAGGTCTGGATTTCAAGGGCTCAGAAACTCTCTCATGCATGTAGTTCCCTCCTGCTTTGAATCTCTCTGACTTTCCTTGATTTTGATGTCTAGGTCTGGATTTCAAGGGCTCACGTGATGAGGATAGTTTCTTTATCTTAAGGGCAACTGATGTGGAGTCTTAATTAACACTGGCAAAATCCCTTCATGACAGTACCTAGAGTATGAATTGACTCAGTAACTGGAAGAATGCATGCGTACACCATGGACCGGGAATCCGGGAGGCCAATTTAGAATTTTATGTATCAAAGCCCCATTTTTTTTTGAATAACAGAAAAAAAAAAGAGACCTGATATTTGGAGAGACTTTTTCAAAAGCAGAAAGTTTAATATAAAAGAAAGGGGGTAATTGAAGAAGATATAAACTGCAAAGAAAGGATGTTAGGTAGAGCGCCTTATAGGGAATCAGAGGTTTTATTACAGGCAGACACGGCTTCACCTGTGAGCCGAGCAAGTGATTTTGCCTGCAGAGAAGAACGCAGGGTTCCTTCTATGGCTCAGGATCTTCAGTTACCAGCAGTGGAAGTGAATTGAAAATAGTTGGTCTCTTGAGTGACCTGATGCAACTCATTATCTTCTCTGTGCCTTAACGTCTCTATCTAATTTCCCATTAAAAGTAACAGGAAAAAGCGCAATGACTTTTGCACCAACCTAACAATGGGTTGACATTCAGGATTGCTATAATGATGAAGCAATGGCAAATGGAGTCTTTGTTTTTAGCCCCGTGGAGGCATATGCTGGGCACTCAACAAACATCACTTCCCCTGCCCTTTTCTCAGATAGAGTTATCCAAACAAATTGGATGCTCAACTCTGGATTTGATCCAAGCTCTCTGGAAATCTCTAGCTTCTCAAACTGTTTCGTGGTGGAGTGCCTTTTGGGCACAGGAGAAGGAAATAAGAGCCTCGCGAGGTTTGGGAATGCTGCCTCTAGCTCTCACACTGCATGCAGAATTCCTACTCTGAGAGCTCACTTTATCTCAAAAACCCATGCATATTCTGCATCTACTCTGAATTCCGCAGTGTTGTGTGTTACTATACGATCTAGTGTTTTCGTTGCTTACAAGTTAGATTCACACTCCAGGAATGTATCTGTTCCCACATCCCCTGATGCTGAGCATACCAGAGTTAAGGGAGGCAAGCAAGGCCCCTAACCTCCCAGGTTCATGGAGGTACCCATTCTGCACTTGTTGACCTTGAGCTTGAGGACTCCATAAATGTCTGCCCTTGGCATTGCACGTGCCTCCCTCTGGGCTGACCCTGCTGGGCCTGTCACTTACTCCCATTGGAGAGGCCTGTTTCCATACATAGCTCTTTGTCAGTTGCTCACACTCGGTCAATACTTGCCTTCCTTTGAGGCCATCTGCACTCACTGACAATCTGATCGCTCCCCTGAATGGAGGTGAAAGCATGCAAGCTAGGAGTTAAGATCTTTAACTCAGGGAAGACCCTGTCTATGGAAGTGCTGAGCTCTTCAGTGTCATCACAGAAAAGCATGAGCCCCTCCCTGGTACGGAGTCATCACATCCCATAGCTGAGCGACGTCGGAGCTCCACGATGGGGAGGTGACACATAGTCAGTTAATTACATAAAGAGAACTTGAGCAAACTCTTACTCTGCCATATGCTGTGCAGATCCCTCTGAAAAGCTTTACAGATGTTCTTTTTTTTTTTTAATCCCTCCCCCTATCTTTCTTTCTTTGCACCCACGATGCTCTGCACTTCAAGCTAAATATAATGTATCTGATTTTACAGCATACATACTAATCAGGTTTGAAAGTTGTCTTGTGAGGCTTTAAAAAGCTAGCCAAGAGCAGTGCGATTTCTCCAAAAGGATGTCTGCAATCAAGATGATTACATGGGAAAATAAATCATAATTTATATTGCTGAAAATGTCATTTGCAAAACACTTTGACAATACTTTCCTTTCAGTCTATTTTCCTGTGTATGGGGTAAGTGTTGCCCTTCTGCAACTTTCCTTTTATTTTATTTATTTATTTCTTTTCAATACTCTGAATATCACTGGAGCAGCTGCAGATTCAGGGCAGTATGGGGTGGTTCAGGAACAGAACTGACAGGTATTGAAGCCAAAAATTGAACAATAACAACGTAGGAGGGAGAATCCAAAGATAGTATGTGTTCAGGATACGGGCACTCGTGTGGGTGAACACACACACACACACACACACACACGCTTTTTTTTTTTTTTCTTTTTTTTTTTCTCCTATTGCAATAGAACGTAAAGGTAGATTTTTAGAACCAAATGCCTTTTAGGAAGCTACCTCTCTTCCACCCTGCTGCCTTTGTGTTGAATAAACTATATTAAATTATCCAGGAGGAATGATTAGTGATCTGATTCATTAATATCCCTTGTTATTAAGAACTGTCTGTATTTGTGTCCTGGTTGGCAGATATTAAGTCCACAGATACCAATAATTAATATCTATGGTTGATTGTAAAAATGGCCACCAATTCTTCCCTGTCCCCTGCATATGTACATCCTTGCACTGTGAAATTGTAGATCTCGCCCTCCAAAGGTGAAGTTCGTTTGTCCACTCCTTGAACCAGGATGGCATGAAACTTGATTTGACCAATGAGGCATTTGGAAACACGGCACAAGCAAAGGCTTGAAACGTGCTTTTATGTTGGTGCTTGCCCACTTGCTGTGCTACGAACCCTTTTACTTCTGGGTGCGAACAAGCCCAGGCTAGCCTTCTGGGCGATGAGAGACACAAGACCATGTTTCCATATTGCCCCAGCCAAGAGCCAACCTACAGACGCAACTGCCTTGCTGACAGCAGACACCTGCCCAGCTGAGCCCAGCCCAAATTGCTGACTCATGCAATCTTGAGCTAAAAATAAGTAGCTGTTGTTTATAGCCACTAATATTTGTGATGGTTCATTGCACAGCAAAATTGAATGGAGACAATACTTTTGAAATTGACTCTTCGGGAGCTGTTGTAAAGAAGTAAAATGTGTAGTGTTTGCCCTTTTCCTCAGCTGTAGGCCTGGTATGCAGAAGTATTCAGTTATTTGGTGAGTGAACCCTCGCTGATGCCCTGGCTAGTGTTTTCTGTCTCAGGAAGCATGAACATTTCATCCAGGGTTATATGCTACAGGGATATTCAAGAAATTGAAGATCCTTGAAAATCTAGTCTCCCTCACAAGGATCAGGTGGCAGGATCTAATGGGAGGGGTAGAGAGTGAGTGTTAACACACAGAGAACCCAGGAGACCTTTCTCAGAGGTCTCATATCAAGAAAAGATCATTTCTCCTAAGCAATCAATTTCTTTTTAAATCTGAACCTCATATCTGAGAATATTCCCTTCTTTTATCTGGCCACTCGGGAGCTCAAAAATAAATTTCTGGCACCCTTCTTCCTGGCTCCAGTAAAGTCATACAACCATATGGTACCTCTCTGGCAACTAATTTCACCTATTTCCTTATTTGTTTAAAAATTTTAACTTAAATTTTTTCCCCTCAAGATCTATTTACGGATCATCAGTTTTATTTTTTCTTTTCTTTCCTCTTTTTCTTTTGCTCCCTTTTCTCCCCACTCTTGACTCTTCTCTAGTTTTTATATGCAGTTTGTATTTATCCATGCCATCTGAAATCCTCCTTCCTTTTTAACAAGACAAGTAGAAAACGAAAACAACATCAAAGGATACACTACACAATTGTTGGAGCCCTAGGAACCGAGAGAAGAGTACAAGCAGGTTCTTGAACTGTTCTCTCCCCAGCAACTATAACTGGAAGGAACCTCAGTTTGTCCATTCATTCATTCATCAGAGCAGCATAGCAGAGTAGAAGGAACTCTGACTTTGGCATTGGTGCCTCTAAGTTTGAAGTCTAACTCCATCACTGTGTTTCTTTCCTCTTGCTGATAGCTGATTTGTTATAAACAAATTACCAAAAACGTACTGGCTTTAAACAACACATGCTTATCATGTTGCAGTTCTGGGGAGTCACAAGTTCAAAATCAGTCTCACCTGGTCAAGATGTCAGTAGGGCTTGTTCCTTCTGGAGGCTCTAGGGGAGAATCTGTTTCCTTGCGTTTTTCATCTTCTAGAGGCCTCCTGCATTCCTTGGCTCTTGGCCCCTTCCTCTGGCTTCAAACCAGCAGTTTAATATCATCACATCTCCTTTACTGATTCCTCTTCCGTTGTCCCATCACATTCTCCTCATCTGGCCCTCTGGCCACTCTCTTATAAGGACCCTTTTGATTTCATTGGGAATACCCAGATAATCTTGGATAATCACTCCATCTCAGGGTCCTTAATCACATCTTCAGAGTCCCCTTTGCCATGGCTGATGACAGAGTCACAAATTTGGGGAATTAGTGTGTAGACTTCTCTTGTAGGGAGTCATTATTACTCTACCACAACCACTAATTCTGGACTTCACGTTCCCTCATCCATAGAGCAGGGATAACAATATCCTCCAGGCTATCCGCGGAAGTAGAGAATATAAGCTTTATCCAGGGGGCCACTCAGTGATGGGAGTCTTCCTTATGAAGCTGTCCCAGCTCCATCTCTCAGGACTGAAATGTGGGTAAGACCATCACATTTTTCATCCCCCGCCCCCCGCCCCCAACATTGACTGGGCAGATATTCATACAATGGCGATTGTTTTGTCTGCCTGGATGGCTTTAACATAATACCATAGACTGGGCAGGTTAAACAGCAGACCTCTATTCCTCACAGTCTAGAGGCTGGGAAGTCCAAGGTGAAGCCATGGGCACATTCTGTGCCTGCCTGAGGCTCTCTTTCTGGTTCCCAGATGGATGCCTTTGTGTGTCCTCTCATGGCAGAGAGAGGAAGGGGTCTGGAACCTTTCTCTTATAAGGATACTAATCCCATCGTACCCCGTCCCCCATGATCTCATTTGAAATTAGTCACCTCCCAAAGCCCCACCTCCAAGTACTGTCACACTGGGGCATAGGGCTTCAGCATATGAATTTGGGGGAGCTGGGGAGAGGAACACATACATTTAGTCCATAACAACTATCTCACTTACCTCTCTACTAAGTGATTCAGAAAATAGCAAGTATAGTAGTGGGAGAACATGGTATCAGAACCAGGAGAGGGTCCTCTGGCTTTCTGAGTTCTGCCAAAAACCAAGTTTTGCTGCCTTGGGCCTGTGGCTTCTCCTCCCTGATTGTCGCTGGCCTTGCTGTAAATTGTGAGGCATCCATGTGAGGCACAGGATGGTTCCAAGGACCAACTGAGGCTGTCTGTGCTGAGGCTGGGAGGGTGTAAGTGCTCAGAGGCAGCCGGAAGCTGTGGTTTTTACCTCCCAAGACTGTGCAGAGCTTCCTTCTTCTGTAGGGAGAAGTCTCTCAGGACAGGGCTCACAACAGTGCAGTCAGGAGATTGGAAATTTTAGTGACACCAAAGTGGGCTTTACTTCCTCCTCCTAGAATTCCTGCCAGAAAGGTGGAGATGTGCAATAAACTGAGCACCGATAGAGTACCAAGAACATGCTTTTTGCACATTGTTTGATTCATCAATCAGAGTGGGGCATGGCTGTCATCAGTTCAGAGTTGAAAGAATTGAAGATCAAAGGGGTCACGTCTCTGTGAATAGTATTAGTAATAGCAGCAGTATCGATAGCAATCATAGTAATTAAAATGGAAGCAACCACCAGTGTAATCATAGCAGAAACTCACATGTGTGTGCTTTCTATGTGCCAGGCATGAGGCTGAAGTCATACATTCATTATTTGTTAATCCCACCCTAAGTGATAGGTGTATTCATCATTCTCAGTATCAGAAGAAGAAACTGAGGTTCAGAATGACCCAGTAAAGATCACAAGCCCAACCCTGGTGAAGGGCGTGATTGGCAGAAGCCCAATTTAAGCCCCCATCATGTCCTGACGCTTTCCCAAAGCTGAGCTGCCTGCCAGGGTCTTTGCTCTTCCACTGCCAAGAAGTAAGGTTTTGGTTGGGCGCGGTGGCTCACGCCTGTAATCCCAGCACTTTGGGAGGCCGAGGTGGGTGGATCACGAGGTCAGGAGATCGAGACCATCCTGGTTAACACCGTAAAACCCCGTCTCTACTAAAAATACAAAAAAAAAAAAAATTAGCCCGGCGTGGTGGCGGGTGCCTGTAGTCCCAGCTACTCCGGAGGCTGAGACAGGAGAATGTCATGAACCCGGGAGGCGGAGCTTGCAGTGAGCAGAGATTGCAGCACTGCACTCCAGCCTGGGCGACAGAAGGAGACTCCGTCTCAAAAAAAAAAAAAAAAAAAAAAAGAAGTGAGTTTTTTTTGTGTATTCTGAAAGGTTCCCAAGCTCGCCGCAGCCTGCTATTGTATTTAAAGGGTGCCCTTTGCTGCGTAACTAGGGCAAAGAAGAACCAACTGGCTGTTCCCCACTGGCTGTGGAGAGTTCCAG
Source organism: Homo sapiens (assembly GCF_000001405.40). Taxonomy (NCBI): domain Eukaryota; kingdom Metazoa; phylum Chordata; class Mammalia; order Primates; family Hominidae; genus Homo; species Homo sapiens. The sequence goes on from NC_000016.10 coordinate 78,567,717, forward strand.
CTCATCCACCCTGCCTCTGTGGCTGAGTCGGGGAGAAAAGGACAAAGTTTTTCTCCCGCAACTGGGCCACCAAACCAGCAGAGCCTCCAGCCGGGGTGGTCTCGAGGAGGCCCATTACCGGCTGGAGTGACAGAGTGTGTCAAGCCTGCAGCTCGTCCCGTGTCTAATGGAACAGAAACAAGCACCCTGCTGCCCTTGTTTTCCAGTGGCTCACCGGGGCTCTGCGAGGTTTATTAATCTTAGCGTATAATGGAAAATGTGTTGCCATGTGAAATCTAGAGCCTCTGTTCACTACTCCGCGAATTGAAGGCGGCAGGAGTCTTTGTCTCATTTACACACAGTGCCTGCGAGAGACTCTTAGGGCAGAAGAACGCCGTCGTAAAAATCCGTGCGGAATTTGAAAGTGTGCATTAATGCATGTGACCAGATGGTTCTAAAATATGCCACTTTCACCAAAAATCATCCTCTGAAAAACTCTTCTGAACAACATCGGCTGTGCATAGTAACTGCCTTGAGTGGGGCCATTTTAGAAAATATATGAGGTACGGGATGAAGATGAGGGAGGAAAATGGTTCCTACTTATCATTACTTTGTCCCTCCAAAAGCCTGCATGCGGGAAGAAAAATCCACCCAGTGCAAGAACCGTGGCAGTACTCAGACCATTTAGAATCACTTTGAGTTATTACCAAGAAATTGCTAACCACTGCTTTCCAAGTTATATATTAAATTTTTCTTTTTTTTAAAAAAAAGCTTCCAACTTTTTTTTTTTTTTTTTTTGAGTTGGAGTCGCACTCTTTCACCCAGGCTGGAGTGCAGTGGCCCGATCCTGGGTCACTGCAACCTCTGCCTCCTGGATTCAAGCGAGTTTCCTGCCTTAGCCTCCCGAGTAGCTGGGATTACAGGCACCCGCCGCCACACCCAGCTGATTTTTGTATTTTAGTAGAGGTGGGGTTTCGCCATGTTGGCCAGGCTGGTGTCGATTTCCTGACCTTGAGTGATCTACCTGCCTCGGCCTCCCAAAGTGCTGGGATTGCAGGCATGAGCCACAGCGTCCAGCCCCAACTTCTTAAAAGCCAGAAACAACTGGCTGTTAGCTGTCACAATATTAATACTAGTGTGTGCAAGTAAGTTTGTTTTCTGCTTCTGTCTTACACGTTTTACGGGCTATCAGTAGATGCATCTAATAATCCTAACACTGTCATCCTTATACTTGAGGTCTTATTGTCCACTTCTACCTTAGCTATGTAAACAGATGAGTAACCTACTCTGGATTTACCCAGATAGTGCTGTTAGGCACCACACACGATGAGATTGGAGGCACCTGGGTGTCAGCCTCTTGGGCTGGCTCATTACAGGCCACTCTGTCTGAGGAACACTCAGGTTTGCAAACCGTTTCTTAAAATTACAGGATACCTAGGGACCTGTTGGGGTGGGAGGGAAGAACCCTATGGGCAGAAATGTGACTTTCTGTAGCAAAGATGTACTGTTTCCCACTGAGAAGAATCAAAAATAGAAAAGTGCTTCCTTGTCTCTCTATATTGTTATTAAAACAAGTAGATGCATTTTCATTGAATCAAGGCAGTTTTCCTTTATAAAATGTCCTATTTCATATCACTGTTCAAACTTGACATCCACATTTGAGTTGGTTTAAAATATCACTGTTTTGTTGACATTCACCTGTATTATACATTTCAGTTGGTCAAGTCATTTAATTTATCATAAACCATTTAAGGAGCAGTTGGAGAAAAGGGGGAAAAAGTTAAATGTTAATGATTCTTTTCGTAACTGCAATTTTATCGGCTCCTTTTTGTACATATATGATTATGAAGCAATTTGCATGAAATTTACACCTTTTCAAATTTTGAAAATTGCCTTGTTGAAAAAGAATCGCTGTACTTCTCAATACTACACTGATTAATCACAGTTATAGAGTAGACATAACATTTTTATTAAACTCTCAGTGAGCAGGAAAATTAGCACTTCCTGCAATAACGATACTAATTTCATTAGTGAACGTTTTCATTTATAAAGTGCTTCTTCCTTATCTTGAACCTTTTATCCTCTTCTTATTGACCAAAGAGAGGGCATATCTTTGGGAGCTGCTAATAAACCATATTCGTAATATGATGTGACCTCATCGACAGGCTGCTGCTTCTAGCTCATCATCTTCCTTGATCATAAATACCCATCGGTACCTCTTGTCACATGGTGCTCTTAGAGCTTCCTCTTTGAATTTCACATGTGATAAGAGATGGTTTCCATCCTGAAGAGCTTGCAGTGGGATGGTTATCGGAAAGATTAAAACTCTAAAACTAACAGGTGGATATAAATATAAAGAAAATACAGTATTTTGTTGATTTATGTTCATATAACTTCTTTATTGGTAAAAGGGAGACAGGTGAGAATACAGGAAATCCTTGTGGCCTTGTTTGCCTTTTTTAGAAATTTAACTTTGCAAACAAACTCAGGGGAAACTAGTGAGGTGGAAATAAAGAATGCTAGACTACGGGTCTGGGGCCCAAGTGTTTTATTAATATAAAAACTTGCGTATAAATGTCCAGTTTCACCACCAAATCCTTTCTGAAACATTGGTAGTAGATGAACTAATGCAACAATTTATTTTTCTTTGAGACAGGATCTGGAGTGTGGTGGTGCAATCATAACTCACTGCAGCCTCGGTCTCCTGGGCTGAAGCGATCCTCATGCCTTAGTCTCCCGAGTAGCTGGGATTACAGGCATACACCACCATGCCTGCCTAATTTTTTTTAATTTTTCTTTTATAGAGATGCAGTATCGCTTGTTGCTCAGGCTGGTCTCATATGCCTGGACTCAAGTGATCCTCCCGCCTCTGCCTCTCAAAGTACAGGGATTATAGGTGTGAGCCACGAAGCCCAGCTGCTGCAGTTACTCAACCAGCTTCCTACTAGAAGCCAGGCGTTTCTCAAGCTTCTGAAGACACAAAGGTGAACCCCAGACAAGCCAGGTTTACAGAGTGTGCATTTCAGTGGGGGAGCCAGCCAAAAAATCAGTAAACACCAAGATAAAATATATTCCAGTGGCGATACATTTTCAGAAACAAACAAACATGGCACTGGGCTGGAAATGAATGGCAGGGGAGAAGGCGGGCGGGGCAAGCTTTGGAAAGCACGGGCAGGTAAGGACAGGGTTTCAAAGGTGAGAAGGAGCTGGCAGTGTGAATAGCCAGGGGAAAAGTGTTTTGGGTAGAAGGAACAGAAAGTGAAACGGTGCCCTGGCAAGGCAAAGATTATTCATTGCTGAAGAGACTATGTTGCCCAGATGACTTGTTCATGTAATCTGTGATTTTTAAATTTAGAATTGAGGTTTGAAGGGAAGTATTGCTCCTTTCTTTATCTGCAATGGGAAAGCTTACTGTAGTTACTTACAGTAGAAGAGAAATGTACATTTCTGAAAATCCACTGAGGAAGAAAGGGGCAGTGATGATTCTAAATGTTAATAATGCAGACAGCCTTTGCTTTATGTATCAATTTTTGTAAATGTGTTGCTTAAATAGATTTTTATGAGCCAGTAATGGTTTAGAAAGGTAAATGACTTGCCCAAGGTCATACACCCAGTACACTTGGGAGCCAAAATTCATCATAGATGACTTTGTGAAATGTCCCATTAAATGTGTATATATATATATAGTGTGCATTACAGCTTAACAGACACACATTCATTTGACACATTATGTTTTAACTTTATTAATAAGTTTTTGTGGGCATAGGTCTTGTTTTGCCAACTTGACATGTGGATTTTAAAGGGCAAGTGCCTTAGAATACAAACTGTCCTATAAAGAATACCATATTATCGAAAGGATGTTCAAACTCATCAGTTAGAGGCGTTGCAGTTGGCTGGGTGCAGTGGCTCACACCTGTTATCTCCGCACTTAAGGAGTCCAAGGCAGGTGGATTACTTGAGGTCAGAAGCTCCAGACCAGCCTGGCCAACATGGTGAAACCCCTTCTCTACTAAAAATAGAAAATTAGCCAGGCGTGGTGGTATGTGACTGCAATCCCAGCTACTCGGGAGGGTGAAGCAGGAGAATCGCTGGAACCCGGGAGACAGGTTGTAGTGAGCTGAGATGTCGCCACTATACTCTAGCCTGGGCAACAGAGCTAGATTCCATCTCAAAAAAAGGCATTGCTGTTAATACAACAATGATAAGTTATTTCACACTCACCAGATTGGCAAAACGTTAAGTACTAAGGTCATAACAAGCACTGGAAGGATGTGGAGAAATAGGGAATTTTATGCATTACTGAACTGAAACAGCCATTTTGGAAAATATTTTGGTATTACGTAATAAAGTAGTACTTAGCAACTTATGCAATTTGGTTCCTATAAAGATGCCTTAGAGAAACTGTTGAGAACTAGGAAAAGCTCAGGAATGTTTCTGGTGCATAATTTGTGATAGCAAGAACCTGAAAGTCCTCCAAAAGCCGTCTACAATGAAATGGGGAAATTAATGGTGGCACATTCCTGCATAGGAGATAGCAGTGATAATGGGTGGATACCAGAACGTGCATCAACACAGAAGAATCTCAGCAACATAATTCAGGATTAAAACAGCGTTTACAGCTGGGCACAGTGGCCCACACCTGTAATGCCAGCACTTTGGAAGGCCACAGTCGGCAGATGGCTTGAGCCCAGGAGTTTGATTCCAACCCGGGCAACATACTGAGACCCCATCTCTACTAAAAATACAAAAATTAGCCAGTGTGGTATCATGTGTCTGTGGTCTCAGGGGTCTCAGGTACTTGGGAGACTGAGGAGGGAGGACCTCTTGAGCCGGGAAGGTCGAGGCTGCAGTGAGCCATGATTGTACCACTGCACTCCAGCCTGGGCTACAGAGTAAGACTCTGTCTCAAAAAAAAAAAAAAAAAAAAAAAAGCATTTACATAGGAGAATATATACAGTATGATTCAATTTATAGAAAGCTTAAAGTATAGGCAAAGCTAAACATTCAGGATATTTGATAAAACTATAAAGAAAACCAAGGGAATGAAGAATGCAAAATATGAGCTAGTGTTTTCCCAGGTGTGAGGGACGGGGCATGGTTGGGAGGAAAACAGAATGGTGCCATGGCGAGAGATACACAGGGGAGGTATTGGAAAGTTCTGTTTCTTAAAATGAGTGACAGGTACCTAGGTAGTCATTCTATATGTTATTAAAGTGTACACACATTGCTTATGTGAAGTCTTGTTATATGTGGCACATATCACATAATCTGAAAGAATCTGCTTCCTGTAGTAAAAATTAAAAAAATTATAGCCGGGCACGGTGGCTCACGCCTGTAATCCCAGCACTTTGGGAGGCCAAGGCAGGCGGATCACGAGGTCAGGAGAGAGACCACCCTGGCTAACATGATGAAACCCCGTCTGTACCAAAAATACAAAAAATTAGCCAGGCATGGTGGCGGGGTGCCTGTAGTCCCAGCTGCTCAGGAGGCTGAGGCAGGAGAATGGCGTGAACCCAGGAGGCAGAGCTTGCAGTGAGCCGAGATCGTGCCACTGCACTCCAGCCTGGGCAACACAGCGTGACTCCATCTCAAAACAAACAAACAAAACAAAACAAAAAAGGTTTAAGAAATGTTCTAGTACCTTGAAACCAAAATAGGTATCAGATACTTGGCTGTTTTGTTTTTTCTTCTTAGCCATTTTGACCTGTGAGATTTTATGTGATGAAAACATAAGAATGTGGTATTACACCCTGTGATTTGAATTTTCCATACTCCATTCCATTCTATATGTCAGATGCATCTTCCTAAAACACACCTTTGTCACATCACTCCTCTGCTCAAAAACATTCAGTGGCTCCCTGGGCCCTCTGGGACTAAGTTTATAATGCTCAGCTTGTCATTCCTTTGCCCAGTGTACTCTCTGTCTCACTAATTTGTTCATTATTTTAATGCATTTTCTTGAATACACTTCTGTAGACAGCCATAAGATGGGTAGCAGGAATGCTGCACTGAACCATAATCCAAAGCTTTCATCAGGTTCACTTGCTTCCTGTCCTTGCCACACCATCTGCTCATTCTCGATCTCCACTTGAACACACTTCACATTCTCCACTTGTGTATCATTCACTATTCTTGCTACATAAATTAACACAAATTTTGCAGCTTAAAACAGCACACATTTATTATTTCATGGTTTCTGTGGATCAGGAATCTGAGTATCAGACTTAGCTGGGTCCTCTGCCTAGGGTTTCACAAAGTTGCAATCATATATTGGCCAGGGTGTGTTCTAATTTGGTAGCTTGACTGGGGAAGAATTGGCTTCCCAAATCACCCAGATTACTAGCAGACTTTATTTCCTTGTAGCTTTTTGACTCGGCCTGGCTTCTTGCTGACTGTTGGCTGTTGGCTGGAGGTACCCCTCAGCTCCTAGAGGCATCAACAGTTCCTGAATATCTGGGCTTTTCCCACAAAGCAGCTTCCTTCATCAAGCCAGCAACAAGAGTTTCTGGGGCAAGTTGGTCAACAAGATGGTGTCTTACATGCCCAATGTAATCATGGAAGCCATGTATACCTCATCACATTTGCCAGATTTCTGCTGATTAATACCAAGTCAGAAGTCCTGCACACATTCAAAGGGAGGACACTGCACAATGGTGTGAATACCAGGTGGTAGGGATTATGTGGGGCCACCTTACAGTCTATCAGCCACAACTTGAAGTATCTTCTCTCCTCTTTGCTGCCAAATAATGTCTCTGAAGACTGTAAGACCTGAATCCTATCTAAAGTTGTCGGTGGTTGCTTCCTTCCTGAAAGCAACAAGAAGCCCATGAATGTCTTATGGCCTGAAGATCTGCCTTCAAAGACTACTACCTGTGTTGTCACAAATGGCAAGATTTCATCCTTTTTATGGCTGAATAATATTTCACTGTATATGTGAACCACATTTTTAAAAATGCATTTCTGAACCTGAAGGACATTATGTTAAGTCAAATAAGCCAGACACAGACAGACAAAGACATATGATCTGACTAACAATGTGGAATCTGAAAAAACCAAGCTCATAGAATAGAAACAGAGAGTGAGAATGGTGGTTGCTGGGGCTAGGGGGTCAGTGAAGTGGGGAGGTGTTGATCTAAGGGTTCAAACTTCTCGTTAATAATAAACCAGTTCTGGAGATCTAATGTACAGCATGAGTGGTGATGGATGTGTTAATTAATTCGATTGTGATAATCATTACACAATGTATATAGTAATCAAATCATTACTTTATAGACCCTGAATATATTCAATATTTATTTTTCAATTATATATATATATATATATATAAATATATATATATATATATATATATATATATATATATATATATATATATATATATATATATATATATATATATATTTAAAGCTGTCATGGAAAGCCTTAAAGTTAAAATACGAAGATTTTTGAGAAAAACTTTGCATATTTTAATTGCTGTCTGGAATCCTCCTTCAGCTGGGATGAGAAACCATCTCTGGGTTAGTTCTGTCCCTGGAGGTGAGGGCCAGACAACACATCAAAACTGACTTTTTATTTTTTTTCAAAGTTGTTAAGACTATCTAAGATTCAGATCTCCCTAATACTGTTCCTAGTTAGTATTTAGAACGTATTTGTTTAGAGGATACTAGCCTGAAATAGCCCTATCTCCAGGTTGTCTGATGCGATGAGGATGTGGTGTTAATCTTACACCTACCCATTAGTCTATAAAACTCCTGAGGGATGCTCAGGAAACCAAAAAGGATGTCTGCATGGAGGACAAGAAGGCACAAATCGTCTGATTTCACCCCATCCTAAGATCTTGTGACTTCAGCTTTGTTTTGGACTGGGGCATTGGATCTCCCACATGCCCTCTCTTAAGTCGTGCATTTGACGCATATTTAATAAGCACCTACTGTGTGCCATTAGAGACCATGATACAGTTTTGAAAGCCTAGCCTGAATAATGGATGACACCCTCCTAAAGCCACGATTTGGTCTTGATTATTTTTAGCACTATGAAGAAAAATTTCATTAAATCACAACTCTATTTACTTTTAACCCAACATGGTGAAGTTATCAACATATAATGCCTGTCTATACTTTCAGATGGAAAATGCCTAGATAAATACTGCATGGGACATTTTTAAACATGTAAAAAAATCAATTTTCGTAAGGTTACATCTTTTTACCTCTTTATATAAAACATGCTATATTAAAAGAGAGATTAAATTTTACCCTGTGGAGTAAAATGCAAACACAAAATTATTTTTTTCATTTTTCAGAGCATGTACTGGATTATCATTTATTTATGAGGCTTTTTTTAATCTAGAATATATGGAAATCTTTTCTTGAAGCACAATATAATATTGAATTGGGAATGTTGTCTGACAGTTTCCCTCTTACCGTTGCATAGAATGACTCTCCTGTATGAATTTTTAAAAGAAACTTCAATATGCTATGCATTTGAAAGGGAAGAAGTAATCACCATAATCTTGAGGTATCTTTTAAATAGGCTTCCTTCCAGTTCTTCTATGTTTCACCAACTTTTCTACAACAAATAATGCATCTGTGATTTTTCAGAACTCACAAAATGTCCAGCTTTCTTTCTTTTATTCAAAATTTATACTTCATAATTGAAGTTCACCTCCCAAAAGACATAGCTTGGTTTAGCATAGAGCTATGATGTGTTTTCTCTTTGTTCCTTTTGCACACTTTCCTTGTCTGGAGGCGTTGGGCTTGGATCCTTCATTCTTCATGAGGCTGATGTTTTTCCATTTCGGTTTCCTTAAGTGGTGAAGCTGCACAACCATGAAAGCAGTGACCACATAAAAATGCTGCTTTGAGGCCTGGTACCTCATGCCTATAATCCTAGCACATTGGATGGCCCAGGCAGGAGCATCACTTGAGGCCAGAAGTTTGTGACCAGCCTGGGCACTATAGTGAGACCCTGTCTCTACTCACATAAAAATATTAGCTGGGCATGATGGCTCATAGGTGTAGTCCCAGCTACTCAAGAGGCTAAAGGGGGATATTTCTTAAGCCCAGAAGATTCAGACTGCAATGAGCTATGATTGTGCCACTGCACTTCAGCCTAGGCAACACAACAAGACCCTGTCCCTTAAAATAAATGCTGCCTTGGGTATCTTAATCCTTTCTCAAGATTCCTTCTAAGGCTAACATTTCTTTGCCATCCCCACACTACCATCTGCTCACTTTTATATATCTTGACCATTTTATTTTTCATCCCATCTTCACTCCATGTAATTAGTTAGCTATTGCTGCAGAACAAATCACCCCAAAATTCAGTGATTAGTTTATAGGTAGCCCCATTTCACCCATCTCATTCTATAGCTCAGGTTGAAAGTTGAGTCATGAATTGGGGAACATTCTTCTCTTGGTGTAAATTAGTCACCAGTGTCTCATAGGGTTGGGCTGAAACTTAACACATCCCATCACTTTGATTGGCTAAAGTCAGTTACATAACCAAGCCCAGCTTCAGAAGGGAAATTGTATGCCTTACAAGGAGGTGAGAGGATGGAAAATGAATATTTGCTGAACAGACTTTCTGTCCAGTTTGTTGTATTTGGTGGTGGTGCAGGGCAAATATATGTTTAAAACCTTGTTCAGATTTTTAGCTTTCTTCAGAACAGAGCTTTTAAAACTGAGCATTTGTCCCCTAAATTCCAGCACTGCGGCCATGAGTAAAGGGTGCCCTGACCACGAGCAAATCATTTAGCTGGCTCACCTTTCATGCAACCTTGAATTCACCAGGAAGGAAGTTCATGCAGCCCTGGGTATGATGCCCTAATTTTGAGCCAAGCCAGCTAGAGTTCAAGTCCAAACCATTCCACTTCCTAGCTTTGGGACGATGAACAATTTACTTATGCTTTCTGGGCTTTGGTTCCTAAATTATTTAAATGGGGATGATTACATACATTCATCATTTTCACCTTCTCAAAGACCTTCTGGACAATTCCCCAATTCATAGCTCTGGGAGACAGTGTGTTGACACTCTATTTGACCACATCTTCCTAGCAGTCTTGCGGAAGGTGCCACTTTGCGAACGATCTGTTGCTAGGTAATGTCAATGACATGACTTTCAGTTTAGCACATGTACAGATGACCTTGTTTGGGCTTGTGCCGTTGGTAATTCAGTTTCAGGATTTCCGTTTGACAGAATATATTCAAGGGTGGTTTCTTGCTATCAGTTGTACCCTTGTGGCCACAGTTTTTCCAGATAACCAAGACTCACTAATATTTTCACAAGAACATTTGTCACCTAGGTCCAGATTTCAGAGGAAAAAAGTATACCGCCATTGTTCTTGTATAAACTTTATAAAATATTTGGGGAACATCACTAGCCACCTGCTTCCGAAAGTACTTAGATACTGTGTCATCTTAATACAAGACACTATGCACTAATTAAGCTGTTGTTGATGCTTTTTTGCCTTTTTGACAATTAAAAATAATCTCATACCACTGGATTAGTCTCTTGCCTTTCAATTTTATGTTTATATACAAATATATGTGCATACCAAATTTTATATATATATATATATATATATATATATATTTTTTTTTTTTTTTTTTTTTTTTGGTCGGAGTCTCACCCTTTCACCCAGGCTGGAGTGCAGTGGCGCAATCTCGGCTCACTGCAAGCTCCGCCTCCCGGGTTCACGCCATTCTCCTGCCTCAGCCTCCTGAGTAGCTGGCACTATAGGCGCCCACCACCATGCCTGGCTAATTTTATGTATTTTTAATAGAGACAGGGTTTCACCATGTTATCAGGATGGTCTCAATCTCCTGGCCTCGTGATTCACCTGCCTTGGCCTCCCAAAGTGCTGGGATTACAGGCGTGAGCCACCGCGGCTGGCGAAAATTATATATTATACACACAAACATACACACACGCACACACCAAATTTAAAAAGACAGATACATAGGCAGTTGTTATGCAGTGTTTGAAATAAATTTATTGCCAGCTATGGGTCATTTGGAAAAAGATCAATATGATGCATCAACATAACAAGTAAATGGAAATGAATACAACCGCATGGTTTTCTGAAAGCACGGTTTCCTGCGCGGCTTCCAGAATTGCATCCCTGACATTTGGAACATGTGTTACATGCTACAGAACATCTGTCTGTGAACAGGTTAATGGGAAAGGTGCATCTCTACAAACAAATATTACCTGTAATGCTGTTGTAGCTTTGTTGATTGTTGATATTACTTATGAACTTTCTTGCTTTTCAGAAACCACCACCACAAAAGAGGCAGTAACATTAGTATTACATTATACATCTTAGGCATTTTTTTCCTTTGCCCTTTTCGTAGGTTTTTGTTTGTTTGTTTTTTCTTGTCAGCCACTTCATCATGTTTGGTCTCTCGTCTTTGGCTGTGTTTTTCTGTTTCTAGTTATTGTGGGTGTTAAAAATCACTTTAATGATTCAGCAATAATTAGGAAGTCCCTATTTGTGGGTGTTACTTTACTAACTACCAGGGATGAAAAGGCAGGTTTTGCTTTGTTATTACGTCACAGTTTCGTCAAGGAGATAAGTACTTAAATTGCAGTAGAGTGTGACAGCATATGTCGACGGTGTGAGTGATATGGAATAAGAGTGAGACAGGGAGGCAGGGCAGGCTCCAAAGGCGAAGAGATGTCTGAGCCAAATTGAAGGGTAAACTGAGTTCACCAGGCAAACTGAGGAAGGGTACTCAGGCTGAAGGATCATGGGAGGGGAGGAGCGTGAGTTCCTCTTAAGTGAATATAAACCAGGGGGTAGGAAACAACATGAGATGAGGCTGGCGAGAGAGAAGGATGCTAGGTGAGGTGCTGTGGTGCGCCAGAGACTGCGGAAGTGGCTTTCTAATTAAGAAACAGAAGCCAGGAAACTCCTGTACTTCAAGGTTTTGGAGTGGGAAAGTTGAGGAAATGTAAGAGATCATCTCTGTCTCTATCACATTACCGACGGAGAAGTGGGATAAGAACTATGTGTGTTTTCACTTCTTCTTTCTTTAGAGAAAACAAATATCATCTGCCTTGCTAGGTAGTTGTGAGAAATGAGGAGATAATATCTTTAAATCTCCTACGGTGATACCTGGAACATGATGGTGCTTGGGAAATGTCTCTTCTTCTGAAATGAGGCTGCCTCGAAGACTCACTGGAACCCAAGCAAAGTGTCTCTGCATTTCACTCCGAGCCATCGACTTCTGTTCTGAATGTTAAAATGCAGGTGGCTGTGAGGGAGTCTTCTGAGTCATGCCAGCGTTTAAGGCGCTTGCTCTTCTTTGTGCACATTCCTGCTTTTCTCAAAGCCTATTGAAAGCAAGGGCCATGTTTGCTGTTTTCTTTGACAGAGGAAATTTTTTTTTTTTTTTTGAGACCGAGTCTTGCTCTGTCACCCAGGCTGGAGTGCAGTGGTGCAATCTCGGCTCACTGCAACCTCCACCTCCCAAGTTCAAGTGATTCTCCTGCCTCAGCCTCTTGAGTAGGTGGGACTATAGGTGTGTGCCAGCATGCCCGGCTAGCTTTTGTATTTTTAGTAGAGATGGGGTCTCACTATGTTGCCCAGGCTGACCTCAAACTCCTGCAGTACAGTATTGCACCTTCCTCGGCCTCCCAAAGTATTGGAATATCCGGTGTGAGCCACTGCACCTGGCCTCCAACAGAGGATTTCAGTCAATGCTGAGCACCAATTACAGATTGATTGCCTCTGTGATTCCAGGTAAATAACCTTGTTGTGGAGCTGAGTCTTTCATCAAAAACAAGGACTCCTGGCAGATGCCCAGAGGCATTTATAAGCAGTCCCATCACGAACAAATTGCCAAATGCAAGGCCTGAACAAAAGACACAGAAAGGATTTCTTTATCGTAAGCACACTTCTCTACATTACCTTTACAATCCAACAACTCTGGTATTAGTAAATTATAGAAACAACTTTTGTAACACTATCTTGTTTGCAGAGTATATGAAAAATTTGAAGTTAAAATTCAGCTCCACGAATACTGCAGTGGTGAGAAAATGGCGACAAAGATTAGTCTTCTGTGAGAAGTCTGCTAATTATTCTTCATTTAATAATGCCATGTATGATGGCCTTCATTAGAATGAATTCTTCTCAACACCTATGCCTCTTTCACCTCAGACATGCCTTCTAATTTTCTTTGGTAGTGTCTGCCCACCCAGGTGGTAATTTCTGGTCATAAGTCTAATTTAGTAGCCAGCTAAAGGATATCTGTGAACCCTTCGCAAAGAGTAATCTATTGAAAAGGAACAACAAAAAAGTATATCTGTGAACTTATTAAATGACTTTAATCATATGAAAATCAGCCATCAGCCTTATTAGAGTGGTTGATTTTTTTTTTAATCTAAGAGCTTTCTTGGTTATTTTCTGTTCTTAATCATTGTTGTATATCCTTAATGCGCAGGACATGACACCGTATAACAAGTGTTTTAAAAATATTTACAATTCTGATCTTATAAAGGAAAAAGTTACATATGGTCCTTTGAACTAATTGCTAAAATGACACTACATTAATTAGATAATTAAGGGTCTTGAGCATGTGGCTATTGTATTCATTGGGCTGGAAGCCAACCTTTTCTATAGCTGAGAAAATGGGTTAGCATAATTCAAAATTCAATTGCTGTACCCTTTTTCATATGAATAGATAATACAGAATGAGCCTTAAATCTGGGTTGGAAAAACTAACAGGAACTGGTTTTATTTTAATTGAGTTTTAAAGCACTTCTAGGCCATCTCATTGTCTTTATAGTTTAACCCTTTGAAGTTGTGACTGCCAACGTGCTAGTCTTGTCGTCTTACACGTTAATGGTAATGATCTTTTTAGATTTATTGTGAACCTCTAGGAATGTTTTTTTTAACCAGTAAATGCACTGAAACATGGAATCAAAGTCTCTTTCCCGTGGGCCCCTTTTCATTGGGAATAAATGCTACCCATAGATTGAAGTAGTTTATACCAGTACATTTTTTAGGTGCCTTAACTTACCAAGGTTATTTGTCAGGAAAATTATCTCTTGTAACACCAGGTTCCCTACCTTTAGATGACAGGACTTAATACAAAAGTTTTCCCCATACCAACTAGTAGTGTAAGTTGATTTCATATCCTTTTATTTCATAAAGTTTTGCTTATCGGGTTTGTCATCCTCTATTTGAAATTAAAATGTGTGGTCTCGAGATGACCTTAAAGTATCTGACCCCCAAATCTAATCACTCCTAGCATCTGTGAAAATTGACAAATATGTCAGGTATAACTTGGGGCATCAAAACATTGTTTTAAATATTTCGTTTGTAGACAAGGCAAAGATCATTTTCAGGTTAGTCCTCTGAGAAGGAACGCTGGGTGCAGAAGCATCTTTGGTTTCTCTGCTCTATAATCGGCACTCATTATCTATGGGTTTATACGAGCAGAAAATGTACAGTTATATGTTCAGCACAAGTGAATTATTGATTGGATTTACGGCCAGAAGAATGTTCCTAAGTGGTCAATACATGGCCAAAGTGTGTCAGGTGAAGGTAAAAATCAAGTAAGATCTATACTTTTGATAGCAATTGCTGTTGGATTATGTTACGCTTGTCATCTGAGGTTACTGTTGAATATAGATAAAAATGTTAATTGTATTAATTTAGACAAGAATGTGGCTTCAATGAGTATTTCTTACAAAGTGGGAGTATCAATTTTTCTTAAATGTAGAGATTTAGTTTTTCAAAAATTATATTTTTTATATGACCTGACGTTGATTGGCTTGCCTACATTCTCTTTTGGTGTATGATGACAGTTTAAAAATTCGGATGCATTTTGCACAGAATTAAGACGTTATGTGCAATCCTTGTGTTTCTAATTATATGTTGATCAATGACACCTTTACAAAACTGTCATCAGTCTATTGGTGGTTGATTGGTCCAACCTTAGCCCGATACCTCTATCTCCGCTTAGTCATTCCTGGTGGGTGACTGATGACCCCTGCTTAACAGTAAACTTGTTATGCATAGGGTTGTTAGAAAAGTCTTCATCAATTTGAGCCAAACTGTGGCTCCCAGCTACTTCCATCAGGGGTCCTTATTCCACCCTTTGATTGCAAAATGCCCTGAAGACCTGGTATGTCTTATGTCAGTTACAAGAGGCCCTTCTAGTGATGTACCGGGAACCTCCTATGGGAACCAGAGCTCTGCTAATTTTGGGGACAAGAAATGATGAAAAGAAGTGCCTTGTTCTTGGGGCATCACAGTCTCATGACAGAGTGCATGTTGTCAAATGCGCGTTTAATCTTCTTAAGCTCAACTTCATGCAAGAGACCTAGGAATTCACAGAGTGAAGATGATTTCTCCATTCCCTTCTCCGAGCAGAGCTCTTGAAGAAGATGGGAGTTAGGAGAAGTGAATCTTTTGTTTTCGAAGCCTTTGTCCTTGTGAGTCTCTTAATTGGGGTGTCTTGTAATGCAAAGTCTTTAAAGATGTGTGTTCCTGAAACTCAGGAGGCTGCTCTATCCCATGGTTCAACCAAAGAACCAGGGCCAAAGCAGTGCTGAAGGAACAACTGATTCTCTTGGCCCTCCTTAGAGTGAGGGTACAACTGGCTCCAAAGGAAATGTTGGCACTTCCAGAGTAATTCTGACAGTACTCAGATTTGCTTCATGTACCCATTCTAGAACCTTACCTACTCAAGTGTAAGATGAGATGCCACTGTGGTATCTTCAAAGGAATTTAGAATCATGTCTTAATGGCTCCATTAAGAAGAATTCTTTTTCTCTTTTCTCTGAAAAGCATCCCAGGTCATAAAATGTAATGTGGGATTGTAGGTTTTGTGGGAAGATGCACTTGGCAGCAATTCCTTGAGAGGAGGCCTTGAAATGTCAGGGTCCCCCATTCATCTTCCCAAGCTGGGATTGACCCAGTGATAACATAATGATAATGCAGCTGCTTTCAATGTCAAGCCATCAGGCAGCGGGTTGGGGGGGTTGCTTGGCCCAGGAACCCGTGCCCTGATGTGGAGTTGGTAATCTAGAGGGTTTTGAGTTAAGTGCTTTTGACATGGAAAATCAGGAGCCAAGGGCGAAGCTGCCTTTTAAATGCTCTTTCTGAAAGAGTCCACTGCAGATGTAATTGAGCCTCTCAGGTGAAGAGCTTTATTCGAGCAAAGCTGGTTAGTGTTGCATACCTGTTTGGGGGAATATTTTAGGCATCCTCACAAAACTGCTATGTGACATTGCTGAAGGTCCCCAGCCTCCTTGCTCCCAAACACTTCAAGAAGGAAAATGCTGTTGCAGAAATGTTGTCTAAGCTTTACCATTCAGTGTGGCCCAGATCAACCTGTCCCTTCTTTTTGTGATCACAGTGTGTAATTATAAAGTTATTTGTGTGTTTGGTTTATGTCTTCCACACTGGACTGTAAGATCCATGAGATCTAGGACCACGTCTGTCTTGATCATTTCTCCTTCTCTAAGACTAACACAAGGCCTGGCATAATCATTGTCATCACCATCACCATAGCTAGTATTTATTGCCATATACAGTTATGTAAAACATTGTAAGAAGTGCTTTACATCAGTTATTCCCAACCATGGAGTCATGAGTCAAAGATGGTCAAATTGGCCAAGATGAAGGTGTTTGCATTTTGGAGACCAAGCACTTGAATCCATAACCCCAAGATGTGACTTTCCAGGCTTGGGATTTCGCAACACGTCGCTTAATCTCTTAGCTTACATTTTGTCATGAGTAAAACTGAAACAGTAATTCCCATGTGCTGAGTTTGCTGTGAGGATTAAAGACAAGGACTGTTCTAAGCCCGGCATATAACGGGAGCCCATTATAAGTGAACTGAGGTGTTATTTTAATATATACCTTTTAAAGTTTGAGTGTTAGGCATGCTGTTGAGTGAAAGAAGACAGACTGTTACCAGAGGACATATTCTGTTCTATGATACCACTTGTGTAAACGTGAAAAGCAGGCAGGAATTTTCCATGTGAGAGAAGTCAGAATAGCAGTTAGCTTACCAGGGGGTGGTGATCTTAAAGGGGCAGGAAGGAGCCTTGTGGTATGCTGGAAATTTTCCATTCATCTGGTGATGTGATCACTTGGCCGTGTGCACGTGTAAAAGTTCAAGCTATATGCTTAATATTTGTGCACGTCGGTGCGTGTAAGCAATATCTCAAAACATTTGAGAGAATTTCCCATTCATTGACAGAATTTTTCTCCCGCCTCGGTCAAAGCACACAGTGGGTTTTCCCAACAACTGAGGTGCCTGAGGGTTGGGTGCCAAAGAGGCAGAAAGGCCGAGATGACCGCTTGACCTAATTCCCTATTCAGCTGAGGCCTCCACCCCTGGCCTGTTCAAAGGCAGTTACGGATCTTTTACTCAAAACCTGAACCTAAAAAGAAATTCTTTAGCCATGTCCGTGTGAACTAAATTCAGCGTCAGATGTACAAGGCTGTGGTTCTGACCACCCCCGGGCTATTTCTGACCACAGGACAGCTTAAATGGTGTGGCCCATAAAATGTAATCTGCAAACTCAGGCTGAATGTTGATCTATTTAGGGCCAAGAGAAGACCAGGCCTTGGCAGCAGTTCTCCCTGAGGTAGGATCTTAGGTCGAATGGAGACCATCACCCTGGCTGCCAGCCCCAGGAGGCTGGAAATTCGTTAGCATTCTTTATCTTTGGGGATCGGCCACTTACTTGTGGGGTTGACTCTTACAGCCTTTGACCACCTCCCAAAAGCTGGATTCACTGATGGGCCCCCAACTCAACTTTCACTGGCCAAAGTACTTGGGGTTAATTTAGCAAACCCCAGGATCCCCAGAGGGTCCCTCGGTATTGTGGTTTTCTCCTCGCTTCCACCTTATAGTGGCTCCACCAGGACCTCTTGACTCAGCCAGCACTCCTTCTCAAGTCACTTCGCAGCACAATCCGTTTGTTGTTGCTGTTGTTTTTTCTTTTGTTTTGTTTTGGGTTTTTTTTTTTGTTTTTTTTTGTTTTTTTTGTTTTTTTGCCTAATTTGTGCTTGGCTTCTCCACAGAGGCCTGGTTCTGGTCCCTTCCCCTGCAACCCCAAGGCAGGGGGCAGATTCCCGTATCATGGTGCTCCTTGGCCTGATTCTGTGGCCTTTATATTAGAACTCACCTTCTGGAATCTTTTATTGTCTTGTTCTCTCTTCCAAGCTGCGCATCTTCCTTCCCTTCAGAGGTTTGGTGATCAGCGTGGTGGCTCGTTTCTATAATCCCAGCAGTTTTGGAGGCCGAGACTCGGGGATCCCTTGAGCCCAGGAGGTTAGAGACCAGCCTGGGCAATATAGCAAGATGTCATCTCTACCAAAAAACAACAACAACAAACAAACAGACAAACAAAATTAGGCCAGGTGTGATGGCTTATACCTGTAATCCCAACACTTTGGGAGGCTGAGGTGGGAGGATTGTTTGAGCCCCGGAGTTCAAGACTAGCCTGGGCAACATAGCGAGACCCTGTTTCTTAAGAAAAAAGAAACATTTAATTAAAAATTCAGAATTGGAAGTTGCATTGAGCCAAGATCATGCCACTGCATTTCAGCCTGGGTGACAGAGCAAGATTCTGCCTTTAAAAAGAAAGAGGTTTGGTGCCAGGACGCCATGAAATAATTACTCTAGGTAACCTGAGGCTAGACAAACCTCTCCATGTCTCAGTTTCCTTCCTGGCAAAATGGGGAGGTAAGGCCAGATTTCTTCTCCTTTAGTTTTGTTTTTCTACTTGAATTCTATTTGTCATCCTCTGTACCTACCACCTGCCAGTTGCTGTATTAGATGCTGTTTTACTCATTGTCTAATTGAATTCTCCAACAACCTTGCAATACGCTTGTTATCTCCATTTTAGAAACGAGAAAATGGTGACTCAGATTAAGAAACTTGCTCAATGTAACCAAGTCACAATTTTAATATTAAAAATAATGAGCATTTATTAAGTGCCTGTTGAATGTGTAGGATTTTGCTAAATCTTTCACATAATCTCATTTCATCTTTATCATAGCCCTTATGGTGAAAATGCCATTATTCTTTGACATAGAGGAATTTTGATTCAGGAAGGTTAAGTAATGTGCCCAGTATCATCTATGTATAATTGATGGGTCTATAATTTCAGACTCAGGTTTGTTTAAGTCCAAAAATCATGCCATTATGACTGTGTACCATGTTGCATGCCTTCATATCCCCAATGGAAAAATCCCTTCTCCCACTTTTCTTAACCCTACAAGATATGCCAAGATTCTATAGCATCTGAATTTGAAAACCTCTACTAATTCATGAGGCAATCTATTTGATAATGGCATGATTTAGTTAGTGTTCCTTTTTTAGAGATAAAGCCTCACCCTGTTGCCCAGGCTGGAGTGCAGTGGCGTGATCACAGCCCACTGTAGCCTTGACCTCCCAGGCTCAACCTATCCTCTTACCTCAGCCTCTTGAGTGGCTGGAACCACAAGCAGATGCCACCATGCCTGGCTAACTTTTTTTTTTTTTTTTTTTTTTTGTAGAAACAGAGTCTCTCTATGTTGCCCAGGCTTGTCTTGTACTGGGCTCAAGCAATCCTCCCATCTTGGCCTCCCACAGTATTGGGATTACAGGTGTGAGCCACTGCGTGAGGCCCAGTTAGTATTCTTTACATTTTTAAAATAAAATTTCAGAGAAAGCAACCAAAGGGAGCATAACTCTGATAAGAATAATAAAAAGAAACAATTCAGCAACTCTCTTACAGATTTTTATCATCATCCCATTCATAATTGATTCCAAACGTGCATGAATCTTTCAAGATAAGTGTCTTATTGATTATCCTGAAAACAAGCGATCACTTGGTGTCCTGAGATTCGCTCACTGCCCTCCCCTGATTACCGTAAACAGAGATGTTGATGAGAAGAAATGTCACTTTCTTTGGTGTTGGATCCATAGGACATTTTGAGGAATTGGGTGTGGGGAGTGGAGGGAGTGAAGTGACCCAGATAGGGAGGTGCTTGATGGCTTGACTGTGGCCTTCACCTTGCTTTTTGTGGAGCTGGATATAGACATTTGTTGGCCAGCTAATACTGTCTTGATCTGTTATATGATCCTTAGGCCAGGACTTTTTCCTGGTAATTGTGCAAAATGTCCCAGTGAATGCCAATTCCTTGCTGTCAGGAAACATTAAGTTTCCTAAGTGACATCCTTTTTCTGCATGTTTACTTATGGTTATGTAAATCAAGCGGGCCTCCCCATTGGAAATGATGGCAGTGGTTACAAGGGACTTCACCTGGTCTTTTGTAGTTGTGGCAAATAGATAAGATACAAATGTGACCTGCAATTCAGTTCAGCATTATGAAGCTGTATCTGCTCCCTGGGTGGTGGTCACAGCCCTGCTTTGTGGCCCTAACCCTTGCCTTCCTGCTGGCGGGCCTTGCACAGGTGCAGAGAGGGGGTTAGTATTGGCAAGCTAATTGGATAAATGGTGAAGTTTCCCCTGGGTGGCTCCATTGCTCCAGGTGAAGCTCTTGAAATACTCTGTAGATGACAATAGCCTCAAACTTGAACAGGTTCTTGCAGTTGGCAAACAGAAGGAGACCAGACTCATAGGTTTTGGGTGCGGATAATGGATAATCTGGCTATTGCATTTAATTCCCAGCCTGATTTATTGAGGCTGCCTTTGGTGAAATATTGATTTATATCTTGGGGGGCCAGGATGGGGCTACTCTGTACTCAGATGAGGCTTGCTCTCAGGAAGTTCTTGTTCAGCAGCAAAAATCTGCCCTGTTTGGGCTCTGAAAGTTATTTTTGTAGTGGCCTCACAAGTTTCTTGTAGCAGGTCATGAAGAGGAATGAAATACTATAATCACAGAGCTTGCAGAAGCTGCCTGGAGGACCAGTTAGTCTATTTTTTGTACATGAGGATACTGAGGCTCAGAGAAAGTGAGGTCATTGAGTCACTTGAGTTCTTGTTGAGTGTTCTTTCCTGCTGAGGTGTCCTAGGTGCCTCTTAATGCCTTTAACATCTGCTAAGAGTATGTCACTTATTGACGTAGCATCACTTTATTGAGCAGCTACTATGTACCAAACACTTAGCATATGCTTTTTGGCATTAGGAGCTGAACCCAGAGTGGTCTCTGTGGAGAGGTGCAGGTTTACCCAGGGTGGTGGTAGTGGTGATGGGGTGGTAGTGATAGTGTTGATAGAAGAAGAGGAGGAGGAGGAACTTCTCAGGAAGAAGTGGCAGTTCCCTCCTTTGTTTCTTATCTCTACTGTTTAGCAGCCACTCTCCAAAGCCTCTTGCTGGGAATGTGGCCATCATAGAAGTAAATGAGACATCTCTTTCATCTGCACCAACCTCCTTATTAAGACCTTATCAGTTACCTGTAGATTCTCCCACTGTTGTACTTGTTTCTCCCTCAACCAATTGTATTTTAGCTCTCAAGTTTTGGCAGGGTTGAGTCTAGTATTTCTGTTGGGATCCGGGGAGCATATGGAGTGTTGTTTGTTATTTTTTAGAGTTTCTTATTGCGGTAAGTGCTCAGGAGGGAACAGAGGGAGAAGGATAGAGGAAAAGCAAAGCAAAACAAAATAGAAAAGCACAAATGAAGAATATTTAGTCCATTCTGTATTAGTCCTCCTTGATGGGGGGACACATGCCAGCCAGGTTACCTGATTCATCTAGTTGTGATTTTATTGACAGTCATTTCTACCTTGTTGGTATCCGCAGAGGTTGTCTTGAAGGGGGCTGATGCCTTCTTTCACTAGCTTTATGTGGCTGGCAGTTCTGTCCTGCCACTCTTTTCCTCATCATCTCAGCCTCCCTGCCCATGGCACTCAAGAGTCCACCTTGGCAGAACCTGCAACTCTTCAGCGCCTCCCTAATGAACTCCTTGCAAGGGCCCTTGGTTAAGTTACAGTAGAGAAGTGGTTGCTTAAGCAAGTAGTTTCCGGTAAAGGCATAAAGATAGCCCATAATTGGGTGATAAAATACCTGGATTGCATCTAAAAATAAAGACTTGTGAAGGTAAAACTGTAGCTTACAGTGTGCGACTGTTTACCTTCTTTTGGTTTCTTCTCATTTAATAGGTTGGTCATCTCTCTGCTGGCTTTTTCCCCCTTTTTTCTCCCTTCTGTAGAATAACATGTGGACCATTAACTATGATGCTACTTCTTAGCTGCAAGGGGGGAAAAATGGAAAACTCCAGGGGAAGAGGGTCTTTACTTAGGGAGTTGGCATTTGTTGGAATTTCCCAAGAACATTTCATGATTAGTGACAGGTTATCTTCTAGTTTACCTGAAGGCTATGGTCACTCAACAAATTTTGTGTTGCTTCTTACGTGTCACGCACTGTGATAAGTCCTAGGATTATAGAAGTCAATAAGCTATGATGCCTATCCTTAAGGAGAGAAACACATATAGGATAGGAAAATAGCTTGCCATGTCTGATAGATATTAGGCATTCAGTCTCTCTCTCTCTCTCTGTTTATTATAGATAGAAATAAAAAAATTATAAATAGAAATTTATTTCTCGTGGTTCTAGAGGCTGGAAAATTCAAGATCAAGATGCAGACAGGCTTGGTGTCTGGTGAGGGCTGCTTTCTATCCTTCAAAAAGGCACCACGTTGCTGTGTCCTTATTTGGTGGAAGCAAGTGTGTTGAATATTCTAAGAGGAATCTGAAAGTGTTATAGTATTAAGGAAGACAGATCCAAGATGGTGGCAATGGTCAAGAAGGGTGCGGGAAGAACCCTTCAACTCTAATATTATTTGAGCTGCTCACTGATAAATAAATAGGATTTTCCCAGTTGGGGAAGAGGGAAAGGTTTTTAGGGAGCAGATTAGACAAGAAACATTGAAAACACAAAGTGTATTTCTTGATACTTGTTAACACTAGGTGTTGAGGAGACATAACCAAGTTCTCCTGCAGTTTGTGTGTTAAGGCAGATGGAAATGTCTTGTAACTCAGTAAAACAGTTTAGAAATTTAAAGCCTTTGGAGAGAGTAAGTATTGAGAAGGCACATCTCTACGTTGTTGACGTGAAGGAGTTGCAAGGTCGGGTAGATGGGATCAGTGCCAGGTCTAATGGGCTTCATTTGCAAGACCTAATTTCTAGCAGATCATGGTGTAAGCCTCAAATGGGAGGTGTGCCTGGGATGGTTGCAGAGGAGTTGTTAAGAGCTCAGACTCCAGCGTTTAGACAACACCAGCTGCTACAAAGGACACTGTGCATTTCTAAATCTGAGTTTCTGCACACGTATGGAGGAGTAATATGGCACCTCCTCATTTGGTTGAGATGCTCTGGGGTACACGTACAAGGCGCTCAACTCACGGTGGCTCCACCAGTATGAAAATGTGTTATCTGCCCTAGTCTGAAGTACAGAAGTCAGGTGGTGAGAGGTGACATGCCATGATGTGGTTCTGCTTCTCTGAGATTGTCTGTCAGCTTTTCCCTCAGTTTCACCCCCCTTTCTCCCTTTTTCAAGATGGTTTTAGCACTTCCAGACATTATAACCAGATAGCCTATTGCTAGAGAACAAAGCACCTTCTCTTCCTATATGTACCTCTTGGGAACAAGGGAACCTTTCCCCAAAGCCCCTCAACACACTTAGGCTGACATCTCCTTGACCAGAACTGTATCAAATTTACATAGCCTCAAATGAAGCATCTGGGACCACCAGGATTGGGTGTTTAGGCCATGGAAGAGTAACAGCCCAGTACACAACTGTCTCCAGTGGCCAGCACGTAGACCTTCCCTCACACTTTCCACTCTCTGCATCCCCTCTTCCCTCTCATGTATCTCTATTACATGGAGCCTCACTTTATAGTCCTCATTAAGAGACTGTGGGGTGGTAGACAGATAACAATGTTAACATCAGGCAAATGGGTTTTGGATTTAGGTTACCATCATTTATCTTCTCTGTAACCTTAGACGAGTTGCTTGAGTTCTCTGAGTCTCAGCTGACCAAGCTCTAAAATGAGCATAACC
The DNA here is from genome assembly GCF_000001405.40 of Homo sapiens. Lineage (NCBI taxonomy): Eukaryota > Metazoa > Chordata > Mammalia > Primates > Hominidae > Homo > Homo sapiens. The sequence goes on from NC_000016.10 coordinate 78,591,669, forward strand.
ATATCAGTTTGTGTTTCCTGTTACAGGGAGAAAAGACTGAGATAACTAAAGTACCTGATTGAGTAACTGCTCTCTGAAGGTGGAGGCTGGACTGCTTCACTGGACAGGGTGGCCTGGGGTTATTCTAGTGCAGTGGTAGCTGGTGACAAAACTCAAAGAAGATGTAACTAGAGAAAAGGTACTCAGTGCAGCCTCTGTGAGCTACCACCACTGCCTCTAGTTTTCCAGAAAACCACCACTGACCACTCTCTGTACAGATGCGCTCAAGCGACCATAACCACCAGTGTTCCTAACAATGCGCCTATTGACTTCTTATTTCAATAGATATCCAGATTGATTATCCCTCAAGGTAAGCATCGATTTTACCTTTGTCTCAGTCAATATTTACCTCTGAGGTCAATACGTGTGGATATTCACCTCAGCTGCAGTCAATATCCATTTCGTATTACAATATATGATGTGCATATGTGAAAATAAAGAACAGCATGGTACAAAAAAGGTCTGCTAGGCAAAGAAGCTTTTTGCAAAGCGGATGTGTTTTTGTTTTATTTTTTGTTTGTTTGTTTTTACTGTGTCACTTTTTAGAGGTCAGATTCTATTTCACTAAATAGGACATATGTGTCTTCTGCCAAGATGTGGAATTTTGGCAAGGCTAGCATGATAACAAATAAACATTCAAGCAGTCACTTAATGATATTGAATTGAACACCATTTCTCAGAAGTTCCTGTATTAAATTACAACCATAAGAACATACACAAGCATGCAGATTGTAAGTGTGATGAGAATGGAAACATTCCATAGGACGCAGAGTTATTCCTCAAGCCCCTGGACTCGCAGAGAATCAGGTGTATGAAGCAAGAGGAAGAAGACAAGAATCAGGAGGCAAAGAGAAGGAGGAAGAAGCCTCAGTGGGGTTGCTTCTTTTTATTTCTTAGAGCCAGAGCTGGAAGACAAGGCCTGGCATATTTTGGCAGGCCTGGATCAGAGCCTAGGTGTGTAAATTAGGAATTGCATTTCGCTGCTGCTAACAAGGACCCAAACATGGTGGTAAATTCTTCCACATAAAACAACAGAAAATAAGTTGTTTTCTGGCCCTGGGCTGGGGTGGCCACTCCACCGTCATCGATGATCCGGGCTCCTTTTCTCTTTCTGCTTTGTGACATTGCTTCTATCTTCATGATAACTCGCTGCCCAGAATGACCAGGCAGCATGAAAACGAAAAGGTGGAGAGGGAACTAACTTCTTCCCTTTTGAAGAGCTTTCTAAGAAGCCCCACCCAACACTACTGCTTCTCTCCCAGTGGTGGTGATTTAGTTGCTTGAGCACAGATAGCTGCCAGGGAGGCTGGAAAGTACAGCCTTCAGTCCTAGCACCAATGTGTCTAGGCAAATACAAAAGCTCTTTAGCCAAGGAAGAAATGACAACGAATATTTGGGACCCACTGGGAGTTTGTGCCAAACCAGGTGTCATTGCCCTCCCCACCCTACCTTGCTCCCCTGGAGTGTATCCTGATTCTTTTGAGGATCACTTGATCCTGATTTTTTTTTTATGTGTATAGATGGGATTTCATTATATTGCCCAGACTGGTCTTAAACTCCTGGCCTCAAGCAATCCAGCCACCTCGGCCTCCCAAAGTGCTGGGATTATAGGCTTGAACCACCATCCCTGGCCTTGATACTGATATTTTATTGTCCTAACTGACAGTTTTGTCTGCCCAGCATTTTCCCCCATCACCCTTGTACTATCCCATTTTCCTTTGCCATGCACCTGTCTTCCTCTTCAGGATTGATCACAAAATCAAAACCATTCCTACCAGCCAGAGGTGGGCACATGACCCAGGTCAGACCAGTCACAGTTCCTGATTCCCGGCCACAGTGCATGATGGGGGAATGAGCATATATCAAACCAGGACAGTCCAAGTCCTTCCGGGGACTTTGCTGCCACAGTTGACAGGGGGAGGTATTTGCATAACTTCACCACACACAGCTAAGCTGGTGATCCTGCTGCTTGGCAGCATCTTCCCAGCGTACAACAGAGGAAAACTGCCTGTTGTAGTTAAAAAAAAAAAGAGAGAGAGAGAGAGAGAGACTGATACACAAAGAGAATCAGAAAGGAGTAGAGATGAAACAAAGATAGAGCTAGCATGATTGCAAGCTGAGGACATACGAGGAGTCCCTGGGTCAGCTGGGCCATACATTTGTAAGCTGTAGACAAACAAAAATGATCTTTGGGTTCCTTCTTTAGCAATTGGAGTTGGAGGAGGATGACCTTAGTTTGCGTCTTTGTCCCACTATCATTATATCCAACTTGTGTAATTAGAAACACTATTTAAGTCTCAGTTTCGTCTCCTGTCAATTGGGAAAATATCGTGAGGCGGAGATGTGAGATGTGATCACGTTTATAAAGTCTGCGGCAAGAGGATGATAAAGTCACTTCTCAACTCCTTCTCAACTCCTCCTCCTGGCTTATTAATGCCCATCCTTTAACCTGTCCTCTGCTTTATCTCTTGGAATCCTTAGGGCCTTTTTAACCCCATATACGAAGCAAACCTATGTGTATGTGTTTGTGTGTGCATCAATTCATATGGTCCTCTGCAGCCTTGCAAAGTCGATTCCTGACATTTCCGTAGACTGTTTTTTTTGTTTTCAGCAATACTCTCCAGCAGCAAAACCCAATCCGCTCATATTCTTGCATTTGCTGCAGCAAAACCTGACCTCTCTTTGTGTTACCTGAGTCTTGACGAAGAAGACTGAGGAAAGGCCCCCCCCCCCCCCCCGCCAAATTGTCCCGTTGTCTCTTGGCTGGTCTTGCCAGCTGGCACACAGCTTCCTCTGACCACCCTGCTAGGTACAAATCCCACATGAAAAGTCTCAATCACCTGGCTCAAACTCATAGTTTTCAGGTGGCATAAGCCATGGCATTTTCACCTCCTTTCCTGGTTGTTTCCAGAAAGGGATGATAGCCCCAGTGCAGTGGCTCTGTATTTCTCAGGGCAGCGTGGGACCTCAGGGTTTGTCATGGACCACACCTTTCTCCTTTGTCCCTTTTTATAACTCATAGGCTACCTCCAACTTGACACTTATTTAAGTTTTTATTTATTTTATTTAGCATTCAGAAAACTCTATAGCCTCAGTCTCTCGGGATGTAAATTAAAGCAATTTCATTTTCATAGTTTCTCTGTTTCAAATCCCTCATTGTTTATTTAAATAGCAGCCTATGCATATTGCAAGTAAAGAATTATAATTAAGAGAACCAGAAGGGCCTGTCTCTCAGGAAAGCAGTGATTTCCTTTCACAATAACCCTATCCTTACTGTTGAAGACTTGTGGAAAAGGGACATGGCCCAGGGAACCAGAGTGGTTTGGGAAAGCACTTTGTCAAGAGGCTTGGGGACCCCAGGGTGGAAGCTGCCATGCGCATGAGGCTGTGTTAGCAGAGGCAGTGGCAGAAGAAGACATTGCAAACCTGCAAAAGCAACCTCTGAGGATGGGTAGACATATACTTCATTGCAGGCAGCTGCTGCTGAAATAGATTTGGAGTCAGATGTCATATTCCTGCCAGCAGGTTTAGCAGTCGTGGGACTAGGGAAGTGGCAATGGCAGGAGCAACTGGAAATGTCTTTTTTTTTTTCCTCCTTTTTCCTGAATATGGAACCAAAGCCTGTGTTTTTCTTGCTCACATGTGAGTCTTCTCCTTGCTTCAACCCTCCCCGCTGACAGCCACAAGACTCCTGCCTCCCTGCAGCCTGTGGAACGTAATATTCGTTGGGATCATACATTGACCAAAGATCCGCCATGTCTTTGCAACTAACATACTCACTCATGACTTCACGTGGCTATGTACAAGACCACATCTCTCAATGGTGAGGTCCTCAATCTCTCCCTCCCCACCACAGTTAGCTATCAGAGATATACGGTGTCCTTAAGATAGGGCAGGCAGGGCCACCTGCCCCCCAGCTGACCAGTGTGGATGTCTTGATGATGAGCCATACTCAGAGTGGCCCTAGGATGGCTCCTCAGATAGCTGCTGGCAGAAACCTGCACTCAGTACATCTATACATGGTGTAATGATTGACTCAAGATAATTAGCATAGCCATCATCTCAAACCTTTATTATTTGTGATGAGAAGATTCAAAACCCGCTTTTTGAACTGTTCTGAAATATGCAATACCTTGTTGTTAACTGTATTCACCTTTCTGTGCAACAGGGCACCAGAATTTATTTTTGCTATCTAAAATATCAATTAAAAATACAATAAAACTAAAAAGAAACCTGAACTCAGGAGAGTGGAAAAGAACTTCAACATTCAAAGGGGATAAGACATATACTCAGAGTGGGAAAAATACTAAATGGTAGGAAGATGAGAAGTTTTTTACTCTTTGTTGTTTCTGCTCATTTTTTATATTCAAAATTTCTAATCATGTGTGACTATATATGTATTATACATGGTAGGACTTATTTTTTTAATGTGAAAGAATATAAAACAAAATACGATATTATCTTTTGAGTGATATCAACAAAACAAAACATGATATCCAAAGTCACCCTGTATGGTTGGATACTTTGGGTTTGCCATCTTTTCTTTTGTTCATTTGTTTCATGCAATAGAAACGTTTTGAGATCCTGTCTGGCTGGGTTCTGCTAGGCCTGGGTCTACAGCAGTTTGCTGTCAAGGTCTTGGCCCTTCAAGAGCATGTAGTGTGGTGGGGAAGGTGTACATCAGTGAAGAGGTAATCCAGGTCACGGTGGGATGACACAGGCTGCTGTGGCAACCCACAGCAGGAATAGCCAGTCCTGCCCCAGCAGGGCGTATCAGGGGTGCTAAGGTGACTTCCAAGATTGAGGTTGGCGAGATCGTGACAGGTGTGCAAGATGGGGTGTTCCAAGACTGGGGACAGGACAGGTGTGCAAGGACCAGCCAGCTGAGGTAGAGGAAACCTAGACCTATGGAACATGCTGATTTCAAGGTCCATTTGTGGGGAGAACACGGACTGTGTCATTGGAAGCCAGCAGGGAGAATCAGTTGAGAGGTAAGCCGGGCCTAGTAGAAAGTAAGCGAAGCCCTTTCATTAAGTGAACGAAGGGTGCATGGTGAGTACACAGCCATGAAAATAAAATGATATAAATCAGCACGGTTTCAGCTGCCCTCATCTTTCTACTGTGATCTCAGCAGTGATGGGGCTGGCTTTGAGGGTTGGAGATCACACACACACAATCAGCCAGCTCTCCAAAGCAAGCCCCACACTCTCTTGATGCTATCCTCAATAAACATGCGGTCTAAACAGTAACCATGTTCTAGCTATGCAGATGCAGTTTAAAGACAAATCCTTTGAGCCTCCAGCATGCGATCCCCTCCCAATCTCATTGCTGCTCCCCTACCCTCTTCTGCGTAGAAGCGCTGGAGCCAGGTGCTTACGACCTGGGTGCTAGTATCTTTGTGAAAACTGCTCCTGACCTATTGCTTTGTTTATTTTAGCCGGTGCCTTTGTAGAGGGAAAACAGCTTAGCAAGCATTTAGTAGGTAGATCCAAAGTCCCCAGGAGCTGTTGGGAAGTCCATAGGTGCTGTTTCCATTGCTTTTTCATTCCTTCATATATTAATCAAGGAGTCAGTCAATCAATTAAACGGATACTATTAGCACCTACTGTGTGCCGGGCACTGTACTTGGGGCCATATGCACTGCTGATTCATTCATTTGGATTCTACGGTGGCTCTTTACCCATTGCCATCATTTTGTAGGCAGTGAGTGCCCGCATCAGTGGGCGTTTTATGTTGCACCATTTTCTGAGCAATGTCTTTGGTCCACCATTAAGCATTTGTGGCCGCCCACCCCACAATATGCTTTGCTTTCTGCTTTCAGAAACAATACTGGTGACCTGTTTTAAGAAAAGCTGAAAAGCCAGGACTTAGATTTTTCTGGAAACCTTCAAATTAACCTCATTAAGTTTAAAATTGTTTTTTTCTCGTTCATCTCTCTTGCTTTTATGCTTTCCAAACCCCTAAATTGTGGTGCCTCAGTGATCTTCTATAACATAAGTTGATAGTCAATAATTGCTTAATGGGAATCATAAATATGAGTTTATTTATATGTGTATATATATATATATATATAAAATATATTTCCATGAATATACTGAATGCTAAGCCCTCCCCACTTTTTTTTTCTTTTTTAAATTCAGAAATTTCTAGTTGTGTTTATTCCCCTCGTCAGCATACTTTATCATATCAGAGCCTTTTCAGACACTGTAAAACTACTGAGTTATGTTTGGGTCATGTTTTGCGGTATGCCCTTTAATAGTGTAGCTTTAGAAATGCAATTTTCAGCCTCTGCTTATTAGAATATGATAAAGTATTCCTGGTCTATGTCCAGCTCCACTAATCTCCAGACTGCGCTTCATGAATTAAGCATGAAGATTTTAGTCAATGTGCTTTCAAAGACCAATGTTTAGGGAATCATGGATTTTCTACAAGCTGAGGGAGAAATCTATAATAGGAGGAACTGATTTTCAAACATCATATTCTCAAGAAGAAATGACCACTTCTGGCCCAGAAACAGAAAATATTTCACTATCAGAATTTTCTAGAACCAGTTAAAACCACATTGTGCTGTTAGGTTTAATAAACGGATTGTGTTTTAAGATGTGTAAGACTGTCTGTCACGTGGGAGGATTTCAAATGACTGCTTATTTTGGAAAGCTCATGTAGACTGGGTTAAAATCGAGAGGGGAATGCAAATTGAATTTATAAGGTATTATTAACTTCTTCCTCTTTCCCCCCGCCCTGGCCCCTGTGCATTTTGGTTCATTTTGCTCTGATACAATTCAGCAAATAGCCAGATATTTCTTGCCATGGCGAGAGCTTAGTTGGGGGAGAGATTTTGACCAGGCAGGCTCTCAGGTCGGTGCCATCGGTGACGCCAACACACCTCCTGGCTTGGTGTGTTTTGTGGCATTTGGCAGGCAAACGTTTTGAAAAGAAATCTCCTTTCAAAAATCACAGCACTGGTTGAAGCAGGAGCATCTCTCCCCTTAAATGCAAAAGGAGTTAATATGCCAGTGACTACAGTGTGCCTGGAAAGGTCACTGGAGGCATTTTTGTCTGGGGCAGCCCCTGGAGTCTTGGCTTTTGTGCTTGGTGAGACCTTATCTGGCCTCTTCATTGTCCCCTTCATACAAATAGATAGCTTTTAGTGAGCAGCTACTCTGCCTGGCACTGTTCTAAACACATGACACCAATAGCTCACTCAGATTCCCGCCTCTCAACAGGGAAACTGAAGCACAGGAAGTTTCAGTGATGCACTTAGGCAACCAGTAAGTGGCAGGGTCGGCATTGAGGTCAAGACTGGTTGGACCCCTAAGTTTGAACAATCAAACTGGACTTTGGGGCTCACAGTTTGTTTCATGTCAGGAAGGTGTCCGATCAGAACCTGAATGCCAGCTCAAGCTGCTCTCAGCTAAACTCCAGGGGTTGCTGATGGAGACTTCATCCCCTCCTCCAGTCCCGGGATCAAGACAGAAATGTAAATCACCTCCAAGAATGGGTCTGCGTCTTGCACATTTTCCTTTTGAGAAAGAGGAAAATTCTCAGCTGGTCTAGCTTTGTCTGTGAACCTCCGGGATCTCTCAGGGGCTTTAAATTAATTAATCAATCCACAGACATTGAACTGAATCTCCACCTTGGGCTTGAGACTCTGCAAAGTGCATTAAATGGGAAGGAAACCAAAGGGCCTGCTGCCCTGCCCCCGCCATAGCCTAAGGCTGTGGCCATGGCTGGGGAATTGGCCTGTCAGTTCAATCAGGCAGCCCCTCTGACTGGTGTTTTTCACTAAGCTGGCCCCATGGATGGCCCTGGTCATGTGTAGACATGGCCTCAGGAGGGCCACATTCCTCTCATTTCCAGGCCTCCCCACTTAATTGTTCCTGACACAGTTTGGGGAGAAATGCAGCAAAACCCAGGCCTGCCAATCAACATTTGCTCCCGAGTCTCAGAGCGGCCCCTGAAGAGACAGGTTGGACCAAGGGACATCCACAGATGCCTTGTGTTTAGGAAGTGGGGTGTGGGCAACAGAGGGAGAATTGTTACCCCCGGGAGACTGGGGGTGCTGAAGAAGAGTCTCAGTCTCTGCACTCTGGGTCTTGCCAAAACCTCTGGGATTGGGTGTGGTGTCCATGTTGAGGAAGGGACAGTGAGCTCTCTAAATGACAGTGGGTCAACCACCGCATTTCTAGGACTCAAAGATGCCGTGGGGGTGTATTAGTCTGTTTCCTTGCTGTTGATAAACACATACCTGAGGCTGCATAATTTATGCAGGAAAGAGGCTTAGTGGACTCACAGCTCCACATGGCTGGGGAGGCCTCACAACCATGGTGGAAGGCAAGGAGGAGCAAAGTCATATCTTACATGGTTGGCAGCAGGCAAAGAGTGAGCTTGTGCAGGGAAACTCCCCCTTATAAAACCATCAGATCTCGTGAGACTTGTTCACTATCACGAGTAAAGCACAGGAAAGACTTGCCCTCATGATTCAGTTACGTTCCACCGGGGCCCTCCCACAACACATGGGAATTGTGGGAGCGACAGTTCAAGATGAGATTTGGATAGGGACACAGCCAAACCATATCACAGGGTCACCTGTAGGTTACCGTAAATAAGAGAAACAGACCAAGTAGAGACTCAGCATAGCTGGAGGGGGGGCCCCAGATGACGGAAACAGCCCCCCAGCTCCAGCCATTTGTTACTGGGTTGTTTCCAACAGAATCAAGGACTCGGATTTTTATGTGAAGTCATCTCCATTTTAAGTATTCTTTTCTTTCCCCCCAACCCTCCGTGGGTTAAAGCATCCATGTTTACAGAATGAAAGATGAGGGCAGGATACCACTTCTCCTAGGGATCATCATCATTTTGTGGGGCTATAGTCCAGAGAGGTGAAGGACCCATCTTGTGACTGCACAGCTACCCTGTGGCATGACTGAGACTATAATCTTCTGGATTCTTCAGGAAACCCTGGTAGCTGATGAAACTGCCCTAGAACGACAGCAAGACAATAGGGCCATGAAAGCATAAGCCCTGAAGTCTGGACACTGAGAGAATTCTAGGCTTGACTTCTCTGTACAGCCATCTTGGGAGTGCTCAACCCTTTGAATCGGATGTCTAGAATGGACTCAGATGTCACTGTGCAGGTGACTCACGCCTAGAATCCTCTGCCTATCGTGACAGGGAGAAGCCTGTGTGACCCTGTGGCCATCTCAGTCTCTGCAGGGCATCTGTAGCTTTGGAGGTACCTGGGCAAGAGACTGCCTTTCCTACTAGAGCTTCTGCCATCCCTCTGTCACTATTTAAAGCATTGCCTGCACCCTCAACCTCGTTCAGTTTCCACATAATACCTGGGGCAGGGATGTAAATACCCTGATTTTATGTGTCAGGCCTTCAGGACTCAGGGTGTATAAGTGACATGGCTCCTCGCACAGCAGGGATGGAGAGGCAAACCCAGGTTGGCCTCTCTGCCACTCATATAGAACTCCTTTATCACCAAGATTCCTTTCTTCTTCAGTGCCACCTGCCTTATTTTACTCACCCAGAAGGAAGCCGGGTCCCTCTTTGCCCCTTTGGGTGTTTGTGAAAAGCAAGTTGCAAACTCTGAATTCTATAAACTGTTGGAGACAGATTCTGGAGAGACACTCAGGCTTAGCTCTAGAAAGAAACGGGTAAGACAGAGGAGGTTCAGGGCAACTGTGTTGCCTTCCTTGACTGGTGCATGGGAATTCCCCAGCAGAGAGAAAAAAAAAAAAGAAAGGAAAAAAACCAGAAAGGAGAATAGAATCTATTATCTCCAAGCCATTATTCACACACACATACCCCACCGCCATTTTCCAAATTGTAAGGTCTTTTTATATAAGCACTTTCCGTTAAAGGGGAAGAAATAGCTTTACCCGTGGTGTAAAATATATACTTTCTAATGTAAATCAAGAAGCTATGAATACCATAATAAGAATGTGGTAGTATATTAATTGATGGAAATTGTAGAGTGGAATATTCATAATCAGCAGAAGTCTTTTCTCTGGAAGGAACAAAGGATTAAGTTAGGGAGACAGTAATGGTATTGTTAGCAGGCTATTTCAATGATTTTCTCTGCGGAAGAGTAGGGAAAGGTGACATTCCAACTGGGAATATTCGACTCTGCAGATCCCTACTCGGAGTTTTTCAGCCCTGTTTTAAGTGCCGAGCTGGGTTTTGCCTCATGATCCAATTGTTTTATTAGCGAAATCATCATCTGTTTCATTTTGCTTTGGTAATAGTGCAGTGTCTGTCTAACAATAAATTATAGAGTCAGGCAAACAATGGTTTCGTATTAGGGATATAATGAAATATCTTATTAAAATGCAGACTTCCTTAGGTTCCTGAAATTAGAGTCTTATTTTAAAATGATTCTGTTGGGCTTATTACACGCTTTTGAACTAATCACACTAGTAGAATCTCTCTTTAGTCAGAGCATAGAGGACTGTGAGAGTTACCTCTTACTTCAGTATTTTCCCATTCGTATTTTATTCTCCTGTTCTCTTCTGGATAGATCTGGATAGATTTTTTTTAGACAGAGTCTCGATCTGACAGCCAGACTGGAGTGCAGTGGTGTAATCTCGGCTTACTGCAACCTTCACCTCCTAGGTTCCAGCGATTCTCCTGCCTCAGCCTCCTGAGTAGCTGGGACTAAAGGCACGTGCCACCACTCCTGGCTAATTTTTTATATTTTTAGTGGAGACGGGGTTTCACTATATTGGCCAGGCTGATCTCGAACTCCTGCCCTTGTGATCCACCCACCTCGGCCTCTCAAAGTGCTGGGATTACAGGTGCTAGCCACCACACCCGGCCTCTTCTCGATAGATCTTATTTGGCTGACAACGAAAGCTGTTGTGCTGGTAGCATCATCCCTTTCCATGCAAAAGATAAACTGAAATCTAAAGTAGCCATATCCTTCCGGCCAGGTTTTTCAAGTGGTTACTCTGTTCTGATCATTGTCATGACAGGAATAGTGAAAATAACAATAAATCATTTTTCTTTAACGATCCATTTACTGTATGCTGGGCACTGCACAAAATGGTTTACATGGTTTATCTTGTAGCGTTCCATTTAAGTCTGCTAAGAGTAGATGCTATCATTCTCTCCATTTTACAGATAAGAAAATTGAGGCTTAGAGAAATTGAGTAATTTTTGCCAATCCTGAGACTTGAATCTCCGCTCTGTCTTCTGCATACACTTTTTACTTGTCATTGCTGATTAGCTTTCTCTTTCCATCTCCCTGATCAGAACCATTCTGCGTTCTTAGATTCAACAAAATGTAATACTCCACCTTGCCAGTATCTAGCGTGTTTTCAGAAATTGTGAACGGGGTGGAGGTGGAGTACTAACTGCAATCAGATGTTTTATTTGTTTATTTATTTTTCCTTCTTGCGTTGCTCTTAAGCCCCCACTCTTGGGCAAGGCTCTGTGCTATGCTGTTTTATGCACATCATCTTCTAACAGCTTCTCTGCCACACCTGGAGAAGTGCCAATATCATTTTCATGGCACAGATAAGGCATTGGATGCTCATAGTTTAAGTCATCAGGTGGTGACTGGAGGAGCCAGAAGGTCCCTTTGGGCCTGTCCTCTCACCAGCATCAACTGCACCAAAAAGATCTCATTCTGAGTATCAGGGATGAACGCCCCCACTGGGTGATCAGGCAAACTACATGCATTTTAAAAAACTATATCCTGCTGGGTGCAGTGCCTCATGCCTGCAATCCCAGCATTTTGGGAGGTTGAGGAGGACGGATTACTTGAGGCCAGGAGTTCGAGACCAGCCTGGCCAACATGGTGAAACCCCATCTCACCTAAAAATAAAAAATTAGCTGGGCGTGGTGGCAGCCACCTGTAGTCCCAGCTACTCAGGAGACTGAGGCAGGAGAATCGCTTGAACCCAGGAGGAGGAGGTTGCAGTGAACTAAGATTGTGCCACTGCACTCCAACCTGGGCAACAGAGTGAGACACTCTCAAAATAAGTAAATAAATATAAAATAAAATAAAAAATATGTCCTGTAATGAAATTGAAAGAGAACACTTTGTTTCTTATCTAGTTGGAACAAGTGGGGTGGGGACAGACAAGTGACTGACCACTCTCCATCTGACTCAGTGTCAGTAGACTCTCTCAAAAATTAGAAGCTGGCTGACATAGTGGCTCACACCTGTAATCCCAGCACTTCAGGAGGCTGACGTGGGAGGATTGCTTGAGCCTAGGAGTTCAAGATCAGCCTGGGTAACATAGGGAAACCCTTCTACTACAAGACATAGAAGAAAATTAGTTGGCCATGGTGGCACACACCTATAGTCCCAGCTACTAAGGAGGCTGAGGCGGTAGGATCGCTTGAGCCCGGGAGGTGGAGGCTGCAGTGAGCTGTGATCACGCCACTGAATTCTAGCCTGGGTGACCGAGACCTTGTCTAAAAAATAAATAAATAAATAAAATTAGAATCTGAATTTTGAAGACACAAATTCAGATGCATGTGGATGGGCCCAAAATACTTTGTTTACATGTACTCCAAATGTAACTCCTGGGGCACCCTTCCTTATTTTCTCTACCACACCAATGCCTTCATGGTCTTACATCTTGTCCTCTTAACCCTGACTTCTCTAGCCCTCATGAATGCTTTAGTGTGGCAGATGTTACTGTACATGGGCCCTCGTTTATTCAGCAAATATTCATGGAGCCCTTGTACCAAGCACGGTGCTGAGTGATGCTGTGAGGGTGAGCAAAAGAGAATTGTCATCTGTTAAATCCCAGAGGTCCGTCTGTGACAAAACTTTCACCATTCTTTTGTAAAAATTAGAAAAATACAAAATAGTGAGTTTTTCATGAGCTACGTTGTATCAATTTTAAAGTATTTCTTTTAGGATTCTATTATTTACCCTTTTTCTTCAATGTTAAATACCATTTCCTTTAATAAAGATTTAAAAAAGATTCCTTCCTTCCTTCCCCCCTCCCTCCTTCCCCCCTCCCTCCTTCCCCCCTCCCTCCTTCCCCCCTCCCTCCTTCCCCCCTCCCTCCTTCCCCCCTCCCTCCTTCCCCCCTCCCTCCTTCCCCCCTCCCTCCTTCCCCCCTCCCTCCTTCCTCCCTCCCTCCTTCCCTTCCTCCCTCCCTCCTTCCCCCCTCCCTCCCTCCTTCCCTTCCTCCCTCCCTCCTTCCCTTCCTCCCTCCCTCCTTCCCTTCCTCCCTCCCTCCCTCCCTGTCTTCTTCCCTCCCTCCCTCCCTTCTTTCCTTCCTTTCTTTCCTTCCTTTCTTTCCTTCCTCCCTCCCTCACTCCCTCCTTCCCTTTTTCCCTCCCTCTCTCCCTTCCTCCCTTCTTTTCTTTCCTTTTTAAATGCTGATTTTGTTTTCTTTTTAAAGCCCTCAGTTGGCAAACTTAAAAGTTGTTAAGTCTGTGTTAGCCTGGCTAGCTTTTTTTTTCTCTACTAGACCTTCAAAGTCTAGGAATGCCTGATGTATCTGTATCCTGTGAGTTTGCCACTTCATGATATTTGATATGTCATTGTTTCCCCATAATTTTTTCATTGTTAGCGTTGTCTCTCCAGCCTCCTGCTTCCTCTTCCTCTGTCTCCCTCATGGTGTGTCTTGCTCAGGCATGTCTTATATAATCAATATTTAGTGATTTGACTTCTTAAGTCCTTAAAAAAAAAAAAATCCAGGTGCAAAACACAAAGACAGGGCTCATGTCAAGGGAGGGAACCTCGCTCTTCTACTCTCAGTGAAAGAAAGGCAAGACCACTCCAGCCTATTTTTTTTTTCTTTCCCTTGGCCCTTGTCAAAAGGGTAGCCAGTTTTCTGTTACCATTGTGCTAACTGAAGAATGGAAAATATGCCCAGAGTTTAAAAAAAATCAACCAATGCCTGCCCTTTCTAGAGCAACCTAATTAACAACCCAAATGTTAAAATTTCTTTATTTAGAAACTCAGCTATCCAGAATTACAACTCCGCCTCTCGTGCTTGGAGGCATAGTTCTTTGTCATATTCCTGAGTGTCTACAGATGATGAAAATAGCCAGTTATCTTTGCCCTTCATGGAAAGGATAGGAAGAAGCTCTGATGAAGCAATGTTGGGGCACTCATGGTTAAATTGAACCTTTCCCCTGGTTAAGTGGAGTGTGTGTGTGTGTTGTTCTTTTTTTCCAGCACCATATTTGGCCCTATAATTAATATGCAAGTTCAAATACCTCTTGCATGGAGCAAGAAGCTGAAACATGCGCATTTGTAATAGACTCAGCATCTGAATTGAATGGGCAGCTTTGGCTGGAGTAGTACTGCAGCTTCTCGAATGCCTATTGTCAAAATATATACTAGTTAGGAGACACATTCTGCTACGAGGGATGCCCTCCCAAATTAAAGACACTGTTCAGTTTACGCTTAACATTTATGGCTATCAAACTACTAGTCCACAACCAATCATCATGGTTTCGTTAACACAGTCAAAATTTACCACTGGGCTATTATTAAAACTTAATATAATTAATGTAAAAACACATACTTCTTTTCAACAAAAACTGGCTCTCTTTGTAGTCTCTTTTTTAATTTGGTGCAATCACTTAAAAAGTTTAGCACATTTAAAATTTTACATCATTTTAAAATTGTTTCTCTTTTATAAGAAGGATGCTATTTACTATTAATGTAGAAGTACAAAGGAAACGGTTACTTTGGATTTATTCTTTTGGAAAATTAGAATGTGGGCTACATGCTTTTCAGAAGTTGATGACCAAGAGAAGAAAGAAAGAAAAAAAAAAGGGTGCTTGATGCCCTGCTCCTGCTATGTCCGGGAATTTCTTGTACCCTTCATATGAGCCCCTCTGAACAAAAGCAAATCCTGTTGACCTGTCAGCTTAAAAAGACAAGAAATATGCCACATTCCGCAGGAATAAGGAGAAAAGAATGGTGCGAAAATCAGTGACACGAAGTTGAATATGTGAACACATCCAGACAAATGTGAAGCCAGCCCGATTAGGACGACTGAAAGGGCATTTCCCCAGAATTGCAGTTTTTTTTTTTTTTTTTTTTTTTTAAATAGGGGACGCTATTGTCATTCAGAAAGCCACAGGCTGTTCTGAAAACAGGCAAAAATCAATAGCCCACTTGTTGAGGATAAGTGAATTAGCCTGTGTTGAATGTAACTGAGTACCTGAACACTTGAGTGGGCAGGGATTGTTGGGGAGAAAAGACAATTGTCTTTTATGTCCACAGCGGTTCACATCGCTGATTAATTATGTCCAATGATCATTTTTGTGCAGGACTAATGGGCAGACTCTGTTTTTGTTTTTGTCTGTCTGCCCACAACCTGGTGAACTGAATAGAGTTCCCCACTTCTCAGAACAATGCAAATGGTGGCCAAGGGGCTGTGGAAGAGTTGCCAGAAATGGAATGATTCAGATTGGATGAAAAGTTGATTTTATTAATTAGTTAAAATACAAAATGAGAAAACAGAAAACACAATAAATACACAGTTAATAAAATACTTCATATTTTATTATAAAAACATTAATTACTTTAATAAAGCGGTTTATATTTTCAAATACAATATTTAATAAACTATATTAAAAATATATACAAAATAGTTGTAAGAATCGGGGCTCCTGTGAGTACGTAAATGAAATACGCTTACATCATTTACTTCTCTTCCCTTTTGTTTGTGAGTCCAGAGACGATGGAAGAGTTTGGAAAGTTGTCAGCTTATCTTTGCATATATTTGTCCAATGATAATTAAGCACAAATTGTTTCAAAAATCTTTCAAAAATTGTTATAAAGATTTTTATTGGTGCTAAGGGCTGTAATTTAGCAAAGTCTTACACCTGAAACCAACCAAAGGGTCTTAGAGTGTGAACTGTTGTCTTAGACCCGGAGAAGTCTCCAAAGAATGACCATCCGAGGCATTCAGCTGGCGTAAGAGGAGTGACTCATTTGTTCTTCTTTTTTTTTTTTTTGGCTGTCTACAGAGAAGGAGGATATAGGGGCCCTTAAGAGAAAAACTGGAGTAGGGTGTGTGTGTGTTTGTTTTGGTCAAGGGCAGAGTGTGCTGTGTCAGGGTGTTTCATTGCATTTTCATATTTGTCATTTCTCTTTGGAGCGTGTCTTTTGGTGCCACGGAAAAGGGCTGGATTTTCTATCGGGTACAATAGGTACCTGCAGGGCTTAGGGTACAAGAGCTTGTCGGGGACCTGCACACATGTTTGAGACCTGTAAAAATATTGCTGGCTCTGAATTATGGAAAGAAAATCGCAAAGTTAAAATCTATCAAAGTATAATTAAATACCTACAAAACATAATATTATGTCACTAGTCAACCGCAACACAAATCTTATATCATTAGATTTCAGTGATATTGAATGTGGGAGATGGAACCATTTTAGTGCATTTGATATGATGTGATGTGGCTTTCTCCAAGCCTGAGAGTGCCTGAAACCCAGAGAGGTCGTACGTTGACCATGCCACGGGGCCCTTCCTGGTAAATCTAAGCAGAAATACACCATGCATGAGACAGAACAAAGAAAAGAACTGTGAAAATACACTCAGGACCAGGATGCTGATACAGTCATGAGGTTCAGCTTAAAAGGCCAGTTTCTCTACTGCAGAATAATGAGGTCTATCCTGTTTTGCTTTCTTTCAAAGCCCTTACCATTTATGAAACCAGATTGCAAGTCTGTTTGAATCCCCCAAATGCCTGTGCTACATAACTGTCTCCTTACTCTGTGCTCTTGCCCCAGGCAGAGTGGAAGTTGCCTTATAAAGCTGCGACTTGGCCACAGTGTTTTCCCTTTCAGCAGGGAAACCGGAGTTCTCCCTGCTGTTGGGAGGTTCAAGAGCCACTCTGTGCAGAAATGCCCAGAAAGAGTTAAGTGAGGTAAGTTCGTCAGACTTCTGCAGACCCATACTGTGGAAGGGTCAAGTGCAGGGTCACCAACCCGTTCCATCTTCCTGTCAGTTGGCGTCCACCCTTGGTTTCAAAGGGAACAGGCATTACTGACATGACGGGACCTTTACAGTTCCCAGCTGCTCATTTGGAGTACTGCGGACCCAGGACAACTAAAGCCGGGGTCGCCTGCCCTCCAGGGGTTCCTGGGTTGAAGTATCTGTTCCCTCCCTTTATTTTTTCTAGCCTTTATAGAAATGACAAAGGGTCAGGTGGTCTTAAATTCCAAATCTGGGCACATGAATGGTCTGACCTCGGAAACTTCCTATATGCTCGAAACGATTTAACTAGCAGCAATAAAATCTCTACTCTTTTTATGACAAATAATCTAGCATGTCTGGGGAGCATATTTGATTCTTCATATTTGGGACCCTTTTTTAAAGGCTGAGTTTTATTAAAATGATAGAAAAATTAGTTATTAAACAGTATGTCAAATACCTTTCTGTCCCACCAGATTTATTTTTAAAGACAAACATTACAGAGGGGCAGGGGAAGGTTATATTTGAAATCTTTCTATCCTTTCTCTAAAATATATTTGGTGAAAACTAGGAAGTGTTGATAGATATCATTGTTTCCTGACAGGTTTTTGGTGTTTGCATCTTGAAAGTAAAACTGCCAAGTTATTTTTTTGTTCTGGTTTTTGTTTTTTAAGCTTTTCTTTGATAACCTCATTTTCAAGGGGAGGCTTAGCACTGATGTATTTTATTTTCTTGCTCAGAGAGGAAACACTGAAATAGCTATATGCTTCCCCACCAGGAGAGTGGAAGAATCTTGCTTTTAAAGCGATAGTCCTATTTTCTAAGTAAAAGTCCAGGCATGTGACTTAAAAAAGAAAAAAAAAAATGTTTTCTGGTCAAGTCACATGCCTCTGAGGTTTTTTTTTTTCTTTCTTTCTTTTCTTTTTTTTTCTTTTTCCCAGACTCCTCATACCCCTCCTAGGAGACAGTGATTCCCTGGCTTCACCAGGCAGGCTCTTGGGGGCTTCCTGGTCCCTGTCACTCTTAAAATGCAGCCTGTCTTTGGACATCTACTCCAAGTTTGCATTCTGCCTTGCCTTGTCAGTCTGGGCTATCAAAAATATAGTTTCGTTTGGAAAACAAAGGGGTGAGGTGGGTCCAAAGTACAGGAAGCTATACCATGCAAATGAAAATATTTTTTCCAAAGCTATCTGCTAATCCCTGTGATTTAAAAATGTGCGTGTTTTTAGTTTCTGTCTAATTTCAACCTTTTCTTGCTTTAGTGATTAATTACCAGGTTTCTCTATTAAGAGCTTGTGCGTGTGTAGGGGGTAGCATAGAATAAACAGGCTCAGAGCCCCCACCCCCACCCCCCTTTAAGTAACAGTGACGCAAACGACCTTTATTTAGCAGAAGGTAGCTCTGCGAATCCGCTGAATGTCCGATTGCGATCTCGCTGGAAAGACTGCTGCTTCAGCAAGGTTTCTTTGCTGGTCTGTGGCAAGGTCCCTGCTTCATTTTCAAGGTGTCCTCACTTGGTGCCTTTGAAGGGTTTTTAATGGATTCGCTTGATATACCTTCCAAATGGAGTACTTTGTGCGTTAATTCAGTTTGTGATAAAGATCCCTTTTACCCTCCTTTTCATAATTCTTCCCAGAGATATGAAGTACACTAGAAGGTTAGATGTGGCATTTAATTTTTCCACAAAACCTATCCATAGAGGGGGAAAAAAAGATTCAATTTCATTACTATTCATGTGTAAGAATATTGAAGGTGGTATACTAAAGGAGATAACTATTTCTTCTTCTATCAAAGGAAGAACAAATCTGTCTTTGAACGAGGAGCTCAATTCTTATTTAAAAGATAAAAGGTCACCTACAATACTCATTCCTTTAAAGCTATAGTGTTGGGGTGGGAAGGAAGCTGTCTTACCTGGACATATTAATTTTAAATTTTGCTTGAAAAAATTGCTCAGTGCATTTATTGACTAGTCTCTCTGTGTGAGTTCTGAAAGTCTGTTTATATCTGTTGCCCCTTCTCCTAAAGTGAACCCAGATATGTGGGTATGGGGTGCTAGTTTTTATATTAGGTCTGAGATGTGGAAAACAGAAATCTAACTTAGGGATGTATCATAATCAAACCGTCGGGGCTAATGGCATGGCTCTGATATTATAAAATCTGGAGGTTTGGAATGCAGCAAACTCTGGGGGCATTATCATTATTATTATTAATAGTTTGTATTTACAAATGTGGCATTAAGTAGAACAACGTATTCTTGCAATTAATGACAGGAAGCCTACAATTTCTCATTAAGCACAGGACAGTGAGAACGAACGGAATTTCAGAGACATGTTTCTTAACATTAAAAACAACAAAAACAACAACAACAACAAAAAACCAAGTAGGAAGCAGGCAGAGTTGCAATATGAAGAACAATTTCAATCATATGTTGTTTAATTGAGTTTAACAAGTAAATGTATATCCCAGTGTGTGTGGTCACCAAAGCATAATGACAAGTTGTTCATCATTTAATTAGAGATTTGCTTATTGAAACGACTGAAATAGGTAGTTGAAATTTTGCCCTTGGACAAGGGAGTAATTTGTGATTTGCTACGTTCATTTCGTGAGACTTTTGGTGAAAGACATCTCCTTCTCATATGTTTAGGCAAGCGTTGATGACATCAACCTAGCCTTTTATTTTAAATCCCCTGTCAACGCAATTAGATAATACAAAAATAACAAAACTACAGGAGGTTGAGGATGGGGCTGGGGGCCAAGGAGATTACTTGGTTTGAAATGAATAAATTGTCTATCCTAAGGGAATTCTTTGGTGCATTTTATTGTGTGAAATGAGCCTGGTCATATGACTGCCCTGCCTCCCTGGAGGCCTCCCTGCCCTCCTCCTTCCCACAGACACTTATGGGAGGTACTGGCCAGCTCTGTATGGCCAGTACTGCCCTAAGCAAGACCAAGAAGCTTAGTCTCAATTTCAGAGAGTTATTTTGGCAACATATTTGGGAAAATGATAGTTAGATGCTGCGTTAGCCAGCCTCTGCATGATTTTTTACGCAGAACAAACAGTTCCAAATATCAGTGCTTTCAGCAACTCATATATTTCTCACTTATGGTGCATGTCGCTGATGGTTGGCTGCTGCTCTGATCTCACTCCAGTATCAGCTTCAGTCAAGGAACGTATTGTTGTCAAGGAAAGGAAAAAGAACAGTGGTGAGACCAAAGGATCTTAAAGTTTCTACTTTGGAAGGGGCGTGGCATTGCTTCTCTCATTCCATTGGCTGAAGCAAATCATGTATACAAGCCAGAAGCCAATGAGCTATAGGAAGGGTAGCAAAGAACAGAACAGCCATACAGCCTAGCCCACAGATGGGGTCAAGAAGATTCAATAGGCATTGGCTGAAGACTTAAGACTTCTCAAGCAAGTTGGATCCTGGTGTGCACCTGGCATATCCTTTAGGATTCTTTAGTGTTGGTAGATTGAGATGGAAATGAGGAAACTTGTATTACCTACTCCTTTGGGCCAGAATTTGCTTACAGCACAGTGAGGAGGTATTCTTTGGAGAGCACTGTTTCCCAAGAGTGATTCTAACAAAGAGGTGTAAATGGACAAGAATGAAAAGCAATTGCAAGGGCCCTTGAAGGTTTGTGAAGGATGGCAAAGTGACTTGGATGTTGATTTCTAAAGGAGGTAAAACTTGAAGGTAGACAAGCTCTTTGTGTCCATACATTTGATGGGTCATCCTATGAAGGAGGGCCCATCTCTTACGGCAGGCAGCGTGGCGTAGGCCTCAGAGTCAGGCATCTGGGGCCCAGCCTTTTCTCTGCAGGTGCGGGTGGCTCTTGGCACATGATGTAGGTTTTTGTTTTTGTTTTGTTTTGTAGACAGAGCTCAATCTTTTGCCTAGGCCATAGTGCAGTGTACAATCAGATTTCATTGCAGCCTGGAACTCATGGGCTCAAGCATTCCTCCCACATCAGCCTGCCAAGTAGGACTACAGTTGTGCACTACCACACCTGGCTATTTTTAATTTTAGTTTCTGTAGAGACAGAGACTTGCTGTGTTGCCCAGGCTGGTCTCAAACTCCTGGCCTCTCAAGCCATCCTCCAGCCTCAGCCTCCCAAAGTGCTGGGATTACAGGCATGAGCCACCCCACCCAGCCCATGTTAATTTTTTCACCTACAAAATGAAGGCTACAATATTTACTTTGCAGGATTGCTGTAAGGATTAGAACCACCGTCTCTAAGGCATTCAGCATAGTCCCTTAGGGTAACATGAGTGCTCAAGAAATAGTAAATTTTAGTATGTGTCTCATTTTTTTCCAGATGCTCTGGGGTCACTACCAACCTTGCCTTTCACCCTACCTGTGGATCTATGACCCTGTCCTTCTCAGAACACCACTCAGTACTTCTGGGTTCCCCAAGAGGTGCCTCTTGAGAGTTTGTAGGAAACTGTGCTTTAGTAACTCATGGTTTCTGCCCTCAGCTTCTCTTGCATGGGGCCTTCCTGCTTGCTCCTCTGCTCACAATGACAAGTGAGGACTCCCCTCCATGCCTTTTGATGCTGGTGCCCATCACCCCGATCACATGAACGTCTATGCCCAGGTCCCATTTCCTGACATTCCCAACATCTCTACCTTCTCCGGGCCTAGGGCAGGGATCACTCTTTCAGAAACATGAGCGTATGGAAGCCCCAGTGTGTTCCTTGAAGTCCCGATGCGTGATTTGTCCCCATGCTGTGTCGCACTTGGTCATCTGGACCCTGGGGTTGCCTGAGTGTCCCTGTTACAAGGCCCCTCCTGAAACCAGATTGGTGTCTATGAGGGTCATCTGGGAAACCTACCTCTGGCAGAATCGCTGTCCTGCCAGTTTCCTCTCCCCCTTACAAGGGACATTTATGCTTTCTCCCTCTACAAAACCTGCATGCAAATTATCTGATGGAATTGACCCATAGTGGGTGTTCTCCACTGGTTCAACACACCTGAATTCCGGATTCAAGATGCAATCACCACTACTGTTGTTGTGTAAGTATTGCTAGAGATGGCTGCAGAATACCTGGGAAAGCTAGCTAAGCAGTGACTGGAGGAAGGCCCCAGCTCTTTGGAACGAACTTTCCAGCCGAGAATGCTTTCCAAAATGGGAACAAGATCCCAACCCCTTATCAGAAACTTTGGGGGCCGGATGTGTTTCAGAATTCAGAAGTTTTCAAATTTTAAGAAGAGAATACACTGCGTATTCTGTGTATTACAGGGGTCAGCAAATTCACAGCCCATAGGCCAAATCTGGCCTGTTTTTGTAAATAAAGTTTTATTGCTATACAGCTGTACCTGTTGGTTTACGTACTGCGATGGCTGCTTTCAGCTACGTTGGCAGAGCTCAGTAGTCATGACAGTAACCATATGCCCACAAAGCCTAAAATATTTACTATCTGGCTCTTTGCAGAAAATGCGCTGAACCTTGCATGTTGTGTCACCCCTGGAGGTAGCACCTTGTAATTAAGCACATGAATATCTCACATCAGAATGAATGAATATTCACACTCAGTGGGACAAACAACTTCTGTCAGCTGTAGACTGCTTTTGCCATCAAATGGTTATTGAAAGAACTATCTGTGTTGACAGCCTTTTGGGTTTCATACAGTCCTTTCCAGCTTGGGCAGTATAGATAAATAGATGCACAAAGCAGAGGGAATCAAGTAGAATAACATGGTTTATTTGTGTGTGTATTGTTCTGTTTTTGGTAAAATCATGCTTATCATATCTTCAATGCATCATTTATTCTGAGTCCACATTGCTGCCTTTGAGCCGGGGCCCTGAGGTATCTCCTATACTCTGGCTGGGGTGAGGGCGGCAGGTCCTCTGGGCCAGCCCAGATCCACCCTGTTCACGGTGTGTGTCCTGCTGGGCTCACTTCTGAAGCTGACCTTGGGGAGCAGATTGAACACCTGTTGATGCCATTCTCTTAATTTCAGGGGAATGTGTGGGTCTTTGAGCTAGAGAGACATAGGTGTATGGCAGATGAGGGACCACCCCCTCCACCTTAGTCCAGTTACAGGGCCTCGCCTTTTTGATACTAACGCTACATGAAGAGGGACGGGGCCAACAGCAGGCTCTTCCTTGACGTGTTTTATGTACACTCCAGAAATATTGACAGAGTTGTCTTTTTGTTTTGGTTTTTAAATGTTTTTTTAAGTTAACTTCTGGAATGCATGTGCAGAACGTGCAGGCTTGTTACATAGGTATACATGTGCCATGGTGGTTTGCTGCAGCCATCAAGCCATCTTTTAAATCCATTCTTAGATTTTCCTTTTCCATAGCTCTTTGTGATGCTTGCTTTAATCAGTTGATACATGTTTAATCACGTTTTGCTCTGGGCTGTGTTATATACAGCTCCCTCCCTAATCTTGCTAGAAGGTAGGGCTAATGCATTGTCAATTCAGAAATAGGGGGTGTTCCTGAGTCTGGGGACACTCTAGTGAAATTCTATGTGTAAAATAATTTGTACAAGTTTATATTTTTAGCTAAATTAAAATACTCACATTCCCATTATTTTTTAGAGGTTGTAAGCTAAGTAATAACATTCTAGAAACTCTCTGTTTTTTGAAAGGGCATCACCACTGTTGAAGGCGCTAATGGGAGATCCTAAGTTTCAGGCTCTGCTACAGACGTCAGGTCCCCTAGGAGTTGGGCTGCCTTTGCTCTCCTCTCCGCGACTCGGTACCTGGTGTATAGTTGGCTAAAAAGAAGTTGTTGGGGCTGGGTGCAGCACCTCACACCTGTAATTTCAACACGTAGGGAGGCTGAGGCAGGAGGATCTCCTGAAGCCCAGAATTCAAGACCAGGCTGGGCAGCATAGCACGACCCATCTCTACTATAAATTTAAAAATTAACTGGGTGTGGTGGTGCACATCTCTAGTCTCAGCTGCTTGGGACTACTAGAAAGGTAAGGCAAGAGAATCCCCTGAGCCCAGGAGTTGGAGGTTGCTGCAGCTATGTTCGCACCACTGTATTCCAGTCTGGGCAACAGAGCAAGACCCCATTTCCAAAAAATAAATGAAATAAATAAATACATAATAAATAAACAGTAGTGGTTGAAAGAAAGGGAAGGAAGAAATGCTGTTTTAGGAAATCAATAGGATAATTTTTTTTTTTTTTTGAGGCGGAGTCTCACTCTGTTGCCCAGGCTGGAGTGCAGTGGCACAGTCTCCGCTCACTGTAAGCTCCGCCTCCCGAGTTCACGCCATTCTCCTGCCTCAGCCTCCCGAGTAGTTGGGACTACAGGCGCCCGCCACCACACTCAGCTAATTTTTTGTATTTTTAGTAGAGACAGGGTTTCACTGTGTTAGCCAGGATGGTCTCGATCTCCTGACCTCGTGATCTGCCTGCCTTGGCCTCCCAAAGTGCTGGGATTACAGGCGTGAACTACTGTGCCTGGCCAGGATAATCTTTAAGAAGAAGATAACATTAGCTATTCTTCTCACTTCCTACGTAGAATTCCCTACCCTGTGTCTTTGGCCTGGAAAGGGTATTGGTAGCAATTGTCTTCGGCTTTCCCTGCCATGTGTATGCATTCCCACGGCCACACAAGCACACACACACTTTTGTGGTTTTTTTTTTAATTATATAAGCAAGTAGGATGTTTGTCTTAGTTTTTTTGGGCTGCTATAACAAAATGCCATGGACTGAATAATATATAAACAACGGAAATGTATTTCTCACAATTCCGGAGGCTGAGAAGTCCAAGAGGAAGGCACTGGCAGATTCAGTGTCCGGTGAGGATTTGTTTTTGATCTCATAGGTGTCCATCTTGCTATTTTCTCAACTAGCAGAGGCAACTCTCTGGGGTATCTTTTAAAAGGGCACTAATGGCCAGGAGTGGTGGCTCACACCTGTAATCCCAGCACTTTGGGAGGCCGAGGCAGGTGTCTCGGTGGATCACTTGAGGTCAGGAGGTCGAGACCAGCCTGGCTGACATGGTGAAACCCTGTCTCTACTAAAACTAAAAACTTAGCCAGGCTCGGTGGCTTGTGCTTGTAATCCCAGCCACTTGGAAGGGTGAGGCAGAATTGCTTGAACCTGGGAGGCAGTGGTTGCAGTGAGCTGAGATGGTGCCACTGCACTCCTGTCTGGGAGACAGAGGGAGGAGACTCCATCAACACTAATAATAATAAAGTAAATAAAAGGGCACTAACCCTACTCAGGAAGCCTTCACTCTAATGACATAATTACCTCCCAAAGTCCGCACTTCCTAATGTTACCACTCTGGAGGTTAGAATTTCAACATATAAATTTTGGGGGGACACATTCAGACCACAATAATGTTTTATAATGTTCCTTTTGCTTTAACAAGAGACACATGTCAGATAGTAGACATGATCTGAGAAGACACAAAACCCAGCGTGGTGATTTTGGCAGCCTTGCCATGCATCTCTAACATGCACATGGCCAGAAAAATAGCTTGGACATTCTGTTCAACCCTCCACATCAACTGGTCAGTTTAGTCTTTAAAAGGTGATAGGCCTGTTGTGGTGGCTCACGCCTGTAATCCCAGCACTTTGGGAGGCTGAGGCAGGTGGATCACTTGAGCCCCGGAGTTGAAGACCAGCCTGGGCAACACGGTGAAACTAAGAATAGAAAATATTAGGTGGGCGTGGTGGCGTGCACCTGTGGCCTCAGCTACTTAGGAGGCTGAGGTGGAAGGATCACTTGAGCCCAGGAGGCAGAGGTTGCAGTGAGCCGACATTGCACCACTGCACCCCAGCCTGGGCCACACAGAGAAACCTTGTATCCAAAAAAAAAAAAAAAAAAGTGACCACACTGTGGCTTTGCTGCTTTGCCTAAGTATTTCGTGAAATTGATCGTTCATTCACAATGCTCAGTGCAGTGACTTTGCCGAGCACAAGTGGTGGACTTAAGAAGCCACATAAAGAAGCACCCACGTCTTTCTCTGAGGACGTGCTTGTGTGTGTTCTGAGGAAAGCAGGTGATGATCCCTGAGGTGTATCCCCCAATCCCAAACTAGAAGTGAGTCCCCCTGCTCCTCAAGCTTGCATGGCGCTCAGGTATTCCAGTGGGCCCCGCTGCATTCTTCCCAGTCCCAGGAAATCTTTGTGCATGGCTGTCTTTTCTGTGCCATCTTGGGCATCTCACGCATTGGCCCTATCCACATGTTGCCTCCAGCATCCCAGGAACTCCGTTAATGTTTATTTGAATGATGGAATGAAGGTGTCTTGCTATATTTTGACATTTCTGTCAAAATATGAATCTATCTTTGCCTAGCATCTTTTCATGTGCACATTGCCCATCTTTATAACAAAGTGTGAGTGGGAAAGGACTTTTAATCTTCATTATATTATCATTCATATGAATAATGTTAACAATTAGTGTTTATTGAGCACCTGCTATGAGCCAGATGTAGTGTTCAGTGCTATTCATGTGTTCTTGAATTAAATTTTCATGGCAAGCCTAAGAGGCCATGACTGTCCACATTTTGCCTCTGAGAGACGCAAGGCTTGGAGGCAGGAAATCACTCACTGAAGGCCACAGCACAAAGTGGGGACTTGAGTCCCGATCTCACTGATTCTAAAGTCCTTGCTCTCCAACCTCTGTCCATCTGAAATGGAAAAGCACTGACGCAGTTCTCACTCTGGAGCTTGTTTTATTTTGCTTGGGCTGCTGTAGAAATACCACAGGTCAGGTGGCTTAAACAACAGGAATGTAGTTCCTCACAGTTCTGGAGGTTGGGAGTCCTAGATCAAGGTGTCAGCAGGGTTGGTTTCTCTCTGTACCATTGTCCCTGGCTTGGAGATGACCATCTTCTCTGTCTTCACATGGTCTTCCCTCTGTGTGCGTTTGCATCCTTATGGCCTCTTCTTGTGAGGGCACTGGTCATATTGGATTAGGGTCCACCATATAATGACTTTATTTTACCTGAACTGTCTCTTAAAAGGCTCTGTCTCCAAACACAGTCACATTGTGAGGTACTGGGGGTTTGGGCTTCCACATACAAAGTCTGGGACACAGTACGCTCTCATAAGAGACCTCTTCTCAACAGGATCCATGTTTGATCCGGGGGAATAAAGCTAGAGTTGCTTTCTTCCTTGTAATATGTATAATGACTCATGAGAGAATTCCCCACTGTCTTCCCCACCTGAGACCTGAGAGGAGGAGAAGGAAGCTTGGAGTCGCTGCCCTGTGGCCTGAATTGGTCAGTGACCAATCACTCAGACCCAGCTGACAGGCTATACGCGGACACCTTGGATGTGCCCAGCATGGATCTTCTCCAAGTAGGAGGCCTTGGAGTCAGAGAAAGGTGCAACTCCCACTGCTGCTGCAAGAACAAAGACTTTAAGATACTGAAATTTCTGGGCAAAGTTTCCTCAACTCTTCATTTAAGTGTTAGGCCAGGTGGGGTGGCTCATGTCTGTAATTCCAGCACTTTGGGAGGCTGAGGTGGGAGGATCACTGGAGGTCGGGAATTTGAAACCAGCCTGGCCAACGTGGCAAAACCCCATTTCTACTAAAAAAAAAATATATATATATATATATATATATATATATATATATATATATATATATATATATATATATATATATATATATGTAGCCATGCATGGGGGCCTGCCCTTGTAGTCCCAGCTACTTGGGAGGCTGAGACATGAGAATCGCTTGAACCTGGGAGTCGGAGGTTGCAGTAAGCTGAGATCGCCACTGCACTCCAGCCTGGGCAACAGAGCAAGACGCCATCTCAAAAAAAAAAAAAAAAAGTGTAATGCAAGTAGAAAAGGGCACACACTCCAGGTGTATATCTCAACAAATTTGTACACACTGCATGCACATGGGTGACCCGCACCCACATGTTATACACAGAATAATTACAGGACCCTGCCAACCTCCTCCTATCCCCTTTCAGCTCCTGCTGTGATGCCACTTCTAATCTCAATTTTATTATACAATTTGTTAAATACAGAAGTAAATGGAGGCAATAGTGATAGTAAAAAGAACCATGTGAATTGGGCGTGGTGGCTCATGTCTGTAAAGCCAGCACTTCGGGAGTCCAAGGTAGGAGGGTCACTTGAGCCCAGCAATTGGAGACCAGCCTGGGCAACATCATGAGACCCCATCTGTATCCAAATAAAAGCAACAAAAAAATGAGACATGGGGGTGCATGTCTGTGGTCCCAGCTACTCAGGAGGCTGAGGCAGGAGAATCACTTGAGCAAAGGAGGTTGAACCATGATTGCACCGTTGTACTCCATCTAGCCTGGGCGACAGAGTGAGAACCTGTCTCCAAAATAAATAAATAAATAAATAAAAATAAAAGTAACAGAACCATAGGCCTTATCTTTATCTGAGTTCCTGTAGCATGTGCACTACTCCTGATTAACCAAGTGAAAGAGAAAATGAGACTAATCTCTAACGTCAGCTTCCTTTTCTGCCAAATGGAAGATCATCTCTAATTAATAATGAGTTAGAATACCTAGGACAGTATTTGGCACACAGTTGATGAGGATGGTGTACCTAGTAGCTAATGGTGAGTAGGATGAATAATAATACTATACCTTTTGGTTTCTGAAATGAGAAATCTAAGGAACTGGCTTAACCAAGAAGCAGCAAGCTGTTTTAATTGTGCTGTTAGGAGGGCTGTTTGTTAAGGTACAGAAGAGGATTGGCCCATGGCTTTCTGCTAAGAACCTGCTGAATGTCTGTATAGAATCCCTGCATTGTGCCTCCTATCAATCAGGTGCTTAGGTTTGACAAGTTTCCTCCAACAGACTCGTGTAGAAGTTTCTGTATCAACTGGAAAAAACCATGGTGCTTGGGACATTCAAGGCCGAAACTTGGTCCCTGGATGGGAGAAGATAGCTGTATCATTGGCAGAGCTGCCTTGGTCATGTACCCTCTCCAGACTAGACACTAGATAGTGGGTAGGGTGGGACAGTTTTATGTCCTCTGCCACCTTATCTGGGACTCTTGTCCCCTGAGAAGTTTGAAAATTTGGCACATTTTAGTATTTGTCAGTGTACTTCCTGCTTCTTGATGCACTTGTACTGCACAAGAATTGATTTTCAGGAAATATGGTTTTTTTTTCCTTTTTGCACAGCGATGGGTTAGCAAAATGCATATTTGCATAGAAATAATCTTTAGTGAGCTCTGCTGGCAAGTGTGTCAAATTTATAAATATCACTACTATAAAGACATACTTTTGGATATGGATTTCTTCCTCAGTTTATTTCTTCTTTCATTTTTTCATGTCCAGGTCACTACGTATTGCGTATATTTGGTTGGAATTTTATTTTTGAGCAATTCACTTACCCAGATTGTGTTTCTGGAGATTAAAGCATCTCACTGTATTTTTAGTTTTTTCTACATTGCAATTTCAAAATAATCCAACTCAAAGGCTGTTGAAAGGCTCCTTCTGTTTAAGGTAAAGCCTGTGGCAGCCTTTAACTTCCTTTCTCTTCTCCTGCTGCCACCTTGGTCCACAGTTTATCTTTGAAAATGCTGGGTTTTAATGGGCAGGGTATAGTGCAGAAACCAGATGGTTTTAACTCACACCTGTGAAAATGCTGGGGATCTGCGAAACATTAAAGTTAATGGCCAGAATAAGGCTGCCAAGCTCGGTGGAATTGTACTTAACTGGCATATCATTCTGGTTAACTGAACTTTCCATTAACTCACAGATCTATCTTTTCATGCCCCCTTCTAACCCCCTACTCACCACCCACCCAGTTCCTCCTAGTGGGCAGTTTGCTGCTGCTGTCTTACCTCCTCATCCTCACCCCTTTCACCTCTCCCCTGGTAACTGATTTATTTTTCCCTCTTGGAGTTGCTTATTCTTTTCTTCTTCCAGTTGCATCTCTCCCTCTACTTAGATACACATTTCCATTTTACTTCTATTTGGTAGTCTCAGAACTTGGCTTTTATTGGCCAGTATATTCAATGATTCACTTGCACCTTTAACCTTGTGTTGTTCTAATCTTTTTTTTTTTTTTTTTTTTTTTTTTTTTTGAGACAGAGTCTTGCTCTGTTGTCTAGGCTGGAGTGCAGTGGCACCATCTCGGCTCACCACGAGCTCTGCGTCGTGGGTTCATGCCATTCTCCTGCCTCAGCCTGCGGAGTAGCTGGGACTACAGGCACTCACCACCATGCCTGGCTAATTTTTTGTATTTTTTAGTAAAGATGGGGTTTCACCATGTTAGCCAGGATGGTCTCGATCTCCTGACCTCATGATCTGCCTACCTTAGCCTCCCAAAGTGCTGGGATTACAGGCGTGAGCCACCGTGCCCAGCCTTCTTGTTTTAATCTTTTAGACAACTGGACACAGGTTTGTCTTTGAAATTGTACTGGTTTTTCTTGATGTTTTAGTGCTCCTGGATGTCCAATGTCATTCTTGGGCTAGTTGAAGGAAAGTTTTGGCTACCCAGTTGTTAGCTGCTGAAGTTTAACTGTGCATTCTAAGCACACCAGTATTTTATTACATCATACCTGGGCAGCAGATAATTTTAGTAAAACCTTGAAAAGATATGACTATTGGGAAGAAATTTGGGATTCTATCCTTTTTCTCTCCATTCTTCTCTCCTGCACCAAGTTTCTAAGCTCGTGATTAAATAAATTCTGACCCTACTCTGATAAAAGTGAACCCTTGTGGCTGGTCGCAGTGGCTCATGCTTGTAATCCCAGCACTTTGGGACGCCGAGGCAGGCAGATCACCTGAGGTCAGGAGTTTGAGACCAGCCTGGCCAACATGGTAAAACCCCACCTCTACTAAAAATACAAAATTAGTCAGGCGTGGTAGTGTACACCCATAATCCCAGGTACACAGGAGGCTGAGACTTAAGAATCGCTTGAACCCAGGAGACGGGGGTTGCAGGGAGCTGAGATCGTGCCACTGTACTCCAGCCTGGGTGACAAGAGTGAAACTCCATCTTAAAAAAAAAAAAAAGTGAACCCTTGTAGTTTCTTCCTCTGTTTGACAGATGGACCCTAAGACGGCCCCAGTGATACCCCACCTCCTGGTGTCCAAGGCCTGATGTGATCACCCTTCCCCCACCTTGAATGTAGGTGGGATATGGGAGACTTACTTCTGACCAATAGAATATGAAAAAGATAATAGGATGTAACTGTTTAGATTCGGTTACACTATATGGCAAAGCAAAGGGATTTTGGAAATACCATTAAGGTCTTACATGAGACAGATTTTGAGTTAATGAGCAGGGGGATCCTCCTGGGTGGGCCTGACTTAGTAAGGGGAAAATCCCTTAAAGAGGAGCTAAAATAAGAGAGTCTCTCTCTCCATTGCTGGCTTTGAAAAAGTAAGCTGCCTTGCAGTAAGGAACTGCATTTGGCTTCTAGGAGCTGAGAGTGCCCTAAGGAAGCCAGCAAGAAAATGAGGACATTAGTCCTATAACCACAAGGAAATGAGTTCTGCTAGCAACCTAAGGGAGCTTGAAGGTGATTGACCATCCCCAGTCAAGCCTCTGATGAGACCGCAGCCCCACTAGGCAACTAGATTTCAGCATGGTAAGACCCTGGATGGAGAACCCAGCTCAGCCATGCCCAGACTCCTATCCTATGGAAGCTTTAAGATAATAAATGTATGTGGCTTTAAGCTGTTAAGCTTTTGGTAATTTGTTAGATGGCAACAGAAAATGTGTACACCCTGGATAGTAGACAGAGACTGCATCTTTCTTTGGCATTTGGCTGCACAGCAAGTTCTAAGTTACTCACCAGGTTTCAGAGGAGAGATGGGAATTTGATGATCTTATAAGAAACCTGTACTCTTTGGCCAGACACGGTGGCTCATGCCTGTCATTCCAGCACTTTGGGAGACCAAGGCGGGCAGATCACCTGAGGTCATGAGTTCGAGACCAGCCTGGGCAACATGCTGAAACCCCATCTCTACTAAAAATACAAAAATCAGCCAGGCATGGTGGCGCATGCTTGTAGTCCCAGCGACTTGAGAGGCTGAGGGATGAGAATCACTTGAACCCGAGAGGCAGGGGTTGCAGTGAGTGCGGTGGCAGCTGGGACATTAACCAAGTTGTGAAAGGAGCCATGATGTTATTAGCTGAGTCATGTCACTGCACCTCCAGCCTGGGCAACAGAGTCAGACTCTGTCTCAAAAAAAAAAAAAAAAAGTGTACTTTTTGAGGAAAGTTCTATTTTTCATTATTTTCCACTATGAATGAAGAAGAAAATAATATACATACATTACTGGGATTCATACGGACATTATTTAGACACACTTCCACCTACAGAGTCACATATTGTATAGAATAAAATATCATCAGGAGCAGCTCATGTGACCAGAATGTGGCAAAGTCTTTGCTCTACAGGTCAAGTTGGGACTTACTGAGGAGAAATGAGGGGACTTCAAAGTCCAGGTTGCACCATCCACTTTATAGATGAGGAAAGTAAGAACCCACAGCATCTTGCACGTAGAATTCAATATATGTCCTGCTTCTTGAATCACATTGACCTAACAGGTCATATGATTTCCATTTGTTTGCACAACAACTCAAGGGCAAAAGTGAAATTGGAATTTTTGCTTTTGAATTTCTGAAACCTTGTTTTATTTATTTATTTTCTAATCTTTTTTTTTTTTTTTTCGTGGAATCATGTTCCCTTCGGAAAACTCCCTGGGTGCCCCAGCATTATGTGGTAAAGGACATGTATTTCCAACTGGCAGGGGCTCTGCAAAGTTTCTCTGCCTCCTTTGCTAACCAAACCCTAAATAATTGTCTGGATGTTCCTTTTATTGTCACCTCTGAAACAAGACGAAGATTTGGACGGTTTGCTTTAGAGTGCATTAACTTCTTTATCACATTAATACTGACTCATATCTTATTTCCCACTTGCAATAAGAAAACCATTCAAATCTTTCCCTCACAGGACAATATCTTTAATAGCTTCTGTGTGTTTCCTATTTTTGGCTGTTTCTGTATAAACAGACTAATCTAATAGCATACTGAACCCATCTAACTTGGCAGAAATTCAGAAAATCACTCATTTCTATGGCAAGCTGAGATGCTGAGAAGGGGGAAAAAACCCTCACTTTTATTGCAGCAAGATTTTTCTCAAAGTTGCCTTTCATGAACATAATATGTCTATCATTTGGAATTCTCCAGCACCCTGGCTGGAAATTATTTATTGCAGAACGACACAATGGTGAACGAGAAGGTATTATTCCCTGTACGATTTCTGGCTTGAATTTGTTTGCCTAAAGGAGCAGATATCGTATGAACATGATTTTGAATGCTGGCATGGTGATGAAAGGTGATGTTCACCTGGAGTCTGTACACACAAAACCCTGTTCATTTTACCTAAAGGGTAAGAACATCATGGCCCCCTTCATATCCTGGTTAATGTCCCCGCTGACCCTGAGTTCTGCCTCCATCACTGGAACAAGAGCCTGTCTTTGGGAAGAGGTGTCTTCCCTGGCACTCGTTTGATTTGTAGCCGCCACACATGGCAGGTCCCAAGCTGTCTGAAGTCTTGGCTGCCATTCCTAAGCTACTAAAACTTTGCTGGAGAACATCACCAATCACGCTGAGGGATCCTTTGACAACTCAGCTTCATGAGGACAGCTGCAGTTCTGCGTTTAGGCTGGGGTCACCGGGGTCGCTGCCCCAGCCCCACTCTTTAGCCTCAGTCCCTCTGTGGTTCCCCTGACTGAGCTCCTCACTAAAGGGGAGGAATCCCTGGAGCCTCCCCATCCAAGGCCAGCGTGTTCCATTTGAGGGTAACTGGATCCCTGAAATTCACCCCCACACAATCCACAACCTACTACTAGAATGCCATATGCTTTTCTATATGCTGTTGTTTAATTTCAGTTGGTACATATTTTATTTTTTGAAACAGACTTCGTTAGAACATCTTTAGATTTAAAGAAAAATCAAGACTGTAGTACCAAGTTCCCATGTGTGTAACAGCCAGTTTATCCTATTATTTTAACGTCTTATGTTATTTGGTACATTTATTAAGATTAAATTATTGATACTGAAATATTAGGTTGTGCAAAAGCAATTGTGGTTTTTGCCATTAAAAGTAATAGTAATAATAATACTCGGTTGGTGCAAAAGTAAATGTGTTTTTTGCTATTAAAAGTAATGCGGTTTTACTTCTGCAGTTTTTTTGCCATTTGCCAATTACTTTTGCAGTTTTTGCCAGTACTTAAAAGTAATGGCAAAAACTGCAAAAGTAATTGGCAAATGGCAATTGCGGTTTTTGCCGTTACTTAAAATTGCATTACTTAAAAGTTTTTAAGTAATGCAATTACTTAAAACTTAAGTTTTTAAGTAAGTTTAAGTAAAATTTGCATTACTTAAAAGTAATCGCAGTTTTTGCCATTACTTAAAAGTAATGGCACCAACCTAATATTGTTATTACTTTTTACCAACCTAATATTGTTATTAACTAAAGTCCATCGTTTATCATATTGCCTTAGGTTTTTAAAAAATTTTTTACCTAATGACTTTTTTGTGTTCCAGGAGCCCATCCAGGATACCACTTTTATTTATTTTTTTTTTCTTTTTGAGATGGAGTCTGGCTCTTTTGCCCAGGATGGAGTGCAGTGGCGCGATCTTGGCTCACTGCAACCTCCGCCTCGCAGGTTTAAGTGATTCTCCTGCCTCAGCCTCCTGAGCAGGTGGGACCACAGGCATGCGCCACCACGCTCAGCTAATTTTTGCAGGATACCACATTTTATTTAATTGTCAGGTCTCCTTAGCATCTTCTTGGCTGTGACAGTTTCTCAGAATTGTCTTTGTGATGACCTTGACAGCTTTGAGGAGTGCTGGTTGGGTATTCTGTAGGATGCTCCTGTGTTGGGATTTTTATGATGTTTTTCTCATGAGTTTACTGGAGTTAATGAATTTCAGGGAGGAAGACCCCAGAGGTCTGTTTTCATCACATCGTATCAAGCATTCCACCTTCATCATGACTCTTCACTGTTGATGGTGACTCTGATTCACCTGGTCAAGGTAGTGTTCATTAGGTTTCTCCACTGCACACTTAGTCTTTCCCTCTACTTTCCACACTGCTGCCTTTGGAGGAGTGTTGCTGTGCCCAGCTCATGCTTGTGGAGTGGGGATTTAATGTTCTCACTCTTCGAGGGTAGAGTATCTGCATAAACTACTTGGAATTCTGCATGGAATATTTGTGTCTTCTCCCCCATTTATTTATTTAATCATTTATTTATATCACGGTACACTCATGGACATTTATTTTATGCTTTATGTTATAATCCTATACTACTTTATTTATTTTGTTGCTTAAATTTTTCCAGATGGAACAATTTGGTCTTCAAAAGTTGCTGCTGTTGGCTCCTGTGTTCTTGTGATGTACACACATCATGGTGTGGTGTGTTTTTATCTTTGGTTTTGTTTTCACTTCTTTTTTGCTTTTTGTGCCTCCTCTTCCCTCTTCCCCCCACCTCATACATACACAAAGGGCAGCATGCTACTATAATTTCTGGAATCTCAGCCATATTCTTCTTTTTTTTGTTTTAAATAAAAATCATACTAGAGCAGTAGGCAGTGTGGGTGAGTTCTCCCACTTTACATTTTACTTTGCATAATTTAGGCCCCTTTCAGGCCACTCTTCCCCCTGTGCCCCAGGTGTGTTTGCTACCATACCTCCCCAGGGGATAGCCCTCCAAACCTGATTGGCCAACTAGTCTGGTCTTAAAGTCCCAAAGGGAGGCCATCACAAACTACTCAGTATGGAGAAGACCTGAATCCTAATTTTGGCTTAACCCCAAACTTGGGCGATTCAGTTTTACCTGTGTCCTCTCTATACCATAGTTTATGACAAGGGGTTTTCTGTGGCTGGTCTCCAAGGCCTCTTCCAATCTTGACATTCTGTGATCCTGTAAGTCTTTGAATAATGGCCCAGGATGCCAACAAGAAGTCACCAATGAGAGTTCAGGTGTTCTGTTGGAAATCTTTGTAAAATCACAGAGAAAAGGAGAAGAAAAAGAATAAAGAGGAAAAACTGGACACATAAATAGGAAGACAAAGAATGAATGTGGACTGGGGAGAGAAGAGTCATTGACAGGGACAAGAAATAAATAACTTTGATGCAAATCCTGGGAAGACTCTGGAACAACATGGAGGCACCTATGTTAACTCTATTTCATTTTGGAAAAGTTGACTAGACAAAAGGTGCAGAGTAGAGTATGCAGTGATTTCAGGGTGTTGGGCTCTGACAAGATGATGCCGACTTAGACAGTGTTAGTCAACATCAAATGTCTGGATCAAGAGAGGCAAGAATCCCGTGGATTTGGCGTTGGCCAGAACTTGTCTGGAATCTTGTTTTCTGCCTTGAGTGTCACCTGTTGAGAGCTCTGTTGACAAACTGGCATTTGTCCTTGGGAGAGTAGCCTCAGGACCAGGGGTGAAGAGTTCAGTAAACTGTGTTTAACCCAAGGAAAGATACAGGGTGTGTCAGATTTTGTAAGGATTTTCAAGGAGCAGTAGATAGTGGCCCTACAGTGGAATGAACCTTCACACCGAGGATCTGCTTCCTTTGTTGGA
This sequence comes from Homo sapiens, assembly GCF_000001405.40. Classification (NCBI taxonomy): domain Eukaryota; kingdom Metazoa; phylum Chordata; class Mammalia; order Primates; family Hominidae; genus Homo; species Homo sapiens. Next base: position 78,628,150 of record NC_000016.10, read on the forward strand.
GGTGGGAAAGCAAAAGCTGGATGCTTGGAATTGTCATGGCTGCCGTCTGAGTGATGCTACCTTGAGTGGACGGTTTGGCCAACTAAGGAGTAAGGCCTCTCCCTCATGTCACATTGAGTGGTGCTAATGTTTCCTGAAGTTTCCCTTTCTTTTCAGTTCAGTGTTTCAGAATCTCAGCCTTCCAGCAGAATCCCCTTTGTTTGCTCTAAATATACATTCCCAAGCCCCGTGTGGCCATTCTGATTTACTAGGTCTGGGGTTGGGGGATTGTGGGTGCCGAGAATCAGTATTTCTATCAAGCTCCCAAGGGGACCTGATATATACATGGAGCTGAAAAGTACCCACCTAACAGACTTGCCAGCTCCTTAAGGATAAGAACTATATTTTCTTCCTTTTTTTGTATGCCTCCCCATGCAAGGATAATTACACAGAATAAGCACTGAGATGCCTGTTGATGGATTTATTCCAGCAATTTTTTTTTTTTAGCTCTCTTTGTCTGGAACTTTGCAAAATAAACACCATGGTCACTCCGTGCTTTGTGAGTGACGTGCTAGAATGGAATTTCACTGTTTTAAATTCAGGGTTAATTTCTTGCTTTCAAATGAATTATGAAAGGAAGAGGAGAGACCTTTGGAAAAGTCTGAATGTTGATGCCGACGACTAGCCAGGCGCTTCCCTTCCAGCTGGTTTCGTGAGGGATTAAGAGGCCACTGTTGTGAATCTCCCATTAGTGATGGTCCCAGGCCCCCTCCTCATTGTGCATTTATCTTACAAGAGGCATATTTAGGAGATGTTTCCGTTCTATTTTATCTGCAGAATTACTTTCCATTCTCAGGTCTTTTATATAAGTATTCCCTTGAACCCGTTCCAAAAACTGGATTTTTAACCCAATAGACCATAACTGCAGTGTTTTATTGTGCTTACATATTTCAAAATGTGAATGTAAGTAGATTTAGCAAAGTTAAAATAAAATGAAAACTTTTCAAAGGGCACCACTGCTCGCATTCCCATGTTGGAGTTTTCCCTTTGGGGTTCTTATGCCATTTTAAAGACTCTGAAAACAGGAAGACTTTTTCTCTTGGGTATTTTATTTTTTTTTCCTCTGCAAGGGATGGGGTCATAAGACATTGGTGAGGTTAGGCCTTCCTTTGTCTCCCAGGAGCACACTTGATAGCAATGTAGGGTGAATTCCAAATCTGTGAGTTAGTGCCGTATATAGCAGTGTTGTCAGTAAGATTTCTCACTGGCATCTCTGCTTCCCCTCTTGACTCTCTTGAAATCCCTTCTTCAGGCAGAAGCTGGAGTCATTTCTCTAAAATAGAAATCTGATCTTGCCACCACCCTACTTGCCACTCCCTGCTTAATCCCTTCACTGGCTCACCATATCCCTTAGGATAAAATAACAAAATCCTTTCCAGGGCCTGCAAGACCCCTGCCAACCTCTGCAGCTTACTTTGTACCACTTTCCCCAGAAACCTGCTACCTACCCTGCTCCTTGCCACAGGGCCTTTGCACAGGCTCTTGTCTCTGGCTAGAGTAGTCTTCCCATCCTGCTTTAGCTAATCAACTCTTTCTCATCATTTAGGCTTCAAATGGATCATCACTTTCTCTGGGGTGCAGGGGTCTTTCATATAAGTATTTCTTTGAACTCATTCCAAAAAAGTGGATTTTTAGAAATAGAAAAAACTAATTTAGAAATAGAAAATTAATTGAGTTTTAGTTTTTAGAAAATTATCTAAGAAGTAGATTTTTAGAAATAGAAAATTAACGTAGATCACAGAAAATTATCCAAACTCAGTTAATTTTCCCTTTTCCAGCAACTGTATTTGTCCTCCCCACTTCTCTTCCCTGCCTTCTTTTTTTCTCCTTAGCACTTACAATGTCTCACTCATGTAGACTCGAAGCTTCACAAGGGCAGGGATTTTAGTCTATTTCATTGAAAATCTGTCACCAGTCACTGGCCCAGAGAGAGTCCTCAAAAATAATTGTTGAATGAATGAATGAATGAATGAATGATGATGGCGTGATGATTGTGTATTCCTCATCTGGCTGTAAGTTTCACAAGGCCAGGCACTGGGGTCCTATTTTGCTCACTGTTGCTGTGTGGGAAAGAGTTAGTACAGCAGACTGTCGCAAGCTTGGCTCTTGGCTGCATCTGGGAACTTGGAATTTAGGAGGGCTGTCACCATTCCCAGATCAGATAAAGATGGCTCACTCTGTCTAGACTGCTTGTACCAAAAATAGGGCTCATGTGGAATACCTGCTTTCCTTTGTGGAGGCTGGAATTTTGTTATATGCTACAGAGAGGGTGCCTACGTGGCCAACTTCCAATAAAAACTGTGGACACTGAGTCCCTAATACATTTCTCTGGTAGACAATACTTCATATATATTTTCACAGCTCATTTCTGGGGGACTAATTAAATGCATCCTGTGTGACCCCACTGGAAGAGGACATTTGGAATCTTGTACCTGGTTTTCTCCAGACTTCGCCTCATTCACCATTTCCCTGTGCTCATTTTGCCTTGCATCCTTTTGCTGTGATAAATCTCAGCCATGAGTGTGACCGTATGCTGAGTCTTATGAGTCTTCCTTGCAAACCACCAAACCTGGGTTGGCGTTTCAGTGCCTGACACAGTTGTATTCCTAAGACATAGTTGGGACCAGACCTCAAGAAAATAGCCAACAAATACTGGGTGAATGAACGAAAGAGGCCATATGCAGTCAGCCCCCCTCTCTCTGGGTTCTACATATGTAGATTTAACTAATGACAGATTAAAAGCATTCGAACAAACGGAGGGTGGTATCTGTACTGAAAATGTACCAACTGCTTTTTTTTGTCATTATTCCTTAAACAATCCAACATAACCACTATTTATATCGTGTTTATATTGTATTAGGTATTATAAGTAATCTAGAGATGATTTAAAGTGTACAGGAGCATCACATACATTATATGCAAATACTATACAATTTTATGTTAGGGACTTGAGCATTTGTGGATTTTGGTATTTGGGGGGGTTCCTTGAACCAGTCCCCTTTGGATACTGAGGGACAACTGTACAAATCACATTTAGGAGTGGATGCAGGTCAGTCGTGACATCTCATCCACCCCTTCCTCACCCAAGATTCTCCGTGGCTTGTGTCAAGGCCTCACCACATCAGAATATTTCTGCTCATGGTTGCTGAGACAGAGCTGGACAGGTCCAGCATCCATTCCCCAAAACAGAACTCAAACTGACGATCATCAAGATATTCCAGCTATGGCAAACTGCGGAAGAATTAGGACAGATGTATGACTTATTTCATATAAAGCTAAATCAGTTTAATTTATATGATTGTCCTTTATTATGAGATTATGTTCAACAGATATTTTCAGTGTTAAAATATTCTTTTTTTTTTTTTTTTGAGACAGGGTCTGGCTCTGTCACCCAGGGTCTAGCACAGTGGCACGATTTTGGCTCACTGCAGCTTCCTCCTCCCAGGCTCAAGAGATATTCTTGCCTCAGCCCTCCAAGTAGGGCTACACGTGTGTGCCACCGTGCCTGGCTATTTTTTGTAGGGACAGGGTTTCAACATGTTGCCAAGGCTAGTCTCTAACTCCTGGGCTCAAGCAATCTGCTCACCTGGGTCTCCCAAAGTGTTGGGATTATAGGTGTGAACCACCATACCCAGCCAAAATATTCTTTTCAAAGTGATTAGAAGTAGGAGAAGCTTGCTCTCTTTTTATTGGCACTTCTGTCTTACATGCACTTTTTGATTTAAATTATTCTGTCTTCTATGAAATGACAGTGATTGGAGGTGGTTTATTTTTTTTTAAGTCTGCTTACTCGGAAAAATAAAACAAAGTTGACAACCTGATTTCAGACCTCCCAATTTTTTCTTAAAAAAAATAAAAGTCTTCTTGGTCCATGAAATCCAGAAACTGGAGACCAAACTAGCAAATTCGCAAGGAGCTGCTTGATAGAAAAACACTTGAGATCAAGAGTCAGAAATAGCTGGGTTGAATTCCAGTTCTCTCATATTAAGTGACAAGTTGCAGAATGCCCCTGTCTTTCTGAGCTGTTTTTATATCTGTACAATGGGGTTAATACTACTAGTATTTGCTTCCAGGGATTGTTTTGGAGGGGAGTGAGGAATAAATGATATAATTCACTAAAACACGTAGAATAGTATTTGACACAGAGTAGGTCAGCATGCCCAAAGTATCAGAGTCATTATTGAGTTATTCCGCTACCTCCGTATTTGAGTCCTTTCTTTTGGGCTTTCCTACTTAACGTCGCAGATGTTATTTTTTTGAAGAGGGTGTAGGCCAAGAAAGGGGTGGGAGAAACGAGCAAGGTGTTGATAGAACCCCTTAGTGTCCTCCTCATACCACAGACACTCTCTTCCCCCACTTACTTGGCCAATTTTTTTTTTTTTTTTTTTTTGGTGGAGTCTCGTTCTGTCTCCCAGGCTGGAGTGCAATGGTGCGATCTCAGCTCCCTGCAACCTCTGCCTCCCATATTCAAGGGATTCTCCTGCCTCAGCCTCTCGAATAGCTGGGATTACAGGTGTGCGCCACCACGCCCAGCTGATTTTGTATTTTTAGTAGAGTTGGGATTTCTCCATGTTGGTCAGACTGGTCTCGAACTCCTGACCTCAGGTGATCCACCCGCCTCAGCCTCCCACAGTGCTGGGGTTGCAGCTGTGAGCCACTGCGCCCGGCCTACTTGGCCAAATTCTTGCCTGATCGCCTCTCCACCCCTGCTACGTGTAATAGAAAGGTAGGGCCATGTTGGAGAGGGATCCAACATTTATTATCCCCATTTTACAGATGAAGAAGTTAAGGTGGCCAGGCATGGTGGCTCATGCCTGTAATCCTAGCACTTTGGGACACTGAGGTGGGTGGATCACTTGAGGTCAGGAGTTTGAGAGCAATCTGGCCAACATGGTGAAACCCTGTCTCTACTACAAATAAAAAATTAGCCGGGTGTGGTGGCGTGTGCCTGTAATCCCAGTTACTCGGGAGGCTGAGGCAGGAGAATCGCTTGAGCCTGGGAGGCAGAGGTTGCAGTGAGCTGAGATCGTGCCACTGCGCTCCATGCTAGGTGACAGAGCAAGATTCCATCTCAAAACAAAACAAAACAAAAAAACAAGAAGTTAAGGATTGCAGAGCATAAGTATCTTCTATGGGGCTACCCAACTAGGTCGGGACAGGGCAGGGATTTGAACCTAGGAGCTCTTGGATTGCAATTTTTCATTCACCCCTCCCTCTCCACCCTTCCTGTCTTCAAGCCTGAGCAGGTGATACTGCATTTTGTACCGTATGACTTTAAAACAGAACCACGAGTTCAGAACTTTGGTTAGGTCCTGCCCGTGTTCTCTAGCTAACGCATGGCAACGCTGGTTTCCAACCTTTCACTGTGCGGGTTTCTGATGAGTACGCTGGCAGGCCTCTGGCTTCAGAGATGCCACTACAAAGGTCTCCTCCTTTTCATAAACATTGCTGCAAGGCCCGCTTCTCAAGAAAGCAACTTGTGCTACCTCCTGCGTGCTTTTATGCTTCGCTGTGAAGTGCAAAGTTGGGCTGGCAGGCCTGGCTTTCTTCTCCGACTTATGTATGATTCATCAAGAGGACTCCAGGCTGTGGTGTGCGGTGCAACCCGGGCTGTGTTCCCGAGTGCATCAAACGGGGATTGGGACCTGTTTTCCTTCCCACTCACATGTAGGTCACCTACGGGAGCAGGGGAGGAACCATCTGAGGTGTTTTTTTTTTTTTTTTTAGATTTCTCATTGCTGAGAACAGTTCCAGCTCTGCCGACCAAAGGCTGAGTGTCCTTTTATTAGTCTGAGCCCCTAGAGAGACCAAAGAGGCAACCCTCGAGCCAACTGACAGCCAGCTGTGGGGTTGGACCCTGTTTTTCATACAGTGAGCACTCTTGAACCCAGAGAAGGTGCAGGTTGGAGATGCAGCTATATGACTCTGTACCAGAGAGAGACCTTTTTGTACATTTGGAATAAAAATTTTTAGCATTAGAGATTCGCTTTTTTGTGTCTAAATACAAATGTCCAGGAGAATAGGAATGCCATAGTGGTGAGCTAAGAGCAGGCAGTTAGTTAAGTGTATGACAAGTATCTCATTATAAATGGATGCTGAAATGTCCAAGTGTGGAAATGATACGCTTCAGCTCTTATTTTTAAGTCATCCTTATCTCTTTCACTTATTCCCTCATTCAGGCACCAAAAATGCTGTTTGACTGGGAGAGCAAGTGGAGCTGTTCAAAGTTGTAGGGACAGCCGGGCGCAGTGGCTCATGCCTGTAATCCCAGCACTTTGGGAGGGCGAGGCGGGCAGATCACAAGGTCAGGAGTTCGAGACCAGCCTGGCCAACATGGTGAAACCCCGTCTCTACTAAAAATACAAAAATTAGCTGGGCATGGTGGCGGGCGCCTGTAATCCCAGCTATTCAGGAAGTTGAGGCAGGAGAATCATTTGAACCCAGGAGGCGGAGGTTGCAGTGAGCCAAGATTGCGCCACTGCACTCCAGCCTGGGTGACAGAGCAAGACTCTGTGTTAAAAAAAAAAAAAAAAAAAGTTCTAAATCAGTGGATTCTGCCGATAAACATCATCTGGACGGAATGAAGCTGAGGGCCAATAGTTTAGAGGCTCAGCACCCGACTGGAGAGAGAGAGAGAGAGAGAGAGAGAGTGTGTGTGTGTGTGTGTGTGTGTGTGTGTGTGTGTGCGCGTGCATGTGTATACGCTGGTGTTTAGGTGGGCTTGAGAAAAGTGCTGACTTTGTGAACGAGGAGGAGGGAAAGGGTCCAGAGCAGTAAAGAGCCTGTAAATAAATTCATACCAGCTTCAGCCCCATGCTTTCGTTTGGGATTCCTCATCCAACCCTGACGGCTTCCCTGCGGGACATATTTCCCCCTCTTACAGATAGGAAACCTTGCCCAATGTGATTACGCCAGGAAGTCAGATTTCAAATCTAAATGTGCCTAATGCCAAAACTGTACCTCTTGCCACTCAACATCTGCAGTCAAAGGCTTCCTGACTCAGGATTTGCTGGGGTCTGGCTCTGGGCTATTAGAATTAGATGCGTGAGACCCTTTCAATCTAAACCTTAAGTATTTTGCCTGTTGGACAGATGCCTGGTTGTCCCTTTAATCCATCGCCCAAAAAGCCTGAGGAAGGATGGCAGGTGGACTTGGATCTAGGCCACTCCCTTAGATCCTGATTAGGGGACCTCTGCGACTGCTCATCTGGGAGGAACTAGGGGAGCGCTAATGTGTTGTCCTTGACTGGGCAAGAAGGGAAGGAGAATTGTGAAACATGCACAATTAGAAGTCGTGCACCTGGGTTCATATCCTGGCTGGGCCACTTACTTTCTGGCGGGTGGGGAGGGCAGACAAGTTGCTCATCCTCTCTGCGCCTCAGTTTCTTCATCTACAAAATGAAGATGTTGGTTATTTCTTTATTCAAGGGTTGTTGAGAGGATGAAGTGCTAAAAATGCTTGACCAGCATTCACACAGGCACTAAGACGGTGAGTACTCACTACTTAGCGCTGTCAACATCATCTCCGTCCACATCAATGTCGTCATCGTCCTTATGAAAAGCCCTGGGCATCATTTTGCCCTTGAGCTGGATGTCCATGTTGGAAAAACAGCTAGTGGAAGGCGTGCCCAAATCTCAGAAGTTGGCGTTTCCTTGCAGATATCATTGGTGGCCATTGGAGGGGAAAAAGATGCTTTGGAAACCAGGACACAGAGAAAAGTGCCTCGTATTATACAGAGCCAAGAGAGGTCACTGTGGAAGTACAGAGGAAGCCTTGGCCTAATTGCACGGTTAATACAATTCCGTAACTCATCCTGCCAACACGAAGGTAGATGGACGGTCCTTATGCTCGCTGCGGAACACTGCCTGTGTTTTCCTAGGAGAGACATCTGCACTCTAGTAGTGATTAAAATGCCTTTGACAGGCTCTTGCTATTAAGAGTTTCTGGCTCCAGTTTAATAAAAGGTAGTATATTATAATGGAAACCAGGTTATTATTGATAAGGACTAGACATATTAGAGACCAGGTTAAAGCTTTGATAGTCCCAAATGCAAGGGGAGGGAGCTAAGGGTTATTGCAAACCTACTGTGTGTCAATTGCTCTACCAGACACCTCAGAGACATCACAGCCAAAGACCCCCACCTTTGAATAAACCAAGTTTGGCCTCTCTGATATATTAATATATTTAATCATCAGACTTTCAGTGTTAAAGGAGATTACAGTAGAGGCATCCAGTTGATTGGGGAATAGTTGTTGCAAATGATAAGCTCTTTTGAATAAACTGATACTGACTTAATGAGGTTCTGCTGTGTACTATCTTTTTTTTCCTAATAGAAAATAGAGTAGCTGCCCTCCCCATCCGCCATTCTCAGTCCTTTTGCTTACTAGTAATGACCCTCTTTTCTCTCACTCCATGGGAACTTTTAAAACTGATAATTAATGGATTTTTAGCCTCAAGTTTCTGGAATTCTAAGAGGGCCTGAAAGGTAAGTGCTCACTTACTGAGGTGTGTGAACAAAAACAGGCAACCTAGCTCAGCAAGTAAGAATGGAGTGGCATCTCCCCACCTGCTCTGGAGTCATGTGTTTGCTTCTGGAAGGGAGGCAAGAGGCATTCAACCTCCTGTTAATTTGGTTGCTCCTTCAGATACGCTCTTCATGGTACAGCCCTGAGCTGCATCATTTAAAGACCAATTGTTAAGGACCAATCTGAGGGCCTGTGCATTAGTTAAAACTCCTTATCTGGTCATAGAGGGTGGTGTGGTTTGGACGCGTTCCCCTTGTCTGTGCAATTCCCAACAGAGGCAAGTGCGCATTTGAGACAGGTTGAGGGTTCAAGCTGTCCAATCCCTGCTCATCTGCAGCACACCAAGGAATGTGGACTAATGAAAAATAAACTGCATGCATGCAATGCCCATCACACTGCCTGCATTTTCTAATCTTCACAATAACTCTGTGTTGAGAAATATTCCTGTCTGTAATCCCGGCACTTTGGGAGGCTGAAGCGGGCAGATCACCTGAGGTCAGGAGTTTGAGACCAGCCTGGGCAACATGGTGAACTCCCCCCAACCAACGACCCTTCCCATATCTACTAAAAATACAAAAATTAGCTGGGCATGGTGGTGGGGACCTATAATCCCAGCTACTTGGAGGCTGATGCAGCAGAGTCTGTTGAACCCAGGAGGCAGAGGTTGCAGTGAGCCAAGACAGTGCCACTGTGTTCCAGCCTGGGCAACAAGAGTGAAACTCTGTCTCAAAAAAAAAAAAAAATTGTTTCTGGCCCCACGTTACAGATGAGGCTTTTAAAGATACCCAGCCAATGGTCCACAGTGATGTAACTCATCAGTGGTCCACCTGACATTGGAAATTCGGTTGCTTTGGAACCTTCTACTACATCCCCTTTCCTTACTCACTGACATCATTCCCAGATCAAAGAAAGATAAAAGAAGGAAGGGCTGGAGACGTTGTTTTCCTGTATGCTCCTTGATGAAGGGCTCAGAGCTAAGCGCGGAGTAGGTGCTTAAGCCCTTCCATTTGAAAGGAGCTTTAAACACCTTTGGTGGCAGCTAAGAGTGTCAAAATGGAGGGATGTGTAGGGGACCTAGGGCCTGGGTAACATTGTCCCAGGCCAGGGCCTATTGTGTTGTGTGTGTCTCCACTTTCCAGCCTTTGGGAACGCAGAGGGGGACCTCTGTAATTGGTACCAGCATCCCTTCCTTGCAGGGTCCGTCCTTCCTCTGAGTTGGGGGAAGGGGTCTCCATGGTTTCTTCTACCAGGTAGACCCAGAATCACTTTCAACTTGCTCACCTGTCTGTGCAGTGTTTGAGTTCTTCCCTGGGAAGCTTGCTCACATCATCCACTTCTCTCTGGGTTCTCCGTACCGCTTTCCCCAATCCAAGCTAAGCTCTTCTCTTAGTTATTCTAATAACTGCCCAATATCAGGCACTACCCTCAACACTGTTTCCCATGGCAATTATTTTACATGACAGTTTAAAAAACAGGAATGCTCGATTTGTATTCCCATTTTGCAGACAAGCCAACGAAGGCTTGGAGGGGTTGAATGGCCCAAGTTTCCTAAGTGGCCAGGGGCAGAGTCAGGATCTGAACCCAAGACATAGGCCCAGGAGTCTGTGTTTGTTCTTTAAACCTCTCTATTCAGTTGCCCAGCTCTTTTCATTCCCTGTCCTTTCCCCCTCTGGCTGGGTCTGCCTTTCCAACCGCTACCACCTTCCACCACCATTTTTTTTTTGTTTCCTCTGCAAGCAACATCTGAAAGGCCCAGACCCAGCTTGTTGGCCTTGGGCTCTGATAAGATCTGTCTGCACTCCTTTTGTCTGGCCTGTACCTGCCTTTTCTGAATGACCCTGTTAATTGCAATTGACTCTCATAGAATGTGGATAGCAGTGCCACTTGACACCAGACTAATGCTTCTGACTTTTCCATGGTGCCCCAGCAGCAGGCTGGAGGGAAGGGCGGGGGCGGTCAGAGGAGAGATAGAGCACTTCAGATTCCAATCGAATACATTAGAGCATTAGAGCTTTTCTCTTCCTCAGGGTGCTCTCTCTCTCTGGGTTGGGAGGAGATGTGGCATTTCTAGGAATTCACAGTAAAATCAGAAATAATTAGGAGATTTCACAGTTGTAGCTCCTGTGAAGATTCAGGAATTTTTTTTTTCTTCTATTTGCAAGCTTTAGTCCTAGGCATGGAAAAAGAACTTTGAAGAAAACCTGAGAGATATCAGTGTAAAACAAGAGAATGATTCCCTCTGGGGTGCTGGTAGTGGGGGCTTAATTTCCTAAAGGCTTACTGGGTATCAGGGCTGCTTTCCTTTATAATCTTTTACCCGTCTTATGGGGGATGAACAGAAACACACTTTAGTGCTAGAAAAGCTGGGCCTAAAAGACCAGTCTCCTGTCCCATACTTGGACATTTATTGTTCTTTTTGGGCAAGGTGAAAACTTGAAACCAAAAGTCTGTTGAGTTTGGAAGACTTGACTCCCAGGATGTACAAAGTACTTCTGCATGTGCGCAAAGTCCTGTAGGCCCAGGCATCAATGACACATGCAGTGTGGGCCCAGGCATCGATGACACACGCAGGGAAGCAACCCAAGCTGGGTCAGTCCTTACAAGGAGACCGGCACCTGGGCTCACACCTTGCCGTATATGACTTCATGGGAACCTCATAACAGACCTGTGGGCTCAGAATTATTCTCTCACTTTGCAGATGAGGAAATGGAAGTGCACAGAAGGAAAGTAAGAGTGTTTGAGATCCTGTAGTGGGTTCATTGCTGAGAATAAACCCGGAGTTGCCTCTGGGAGGACCTGGTGGTGGGTGGGATGGAGAGAGAGGCCTCCCCTCAGACTCCAGGGGCACAGATTGGATTTTTTTTTTTTCCAGACAGTTTCACTCTTGTTGCACAGGCTGGGGTGCAATGGTATGATCTTGGCTCACTGCAACCTCTGCCTCCCAGGTTCGAGTGATTTTCCTGCCTCAGCCTCTGGAGTAGCTGGGATTACAGGTGCCCGCCACCACGCCCAGCTAATTTTTTGTCTTTTTTAGTAGAGACAGGGTTTCACCATGTTGGCCAGGCTGGTCTTGAACTCCTGACCTCAGGTGATCCACCTGCCCCAGCCTCCCACAGTGTTGGGATCACAGGTGTGAGCCACCATGCTAGGCCCAGATTGGCTTCTGTGTGAGGATGAAGAGTAATAGGAAGATAGAGTGGTGATCTAATGTCAACTGTGGAGGGAGTGGGAGGCAGGTGTTCGCAGGGCACAGCTGGTTTCCTTTTTGAATCCCACACAGTGCTGGGGCAGTTTCATAGCCTGTGACCACACAGATAGGAAAGTGACACAGCAACACCAGGCAGATTCATTTTCTTTAAATGAGGGGTTCAAAATAGAAACACAAAGCATTGAGTATTGAGAAGAAATGGATCTTCAGGTTTGGAGGGAGGCCGATAGAGAGTGTCTGGAGTTGCCAACGTCCTCTCCTTGGGTCATGGGTGTGTGTGTGTGTGTTTTCTTCTTGTTGTTGGGTTTTTTTTTTTTTTTTTTTTTTTTTTTTGGCTTTTGCGCCTATGGTGACTTTTAGCGAATGGATACTATTGAAGGAATGTTTCACTTCCAAATCCAGATCTCTGACTTCCCTTGAAAATTTGGAGTGCCACTCAAGTCGGCCGCTCTGAGCTAGAATCCTGGTGTTCAGAATTGGCAGGAAGGGCACAGGGGCAAGGTATAGGCTCACGTCTCCACATTCTGCACCTCCCAGGCTCCTGCCATTGATGTGAGCGGGTTCCTGTACTGCATGAAGCAGGGGTTTGCATCCGAAACAACCACCCGTGCTGAATATGTAGGTGATACGTTGATCTGTACAGCAAACCACCATGGCACACATTTACCTATGTAACAAACCTACACATCCTGCACATTGTACCCTGGAACTTAAAAGTTGGTGAAAGAAAGAAGGGGCCGGGCATGGTGGCTCACGCCTGTAATCCTAACATTTTGGGAGGTCGAGGCAGGCAGATTGCCTGAGCTCAGGAGTTGAATACCAGCCTGGGCAACACGGTGAAACCCCGACTCTACTAAAATACAAAAAATTAGCCGGGCGTGGCAGTGTGTGCCTGTAATCCCAGCTATTCGGGAGGGTGAGGCAGGGGAATTGCTTGAACCTGGGAAGCAGAGGTTGCAGTGAGCCGAGATCATGCCACTGCACTCCAGTCTGGGTGACAGCGCGAGATTCTGTCTTCAAAAAAAAAAAAAAGAAGAAGAAAAGAAAGGAAGGACAGATGGAAGGAAGGAAAAGGGAAGGGAAAGGAAAGGAACCAGCTGCAAAAATTGTCCTAACTGAGCATTACTGTAACATAGAACAGCTGAAACACTCCTCAAAGCTGAGAGGAGGGTTTGGGAGAGAAGCAGGCTGTGGTTGTGAACAGGTGCCTCCTCCAAAAAAATTCTCTTCCTTGGATTTCAAAATGACCCCCGTTGACAACAAAGCCTTTCACGCTGTGTTTATTTTTTTTCAGGTCTAAGTTTCCCCCAGGAGATTTTTTTTTTCTAAAGGAAAAGGCAGAGAAGCCCCCAGACCGGAGCCACAATCAAATGCAAATATGACAATAGGACCCATCCTGGAGAGAAAAAGCCTTCTTTTTAATTAGAAGCCTGGAAGGACATACCCTTTAATTGCTGCACTTGTAGTGTCAGGGTTATCAATATCCGTGGCTCTTTCATTAATAAACTGGCGAGTCAGAAAGCAGCAGGAGTGGGAACCTCTCCCCACCCAATCCCCTCTCACGCCCCAAGCTCTATTTAATCAACTGCAGACTCAATCAAATGGGGAAAAGAACATGTAAATCAGCTCATTCATTCTGCTGGCCCTAAATAGGTAGAAGGAAGGGAAACATGAAAGGGAGCCTTCATCTGTTTTCCTGCAGATGCCCGGCTCGTGGTTAACCCAAGCAAGAGGTAGTTAAACGGCCCCGCAGATTGCCAGTGACTCCGGGAATGCCTAGGTTTATGTATGGATTAACACAGTGATAGACCCTGAGTAGCAAAAGACGAAGACTAATTACCTGACAGAGCTCCCCTCCACTCGCCTGGGTCATTGAAATTAATTTCTGCTTTCAAGCTTGGCAGAAAGCAGCTGCAGAATTTCAGTTCAATACTTAAATTAACGGGGAGCCGAAATTATTTCTGTGCACAGGCAGTATTAGAGGAGTGGCTTACCAAATAGATCTTGATCGCAGACACGGAAAAAAGGATTATTCCTCCCCTTTTATCAAGAGCCGTAAGTCCTTGGAAAATGCAAAGAGGGGGAAAAAGAAGAAAAACAGCAACGAGTTTATTGGAGAGTTAACACTTAAATACTCCAGTACATTGAGTGTGACATGCCTGTGTAGGAGACTGTCTGTCCCCCAAATAATTGACAATTTCTCTCCATCTAACAAGAAAATATATGGCACTTTTATATATACTTGAATTGGAATCCCTAATCCAGAGATAATTTGTGAATATCCATTCTATAGCATCCCATGTTGTCAAGAAGGTGTTGACTTACTGCAAGGTTAAGGAAATGGGTGGAGAATGTAGGGAGGAGGTGGAGGATAAAGGATAGGACTAGGAATCAGAGTTGGGATTTGAACCCAGGGCTTCTGTCTCCAGATTCCTTGTTCTGTCCCTTTATGCTGACTTTCCTTTTTTGCTCAAAGTCTCTCTCCTTGCTTCTTTCTCTTTGGGCTCCCTGCTTTTATTTCGGCCCTGATGGAATCTGTCGACTTTACTGAGCTCCATGTATGTGCACCAGGTCAGATTCAATGCTGCCTAGGTCCACAGTCCTCAGTTATTTGTTCCTGTGATTTTCGCGCCACCAGGAGCCACTTGTTGGATGAGATTTCCGGGCAAGTTGAGTCTCCATGTTTTTGTCGTGGGCTACTGCCAGCTGAGATATGGATGAAGACTCCCTTTCATGTTTCCCTTCTTTGGTGTCCATGGCAGTTCCCACCTCGACCGCTATGGTATTTCTTTTGCTTCTGCTGAGGCTGTGTGTGGGTGCACATCAGGATACCTCAGTGGGGAACTCAGGGCGTGAGGCACACTCATGACAGATGCAGGAAAAACATCTCTTTTCTAACTGTCCAGCTCTTTAGGATTAGGCAATACTTTAATAATCAACCAAATTCTGGAATCCTACTGCCAAATTATGGCACTCATCCTACTTGGTGTAAAATCCTGGGATGATAGCTTATAATAGTAATAATAAGACCTGCTTCCCGGTGATTCTCTAAGGATTAAATCAGTTCATGGAGATGAAATACTTAAACTGTGCCTGGCACAAAGTAAATGTTAGTGCTACTATTATCCCTGCTGCTGTTAACCCCAACTAGATAAGCCAAGATAAGGTGCTCTCCATTGTTTACCTGAACAGGCAGAAAAGCTCTATGCAGCTATCCAGACCCAAGAGGATCCGACAGCTCTGGAACTTGTAATATTTGCAGCATGTCTTGCCCTCTTAATGTCTAAGAAGTCAAAAAAGGACACGTATGCCTAGAAAACATGAATAATTATCATCTATCAAATTTTTACCATGTGCCAAGCATAGTCATATTTGGCTAACGAAAACAACAAAATCAACCGTGACAAGGTTTTATTAGTAATGAAACTGAGGCTTCTGGAGGATCTGTAACTGTTGCAAATTTCCAGTGGCTAGTTCAGGGACAGTGCCGGGGCTTGAACCCCTGTCTCTGTGTCTCCCAGCTCATAAGGTGTGCTACCAAGTCACCCATGAGTAGCAATTAGGCGACTTCTAACATGTCCAGCTTTAAACCTGTGACCTCAAGGCAAATGACTTCCACATCTCATTAGCACTCCCCAGAGCCTTCCAGCCCCCTGTAGGAGAGGGAGGTTAATCAGCCACGCGCTGAATCTGCTTATAAGGCTGTTTCATGTATGATTTTTATATCTTGGCTCCTAATAATGGCCCCGTTGTAAATGATTGTCTCACTATGATATACGGGTTCCTTACCTTCTAGGAACTGATTTAAAAGGAAGCCCTAGACTTCTTGTGCCTGTAGAGTTTATTCATATCACTCTTTGCTTGCTCAGCAGTTGAAATGGGATGGAGGAAAGCCCCCTAACTCCAAAAAAAAAAAAAAACTTTCTTCCCAGCCTGAGACAGTTGCCATAATTAGTAACCTGCAGCTCCCTTGATATCTTGATGATACTTTATTAAAACAAACAAACAACAAAAAACACAGCTGGGTGCGGTGGCTCACGCCTGTAATCCCAGCGCTTTGGGAGGCCAAGATGGGCAGATCACGTGAGGTCAGGAGTTTGAGACCAGCCTGACCAACATGGAGAAAACCTGTGTCTTCTAAAAGTACAAAATTAGCCAGACATGGTGGTGCATGCCTGTAATCCCAGCTACTCAGAAGGCTGAGGCGGGAGAATCATTTGAACCTGGGAGGTGGAGGTTGTGGTGAGCTGAGATCACGCCATTGCACTCCAGCCTGGGCAACGAGCGAAACTCTGTCTCAAAAATGAATGAATGAATGAATGAATGAATGAAATACTACTTCTCCCTGTCCTCCCCACCCTAAGCATCTGATCAGACAGGTAGTGCTGGTGGACAGATGGACAGACACCTACCCCATATGTCACCTCCCTCCTCTATGCAAACAAAAATTTTAATTATTTCTAGAATGACTTAGGAGAGCAAGTCATGTGGGATATATAGCGTCAGGGAGCGTATTTTCAAACCAAAAACCTGGGCCCTTATTTTTTTTTTCTTTTTGAGACAGAGTTTTGCTCTTATTGCTCAGGCTGCTGTACAGTGGGGCAAACTCAGCTCACTGCAACCTCCGCCTACCAGGTTCAAATGATTTTCCTGCCTCAGCCTCCCAAGTACCTGGGATTACAGGAGCCTGCCACCACGCCTGGCTAATTTTTTGTACTTTTAGTAGAGATGGGGTTGCACCATGTTTACCAGGCTGGTCTGGAACTCCTGAACTCAAGTGATCTGCCCGCCTTTGCCTCCCAAAGTGCTGGGATTACAGGCGTGAGCCACTGTGCCCAGCCAAACCTCGGCACTTTTATCCAACAAATATTTATTTCGTGACTATTATGAGTCAGGCTTAAGAATACACTAGTAGGTACAGCAGGAGAGCATGTAGAAGAGGATAGATGTAGAAAATCGGGACGGCATGTTAGGAATATAGATAGGAATTACTAAGGAAAATTGTATTTTTGTGGAATTCTTTGAACTCGTTACTATTAGTAAACGGTGAGTTTTGGTTCTACTCTTCAATGAGTTTAAGATGAAGGAAATCATTAAATAGTGCTTTCTTTTCTTCAAAAGTTGGGTTGCATTGCATAGTTAAAGTTCTTTAAATTCTTCTCTAAACCCCAAGGCTAAGCAATATACAATCTAGTTACAATGGTCTGCTTGCTGTTACCAGAATCTGTCAAGCTCTTTCCTATCGAAGGGTTTTTTCCATGTACTGGTTTCTCTCCTGCGTGGTCTTGTTCTACCCTTGAGGAGGGTACCACCTCCTCATTGCTTAGTTGTCAGTATAAATGCTCCTTTCTCAGAGAGGCCCATCCTGACCATCTGTGTTTTTTTCCTATCAATGCTTTAACAAATGACCACCCATGGGTGGCTTACATACCATGAATGTCTTCTCTTACCATTCTGGAGGTCAAAAGTCCAAAATGGGTCTGTCTTAGTCCTTTTGTGTTGCTATAAAGGAATGCCTGAGCTGGGTCATTTACAAAGGAAGGAAATTTATTTGTCTCATGTTTCTGCAGGATGTCCAAGAAGCATGGTGCCAATGTATTTCTGATGAGGGCGTCAGGCAGCTTCTACTCATGGTGGAAAGTGAAGGGGAGCCAGCATGTTCAGAGAACATATAGGGAGAAAGGGAGCAAGAGAGGGGAGGGGAGGTGCCAGAGACTTTAAAAGAACCAACTCTCTGGGAACAAATAGAGGGAGAACATTAATCTAGCCATGAGGGATCCACCCCCGTAACCTAGACTCCTGTCATCAGCCACGGCCTCCAACATTGGAGATCAAATTTCAACATGAGATTTGGAAGCAACAGACATCCAAACTATAGCAGGGTCTCCTTGGGCCAAAATCAAGGTGTTGGCAGGGCTGGGCTCTGGGGGCTTCTGGGGAGAATTTGTTCTGACTTTTTCGATTTCTGGAGGCCACCTGTGTTCCTTGGCTGGTGGCCACATCTTCCATCCTTAAAACCAGCAGTGCAGCGTCTTCAATTCTGTCCCTGGCTCTGCTCCTTCTCTCCCCCTCCTCTCCCCCTTTGTCATCTTTTTAGGTTTATTTGTGACCTTTTAGATCCTTTGTGACTGCATTGGTCTTCCTTGGGTAACTGCGCATACTCTCCTCATGTCAAGAACTTACATCCCTCTACAAAGTCCCATCTGCCATGCCAAATAACACCTTTGCAGGTTTCAGGGTAGAGCATGGATGCCTTTTGATTTTGATTTGGTTGTTTTTGGTAGAGATGATATCTTGCTCTATTGCCAGGCTGATCTCGGACTCCTGGGCTCCATCAATCCTCTTGCTTCCCAAAGTGCTGGGATTATAGGTGTGAGCCAGTACACTTGGCCTTTTGGCACCATTATTCTGCCTGCCATCCTGTCCTAACTAAAGAAAGTAAGGTCCCTCCATCCTCCATCTTAGCCCTTCTTTCCTTAGCCTCCTAACACTCAACGCAATTTATATATTTTAATTTTTTTTTTGAGACAAAGTTTCACTCTGTCACCCAGGCTGGGGTGCAGTGGCGTGATCTTAGCTCACTGCATCCCCTGTCTCCCGGATTCAAGCAATTCTCTGGCCTCAGCCTCTCTGGTAGCTGGAATTACACGTATGTACCACTACTCCCGGCTAATTTTTGTCTTTTTAGTAGAGACTAGGTTTCACCATGTTGGCCAAGCTGATCTCAAACTCCTGACCTCAGGTGATCCGCCCTACTGGGCCTCCCGTAGTGATAGGATTACAGGCCATTGTGCCTGGCGTATATATTTTAAATTTTATTTTTCAGTTTACTTGGTTTTGCCTCCTTCTAGAACTAGAACATAAGCTCTCTGAAGTCAGGGACCATGCCTAGAATCGCCTTCCTTTTATCTCCCATCAGCCGAAACTAACTCTGCTGTGTCACGCTGTGTTAGGCTGTGTTGGCTGTGAGTAAGAGAAGTCTCACCCAACTAGCTGAAGCGAGGTGGGTTGGAGGGGGGATGCCTTGTGGAAGTGACAACTCTAGGCACGTAACTGGCTCAGACTCTGCTGGGCCCAGATATACAGATGTCATCAAGAGTCTTTCTCTTCCTTTTGAGCCCAGCTCTCCCTTTGTGACCCAGCAACTTCCTTCCCCGATGATGGCCAAGCCTTGAGGATGTGAAACTGCCCAGTGCCCCAATCTGGAGTCCACCATCCTGGGTCTAGCTGGGGACATCCTTGAATCAGCCTCTGGGAATCACTGAACCAACATGAGTCACTTGCTACTGTGAGATCTCAGAACACATGGATCAGGACAGAGGGCAGGGCTGTTTCCCCAAGGAAATCCAAATGCTTTACAGGAAGGGGAGTGGATGCTGGCCCGGCCCAGGCGAGGATGAGGAGTAACTGAGCTGCAGACCATTGTTTAGCCCTCCTTCCACCTGGGAGACTGGCTGCTGGTTCTCATTGCTTCTGTGGGTCTCCAGGTTTCTATCATTACACAGATTAGCACACGGTTCCATGATCATGGACCCGTTCAGTACACAATGAAATCATTTGCAAAGCACCTTGGGGTCTGTTAGAGAAGGGAATGGATGTCTGAGGTATGCTAAGCCTAATCTCCATCTTCTCAAAGCTCCACTGCCACTGTCCCGTAAGGGTGGGCAGATTCCTCCCCATTCTATAAAATAACAGCTACCATTTCCTGAGGGCATACTGAGTGCTGACAGGCACATCAACATCAGACCATCACCTTCTTATACCTCAAAATAGTCTGCAGGGTGACTCAGAAGCTCCTGGCTGGTAAGTGGCAGATCCAGAGATGAAACCCAGATCTAACTGGACCCAAGACAGAAATTTCTAGAACAGAAGCCACAAACGTGTTAGCTAAGTCTGGTTATGTCAAGTGGAATATTTCTGGCTTTGGGGGATCCCAGCTCTTTTTTTCTCTCTCACTCTGAGTATTTAGAGGCTTTTATTGCTATTTTTCTAAAAGGCAACATTAGTAATCAACTTTGCCAAAAATTTCATATGAACGGTGGGCTTTTCTTTCTCATTTGCTTTCGCTTAGTATTTTCCATTATTCATTTGGCTTCTTGAACCCTCCCTATCTGTACCCCACACTTACTCTTATTCACCCAGAACAGGTGTGTGCCACCTTGGAGAAGATGAAGCCAGAGAGAAAATCAGTCAGACAGGAATTATGTTGAAAGGTGACTGAATACATTACCACCTCCCAGGAGTTGAATGAAAAACGGCTATTTCTTTAGGACGTCAAACCACCTTTTTCCTCTCTAATTCATGCATATCCCTATACAAAGACCCAAGGTGGTGAGGGGCTGGTTTTTAGATAGTCTGGAGGCCCTCTGAGAATGCGAGGCCCTTGTTGTAAGGAAACGCTGGTGGGTGCTCACTCCTTCATCAGGAGCCAGCCGGCTCCCCTGCACTTACTGCTTTGGGGAAGAGTTTTTGTCAAGATCATTTTTGCAGATGGTTGTAAGGTAAACAGTCACTGGTCCCTAGGATATCTTGCTAATGAGACACCAAAGATACACATGGACAATGGCCAGACCATATTTTGTCACAGAATGCCGACCCACAAGCTCTGGAGCAGTCAACTCAGAATGGTCAGGACTTGGTCAGTAATGCCCATTTTTGCTAAATTTTGTCCCCACTTCCAACGCAGGACCAACCAGAGAAAGCCACATATGCTCCCCAAACCAATCATACAGGATGTCCTGGTCTAGGGAGCCCACCTCCGGCTTCCCCATGTCCACAGCCTCCAATCGGAGCATACTGGAAGTCATCCACTTTCTTTTTTGTTTAACCATAAAGCTTTCTTTCTCTCCACCTCCTTTGAGCCTCTGCCAAACACAACTGATGGTGGCTGACTGCCTGGCTGCAGGAAGTTCTGAATAAGTGACCTCTATTTGTTATTATTTGGGTTCCCTTTGTTTATTTTTACACTAGCTTTGCACTAGGTTAATTTTTTCCCACATGGCTTTTCCTGTTTGTTTCTTTGATTGTTTTTAATTAATAATTAGTTTGCTTATTTATTTGTTTATTTTTTGAGAGGGAGTCTCGCTCTGTCACCCAGGCTGGAGTGCAGCAGTGTGATCTTGGCTCACTGCAAACTCCACCTCCCAGGTTCAAGGGATTCTCCTGCCTCAGTCTCCCAAGTAGCTGAGATTACAGGCGCCCACCACCAAGCCCAGCTAATTTTTTTGGTTTTTTTTGTATTTTAGTAGAGACGGGATTTCACCATGTTGGCCAGGCTGGTCTCAAACTCTGGACCTCAAATGATCCAACCGCCTCGGACTTCCGAAGTGCTGGGATTACAGGCGTGAGCCACCGTGACTGACCTGTTTTTAATTTTTTTAGAGACAGAGTTTCACACTGTTTACCAGATTGGAGTGCAGTGGTGCAATCCTAGCTTACTGCAGCCTGTAGGTCCCGGGCTCAAGCGATCTTCCCACCTCTGCCACTTGAATAGGTGGGACTACAGGTGGGTACCACCATACCCAGCTGTTGAAAAAAAAATGGTGGGGTATTACTCTGTTGCCCAGGCTGGTGTTGAACTCCTGGCCTCAAGCGATCCTCCTGCCTCGGCCTCCCAAAGTGCTGGGATTACAGGCTTGAGCTACTTCCCCAGGCTCTTCCCCCGTTTGTTAATACATACCATGACCTTGGCCTTTCCCACCTCTTAGGTTTTGCTTACTTTCCCTTCTGTCCTTTACTTATGACTCTGCCCCCTTTTGACCTCTGCTAAAATTATTTGTTACTGTTGTTATGTTATTATTTCATGTGTTAAGTCTACAGTGTATAACTTGGGTTTACTTATCTCATTTAACCCTTAGGAAAACCTTACACTTAAATACTCAAAGCCTTGATTTTGCAGGTCTGATTGATGGGCATACAGAGGAATTAAATGACCTTGTCTTCCACATATGGTATAAGGCACAGTAGTGGAAGCAGGATCCAAATCTGTGTCTGTGTTTGGATCAACAGCCCTGGCCACCATCTTGATTCATTTCTCTTATCTGTAATTCTATGGAGGGAGGTTCCATTGTATATTTTTTTCTTTCAATTACAGTATTATTTGTATATTGGAAGCCTATTGTACTTTATCTGTGTAACTGTCGTAGCAGCTAGAGGCTAGTAGGACTGGCTGAAATGTCAGAGGAAGGAGGGAAGAAAAGGGAGAAAAGCAGGACAAATGAACGCAGATTAAGGAAAATAAAAAAGAGTGTTTGGCTAACTTGCATAAAAAGGATCTCATTTTTCTTTGTAACACATTACTACATACAGTGACCATAGTGTTTCTCTAATTTCTTCAGGACTTACTTTGAAGATGAAGAAGTATGTGTATCCGCTTTTTGTCTTTCAGAATAACATACTGCTGTCTGTAAAAATACAGATAATTTCTCTCTTAAATTCCATAAGCTGGAGACACTGCCCCTGTTTCAAATGAATACAGATTCATTTTGTCACCTGTGTGAAATTGGTGTCCGTGTGCCTTGCTTCCTAGGCTGTCCACCATGACATCAGCCTGCCCATGCAATGCTTGAGATTTGCCCTGTGACTCAACCCAAATCTAAAGCCCGAGTCGTATGAATCCAGGACACCTGCCTGCAAATGCATTTTTCATGTATAGGTTATTCACTCTGGTCTTTGAGATTATGTAATTAGCATATGTTGTCATAGTGATGTATTTATTATAATGGAGGTGTTCTCAGGAAACCAGATTTAATACTTTTAAATCAGAGGCCAACATGGACTTTTAGGAATTCCATTCACAGTAAATTTTATGCGTGGTGAAAGGTTATGGAATGGGTTTCCATGCCATGTCTCCCCCTGTCCCACAAATCTCAGCTGGCCTGCAAAGGTTCCACTGTGGATTTTTGCCAGCCAGCCACGCTGATGTAGACAGAATATTTCGGATTTATATTATTGCTTACTTGGCACATCTTCCATTGGAAATGGAATAGAGAAAAGGTGGCTTGGCTGTTTGGTTTATGTCCTAAAACCTTATCGTAATGTGATTCTCCTTAACAGAGGGATTCGTAAGCTTAGGACTGATAGAGATTTGGCTTTTCTGCTGTTGGATTGATAGCTCCTTGACTGCTGAAGCCATTGCCCATCTGTTCAACTGTTGTATTCACGAGGAGGTTAGACCCCTGACCCAAGGCCCAGGTACCTGGCTTTCCTCAGTTGGGATCAGAAGGCCACAAAGTTTTCTTATATTTTAAGCATCAAAGTAGCACCACTGTACAGCATCTTTACTTAATCTGCCCTCTTTCACGTGTGTGCATCCCTGGCATGCTTAAACAAGAAAGGCAAATGAGAGAGAGCGAGTGAGTGCGAGCGAGAGAGCCCTGAGGTGCCAGAAGGCTGTGGTTCCTTTGTGTCTACAGAAAAGATATAACGATTGAATTAGACTCTTAAATATCTGTGGATGTCAGGTTGAATACAAGCAGCTATTCAGTGTTTTACTCTGGCAGGAGAACAAGTCCCCTGGAGGTCAGAAGCCATGCAGGTCCCTGGAAGTGTGAGCAGATTGTTAAAATGGTATCAAAGATGGGCTGGCATGAGGCCAGAGTCTATCCTTGATGCTCACCTGAGGTCTAGGGCTAAACTCTTGCCTTTACCTGTTCCATGCTTAGCCGTTCCTGCTTTTTGCCTAGAACCTCAGTGCTATTGCTCACACAGACCCAGCTCATGTCCCCAGGCCATGACCACTGCCTCCCCTTCTCCCACCTGTGCAGGTGTTAAGCATCAGTACATAACTGAGGAGTAGGAGGGCAGCAGCCCAAATCTTTGATGAAGAACCTCTTTCGTATCAACTTATGCTTTGGAACGAGACACTGTTGGATGGGAATCTGGCTTCTAACAAACTGATTGGTTGGACTCATGCCTTATTCTTTCGGAGCCTTAGTTTTGTCATGTGTAGAATGGGGAGTATTGCTAGCTATTCCCATAGGGAGTGAGAGAGAGTGTAAGTAAAATGCAATGGCAGGCACAGGGATGGTTGCCATTATCAGTTACATTATTATGAGGATTATTTTCTACCTAGATCAGGTATAAGGTGGATGTATTATTGGCATTCCTAGGACTGTTTTAAAGGAAGTACCTATGAGGCCTCATGATAAGCCAGATGTCCAGAAGCCAGCTTGAGACCAGGGCTCCTGGTCACTTAAAAGATGTTTGGGGCTGGGCGTGGTGGCTCACACCTGTAATCCCAGCACTTTGGGAGGCTGAGGTGGGCAGATCACGAGGTCAAGAGATCGAGACCATCCTGGCCAATATGGTGAAACCTGTCACTACTAAAAATCCAAAAATTAGCTGGGCGTGGTGGTGAGCACCTGTAATCCCAGCTACTCGGGAGCCTGAGGCAGGAGAATCACTTGAACCCGGGAGGTGGAGGTTGCAGCGAGTCAAGGTCACGCCAGTGTACTCCAGCCTGGGTGACAGAGCGAGACTCCGTCTCAAAAAAAAAAAAAAAAAAAAAAAGAAAAAGAAAAAGGTGTTTGGAAGCCATGTCCCATGAATTCCAAATACAATTGAGGACTCTATAAAGGACTATAAAAAAAGTTGTAATAAATTATGCAGACCCCTCAGCAGTTGACTCACCTCTCTGGTGCTCCAGGTATTTCTCAGCGTGTTCGGGGTCTCCCTGTGTTACCTGGACAGCTCCTGCCATCATTAGCACACAGCCAAGATTCCTCGACCACCCATGACTCTGGATTTATCATCCTCAAGAATTGGGGGCTGTGGAAAAGATGCCAAATTTGTTCTTTTCAGATTTAGGTTCTTCTGTGATAAAAATAGACTTGGTAAAGAAGCAGATATTTCTTTAATACGTGTATATATTAGACTGTGAATTTATTCATCTTCCTTATTCATCATATAAGTAAATTATATGATTGGACCCAGGCATAAAACGTGATTTGACTCCCCCTTGCCCATCACAGTTCTGGAGTTCACATATCATTTGTTACTTTGAAAAATGAACTTTTGTTATTTGATTATGGTAATAAATAATATACATGGTAGAAGGAGAAGAAAATGAAGAAAAATTTAGAAACTTGGACAGAGGAAAATGAAAATGTTCTATTAATTCCACTAGCATGAGATAATCACTCTTAATATTTTGTTGCATGTTCTTTTCTTTCTTCTGAGTGATAGCATTTTTTTCAACAAATTGGGCTCGTAATATATAGGCACATAGATATATAATTAAAAAAACAAGAATTTCTCATGTCATTAAACATTGCTTGAAAAAACATACTAGTAATTTCCTAAGATTACACCATGTAAATGAATTGTATTTTATGTAACCATTCCCTAGTGTTGGATAGCTAGGCCATTTATAATTTGGACACTATTTTAAAAAATAACTCAGGCTTATTTTACTATTTATTTTTGCCTTACACTTTTTGTAAAAGTAATCAGAGCAGTAATAATAGATGACTCCCCAAAATCCTTTTGCCTCTAATGATTAGTCTAAGCCCATAATGCTGTGTTCCTTGCCAGTGATTGGTTTAGAAATAGGTATGTGACCCAGTTCTGACCAATGGATATGGAGGGTGCTTATGAGGAAGGTTTCCTACTCCTAAAAGAGATACACAGGAAGAGAGACCTTCTGCTTCCTCTGGACACTGGCGCAGCCTGGACTAGCAGTTGCCAGCTTGGGTTTGGACAACCTCCGACCTTAGTTGAAAATGACCCTGTGTAGGACAGAGGAGCAAGTGGAAAGAACCTGGGTGCATTGTGGCATTTTAGAGCCACTGATTCAGCTGTCCTATGGGCCTCCTAACCCGAACCTCCACTGGTCATGAAATAAGCTGTTAGTTTGGTGCAAAAGGAATTGCAGTTTTTGCCATTGAAAGTGATGGCCAAAACCACAGTAACTTTTAGCACCAACTTAATATTTTGAGTTGGGTTTGAATCACGTTGTCTATTACATGCAGCAGGACACATCTCTAATCACGCGAGAGGTCTGAGCAAACGTCTTCACATTTCACACTGCAGATATTCTTACAAAAGGCAAAGCAGAGATCCAGAGAAATTAAGATCTGCTCAAGGTCGTATCCAGCTTTGGGAACCCCAACTATTGCAGAAATTTCTGAAGTCGTCATATTGCTACTTAAAGCAAAATGCCTTCTCCTAAATCCAGGTAGAGAGAAACTCTCAAAGGCCAGGGTCTGGACTCAAGATGAGCACAGGATTTAGAATCAGAAAGTGTGA
The DNA here is from genome assembly GCF_000001405.40 of Homo sapiens. Taxonomy (NCBI): domain Eukaryota; kingdom Metazoa; phylum Chordata; class Mammalia; order Primates; family Hominidae; genus Homo; species Homo sapiens. Next base: position 78,654,169 of record NC_000016.10, read on the forward strand.
GTTCAAATTGCCTTCGGCTCTTCACCTGGGTGGGCGATTTGAATAGAGCTCACAGCCCTGAAAACCCTGGTTTTCAGATTCTTTATTGGTAAATGAAGTCAGCTTAGTGATATGAGAATTATGAAACATAAATCCCTTTGTAAAAATATAAAATAATCTTACAATCATCATCGTCATCCTCATCATCGTGTTCCTTCACACCAGCGGTATTTATGGTATTTATCAACTAACTGCTGTGTACTATGCTCTATTGAAAATGTTAGCAATATAGTAATGAACAAAACAGATGTTATCTCTACCCTTATGGTTTTTATATTTTAATAAAAGTGGCAGAAAAGAAATAGGTAAAACAATAAACTGAGCTCTTTGGAGAAGAGGCCCACGTTCTTTTCAGATTCTGATTTCTCCGTGATATAAATAGTTTTTTAGGTGATCACTTGTTTTTAATGTACCTACCTATCTATACCTTTCTCTCTCTCTCTCTCTCTCTGTGTGTATGTGTGTGTGTGTATAAAATTACATATCCAGTATGAAACCTAAAAATAAGATTTTGGGGCCTGTGAATTTTTTTAACCTTTCTTAACCTACATCCTAATTATTTGATTTGACATTGTGATGAAACATACTGTTGTTTTGAATTTTGGAAATAGACCAGTGATTCTTCAGTAGGGTCGTAAGGTCCCGTCAATGCAGCAGTCAAATTTTTTCTTGGTGGGGGGGATGCATATGTGTATGTGTGTGCATGAGTATCTTGATAATTTAGAAAGATTAATTAAACATTGATCATCTATGTGACCACATTTAAAATGAGCACCACCACATCCAAATGTCTGAGTTTACATTTTGTGTCGGTACTTGCTTTGGCAGAACTCTGTGCCTTTCCCCAAGTCTTCTGTGACCTTCTCACCTGGCCTGCATCCTGGTCCTTATCAACCGTATTTTACAGTTAAGGAAACTCGGCTCAAACTAGCTTCGGGGACTCGCTGTGGCCATAGGTGCCCTAGGCTGCAGTCTGAGAGTGAAACTGAGGTCTCACTCCCTTCATAGTCTGCTCTCCGTCTCTGCCTCATCTGGCTTCTCAGGGTGGTGGGGCGTGGGCACTAATTTGATTTGATCACTTAGAGACAACAGCTTACAAAATGCTACCGAGCAGTGCCTGTCCTTTCTGAGAACTTGATATAATAACGTTGGCTTGATCTCCTCAGCCTGTGTCTTGAGGGAACAAGTAAATTAAACAAGTAATTAGATCCATAATGTTTTTAGAAGTTAGAAGATTTAAATATATGAATCTCATCTGAGTGTGCAGCCTTTTGTCTGCTGTGTTTCCTGCCAAAAGATCTCTTGACAGGAAATAAACATTAAAATAATCTTTAATCCCTTGTTTGGTCTATTACCATTAACAATTGATGCACTTTAATTTTGTGGGGTTTTAACTACAAAATGGAACGGCTAAGTAGTGATAATTGGGTTTGGAATTATACGGTCATTTATATCAACAGAGATGCAAGGGGCTGGGAGGGAGGGTGATTAATTATTTACTATTTCCTGGCTGTGGTTCCTATTATAGAATTTTCTGATATGTTCTTCTGTGAACAATTATCACCAAATGAAAGTAAACAAATCTGTGATTTGAAGCCTTATTTAGAAGTTAGTCTATATTTAGGTGATGTGGGCTTGATTTTCACAGACCCTGTGGGCTGTCTGTGTGTGTTCCTTTTCTCAGTACCCCAGCTCTGTATTCGAGCGTGGTTATCTTTGTGCATCTTAAAATCCACAATGCACAGCCTGGGGAGAAGCCTTGGTTTTGCCAGGGGGAAAAAAAGAGAAACACAACATTGAGTGAGGTCTAGGGTGAATACCAAAGGTCTGTTTTGAAATGGGGGTGTGGGTTATTCTTCTCTCTTTCTGATTTGCTTCAGTACAGTATGGGATGGGGAAGAATCAAAATTATTATGTCAACATGAGGATGAAAGTTATGCTCTGTTGTTTCTCATAACATTTGTGTGTGTGTGGGTGGGTGGGTGTGTGTGAAAGGTAGGATCACCTCTCTGTGCCTCAGTCTCCCCATCATCCTTCGGTGGTAGATCAATGCTATCTGATGAGGCCTTTTTTGGGATCACCCACTCCAACATGCATGTCCTTTCTCTGTCCCCTCCTGGTGCCTGTATTAGTCTGTTCTCACATTGATGTAAAGGACTACCTGAGGCTGGCTAATGTATAAAGAAAAGAGGTTTAATTGGCTCATGGTTCCGCAGGCCATACAGGAAGCCCAGTTAGGGAGGCCTAAGGAAACTTAAAATCATGGCAGAAGATGAAAGGGAAGCAGGCATGTTCTGCATGGCTGGAGTAGGAGGCAAGGAGCGAAGGAGGAGGTACTACCCACTTTTAAACAACCAGATCTGGTGAGAACTCACTCACTGTCATGAGAACAGCAAGGGGGAAATCAGCCCTCTGATCCAACCACCTCCCACCGGGCCCCTCCTCCAACATTGGGGATTGCAGTTTGATGTGAAATTTTGGCTGGGACACAAATCCCAACCATATCGGCACCCACTGAGCACATCCTCGTGGATCTTCCTGGCTCTCCTTACAAGGGGTTCCTTCCAAACCCAAGCGCCACAATCCTTAGGCAGATTGCTCTGACACAGAAGACTGGTGAGTTCTAGACTTGATGTGTTTCATGGGAAACAGGAAGACATTTAGGGGAGGCTGTAGATACACAGCCGCTCTGTTTAGGGAAGGCTGTCGATACACCGCTGCTCTGACCATCATGGCGTCTGGTCCATGCTCAGATTCTGGAGTGTTAGGGTCTTCGGGCACATGGTGGATGAGCGTTTTGCTTCGTGTACTCATTTATTTCTGAAAATAATGCAGCCCCTTGTAGGGCTTTCTGGCTAATTGAGTGGTGCCATCATTCATGCAATTGCGCAATTCACACACCAGGCTGCCACTTTGGCCCCTGCGTCACCTTCACCACCACCCAATGTGTCCTGCTCATCACTGAGGTTTGTCATTTTTACTCTGAGTCTGTCCATTGTCATCATCTCCACCATCACCCCTTTTGTTTTCATTGCCACCCTTGCCTGGGGTGAGTGAAGACGCTCTTCTCTGGCTTCCACCCTTCCAAATGCCCTTAACCCACAGATGGGAAGAAAATGAGGTGGGGGGAAGGGGACTTTCTTGCTTCCTCATAGTTCTCCCCCATCCTGTAAAGGAGCCTGTGCTTCCCGACTCCCAGGGCCCTGCAGCATGTCAAGAACAATATTGGACAAGCTTGTCAGTGAGGGTCCAGGTGGTTCCCTGCCACTACGATGCATGCTGGGGTCAGTAAAAGGAGAACACAGAAGAATCAGCAGACCCAGAGTCTAACCCCTCCTCTAGTTAAAGACGTGACCCTGGCCGGGACTGAAGCCAGAGGCCCACAGCCTACTGGACCTTTGTTTCTTGCAGTCAGGTTCTGATGACAGATTTTAGTCCCCTCTTGAATTTCCTTGGATGTGATGGAAGTGATTCTCAGTGGACAAGAGGTCACATTGCCTTTTCTAGCTTGGAAGGTGGCGCAAATAACTGCTTGAGGCTCCCTCTCTTGGGCCAAGCTTGACTCTGGATTTTCATTGTTGTCCTTTTTTATTAAAACAGGTTTTGTTTTTTTGTGTGTGTGTTATTTTGTTTTTTGTTTTTTTGTTTTTCGGGGGCTGGAGTAGTGTGCAGAGCCTGGCGGTGATTGTTCTCATTAGAAAGTATAGTGTAATACTCAATAAATTACTTTTGTTCTCACCTTGGGAAGTGGACTCAGAGGCCAAGTGACTTTGATTTTTCACTTTATCCTGGAGTTTCTCAACCTTGGCACTATTGACATTTTAGGCCAGGAGATTCTTTGTTGGGGGGGATTTCCTGTGAGTTACAAGACATTAAGCAACATCACTGGCCTCTACCCACTAGATGCCAGTAGCATCTTCTATTTCCTCAAGTCTCAAAATACCAAAAACATTTGTAGATACTGCCAGATACCCCTGGGGAACAAAATCACCCCTGGATGAGAACCCCTGCTTTATCCTCTTACAGTTTTGGTTCTTTCCATGAGAAAGTATTTTTAATAGCAAAGTAATGAACAAGAAAGTATTAATAAGACCCAAATAATAATATAAACTACTACTTTACTAATGGTCATTATGTGCCATGCCCTGCTCTAAACACTTGCCATGTAGTCACTAATTTAATCCTCACAAGAATTCTGTAATGTAGTGTAGTTTCCCAGGGCTTCCTTGAAAACGTGCCATAGACTAGATAGCTTGAAACAACAGAGATTTATTCTCTCACAGTTTTGGAGGCCAGACACCTGACATCGAGGTGTTGGCAGAGTTGGTTCCTCCCGGGGCTCTCAGTGAAAGCCTGCTCCGTGCCTCTCCTCCAGCCTCTGGTGGCTGCCATTAATCCTTGACATTCGTCGGCTTGTGGCAGCAGAACCCCAGTCTCCGCCTCCGCCTTCACATGGCCATCTTCACTCTCTGTCTTTGCTCCCTTTTCCTATAGGGACTCAAGTCATTGGATTTAGGGCTCACTGGAATCCAGGATGACCTCATTTTACCTTAACAAGTTGCATCTGTGAAGATTCCATTTCTAAATAAGATCACATGCTAGGGCTGGGCACGGTGGCTCATGCCTGTAATCCCAGAATTTTGGGAGGCCGAGGCAGGCGGATCACTTGAGGTCAGGAGTTTGAGACCAGCCTGGCCAAAATGGCAAAACCCCTTCTCTATTAAAAATACAAAAATTAGCCAGGTATGGTGGTGCGTGCCTGTAGTCCTAGCTACTTGGGAGGCTGAGGCAGAAGAATCCCTTGAACCTGGGAGGCAGAGGTTGCAGTGAGCCGAGATTGTGCCACTGCACTCCAGCCTGGGCAATAGAGTGAGAATCCGTCTCAAAAAAAAACAAACAAACAAACAAAAAAAAAACAAAACACATGCTGGTGCACACATAAATTTGGAAGAAATGCTCTTTAACCCAGTATGAGCACGTGGTATTCTTATCCTCATTTTACAGATGAGGAAATTGAGGCACAGACAGATTCAATAACTACGTGACTCACAGAGATAACCGTGTAGCAGAATCAGGAATTCAGCCCAGTTTTTTCAGTTGCACAGCCTGAGCTCCTAACCATCGCGCCTGGGGTTCTCAAAGGCTCGTCCCCAAGCGACAACATCAGGGTCATCTGGGAACTTGTTAGATGTGCTCACCCTCAGGCTCGCCCCACCCCGCCAGACTTCCTGAACCAGAAACTCTGGGAGTAGGGCTCAGCAATCTAGTTTTAGCCCTCCAGGGGATTCTGTGGTGCCTAAAGTTTGAGAACTTCTGATCAAAAATGCCAGATAAGAAAAAAAAACCTTTCGAGACATCATTTGAATCAATTATCAAATGTTTCCAAAGTGCACTTGCTTTGCAAAGCACTGTACTACTCATCTCTGCCTCCATCGGAGCGAGTTCAGGAGAGTTGTGTTTACTTTTCTAAAGGAGCCTTTTCCTTCCCATTTTACCAGTGCCCAAAAGTCTTAGAAAAATGACAATGTTCATATATTTGCCCACATGAAGATAGAAAGTGTCATGTCAAAGATAAAGGGAGAACAGCATTTTCTTTTTTTACAAGTCACTCTTACTTAAACACACAGCATGACTCTCCTTACACATTTATTTCGGAAGAGCAAAGTCCGGGTCCCCAGGCTCAACTATCAGCCGCCTTCTCATCCCAAGGGCTGTCACCACCAGAAATTTAACATGCTGTTAGTGCATGCAAAAAAAAGCCCAGTAATTGTAGGGCTCATCAGTACATTGTTAATTGATCCTCATTTCCTATTATTTTACCTCAAAGCAAACACATCATTCACCATAGTGACACCAGAGTTGTTTATCTTCTCTGTGCAAGTGTGTGCTCTTTTTAGCAAGCTTTTTGGATCCTCTGTTTCAGAGGGCCTTTCCCATCTGTTTACTATTGTGGACTGTGCTGCTTTTTTTGTTTTTAATTACAGGTTATATAAAATATTGTCAGCAGGAGGGAGGTTATTATTACCTTAAAGAATAAGTGGTAGATGCGGACTGGCCACTGTGAGCCCATCACTAAAATGCACTTCCGTACACTAAAGGTCCCTCTTCCCTGGCAGACAGTGGTTCATTTTATTTGAGGAGGTATGTTGTGGGCTTGGGGAAACAGAAGGAAATTGGAGACATTGATATGCTTCCTGAGAGGTGGAAGGGGCCACTTAACACAGCTTTCATTTTTCAGTTGCCAGTGGGAGAGGAGCTGGGGTGGGCATATAATGAGTAACATTCAAAGCTCCTTCTGTCTTTTTTTCAGAGAATTCACAAAACAACTCAGGGCCTCCTGGTCCTGCAAAAGTGTTTACTGTTTATTTGTGTTGTTTCTGCTTGTTTTGCTTGCCACCAGCTCCCTACTCACTTGGGGGAAAATAACCCATCAAAGGAATAGAAGCTCAGGATAAACGTTTCAGACCTTTCAGTAAGATAGTAAAATTTCTTTCATTCCCAGACCTCTCTCCAAAAGAGGCAGCCATCATTAAAAGTTTGTTATGGATTCTTCCAGAAACGTTCTATGCATTTAGCATCAGTTGCAGATATGGATAGCCTTTTCAAAAAATGCATGCAACTGAGACTATTGGCTATGTTTTGTTTATTACCTACTTTTTCCATTTAATAGTATCTTGGAGATTATTTGGTACCAGCACATGTAGCTCAACCTCCTAATACTGCATGACGGATAATATGCCATCACATGGTGTCATTTAATATATTCATTCCTATTTATAGACATTGAAGTTAGATCCATGTCTTACTATTACACATGACTTAGTAATGAATGTTCCTGCATGTATATTTGGTCTGCTTGAGCAAGGATATTGGGAGGGAGGATTTCCAGCAGCAGAAGTGGTGGAACAAAGGCACTGTGTACACCTTTGAAACAATTAACTTCACCAAAATTACTAAACTGTCCTCTAGAATGGTTAAACCAATTTCCTCTCTACCATTCACACGTGAGAATGCCTGTGGCCCCCCAGAAATTATCTCCAGCAGCAGCAACAGAGAGGACTGGAATGCCATTGACAGGTCCCACAAGTCAGCAATCAGCACGCCATTTTTTAAAATTTATGTTGCTATTGTATCGTAAGGTTCTTCTGAAGCGACCACTTCATAACACTGTGTAGTCCAATCCCTAAGCTGGGCAATTTTTTTTTCCCCTTTCAATACATCACATTGATTTTCTGTATGACTTTATCTGCTTAATACAAAGTGGGATTGAACAGTTATTTGTCTGGATTTGATCATTCCTTATTAAACATTTATGATTTAGCTTTCACCGCGGCATCTTCTTGTAAGGTGTTTCTTATTTTTATCATTTTCCGTAAAGGTAGGATTGTGTTGACAGCCCTGTAATAAATGTCTCTTGGAAGAGATGTGTTGCTGAGAGGTGGGGAGGGGGTGGGGGCTCTGTGCATGGAATGGGGGGAAAAGCTTCAGGGAAGGGCAGTGCAAATTGTTTCTGGACTGATGCCATCTTTTAATAATAGTAGTTAATAGACTGGGTACAATGGCTGACGCCCGTAATCCCAGTGCTTTGAGAGGCCGAGGCCGGTGTATCGCCTGAGTCCAGGAGTTAGAGACCAGCCTGGGCAAACAGCCTGAGGCAAAACCTCATCTCTACAAAAAATACAAAAAATCAGCTGGGCGTGGTGATATGCATCTGTGGTCTGAGCTACTCAGGAGGATAAGGTGGGAGGATCATTTGAGCCCGGTAGATGGAGGTTGCAATGAACCGAGATTGTGCCACTGCACTCCAGCCTGGATGATAGAGCGAGACCATGTCTCAAAATAATGATAATAATTGTAGTAGTAGTAGTGGTGGTGGTGGTGGTGGTAGTAGTAGTAGTGAATGCCCTGACTTTGGGGTTTGCAGTAAGCTAGGATTAAGTGCTTCACAGTGAGGCACAGTGGGGAGCTACTCTGAGGATGAATTGCCTAGTAAATAAGTGAGGTTTGTATAACCGAGGCCAGATCTTAGAACCTCCTGCTATCTGTACATAGAAGAATGTTTTAGTCAGAGGCAAGGCAAGGTCACCAGGATTCACTGAGAGTGTTGGTCAGCATTTCATCTGCATATACAGGACTGGAAAATAAGAGAGCGCAATGAGACATCTAGTTTTTTTCTCTTTCGTTTGTTCTGTTTCCCACTGAGAGAATTTTCTAGCTTTATGTGGAGAAAACAGTATTGGAAATTATTACTCAGTTCAAGAAAACCTCACTGAGCACCTACCATGTAGGTGCTCATCCCGATACCACTATCAGGCCCTTTGGACCAGTTGCAAGGATGCAGGATGAGGAAGGCAATGTGAGAAAACAGAAGGAGCACCAGGCAGTCGTGGGCTTGATTTTTATTTTACTATTTTTTAAAAAACATAAAACAACATACATTCATCATTTTGCTTTCTTTGGATGAAGAATTGAGCCTGGTTCAGCATCTCTTGCAGGCTGTAATTGAGGGTGGTCATTGACTGGGGCTGGATTCGGGAAGGATCCACTTCCAAGCTGCACAGTTGTTGGCAAGATGTAGTGTTTTGGTGGTTCCTGGGCTCTGGGACTCAGCTTTTTGGCTGTTGGTTGTTGGCTGTTGCCACATGGGCCTCTGCAAAAGGCAGCTTGTAACGTGGCAGCTGACTTTTGTCCAAGTGAGAAGGTGAGAGTGCAAGAATTGGTGAGAGAGACCGCAGCCAGGGTGTTTTTTTAACTTAATCTTGGAAGTCACATCCTATCGCTTTGGTTTTTTGACTGAGATTATTCAGTACTGCAATAGTCTCCCTTTAAAGTGGACAATTCATTGGCTTATCGTATAGTCACAAACTTGTGCAGACATCACCACTATCTAATTTCAGAACATTTTTATCACCCCTAAAAGAAACCCTGTACCCTTCAGCCAGCATTCCCTATTTTATACCCCCGATCTCTTGACAACTACTCATTGACTTTGTTTCTATGACTTTACCTATTTCGGGTAATTGATATAAATGGAATCATACAATACGTGGCCAACTGACTTCTTTCATTTAATGTTTTCAAGGTTTGTGTTATTTCATGTATTAATATTATGTTGGTGCAATCACTTTTGAACCAATCTAACTAATACTTCATCCCCTTGTATGGCCAAATAATATTCTATTCTATCAATATATTATACTTTGTTTATCCATTCACAGTTCATGTCATTCCCACTTTCTGGCTATTATGAATAATACTGCGATATGAACATCTGGTTACTTCTGGCTCTTATGGGTAACACTTCTATAAGCGTTGCCACAGGTTGCTTCTGATTTCTATTATGAGTAATGCTGCTATGAACATTCATATACAAGTTTTAGGGCAGACTTCTATTTTCATTCCAATATCTCTTTATGGCATGTCTTAGCAGTGATGTCTATGACATCCAGGATGTGTCTTGACATGTCTGACATCATTTAAATAAAAATAAAGTAGGGAAAGAAAACAGATAGTGATTGTGTGTGTGATCAGTGATGGCTTTTGAGGAGGTGACATTTGAACTACACCCTGAATGAAGAGAGCCATGCAAAGACCTCAGCAAAGAAAATCTCAAGCACAGGTGCAGCAAGTGCAAAGGCCCTGGGGTGGAAACACACTCGATGTGTTCAAGGGAGAGTAAGTGGTGAATGGGTTTGGAGCCAACAGGGATAATAGACAACGCTATCAAGAGGGGGGCCAACCACACATGTGCAGCCACTGTATGACGTCTGGATTTTCCTTGACTTATGGTGATCACTATTGGGAGGTGGTAAGCAAACAGGTGACATAATTTGAATCATGGTTTTAAAAGACGCCATGGTTGCCATGAGGAGGACAATGCGTAGGAGGCAGGAGTGAAAGCTAAAGGATATGCTGGGAGGTGACCCTGGAGTTAAAGAGAGCAACTAAGGTGACCAGGTGACAATAATGGAGATAGAGAAAACAGGATGGATTCAGGAAACATGACCACACTGAGCATATTCAAATGTAATTGTCAGTTTTCGTGTCTCCCTCCCACTGGACCACAAGCCCCTAACTCTTCATGTACACACCCTGACTCCCAGTGTGGGCTGGCCACCCAGGAGGCACCCAGTTTATGTGTGCTGCGTGAGTGATGTGGAATGACTGCCCACGTAGGAAGTGGCAGGTTGGAGAAAAAGCAGTCACAGCTCCTGGCTGCTGTGGCTGCTTTGAGCTTCTTCCTCGATCAGGCTGGATCATTACCAGCCTGTACCCTCAAAGGATGCCCTTAGTCCTGTCCCCTCTCACTAGCAGGGATTCCAAGCTTGTAAATAAAGTCTCCCACTTAAAATGTGAGCAGAGTGAAGAGCTGGCAGTGTCAAAACTCTGTGTCCAGATGTTTTATGATTTTCCCTTTTCCAGATGAGCCCGGTGTATCCGTATCAGTGTGTCTAGGAAGACCAAGCATGCCGAACGGCCAGCAGAGTAGAAACTCTGTGTGCCCATCCATTATGTACTCCCTGAATTAGGCTCCTTGAGGCTCAATTATTAAAGTGGGATTTTTCTTAATTATTAACAGTTAAAAATAGGAAAATAGATTTCAAGGGGAAAAAATTTGCAGGCAACAAGAGTCCAATTCTAAATGTGTGCATGTGCGTAAAACGGAATTTGCCAAACATGAATAGGCACTTACAATGTGACTGGAATTGGCTCTGTCATGTGTCAGCCTAATAGCCTAAACCCTGGTTCAATACAATGAACTTGGGAAGGTTTGCTTAATGAAAGAACTGACGTTTTCTGTGCAGCGGCTGCATTCATCAGCCTGCATCCTGTTCATTACACTACAAAGGGCTGCCAATGGGAATTGGTAGGATCATCTATTAGGTAAATGCGATGGGGACAAAAGATAGCAGAGCCCGGGGCTTTGTGGAATTTTCTGTGGTGGTCCGGGTTCCTGGAGTAGGGAGCTGTGATGACGGGCAACAGATTTCCAAGTTGGCACGCGGGCTTCTGGAGTCACGGGCTGAATTCCGGCACTGCCACATCTTGCCACGCACATCCTAAGGGAGTGTAGAGAAGAGAGTTTTCAGTTATGCATGACACTGCCTTACCCATTGTGGATTCAGTAGGGATATTCATAACTGTGAATTTGAATATAACTATTAAATAATTGAATTATTATTATTGAGTTACTGAATATAACTATTGAGTTTTCCCTCTCCATCTGGGCACATGGGAAGGCCGTACTTTCCTGACATGTGATTTGCTGTGGCGAGTGGAATCTGGGGGCAAGAGACGTGTGTCTCCTTGAGGCAGAAACTTTAACAGATTCCAGCCTGCTGCATCATAATCTCCTTTCCCTCTACCACGCTGACTGGCAGTATTCCAGATTCCGATTGCCCTGTCAGGGTGGGTCCTAGTGGTAGGACAAAAGCAAGAATCCTGAGCTGACCCAAGACACACATGGAAACATTAATTGTGCTTCTCTGATGTGGCTTTAAGATACTTGCTCTGTCGCCCAGGCTGTAGTGTAGTGATTCCATCTCAGCTCACTGCAACCTCCACCTCCTGGGTTCGAGTGATTCTCCTACCTCAGACTCTCAAGTAGCTGGGATTACAGGCATGCACCACCATGCCCGGCTAATTTTTGTATTTTTAGTAGAGATGGAGTTTCACCATGTTGGCCAGGCTGGTCTTGAACTCCTGACTTCAAGTGATCTGCCCACCTTGGCCTCCCAAAGCTCTGGGATTACAGACGTGAGCCGCTGCGCCTGGCCAAGATACTGAGATGTGGGGGCCAGGCACAGTGGCTCATGCCTGTAATCCCAACACTCTGGGAGGCTAAGGCTGGAGGATTGCTTGAAGCCAGGAGTTTGAGAATAGCCTGGTTAACATAGTGAGAGCCCCATGTTTCTAAAAATTTAAAAAAATTAGCCGAGTGTGGTGGTGTGCCACAGTAGTCCCAGCTACTCAGGAGGCTAAGGCAGGGGGATTGTTGGAGCCCGGGAGGTCAAGGCTGTATAGTAAACTGTGATCCTGCCACTGCACTCTAGCCTGGGTGACAGAGCAAGACACTGTCTCTTTAAAAATAAATAAATAAATTAAAAAGACACTGAGATTTGGGGGTTACTTGTAACTGTGTCATAACCTGGCTCCTTACTGCCATCGGCATGCCTAGAGGGATCCCAGTTTTACACATCAGAACAACCCAAGCCCCAGTGTGTCACGCCATTACATGCTTACAGCCTATTTTTACAAAGTTTGAATATTGTAATTTGCCTTTAAAAAATTGTTTTAAAGATCTGCCTAGGTCAGCAAATTTTATTTACTCTCTAGAACCATTTGATTGGGGTACTGCCTTAAGAAATAAAGCAGATTCCTTCAGTCGCATGTGGGCCTGGAGTCACTGGAAAATGCAGACAAAACAAGATCTGCTGATTGGCAAGGTCATCTTGGGAAGGGCCATCGTGCAGTAAAGAGCAGGTCCATTAATTCAGGGGGGATTTACATCAGTTCCATCTGCCTCTTTCCTAATGGGACTGTTTGGTTGTGTTCTTTCCTGGAGAGATTAGTGATTGAAAGGAGGAGATCTAGAAAGAAGAGATAAAAGTTTACATTTAATTTTCATGCCATGCAGCGTTCTACGAAGGCTTCCTAAGGAGGCTCCATACTAAATTCAGACATAAGTCAGAAGGCAGCTTCTCCCAAGACACTGTTGATGTCCAGGGGGTGACAGTTCCATCACAAAAGGGGGTTAAAAGGGTTTAGGGGAAGTTTAGTTGTCTTCCTTTTATCTCTAACTCTAAAACCCAACTGCTGGCTGAATTAAAAGTCTCTTACATAATGGTCAGAGGAGTTTTGAGTATCGGATCTTTGTGTACTTGCTTTTTAAATTCAGTCACGTCTTAAATAGTACTTTTCACTCTCCTCCTCTCCACACCACTTTATGTGTTTGCTAGTAGCTTCCATGAAACTCTATGGGTGAACATGTCTGCAACTCTTTGGCATTTAAATTTTAGGTTTCTGCCCCTCGTAGCAGACTATCTTTCTAGAAGCAGAGCTGTAAGTCTCTTTTAACACCATTTTCAAGCTTGGACAGGCTGACATTTTTATTGAATGGGTTATCTCAATATATATCTACTTTTTTGCATCCTACTTTTTTTAGAAAATTAAAAATGATATGATGGGTGTGGTGGCTCACGCCTGTATTCCCAACACTTTGGGAGGCCGAGGCGGGTGGATCACAAGGTCAGGAGTTCAAGACCATCCTGGTTAACACGGTGAAACCCTGTCTCTACTAAAAAGTACAAAAAATTAGCCAGGCGTGGTGGCAGGCACCTGTAGTCCCAGCTACTCGGGAGACTGAGGCAGGAGAATGGCATGAACCTGGGAGGCAGAGGTAGCAGTGAGCCAAGATCGTGCCACTGCATCCCAGCCTGGGCGACAGAGTGAGACTCCGTCTCAAAAAAAAAAAAAAAAAAAAAAAGATAATGATGAAAATAATAGAATATTGATGAGAACACCCATTACTCTGCTCATTGTTCAAATGAACTCATTTGAGAGCTCTCTCCTTTGTTTCTGTCTTTCTCTCGCATCAGCTTGCATCTGTTTGCCTATGCTATAAGGCATCAGTGGTTACCAGGCAGTGTTGCATTTTTTCCATCCCATACCTCTGTGTGTGTTCCTTATCTGTTTCTAGGATGTGCCCTCTGCCCCGTCACATCACACTCTGTGCTGCTCTCAGCCAAAGCTCTTCTTAAATACACTAGCCATCAAAACCATACAACTTGGCTGGGTGCGGTGGCTCACACCTGTAATCTTAGCATTTTGAGAGGCCGAGGCGGGTGGATCACTTGAGGTCAGGAATTCAAGACCAGCCTGGCCACCATGGTGAAGCCCCGTCTCTACTAAAAATACAAAAAATTAGCCAGCTGTGGTGGCACATGCCTGTAATCCCAGCTACTCGGGAGGCTGGGACAGAAGAACCACTGGAACCTGGGAAGCGGAGGTTGCAGTCAGCCGAGATCTATGCCATTGCACTCCAGCCTGTGTGACAGAGCAAGACTTTGTCTCAAACAAACAAACAAAAAACATACAACTTAACTCTCATACCCCCACGCCTGTCTTTTCTCCTGTTCGACTTGACTCCTCTTGGGAATTCCGTAAGTACTTTGAGGGCAAGGACCACAAGATAAATGTCGTAAGGTAACCAGGAATGACATTCCAAGATTCCATTCTTTCCTTTGTATATCCACTCATCATTCATTATATTCTTACTCTGGGCTAGGCCCTGGGAACAGTTGAGTAAGAACAAGCAGGAACAAACAATTAGAACATTTAGTGTGGCAAGGGGCGTGACAAAGTTACCAAGAGAGGTAGGTGAGAGACAGGAGTTGTTATCTGCGGGGAACAGGTGAAGGAGTGACAGCAGGGGGTGAGGATAAGAAGGAGGAAGCTTTACCCCTGAGAAGAGCAGGCATCAGATGGGCTTTGGAATCTACATGGGTGTTTGTAGGTAGACCACCCTGGAAGTTGAGTGATGGGGAATAAAAGGAAGAAAGTGCATTCTGAACAGAGGGAATAGCAGGTACAGCAGCTCAGACATGGGCACCTTCAGAGCGTGTCTGAGTCTTCCTGATGAGACACGTGGTGTTCACTTGATAACTCCCTGGCAGGTTCTCTTCATCGGGCCTCCACATAGGGTATGCGAACCTCTTCATGTTTTTAAAAGGGAGAGATTTAATAAAGGCAATTTGGTACTTAAAAATTGTTAGAAGAGCTAAAAGAGTAGTTTTGAGGTTGACCTTCAGAACGGCTTCCTGAATAATACAGAAGTGACCCTCCAGGAAGGCCCTTCCACTGAAGCTACAACTGGAGCTAAGCAGATGGATAAGCCAAAACCACCTCCGTTGCTGTGGCCCCATCTCCACCACAAGGAAGCTGGAGAAGGGACCCCAGAACCGGAAGACAAAAAACTTCCTTCACACACTCCCTTGCTAAGAGGAGAAGCCCCAAAGAAGCTGGATATGGCCCTTCCCTCACATTTGCTGTCCCAAGTGTCCCATGGCAGTGCCTAAGCAATTGGTGGGATGGATTTGTGTCTATAAACAAAGTTGCAAGGGAGTCTGGAAAGGGAGTTTTAACTCCAACTTCTTCAACTAGAATGGTAGGATCCAGGGGCAGCATTGCTCCCCAGGGGATGTTTTTACAATGTCTGGGATATTTTTTAGTTGTCAGAACTGGAAGCAGGAAGAAGTGCTACTGTCATCTAATGGGTCAAGGCCAGTGATGGTGCTGACTATCCTACAATCCATAGGACAGTACCTACCACAAAGAGTTACCTACCCCCAAAATGTCAACGTGCCCAGGTTGAGAAACGTGACCTAGCTGGAAGGTGAACAGGAACTAAATGAGTCAGTTTCAGATATCCAACACAAATACGTCACTTGTTTCTGTTCCAAAAGTATTATAATTTTTGTTTGAGCTAAAAACTAGTTACAGTTCATTGGATAATTGCCTTTCATCCCTTCAATATGTGTTCCCTTGAAATTTGCATCCATGCATCCCACATGGCACCCCTATTGATTATTTCAGTGACTCAGAAGACTTCATTATTCAAAATAATCTCTAATAAGATGTTTAGGGAGAAGGAAAAATAAAGTTTCTCTCCACGTTACGTTTTTTTCTTGCACATGTACTGCTTTTTCATAAGCACAATCTTATTAATAGAACAAGTCCTCTCAAAATGGTTGCCTTTTCTCCCTTCATCCTCCCCCACCAGTAATGTAGAGCTGTTATTTGGCTCGTTTTTCTTTTTCCTCCAGAGGCAGGAAGAGGGAATGAATGGTGGCCAAGAATTTTAAATTCCTGTTCCCGGCCGCCCCCGGAAGCTCCATCTTTGTTGTGAGGGCTTCTCTGCGTCAGTAGAGGCCAGCTGAGCTCTTATTCACCCCTTATTCTCTGGTTCCCTTTCACCAGCAGGTCCAGCTCTAACCACAGCTGGAGTTTAGGAAGGCCAGGCAGCGTGTGTTGAATGCCAGCCACTCTTCTACCCAGGGTCATATCCTTGGATGTTTTTCTGTGCATCTGTCTTTTCCGACCCTCCCGTGATTCTGGAAGGAAACACCTTTCCAAGCTCCCCAGTGACCCTGGTTCATCCCGGAAATATGCAGGAAAAGCATTATGAGCATTGCAGTGCCACATGCTGCATTGGTGTGTTACGTTATGAGAACTATTAGGGCTGATCTCTGAGAAACTTACCAGTGGTGTGTGATCGGAAATCATGTCACCCTCTGAATGTGGGTTATGGGATAAATGGCTAGGTACACAGGCTTCAGAGTCCAGCCAGCCCCAGGTTTGGATTACAGATGGTTGCTGTACTAGATGAATAATGTCCCCCCAAATTCGTGTCTATCTGGAACCTCAGAATGTGACCTCATTTGGAAATAAGGCCTTTTTAATTAAAAAAAAATTTTTATTTAAAAAACAGAGATAGAGTCTTGCCATCTTGCCCAGGCTAGTCTCAAACTGTTGGGCTGAAGCAGTTCTCCTGCTTTGACCTCCTAAAGTGCTGGGATTACAGACATGAGCCACTCCACCTACCCAGAAATAAGGTCTTTATAGATGTAACTGAAATAAAGATAGAGATGTGAATGTGATCGTACTGGTTTAGGGTGGGCCCTACATCCAATAAGAATGTCCTTAGCAGAGACAGAACAGAGACACCGAGAGAGGAAGGTGATGCCAAGACAGAAGTAAAGATTGGAGTGGTGCCATCTACCAGCCAAGGAATGCCAAGGCTGTGGCTACACCAGAAGCTGGAACAGAGCCTGCAAGCATTTCTCCTGCAGAACCCCCAGAAGGGACTCAGCCTGCAGACACTCAGATTTCAAACCTCTGGCTTCCTGAACTGTGAAAGAATAAATTGCTGTTGGGCCAGGTACAGTGGCTCATGCCTGTAATCCCAGCACTTTGGGAGGCTGAGGCAGGTGGATCACTTCAACCCAGGAGTTCGAGACCAGCCTGGGCAACAAGGCGAGACCCCGTCTCTACAAAAAATACCAAAAAATGAGCCGGGTGTGGTGGGGCATGCCTGTAGTCCCAGCTACTTGGGAGGCTGGGATGGAAGCATCATTTGAGCCTGGGAGGTGGAGGTTGCCGTCAGCTGAGATTGTGCCACTGCACTCCGGCCTGGGTGATAGCATGAGACTGTGTCTCAAAAATTAAAAAATAAAACATAAATAAATTTCTATTGTTTTAAGACAATTTGCCTGTGGCCCTAGGAAACCAGTATAGATAACTTGTGATGGTTTAGCTTATTTAGTACAACAACCCTGCCCCTTCTAGTTTTTATGATAACCTCATTAATTGCCGGTACTCTCAGAGCCCTGATTTTCTTACCTATAAAGTAGAGATTCCCTATCTCATTTGGAGGTGATTTTAAGGCACAAATGAGACAGTGTATGTAAAGCATTTGGCATAGTGCCTGATTCAGAGTAAGTGACCAATAAATAGCTACCCTTACTATTTAGAATGCTATTATTTAGAACATAAGTATATTTAAGAAAGCACCATCAGTATTCAATTTGCCTTGCTAATAAAAAGGGATCAAGATATGGATTGTAAAGTAGAAAAATACATGTCAATTAAATGGATTTACATCTTAAAAAGTGGTGAGGTAGACACACAGGCACTACTCACTTCATTCCTTCTCATCTCAACCCGTTAGGATTTGGCCTTCAACTGGGTAGTGGAAAAAATATGATCCTTGGCAGTCTACTACGCAAAAGCAGGAACATCATCTGCTTTTGGGTAGTTAAGAGTTAAGTATCACTTTGAGCTACAGGATCATGATTAAAAAGCATTCTGTTATCTTACTTCACAACTCTCCACTTTTGTAAAAGTTTAGGATACCGGCAGGGCAGCAAATACCTTTAAATGATTTTATTTAAATGTCAGATTTAATTAAATCCATGACCAGAAGACAAACCCAAAGGAAATTTTCAGGGAGCTTTAGAATTTTCCTTTTCCATGTTCAAGGTGATAACCGTAGCATAAAACTGTCCCAACCACATGCAAATGCAAGCAGGGGCATTCATCATGAAAATACAGCTCTCAAGGCGGAAGTGCTTGTTAACTTTGCACTCTATAGCCAAGTGCGATGATCAGAAAATACATACATTGAAGACACCAGAAAATAGTGTATGGATTGGTGATTTTGACTAAGACTGGAATGTGGGTGTGTGCACTCCTCATGTTCCGGTTTCTGTGATCATTCAGGCATGCACAGGTATCCTGATGGGTAGCCAGGTCATTAGGCCCAGAGTCGGCAGTGTAGCATGGCAAGAGAAGTCATTGCATCTCCAAACTGTGCCTAAATTGCCTGTAATGGGTTCTTTGCAACTTGCAGAACCAGATCTTACCATTTGCAAGGAGAATAGCTGAAAAGATACTTAAATAAAAGTGATCGGATGAAATTTTAAAAACGGGAATGACCAAAAAGATTCCCAGAGGACCGTTACTGGTCTGCAGCCCCCCATTTTAGGGTCTGGCATTTGTACTGATTATGGCCTGACAGCTCTTGAGTTTCCAATGATAACAGCCATCTGACTTGATCGGAGTTCTATGGATTTTCACTAAAATAGAATCATCGCCTTGGTGATGGATAGAAAAAGTAAAGCAATACATCCTGATAAATGCTGTGCCTTCCTCCTTCGTCTCTCTGGCGGTGACCTTGTGCAATCCATAAGAGGGCAAGGCTGAGAGCCCCGGCCACCGCCGCCGTGTGTCAGAACTTGGAAATTTAAGTAGCTTTGAAACCCGTCAATGGGGTGAAGGGGGAATGGCCTGAGAAAGCAATGGATCATGCTTAGAGGGCTCAGAGGGAAATAGGGTACGCTGAAGGTCAACGTGCAGACATGTCCTGAAGGAACAGCTCAAGTCCTCATTCTCATTCACGGGAGGCTGCGGCCCTGTGAGGTGAGATCAGTAGAAGAGTACAATAAAACAGGAATTTTCAGAGCATGTAATTTCTTCTTGGAAGTGAAAGGCACTGGAGAATGGTGCAGAATAAGCACTAGCCTTAGAGAGAGGATGCCCTGCCCCAGTCTCTTTCTCTGAGTAGCAGAGAGCTGGCTGTGCTAGGAAACTCTTCGCCTCTCTAACACCACGTTTATTCTCCAGCCCAGTTATCTTAGCCAACTGTGAACATTTTGAACACTGTTGATCATCGGTAATGACACCAGCACCATAACACGAAACCCCTCTAAAACAGGGCTTCCAGGAAACTCACAGACTAGTTACATCCCCAAGCCTTGCATACTTGATTGGAAAGAGAAGCTTCTGGATGGTTGAAGGGGAAAGGAGTTAGACGTTGGCAGGCACCCATTAGTGTTGGTTACGACTTGCTAAAAGAAAATATTAAGATAAAAATTAGATCATAAATTTGGAGCCACCATTACGAAGCCTAAAGTGCAAATTGCCAAACAAGTCAAGAGACTCATTAGCATTTTATGTAAATCAGTTATTACTGTTCTCCACTTCCTTAATTATCCATGTTATTTCAATACAACCCTTTCTTTGATGTCCCAATTCTATATTTAAATAGTGCAAGATTTCTATCGTATCCTCCCGCAGAGGTTTGTGCCATGCAAAAAACATGCCAAGAGCAGCTATTTTAGAGACTACAGGGAAATGTTTAATTGGTTCATCCCATTTGAGTTATGAGGGTGTATTACTGAGCACATAAAATCAGAAACATGGAAAGTACTAGCTTGGAGAAGTTTACTAAAACCTGCAAGAGACCGCTTGAAATTTTGCCCCCAAGACTTTTTGGATTCTCGATGGGAACCGACTCAAAGAGAAATTTCGCAAACTTCATGGAATTTTGCTAAGTGATTGATTTATAATTGAAATATTTGGAAATAAAATCCAACAGCTCTCTTTCCTTTGGCTCAGAGACTTATTGTTTTGGTTGGATGAAGAGAACACTTGTGACAGAGGGAGGAACATAGGGTGCATAAGAGAGATGTGGGGAAGCACTCCCCATCCAACTCGTTCCAACCAGTTCATCTTTTTTTTTTTTTTTTCTTTTTTCGAGAAAGAGTTTTGCTCTTTTCCCCAGGCTGGAGTGCAGTGGTGCGATCTTGGCTCACTGCAACCTCTCCCTTCCAAGTTCAAGCAATTGTCCTGCCTCAGCCTCCTGAGTAGCTGGAACTACAGGCGTCCGCCACCATGCCCAGCTAATTTTTGTATTTTTAGTAGAGATGGGGTTTCACCATGTTAGCCAGGCTGGTCTCAAACTCCTGACGTCAGGTGATCCACCCTCCTCAGCCTCCCAAAGTGCTGAGATTACAGGCTTGAGCCACAGCACCCAGCCAGAACTTCATAGTTTACTCTTATTATTTTCTCCTAACCACTAGGTTCCACACTTCTGGCCACCTGCCTTTATCTCCTGCCCCATAACCTAACCTGTTTTAAAATACTTATTAAACAAAGAAAAATAAACAAGAACAAATGGAGAATCTTTCACTATGACTGCAACTGAAAAGAGGAGTAATGGAAGGACATGTACTCTTCCCATATATTTTTAAACAATTACTGTATCTGATTTTTCATTTTTCATTTTTTTTTTTTCTGGAAGAAAGAGCAGATCTGGATAAAGTCAGTATACAATGTGGTCTTTGGTGACAGACCCAAGTTCAAGACCAAGGTGTATGCATGGGTTTGTTCAAGTTGTCTACCCTTATTATCCCCTCAGTGAAACATGATTAACCATGCTTACCTTGAAGAGTTATCTTAAATATTTGTGTTAATATTATATATGTACATTACATGGTAAGTGCTAAGTAAATGGTACATGTGAGTCTTTGCTCTAGGCAAGGCGCTGTGCTGAATGTTTACATAGATGATCGGATCCTCATATTGGATCCTCAAAACGTTCATCAAAATGGGTAGGATTATTTTTATGTATATTTAACAGGTAAGGAAAATGGGGTTTCTGGAGGTGAGTGACTCACTCAAGATCACGTGGAATCAAGCAGAGAAGCTGGGGTTTTAATTCAGAAGTTCTTTAAGCTACAGCTGTAATTGAGACAAGAACCGTACACTGTAGTAAGATTAATGTAAAGATTTAAAAAACTGTTCATATCGTTCATCTACATAAATAAATAATATTTACAGAAACTCATCTCTGCAGACTAAAGTACTTTAAATATTTAATCTAATTTATTGGTTATTTATTTAACAAATACTTTTATGGGCCTTGCCATGTTCCAGGCACGGTTGTAAGCACTTACAACTAGTGACTCATTTAACCATTTCACAAATATTTATTTTGAGAGCAAGCACGGGGGTTTATGTGATGGCTCCACAGAGCAGTGAAAAGACTCCCGCCCTACTGCTCGCAACCTCAGATGTCCCTGGGCACTAGCCCATCTGTATGTCTTTAAAAAAAATAAATTAAATTTTTAAAAACATGACTTTCTGGCCAGGCGCAGTGGCTCATGCCTATAACCCTGCACTTAGAGAGGGCAAGACAGAAGGATTGCTTGAGGCCAGGAGTTTGAGACCAGCCTGGGCAACATAGCGAGACCTTGTCTGTACTAAAAAATTATTAAAAGAAAATATATATATTTTTTTAAATCATGACTTTTCTGATCATACCTGTGGCATACTCATTATAGAAAATTTGGAAAATGTAAGAAGTCATAAAGAAGTGGGAAAAAATTTAAATCCTTCTCTGTCCCACCACAAACCATTTAAATCAATCCAAGATTTTAGTGGAAAGGGAAAGCATATGATCTAGTACAAAGAATTTTTTTTAGCTTCTTCTCCGCTGCTTGTTTAAGAATCTCAGAGTAATCCAGACGTTACTACTCCATAAGCAAATCTGGGACAGTAATCAGACAACCAGACAACCAGACTGAGAGCCCCCAAGGGTTCAAATTCCTGAGCGCCGTGTCTTCTCTATAGCTTGCTGTCTTGTTCTATTTGGATATAAAGCTACCATCAAGCAGAAGAAGCGGGATGCTCTCTACAGAGTCCGAAACAAAACACAGAAAATTAACCTGCTACCATCCTCTAAAGAAGCGAGGGTCTCAGACTTTGTCCCCTTTTGTTCCTGCATTGCCCTCCATTCAGATCTTGTCACTTAGGCCTTGGTAGCATGAGCTATTAACAGCCCTCCATATTTACTATTTTTTTTTTTTTTTTTAACTCTGGGAGTTCCTGTTGCAGAAATTGGATCACTTACCTAAAAAGCTCCCCACCCCCACCTTTGGTGACTGGTGGGTTTCATCACCAGGAAAGCACATTGTTCCAACTCAAAGTCTACAGTCTAAAATCATCATCATGTATTTTCATCAGGATGAAATATCGGGCACTCTGCTCAGTGCAAGGTTTTATTAATGATGTGCTGTCAGGGGCTGGATGTTCTGCATATTTGCATATTAAACAGCTGAGTGAAGAAACATTGCTTTTATTGCTGCAGGGAATAAATCAGTTTAAAGCAAGTTCTCATCATTTATACTCGTTTCAGCTAAGTCTTCTTTTATTGAAATAAATTGTTGAAGTGCTTTGCTCATTCTTTGAATACTGATGAACTTTACCTTGATAGGACCTCAGGAAAAATAATATTTTCTTAAAGGTGCAGTATTGTTCCATTTTTGAGTATTACTTTAATACATTATTGATAAGTTAATTTAGAAGTATCAAGTGAAAGGGGAAGAAAAACAGTTTTGAATAAAAACGGTGTTTCCTCTGGACTATTTTGCCAAATGCATTTTTATTGGTAGAACGTAAGCAAATTTAAAAAAGCAACAAAAGCAGTTTTTATGAATACCTAGCGTACTTTTTTTTTTTAATGAACCATGAGCTGTTTTTGCATTCAAATTCTCGTAGGCATTATATTGCATCTACACATAAGGACACAGTGTTTACAGACCCCAAAGCTTGCTGTCCCCTGGGCAGGTGCATGAGGGGGTCCCAGGCAATCAGGCTCTTCTCAAACCTGAATTATACCCGGCCTCAGGGTATAGGGGTCAGGCAGCTGTTTGACAGGATTCTTGCAAATGTTTTTGGTTTCTCTGTCTACTCATTACGTACACTCTGCCAGAGGTTGAAAACTCAATGTTGAGATTACATACATCCTGAAAACACTGTTTAAATAAAATTTTGGCCTGCATCCTGTTTTTGAAAACTTGCAATGGCTTGCCAACGTTTTCAAGTTGAGAAGTTTCACAAAAAAAATTCGGATTTCCAGCTTCTTTCAAAAACACAGGTCAAACATCCTGAGCCTGTTCTGTGGTCAGTTACTCATTAGCAGCCTCTGCTCTAGGAGGAATAGTTATGGGTCCTTTCAGACATGCAACCCCCAAAACTCCATGTTGTTTACAGTGTGGGACACCTGACTTTCACCTTTTATGATACCTGCCTGGGGCATGCATGTGGTGACTTTTTCCATCTCTGGTCTCTATCTTATCTCTTGTGATGAACTCAGGTCTATAAAGCATTTGGGCACTGCCTGGCACATAGGATATGTCCAGAAAACACTAGCTGGTATTAAAACAGAGGAAACATGGGAACTGAGGGTGGTCAGTGACATCACATTGTATTTCCTTTATGGTGTCCTTCTGAGTACAGAACCAAACATTTCTTAGGCGTACAATTTCCTGCCTCCAAATTAATGTTATTTCTAAAAAGTAGCCCGTTCCACTCCTACAAATCTTTGCCCAAATATGTCCTTTTCAGGGATGACATCCTTAGCCACTGTTTAAAATAGCAAATTTCTTTCCAAACTCTGCCGTCCCTGAATCTCTACCCTGCTTTATTTTTCTCCTTAGCAGACATCATTTCTCTGTTTAATCTGTCTACTTGCTAATTGTCTCACTGCCCTCCCCCTCCCCACTGGAGAGTGAATGAAGGCTTAAGGTTTTGTCTGCCTTGGTCTCTCCTGGGTCCTGAGTACCAGTGGCCTTACGTGGCATTTGGTAGATTACATGCTTAATGAAAAGTGAGTGAATGGGCTGGGTGTGGTGGGTCACACCTGTAATCCTGGCTACTCAGGAGGCTGAGACAGGAGGATCGCTTGAGCCCAGGAGGTCAAGGCTGCAGTAGGGTATGAGCGGGCCACTGCACTTCAGCCTGGGCAACAGAGCGAGACCTTCTGTCTAAAAATATTTATCTATATTGAGTGAATAAATGAATGAATGGATTATTTTAGTTTGGCCTCAATCTTTATAGAAACTCAATTCAACAAACATTTGAGCACCTGTTTGTTCAGGGCCACGTGCTGGTTGCAACCTGGAAGGAAAAGCTGGGCAAGGCGGAGATCCAGTGCTCAGGAAGCTGAGTCCATGCCAAGATGTGATAATTGTATAAAGAACTACAATAGGCATAGGTACAGATCTGTAAAATATGAAAACAGGAAAACACATGGAGTCTTGGAGGGTAGGGAAGTCTTGATGAGTAAGATTGGGTCTGAGATAAACCTAAAAGAGGGTCAAGATTTTGACGGAGGGCTGGAAGGGAGGAACGATAGGAAACTGACCTTTTTTCAGATCTCTTCTTGTGCGTGGCCTGGGGTTAAGTGCTTTACATGCATCCCCTCATTGACTTCTCAGAGCAGCTCCATAAAGAGTCCCTGTGCTTCCCAGTTTACTCTGGAGACGACTGAGGCTCACAGAGGTTAAGCCACCTACCCAGGCTGGCACCGCACACTTTGTTCAGAGTGGGCCTGGCATACGGCATCAGTTCAGCCTGGCCCTAGACCCTTTTCCTCCCACAACCATATTGCCCCCAGTGGAGAGACAGGAAAGCAGGGAAGGGGGCAATTGCCAAGCCTGTTTCTAGAATCTCAAGGATGCCATTTGGTGAAGCTGAGGCTGGTGCAGTTACTCTGTGGAGACACCAGCGTCTTGGACCTAGGGATGGATTCAGGGAGGATTGTGTCCCCCAGTGACCTGCTTTGTGAAAGGTAGAGAATAGATTACAGGTGCCCGAGATCCTAGAACCCGTTTCTTACCATGATGGCGTTGAGGTAGAGGTAGAAAGATGGGTGAGGTGGCTGGGTGCAGTGGGTTGCGCCTGTAATCCCAGCACTTTGGGAGGCCAAGGCGGGTGGATCACCTGAGGTCAGGAGTTCGAGACCAGCTTGGCCATCACAGTAAAACCCTGTCTCTGCTAAAAATACAAAAATTAGCCAGGCATGGTGGTGTGGGCCTGTAATCCCAGCTACTTGTGAGGCTGAGGCAGGAGAGTCACTTGATCCCGGGGGGCAGAGGTTGCAGTGAGCCAAAATTGCACCACTGCACTCCAGCCTGGGTGACAGAGTGAGACTCCATCTCAAAACATAAGTAAATAAATAAAAAATAAATATAATACAGACACAGGCTTTTCTCCCCACCTCTTTTAATTCTTGAAAGGAACAGTAACAAGCTCCTATTCCTGTTTCCTTGCCAGGAGAAGTATTGTTTTCATATAAATCATTTGTGACAGAAGCTCCTTATTTTTAAGTGGAAAATGCACATTTAATAACATGAGAATAATGTCCAAACATCTTCTCATTGATGGCTGCCAAGAGAACAGCAGCACTCTTGCTGCCTGCAGAAAGAGACACTCAGAGTCAACTGTTTTAGGGGCCATGCTGTCATTGCTGCCGCATTTGCTTAGGTGGGCTCTGAGCAGCAGCTTCCCAGACACTCCGTAACCAATGGCAGCTGAGTGCTTTTGTGCCTTGCAAATCCTCTAGTCAGAGCAGACCTGGCTTAGGACCCCAGCCCTACCACTAACTGACTCCATGCGCTCCTATCGGTTCTTTATTTTACCTCTGCAAGCCTCAGTTTTCTCATCTGTAAAGTAGGGATAACATTAGCTTCAGCCCTCACAGGCTTAGAGTGAAGTTTAAATAAGAAAAGGTATCTAGGCTGGGCGTGGCGGCTCACGCCTGTAATCCCAGCACTGAGGGAGGCTGAGGCTGGTGGATAGCTTGAGCCCAGGAGTTCGAGACCAGCCTGAGCAGCATAACGAGACCCGTCTCTGCAGAAAATACAAAAATTAGCCAGGTGTGGTGGCATGCATCTGCAGTCCTGGCTACTCAGAAGGCTGAGGTGGGAGGATTGCGTGAGCCCAGGAGTTCAAGACCAGCCTGAACGACGTAAAAAGACCTATCTCTACAAAAATTAGCTGGGCATGGTGTCACGTGCCTGTAGTCCTAGCTACTCGGGAGGCTGAGGTGGGAGGATCGCTTGAGCCCCGGGAGGTAGAGGCATGATCATGCCACTTCACTGCGGCCTGAGCTACAGGGACTCTGTCTCAAAGGAAAGAAAACAAACAAACAAAAAGCCATGTAGAGCTGGGCTATCCAATACTTGAAGGTAGCCAGTGGACACGTGGGGCCATTTCAAGCTAAATTAAATTTTAAATAAAATTAAAGATTCAATCTCTCACTCACACATTACAAGTGCTAAACATCCGGACACATCTAGTGGCTCCCACTGTGGGTAGCACATACAGAAAGAACGTTTCCGTGACAGTAGAGTGTCCCATTGCACAGTTTGGGTATGGAGCACTTAGCCCAGTGTTGGGCACAGTACCTGCTGTGATGGTTAAAGCTTAGTTTTATTGGCCAGGCATGGTGGCTCATGCCTGTAATCCTAGCACTTTGGGAGGATGAAGTGGGAGGAAAGTTTGAGCCTAGGAGTTTGAGACCAGCCTGGGTAACATAGTGAGACCCTCTGTCTACAAAAAACTAAAAAAATTTAGGCCATACTTAGTGGCTCACGCCTGTAATCCCAGCACTTTGGGAGGCCGAGGTGGGCGCATTGCCTGAGGTCGAGAGTTCGAGACCACCCTGGCTAACATGGTGAAACCCCATCTGTAATAAAAATGCAAAAGATAGTTGAGCGTGGTGGCGCATGCCTGTAGTCCCAGCTACTTTGGAGGCTGAGGCAGGAGAATCACTTGAACCCGAGAGGCGGAGATTGCATTGAGCCGAGATCATGCCACAGCCTGGGCAACAGAGCAAGACTGTCTCATAAATAAATAAATAAATAAGCTGGACGTGGTGGCATGTGCCTATGGTCCCAGCTACTTGGGAGGCTGAGGTGGGAGGATGGCTTGAGCCCAGAGGTAGAGGCTGCAGTGAGCTATGATCTTGCCACTATACATCAGTCTGGGTGACAGAGCGAGACTCTGTCTCAAAAAACCAAAACAAAGGTCAATTTTTTTTCCACATTCATCTATAAAACAATAAAGGAAACATCCTAGACACTTGAATCAGAGCCCTTTTAATTATGACTTCAAAAAACAGGGCTCGTGCCACCCAAGATTTCCTCCATATACAAAAAAAAAAAAAGGAAAAAGGGAAGAAGCAAAGGGGCAATACAGGGCTCTGCCCATTAGAATCTCTAGGGACAGACCGAGGTTTGAGAGTTCCTGCTCCTGATCTCAGGGGAATCCTGAATTACAGGTGTTAACCTGATTATCCCCAGCCCAGCTCTTCGTTAATTACCTGAAGTGAATGGGACAGTTTCCAATACTCAGCACAAAGGCGTGCGCAGTGACTCTGTGGCGTACTATCTATTTGGCCTTGGAAAGTTACTCTCTAAGTCAGGGCTTCTTTTCTTCAACTTTGGTGTGAGACTCCGCTGGAGAGCTGGTTAGAAAAACACAAGTCTCGGGCCCCACCCCGCAGAGCCCCTCATTCTCTAGTTCTGGGTTGGGGCCCAGGAGTCTGCTTTTCTAGCAAGCGCCCAGATGTCACTGATGCTTACAGCTCTCAGACCACAGTTGGAGCAGTGATTTTTAAAAGTCTTTTCATTTGTAAAGAGTTGTTCTCCATGCTCCAAATGACTGTGACGACTGAGAAAATGCATGTATGTAAAGTCTGCAGCTGGTGACATTGTAGACACTCAGCAAATGGCCTTTGGTGTTACTGTTATTTTATTTTTACTAATTATTTTTTACACCTACAAATCAGGATCTGCTACAATCGCTTGATATTTGAAAATTGGGCCTAACCCACTATGCCACTCTTCTGTCATGAAATAACAATCTTCTATTTAAACTAGTAAACTTAATAGTTTAAAATACTTGGTAGTTTAATAGTTTAAGTAGAGCCACTGAAAGATGGCTCACACCTTTCAGCTCAGTTTTTTTGTACCAGTGAGGATGAATGTTTCTGCATGTGGGTAGTTGGCACCAGTCTTCAATGAATTATTTTTCCTTTAGCCGGGTCTGGTGGTGGCGTGTACCTGTAATCCCAGCTACACAGAAGGCTGAGGCAGGAGGATACCACGAGCCCAGGAGTTGGAGGCTGCAACGACTTACGATCATGCCATGGCACTCCAGCCTGGGTGATAGAGCGAGACCCTGTCTCTGAAGATACAAGAAGGCCACATGTGGTGGTTCACCCCTGTAATCCCAGCAGTCTGTGAGACTGAGGCAGAAGGATTGCTTGAGAAGTTTGAGATTGGCCTGGGAAATATAGCAAGATCCCAACCCTATTAAAAAATTAAAAATGAAAATAAAATTTTAAAGAAAGGTATTTCTCCCCTTCACGGTAATTTGGAGCCAGTACTTCTTGCACCATTCATTTGTCCACAGCATGGGACAAAGGATAATGCCTTAATGCCTGCTGCAAATAGAACAGTGGTGCTTAGCAGCTTTAGATAATGCATTGTAGGTGTTTTGCAAAAACATACTTTCGTGACTAAACATCATAAGCTCCAAGTGAGTGATTTCCCCGCGTAAATGAATGATTCTGTGAGGATAACACTTCTAAGATGTGAGATTTCAATAAATGAATCTGTAGGCTGCTGTGATGGATACCTTTGGTGGGGTAGGAAGGATCGTCATTTAGAACCTGGGTTCTGACTCCAGATGACTTGTTTTGTTCTATCCCAGAAATATTCCTAAAATCGATTTCCAGTTTCCAAAAGAGCAGGTAAGGAAAACACTGAGTGTTACTTGGTCTTTAAAATTTTTTTTAAATTCATTTTTATTTTTAAAAAATAGAGACAAGGAGGTGGGCGCGGTGGCTCACACTTGTAATCTTAGCACTTTGGGAGGCTGAGGTGGGTGGATTGCCTGAGCTCAGGAGGGCGGGTGGATTGCCTGAGCTCAGGAGTTGGAGACCAGCCTGGGCAACAAGGCGAAACCCCATCTCTACTAAAAACATTAAAAAAAAATTTAGGCGTGGTGGTGTGTGCCTGTAATCCCAGCTACTCTGGAGGCTGAGGCACTAGTATCACTTGAACCGGGGAGGTGGAGGTTGCAGTGAGCCGAGGTTGTGCCACTGCACTCCAGCCTGGCTGACAGAGGGAGACTCTATCTCAAAAAAAAATAATAAAAATAATAAAAAAAAAATTACATGAAAAATAGAGACAAAGTCTCGCTTTGTTGCCTAGGCTGGTCTTGAACTCCTGGGTTCACGTGATCCTCCTGCCTCGGCTTCCCAAAGTGCTGGGATTACAGGCACGAGCTGCCACGCCTCACCTCTTGTTTTCAATACCATTGATAAGTTGTGGTCTTCAGGGACTTGTGGGCATTTTCAAGTTAAATATCCAACAGTCGTGATTTAGGGCATGAAGAGCTCACTCATCAAGATGTATGTAATTCAGATTTTCTGAGTGTTTAATTCGGCGTCTTTGGTCACAAGGAACAGAGTTTTACTTGTGCCACCTCTTCTAAGAAAAAGGTTTACTGTAAGAGATAATGTTGGCAAGCTGAGGAAAGGAGGCAGTTTTGGGTAACTGTCTCTTGCGATCCCCTCCTGCACAACTGTGGCGTTCTCTTTTTCTGACTAGCTGATTCTGCTGCTGCTGGATTTATTCATTCTTCTCCCTCACAGTTTTGGCTCGCACATGCTTCCTTTTTAGCTCATGGCCGTGCAGTTCAACTCAACCTCATGGCATCTTTTTATCAGCTGTCCCTGCTGCAACAGGCTTAGAGTTGGTTTCCCAATTCCCTAGCGCAGAAATCCACTGGCATGAGTCATCTTTCCCATTGGTAGATTGCAGAGCAAACTTCTGGACAGATTTGCCCTTGGCTCATGTATGATTGGACCTGCGGTCTGTCCAGGTGTACTCAGAGTGGGGAAGGGGAGCGGTGGCAGGTAATACAAAACCCACCTAAGTAGAAGGACCTATGAACCATGAGGGTTTTCCTTAGCAGGGAGTGCCAGTGGGTAGGGATGACTGGTTTTGCAGTTTAGGGCCAAGTGAGTTGGAATGACAGCTGTGGCGTGTTGAGTCAGATCAAGTCCAGAATTCCTCTCCACCCCACCCATTTGCAGTTCCCTCAGATTTATTACGGGACCTGGATGTGATGCAAGCATGCCCGCTGGCTCAGGCTGTGCCTCACAGCTGCAACATCCCTGGGGTGGAGAAGCCATGTGGGACCTCACAGAACACTCCACCGTCCCTGCTAATGGCTGAGAAAGGACTCTGCCCTCATGGATGGGGTTGGGGGACCTGTTATCTTCTTCCAGGTTAATCTTGGTTTCAGCTGCTTTAAACTCTACTTTTTAGTGGGACGCATCATACTGAACTATGGAAGCACCATAGTTGTCACCTAGTTGAGCTTCTCTTTGTTCCCATATGTTTCAGTGAAGCAGTTATAGCTTCAGAAAAGAGGGAGCCAGGAAATACACTTGTAATTCATCACTCCTTTTATAGTCAGAGCATAGGAACACTCATAGTATGTATCAGAAACTAGTGAACACATGTTGTTTTACAGCTCTGTCTGCAAAATTGCATCGTGGGCCTCTTTGGGGAGTGTTCTCAATGTGATTTTTATTCTGGGGTGTCCTTTGGCCACAATCCTCAGGATTATTTTTTCTCTGTGCTGTTCACTGTAACATCGTCCACCCTCTGAGATCTTGCTTTTCAGTCTACTGGTATCTCCACTTCTCTCTGCAGCGTGATGTCTAGTCAGAGTTTCCATTCTGTTTTTATGACCCTGGGAGGACTGGGAGAGATCTGTGAGGTCATCTTGTCCACCCTCAGCCAGGGCAGGAGTATTCCCTAATGGTAGAGTCAAGTGTTTGGTTTGGTCTTGTTTCTAATGACTCAAGTGATGAGGCCTGGGGACGTCCCTTGGGAAGCTATTCTGCAGCCTAATAACTTTCATTCTGTGATTTTTTTTTGTATGTGTCTAATATTCAGAGTCTGACACAATAAGGCCATAAAGAGCTAAGTCTGTCTATGGTAGATCTTCACCTGGGAATGTTCTCCTAATAGTCACTTTTGTTATAAATCTTCACCTAGCATGGGAGTTAAGTGCATTTTAAAACTAGACCTGGGGACTATGTATCCTAAAATGCAAAAATAGCCCCCAAAATGAAAATTAATGTTGAGAATCTAGTCAATCTGCCAGCAGTACGTACATAACTGTTCTGTGTATATTTCACATGGCCATATATGTTTTGCTTGTGTGGTGCTAAATGCAAAGGCAGAGAAGCTTCTGCTATTGAATGCTTAGCACAGAACTCCTGTCCTCCCTCTTTGAAATTATTCCGACAGTTGCCCCTCATTTGGCTTGCCAAGGAGTAAGATCTTGGCTTGTGTGTTTCTCCCATGTGTGGTGTATCTGTAATCTCGGTCACTGTTGAGAGCCTGGTGGGAGGCTGATTATTGTTGAGGGAAAGATCTGAGAGCAGGGCCAAGAAAGGGAAAGAGAGAGAGAGGAAAAAAAACAAAAAAGAAAAAGAAAAAAGAGAGGTGGGTAGGGAGGGAGGAGAGACATGGACCCACGGGGAATGGGAAGAGAAATAGAAATAGGGAATTTGAAATGGAAATAAAACAAAAGGGCAGGAAAGGAAGAAATAAAGAGAATGAGATAAAAGGAAAAGAAAGTGCAAGTAGATTTGGGATCTATAGATTGGGGAAAGACATTCATACAGTCAGGACCAGATGTTCACTGGAAGTTTTTTCCTTCTGGATCCTTCTTTGGCTATAGGAATCTGGTTCTCAAAGTGTGGCTCCCAGGCCAGCAACACCAGCATCACTCAGAAATCTGTTAGAAGGCCAGGCGCGGTGGCTCAGGCCTGTAATCCCAGGACTTTGGGAGGCCGAGGCGGGCGGATCACGAGGTCAGGAGATCCAGACCATCCTGGCTAAGTCGGTGAAACCCCGCCTCTACTAAAAATACAAAAAATTAGCCAGGCGTGGTGGCGGGCGCCTGTAGTCCCAGCTAGTCGGGAGGCCGAGGCAGGAGAATGGTGTCAACCCGGGAGGTGGAGTTTGCAGTTAGCAGAGATGGTGCCACTGTACTCCAGCCTGGGGGACAGAGCGAGACTCCCTGTCAAAAAAAAAAAAGAAATCTGTTAGAAATGCATATTTTCTGTTTTCACCCCAGAAATCCTGAATAAGAAACACTAAAGGGGAGTGGGCCCAGCTATTTGTGTTTTTGGAGGAACTCCTGTTTTAATTTGTTTTTTCGGAAGTCCTCCAGTTTGAGAACCAATGATAAGGACATTTTTCCGGGAATCCAGTTGTTTTAGGAAAGGCCCAGTAGGCATTTATGTTTATAAGCAACTCCACCCTGCACTCCATATGCCTTCTGTAGCTATCTAACAGAGACAGAGTTGACTTGCAGAAACTGTTTTCTCTGGCCAGGAGACAGGCTTCGTTTTCGAAACTCACCCAGGAAGGCAGTGTTCTTCTTTTCAAAAGGCATTTTTCTGTTGACTGTGCATGAAGCCACATAGTAATAAACAGTTTCCATATCCAAGCAGCTAAGGCTTGTGCCTTGCAAGTTAAGTGGAACATCACGATCTATATCTCAGTTTTCCTTATGTTTCCCCAGTTGGCACATCATGGCCAACAAGAGAGTAGGGATCATTAAGGAGTTTATTTTCATCTTTATTTTATCATTTAAAACACATTTTTTTTTCCAATGAGAGTACTGATGACATAAAAGGTTATACATTGAATAACCACCCAAATTAGCAGTGTTTCATATTTACACTGTTCAACACAGTTCTCTTGTCTCTGTTCATGATATAACAGTAAATCCAAGTTGCTTTAAGTAGATATTGGAAATATGAACCCAATATGTTCTTAACATCTCCATGTCGTAATTCTAATTTAAAATCAAAATCTCATCAAATTACATTTTAGATTAAAGCATTGTACCTATCGAAAGAAGAGAATCGAAAATGCGAAAGTCCTTCATTTTCAGTGTGGCCTGAGATTGTTGAAGGATTTGTTCTATTGCATGCTGATAAATATTTATCACGGTTAAGTGAACAATCATTTGGAGACAGACACCATTTTATGATGCAGCTTCTCAGGGCGTCCTAATTGTGACTCTGCCTTGCCATTCTATGTTTTATCGGAATACGCAGACATATACTTTATGAGGTTGGGTAATGAAGAGAGAGAGACCCCAATAAACATATTTTCTAAGAGTAATGGTTATCTATAGCTCAGGAACCCTTGGTTAGCACAGCCTCTATTACACAGTACTAGGCAAGCAGTTCATAGCTCAATTAGATCTAACTTGCTTCATTTTTAGGCATTATGTTATTCTAAATTAACACTGTATTTCATATTCTCCAGGTCTGACTATTAACCAGATTTTGGAACCTTTAGGGCTTATTATTTAGTAATCCCTGAAGCTCTCAAGTAGGCGTTTTTAAATTCATGCATTAGAACAGATTAAAAATTAGCTAGAAACGCATGTTAAATGGCCCACTCCCTTTCTTTTGCTAATTGTGCTAGAAATGAAAAAGAAAATGCAAGTGAGGTCAGATCTAGTGTGGTACAAATGAACTTGCTACTTGGTTTGCTGCCAATTGCTGCCGAAACAGGAGTTATTTAAATTAGTAAATAATTTTTGAAATCTTCTTAGAATGTCACAGGCCACAATTCAAATTCACAGACCAGGAATGGTTATTATTTCTATATATCTTAAAGTTTTCTGCAATAGAAATGCATTTCAAATATAAGCTAGAAAAAAAAAATGTGAGGCCTTATTGTGTAGATAAAAGTGACAAGATGTCCAAATGTTTTGAAACGCAGTGATTTATTTAAGTTGTAGAAAGCTTGGTTTTATTTCTTGTTGCATCGTCTTTATCCTTAGATCTTAATCAGAAATAGGAAAATTTTCTGAGAGAAAATTCACGAGATCATTCATGATGAGTCACTATATCAGTTACTTTAAAAAAAAAAAAAAAGATCCTGACAAATCCTACTTTTTCAGGTCCTGATGCACTAAGTCTCATTCACTTCTTTCTATTTTTCCTCTCTCTATTGCATATTAACCCACCATATTGAGAGAATAGAAACTTTTGCCTTCATTATATCACCTTTACACCCCAGGACAGGTGCCCTCCTCAGCGGAGACAACTGTCCCCCTCCATCCTGCAGGAGTTTTGCAGCCATCCTTCCAGCCACTGCTTCTCTACCGGGGCAAATTTTCCCCCAAGGGATAATTGATAATGTCTGAGGCATTTTTAATTGTCACAACTTGGGGAAGGGGCAAGGGATTGAGGGAGAGTGCTCCTGGCATCTGGTGGGTAGGGGTTAGTGATAGGGTTCGGCTGTGTCCCCACCCAAATCTCATCTTGAGTTGTAGTTCTCATAATCCCCACGTGTCATGGGAGGGACCCAGTGGGAGGTGATTGAATCATGTGTGCAGTTACCCCCATGATGTTTTCATGGTAGGGAGTGAGTTCTCACAAGATTTGATGGTTTTATACGATGCTTTTCCTCCTTTGCTTGGCACCTCTCCTTCCTGCTGCCGTTTGAAGAAAGACATGTTTGCTTTCCCTTCCACCATGATTGTAAGTTTCCTGAGACCTCCACAGCCATGCCAAATTGTGAGTCAGTTAAATCTCTTTGCTGTATAAATTACCCAGGCTTGCATATGTCTTTATTAGTGGCATGAGAACAGACTAATACAGTCAGGGATGCTGCAGAACATCTCCAAACACACAGGACTCCCACCCTCTACTTCCACCCCACCAACAAAGAATGATTCAGCCCAAAATGGCAGTAGTGACCTTGTTGAGAAATGCTGTTCAAGCCATACGTCACCATTGGAAGGTTGCCAAACTGTGCTTTGCACACACATGCTGTCTGCACGCCTTGTATTTTTCTCTTTGCTTAGTCCTGCTCATGCTCTCTAAACACCCCAGACATCATATCTCTTTAAGAAACTCTGGCTGAGTCCCATAATGTTCTGGGGCAACTTCTGTCTTCCCTTTTCCCTCTGGCAAAGAATCCTTGACCAAACTTTAGCTCAGCTCCTCAGAGCCCACTTCTCAACTAGACCTTGACCTTGCTCCTCTCTCCTTGCTGGATCTTCATAGTCCAGTCTTTGTAAGAGTCATTCTAAGTCAGTCTAGAGAGAATCCCTTCACCCTTCATGTCTGATCACCCTTGCCTGCCTTCAGCAAAAATCCTGCTAACTTGGTTAAGTTGGAATACTCCTACCCTTGTGGTTCCTTGTAGTAATTTGCATCCACTGACCCTCCCACTCCCCTGCTACTCTGTTCCTTGACTATAAATCTCCAGCTGTCTTTATTATATTTGGAGTTGAGCCCTATCTCTCTCCCCTATTGCAACAGCCTTGACCCCTGTTGAAATAATCCTGCATAAAGTCTTCCTTACCATTTTAACAAATGTCAAGGTAACTTTGTTTTTTGTTTTTTTTGTGTGTTTTTTTGGAGACAGGGTCTCACTCTGTTGCCCAGGCTGCAGTGCAGTGATGCAATCTTGGCTCACTGCAACCTCTGCCTCGCAGGCTCAAATGATTCTCCTACCTCAGCCTCCTGAGTAGCTGGGATTACAGGTGCCCGCCCCCATGCCCAGCCAATTTTTGTATTTTTAGTAGAGATGCGGTTTCACCATGTTGACCAGGCTGGTCTCGATCTCCTGACCTCAGGTGATCCATCCATTTTGGGCTCCCAAAGTGCTGGGATTACAGGTGTGAGCCACCGAGCCCGGCCAGGATAACTTTTTAACAACCCCCCCTCCACACTGCCAACTTTTTGAGGACCATGTGTTGTGTAGGGCCGGATATAGTGCACATGGTGAACACATAAATAATGTTTGTTGGCCAGGCGTGGTGGCTCATGCCTGTAACCCCAGCACTCTGGAAGGCTGAGTCAGAACGATTGCTTGAGCTGAATTGTTCAAGACTGCCCTGGGCAGCACAGTGAGACCCCGTATCTACAAAAAATAAACAAACTTAGCCAGGTGCGGAGGCATTCACCTGTATTCCTAGCTACTCAGGAAGCTGAGATGGGAGGATTGCTTGGGCCCTGGACGTCAAGGCTGCAGTGGGCCATGATCGTGACACTGTACTGCAGCCTGGGCGACAGAATGAGACCCTGTCTGAAAATTAAAAAAAGAAGAAGAAATGTTTATTGAATGAAGACATGAAAGCATTTGGTGGAAATAGGGCACACACATGAATATATTCACAGTTGCAAACTCAGAAGGATACTCCCAACCTGGTTCTTTGTCTTGTCCCTCCATCTGGGTGCTTTCCAGTCACAGCCTGGATGCATGTATGAATAAACTTCTACCATTAAGTCCCTGAATTATTTAAGCACTGCCAGTGATTCTATATAAACCGTTCAGTAAAATGAATGGCATATGCGTATGTTTCAAGAGCTCCAGCAGCCTACCCAGGATGGCTTGATGTTGTCTCTTAGCACCGTATCAATACCTGGGGGTTTTCAAATATTGCAGGTGGCCGAAGCCTTTGTGTTGAGGTTTCTGTAGTGTTTATCCATTTGTGAAACCAGGCCTCAATCTATATGTCCAACGCCATTCGTAGACCCCCTTTGATAATCTCCACTAAGCAGACATACTCGATACATCTTCACTAATGAGTTCTGACTTCATAAAATGTATTAATGACTTCTTTTTGAAAGTAAGAGTGCTTTGAATACCAGTCGTTATTGCTTTAGAAGTTCATAAAAGCAAAAGCACAGTATTTCCCCCAGTGTTTGTGCGATAAGAGAATAGATGTAGGTCCAGCGCCTAGAATTTTAGCTATGCTTCTCTTGTTTGTGATTCCAGGTTTCAGACTGCCTGGTAGAAGGAGGTCACTTCTGATTGTCAGTGACTTTGGTGAGTTCTTACCTTGTAAAAGATTTACAATTATTTCATTTTCAACATAGCTTTATCTTATGACAAAGGTGACAGAAAGGAAATCTCCTAAGTTGGCCTACAGGGTGCTTTAGAAAACATCTGGCTG
The DNA here is from genome assembly GCF_000001405.40 of Homo sapiens. Lineage (NCBI taxonomy): Eukaryota > Metazoa > Chordata > Mammalia > Primates > Hominidae > Homo > Homo sapiens. The sequence goes on from NC_000016.10 coordinate 78,691,420, forward strand.
GGCATGGTGGTTCACACCTGTAATCTCCACACTTTGGGAGGCTGAAGTAGGCTGAAGTGGGAGGATGGTTAGAGCCTAGGAGTTCGAGACCAGTCTGGGCAACAACGTGAGATCCTGTCTCTACAAAAAATAAAAAAAATTATCTGGGTATAGTGGTGTGCACCTGAAGTCCCAGCTAACTGGGAGTCTGAGGCAAGGAAATTGTTTGAGCCTAGGAGGTTGAGAGTGCAGTGAGCCGTGTTGCTGCCACTGTACTCCAGCCTGGGCAACAGGACAAGACCGTGTCTCCAAAAGGAAAAAAATAATAAAGCACTGTCTCTCTCTACCCTTGCAGTATCCCTGTAGGAGAGAGTTACTATTAGCTCCCAGTTTATAGGTGAGTGATATGGTTTGGATGTGTCCCCACCCAAATCTCAACTTGAATTGTATCTGCCAGAATTCCCACATGTTGTGGGAGGGACCCAGGGGGAGGTAATTGAATCATGGGGCCCAGCCTTTCCCATGCTATTCTCATAATAGTGAATAAGTCTCATGAGATCTGATGGGTGTATCAGGAGTTTCCGCTTTTGCTTCTTCCTCATTTTCTCTTGCCACTGCCATGTAAGAAGTGCCTTTTGCCTACCACCATGTTTCTGAGGCCTCCCCAGCCATGTGGAACTGTAAGTCCAGTTAAACCTCTTTTTCTTCCCAGTCTCAGGTATGTCTTTATCAGCAGCGTGAAAACGGACTAATACAGTGAGGAAATCCATGTGTTAGGAAGGGAGTGTGGTTGTACTTCAACCTGGAACTGTCTAACTCCTAAGGTTTTATTAATATCTAGTCCATTTCTCTCAATCTAATAGTAAATGGAAGAGAAGCAACAACTTTTGTTTTCCAATTCCTTTTGAACATTTGAAAGGTTTTCTGAAAGGACTTAAAGAAACCATAGCTTCCTTACCAGTTCCCAAAGCTTCAGTCCTTACCAAAGTGTACATTGCCTTTAAGGAGATTTGTTTCCATCAATCCCTCCCATTTACAAGGAATTACAGAAGAGTGATGCCCCCTTCAAAGTGGCTCACACCTGGCTGACATCTGTTCATTAAGAATGCCTGCCTTTGGGTTCTAAGACGTCCAAGGAGCTCTTATGGGTAACACCTGTAGATTTATAGACGTTCCTCTCTGACTGTAAGGGCCATATGCCTGAATCTCTCACCCCCATGTTTATAAAACTTAACAATTGTGGAAGCAATGAATTGAAGGACTAGGGTCACCAGTGGAGTCCCATAAATAGGTTGTTTATGATCCCTGTGAAACAAGAAGACCCTCTTAATTTCATGCTTCTTAAACTGGGGTATGAGTGGCCCCAGGTTTCCCTGTTGGGGGTACTGATACCAGAGTTCATTTGAAGTCATTGGAAACCAAGGCATATTTTCTTAAAGAGACAACTGTTTTTGGTGAATAGGCCATGTTGTTTATAGTAAAAACAAACATGAATATTCTGTAATAGAAGATATCGTTTGCATGGTGTTTTAAAGCTAAAACTTGAGTTATTAAACACCCTTCTCTCCCTGGGGATGCCTTTTGCTATGGGGTTGCATCCACGGAAGAGTTTGAAAGCCCAACCATATGGACATCATATTATTCATTTTTATTTGCCATCCAGAGCTTGCCAGCAACCTTTTAGATCTCTTTCCTTGGAAGGTTCAGCAAGATGCTTGTAAATGTATGTTGCTTTGTTGCAGACAATGTATATTTAAAAAGCAATTATTTGCCCATCTCTTGTTCAACTCAGATATTGACTGCCTTTCTGTATTTCTGGCTGGGCATTGTTTATCTCCACCTCATGGTTTTTACTATGGTTCTAGAGGTCTAGCCTACAAAGAGAATGCTTCCCGTCCCCACCACTACCCACAGGACCCTCTGCATATCTCAGAGGAATTTCTCAGTGTTCCAGTTAATTTTCTCTCTGTTTCCTTTATTACTTCTAAGTTCCATTGCAAAAATATGCTGCCTGCTCTGTCAGCCACCCTATATGCCTATTTAGTCCCAGTTTTCCAGCTTCTATTTTTTTCCACATAATCCCTAACCATGATAATACAAATATAATAGAAATAATTATGTTTGTTTAAAATATACACAGAACCAAATAGTCATAGAGTAGTATTTCAGGTGGGGGGCCCTCCTCTAGGGCAGTGGAGACAATGTCACCTGTCGGGAACATTTGGCAATGTCTGGAGACATTGTTGGTTGTGGTGCGGTGACATAACTATTGGCATCGAGTGGATGGAGGGCAGGTGTGCTACTAATCGCCCTCTATTGCACAGGGTGGCCCTTACCACAGAGAACTATGCAGCTCTAAACATGCGCAGCCCCAAGGCTGAGAATTGTTGATCTAGGGGAAGATGTGATTTCATTCTTCATGCTTGTAAATTATTATTTAAGCTGTGAATACCCTCTCTTTTCCCACTGAAGTTGTGGTTGTAAGATTCTCAGAGTTAAGCAGACTCGGCAACATTACAGAAAAAAAATCAAGATGTAAAAAGGATTTAGACGTCTGGACGTGGTGGCTCATACCTGTAATCCCAGCACTTTAGGAGGCCGAGGCAGGTGGATCGGTTGAGGTCAGAGTTCAAGACCAGCCTGGCCAACATGGTGAAACCCTGTTTCTACTAAAAATATAAAAATTACCTAGGCGTGGTAGTGTGTGCATATAATCCCAGCTACTCTGTAGGCTGAGGCAGGAGGCAGAGGTTGCGGTGAGCTGAGATCGCACTACTTCATTCCAGCCTGGGCAACAGAGAGAAACTGTGTCTCAAAAAATAAAATAAAATAAAATGGATTTAGAAATGGTACAGTCAGAGGTTAGGGGTCGGGTCAAAGCGATCCCCCCAGAGACCTGTGGAAAGTGTGGTTCTGTCTACAAGCTGCGACCATGGTCTTTACTGCTTCTGCAAATACTTGACAAAAAGGGCCACACTCTTAGCTGGACTTTTCCTCCCTTTCCTGAAACAATGCCCTTCCCATTGTCAAGGCAGAAGCAGCCTCCACTGAGAAGCGTCAGACACCACGTCAGTCTTGCTTTCCATTGCTTTGCTCCAGTATCCATTTGAAATTCAGTGCAAACCCATAAATTCCACTTTGCCTCTGGTAGCAGCCTGCATGGTGTGTATATTGAACACTAGAAACACAGTAAATCCAGCCCATTTATTCACATTAACCAGCAAAGGCATTCTGCATGCCCATGTAAATACTGGAAATTACTGACATGGCCTTCTAGACCATGAAAAGACAGAAGCATATGGCAGAATTCATATGTGAACAGATTGCTTTTTCTCATAAGAACGCTTTATTGGAATATCAACTATTACAGCTTTTTGAAGTTACTCTTCCTGCTCTTGATTTAAGTCCTGAATCACCCCACTACTCTTTTTTTTTTTCCGCTGCATTCTGCTATGTATCTTTACATCTGCTTCCTGCACTTTCTAAATGGCCTACTTAAACCTTGAGGTAGGTCCTTCAGTTTCCCATAAATTAATAACACATCTATGAATATTTCCCAGCCAGTCTTAGAAGCCCCAGTCTATTCCAATACCAGGATTGTAAACACAGGGAATAGATGAAGCAAGCTGCTTCTTTCAAATGCTCTTCCAATATGAAGCAAAATATTATTGATCTAGACTGCCTGCTACTTTCATTTACCATGTTACTACTCGTGGGATTACAGGCACAAAGGTTTCATAAATTTCAAATGAAATATGAACATTTGTTGTCAAAGTACTGTTAAGGTATGAAAACCCTGCTAGTATTAGTTCCCTTTTGTTATTATTCTATTATTATTATTATTATTGTGTTTACATCCACAGGCAATCACATATTTTAGGTTGTGGGGAGCAAAGCAGCTTCCCCCCACTTTTTCTCTCACTCCAATTTGAATCCTCCCATATGTCCCTCCCTCATTTTTTAAGCAGGAAACAATGAATGAGTTTTTGCTCCTCTTGCCCTATTTGCCGTGTCTCTTTTCTGTGATTCGGGAGCACATTGATACCCTTCTTTTGGAGCAGAGAAGCTTGTCTTTCATGATAGAAGTAGGTCATGGGGGCGGTTAGCTGACTTCATCAGAGAGTAGCATGCAGATCCCACCTGTGAGGCTATGGTCTGCCAAGGAGAGTTCAGCGGGCTGGATCAGAGAGAGCAGAGCCATGCTGGCAAGTCGGAGTCTTTGTGGAAAGCAGCCAAGGTCACAGCTGGAAATAAAACTGTGTATTCCAAATCAGAGGGGCAATGCAGGAATGGATCAAAGGAATGAAGGATCAAGTTGTCAGCCAAGAGAACCAAGAGCCAGACACAGGGAACCTGTGACAAAAACGAAAACCAATAAAAACATATATTGAGCATTGACCAGGTGCCCAATATTTTAATGTCCCATGGGTGTGCATCAGGTACGCTGTGGAAGGACAGATGTCATTCCTTAAAGGGGCTGCACTGAATTAGACCAGGGGTTCTCAAAGTGGGGTCCCTGGACCGGCAGCATCACCATCACCTGGAAACTTGTTAGAGATGCAGATCTTGGGCCCCGCCCCAGACCTCCTGAATGTGAATCTCTGGTGGGGAGGGAGACGAAGTGGGAGCCTGTAGGCTGCAGTCTGTGTTAAGCTTTCTGGGTGATTCTGATACACGGTCAAGTTTGAGATGTAGCAGGAGAAGCAGGAAACATAGGAGAGAAGCCACTAGGGGTGGGAATCAGAAATACGGTGTCCCTGCCTACCTAGGGGCTACATTCCTCCGGGCAAGTCTTTTTAACTCTCTCTGCCTGGCAACTTCCTTAACAAAGAGTGATACTAATACCTGCCTTCCTGTCTTTGCCACATCACGGGATTTTCTACAGCTCATATTGGTTACAGTGATAGCAGCTGAGATTTAGGCTGCACCTGAGTACCAGGCAGGGTCCTAAGTGACTTCAGACTCTATAGACAGTCCCTGACTTATAATGGTTTGACTTAGATTTTTTCACCTTTGGGATGCTGAGAAAACCATACACATCCAGTAGAAACCGAACTTTACATTTTGAGTTTCGATTTTTTTTTTTCACCTGGGCTAGTAATACGTGGTAGGATACTCTCTCACAATGCTAGGCCACAGCAGCGAGCTGCAGCTCCCAGTGATCACAAGGGCAAAGAATCGATATTCTACCAGGCACGGTGTTGCCTGATAACCTTGCCCAGCTGTAGGCTAATGTAAGTGTTCTTTTTTATATTTTCTTTAATTTTTTTAAATTTCCACCTGTTTTGGGGGGGGTACAGGTGGTATTTGGTTACATGAGTAAGTTCTTTACTGGTGATTGGCGAGACTTTGGTGCACCCATCACTCGAGCAGTATACACTGCATCCAGTTTGTACTCCTTTATGCCTCACCCTTTTACCACTCTTTCCCTCTCAGTCCCCAAAGTCCATTGTATCATTCTTATGCCTTTACATCCTCATAGCTTAGCTCCCACTTATAAGTGAAAACACACAGTGCTTGGTTTTCCATTCCTGAGTTACTTCACTTAGAATAATGGTCTCCAGTCCCATCCAGGTTGCTGAAAATGCCATCAGTTCATTCCTTTTCATGGCTGAGTAGTATTCCATTGTATATTTATACCGTAGTTTCTTTATCCACTTGTTGGTAGATGGCCATTTGGGCTAATTTCACATTTTTGCAATTGTGAATTGTTGTGCTGTAAACATGCGTGTGCAAGTATGTCTTTCATATAAGGACTTCTTTTCCTCTGGGAAGATACCCATTAGTGGGATTGCTGGATCAAATGGTAGTTCTACTTTTAGTTCTTCAAGAACTCTCCACACTGTTTTCCATAGTGGTTGTACTAGTTTACATTCCCACCAGCAGTGTAGAAGTGTTCCCTGCTCACCGCATTCACGCCAATATCTATTATTTTTTGCATTTTTGGTAATGGCCATTCTTGCAGGAGTAAGATGGTATCGCAAATGCAACAAAAACAAATAGGTGGGACTTAATTAAACTAATCAGCTTTTGCCCAGCAAAAGGAACAGTCAGCAGAGTAAACAGACAACCCGCAGAGTGGGAGAAAATCTATACAAATCTATACGTCTATACAAGGACTAATATCCAGGATCTACATGGAACTCAAATTAGCAAGAAAAAAGCTAACAATCCCATCAAAAAGTGGGCTAAGGACATGAATAGACAGTTCTCAAAAGAAGATACACAAATGACCACCATACGTGAAAAAATGCTCAACATCACTAATGATCAGGGAAAGGCTAATTTAAGTGTTCTGAACACATTTAAGGTAGGCTCGGCTAAGCTATCATGTTGAGTAGGTTAGGTGTGTTAAATGCATTTTCATCTTATGGTATTTTCAACTCGGTATAGGGTTTAATCCCATCCTAAGTTGAGGAGCATCTGTATCTGTTTTGGTCCTGACAATACCCCATGAAGGAGGTGCAATTACCCCTGGCTTAGGGTTGAGAAAACTAAGAGGTTTAGTAATGTGCTTGAGGCCATGCTACCTGTAAGCAAGAATCACTCCAGGTTTTTCTTGTTTCAAAACTCCTGTTAACAACTGAGTTGCTATACTGTTTTAGTAGGTCAAGATATACTATGTGTTTCAAAGGGCTTATAAATTATAAATGCTACTTAAAATGATGTAAAGTGGTATTATTGTTGTCATCATGTATATATTTTCAACTCTCTCATTGGCATCTTGAGGTTTCTCTTCTATGAAATTCTTTGCCCTAGGATGGTCCCCTTTGTCAAAGAGAGACACATTCTGAACAAGGTCAGACAACACAGATGGAGTTTGGATTCGGGCACTGGTGACAGTGAAGACTCAGATGAGGTTCTTGAGTACTTTCAATTAGGTTTACCACTGACCCCATCAGTGTGCAGACGAAGGGAGATGAGAGATACAGATGGTTAATGGGATTTTTGGGGTATCTTCCAGCCTTTGTGAGCACAGAGGTTTCGCTACATTTTGAAAATTAAAATTCATTTCATTCGCATTACAGATTTTAAATCCTAGCTCCTTTTTAAGCTTTTAATTCCAACTTGCATTTCTTATTATTCTGTTTACAAACCTGACAAATTTTAGCAGTCGTTTTGAGGAGATCTAGAATAATGTTTCATCTCATTTTTGAATTTAGGTACAGACCTTAAAAATATTATGCTACATTTCTAATATTAATATCTTGCTTTCTTATTTAGGAACTTTTCCTGACAAACTTCCCAAGAATGTAATTTTGTTATATCCATATGATAAACCTTAAGTATTCTTAAGCCAGGTGCAGTGGAATTCCCCTGTAGTCCCATCTACTAAGGAGACTGAGGCAGGAGGATTGCTTGAGGCCTGGAGATCAAGGCTGCAATGAGCTATGACTATACCTGTGACTAGCCACTGCACTCCAGCTGGGCAACATGGTGAGACCCTGTCTCTAAAAACAAACAAACCTTAAGTTTTCTTAATGTTCTGACACTTTTATAAATGTAGTATTTCAACTTATGGTCACCATTCTGTAATGATTATCATTTGTACATTTAAAATAGAAACTGTTAGGCCAATGTGTTATTCTAGAATAGGACTTGACAGACTTTTTTTTAAATAAAATGCCAGATAGTGTTTCTAGCTTTGCAGTTCAGATGGTGTGTGTTACAACTGTTCAGCTCTAACTTTGTATGAAAGTAGCCATAGGCAATACACAAATCAATGCACCATCTGTGTTCCAGTAAAACTTTATTTATAAAAACAGGTCACGGGCCACATTTGGCCCATCAGCCATAGTTTCCCAACCTCTGCTTTGGAAGGCCTAACTCAGTTAAACATTACAAGTTCATGCAGCACGGTGTGATGGCTCACGCCTGTGATCCTAGCACTTTTGGAGGCTTATGTGGGTGGATCGCTTGAGCTGAGGAGTTTGAGACTGGGCAACATGGTGAAGCCGTGTTTCTACAAAAAATACAAAAAAAAAAAAAAATTAGCCAGGCGTGGTAGCTTGTGACTGTACTCCCAGCTACTTGGGAGGCTGAAGTGGGAAGATATCCTGAGCCCAGGAGGCAGAGGTTGCAGTGAGCTGAGATCGTGCCACTGTACTCCCACATGGGTGACAGAGTGAGACCCTGTCTCAAGAAACCGAAAAACGAAAGAAAAACAAGTTCATGAGATACCACATACGTGAATATATGCTAACACAGCAGCATTATTTTTTGGTTAATCAATGATTATCAATGCTTCTGTGATTTTAAAAAGGAGAGTCAGCTATTCCCTCTTCTGCCCGCTGATATCTACAGCCTCTACCAGATGGTACCTCACTTAATTGAGGTTTGCCTTTTTTCAGGCTCTTCTAATGATCTTCTGGCCAACTCTAAATCACCTTTAAACTTCATGGAATTTATGCATTCTTGTTAATTTATATCCATGTAATATCAGGGTATTTCTCTTTGTAGCTGCATCTTCTAAGATAATGGTTTTTCATGGAGACTGGCATTGTCCCGTCCCTATGAGGGGGACATTTGGGAATGGCATTTTTAGTACTCACAAGGTAACTGGGGCACTCTTGGTCTTGGGGAGGGGAGGTGGCTGGGGACGCAGAGGGTCCTGCGGTGGGTGGATACTTACAACATAGAAATGTCCTGGCTCTTGATGCTGGCTACACCCTCAGTAAGAGATACTGTCCTAGGGTCATTTTTTTCAACCCACACTAGTTACGTGGACTGTCTTAGTCAGTCCAGGCTGCTATAACAGAATACCGTTGACTGGGTGGCTTGATTTTTTTTTTTTTCTCCCAGTTCTGGAGGCTGGAAGTCAGATGTCAGGGCACCAGCATGGTTGGTTTCTGGTGAGTGCTCTTTTCTGCATTTGTGGACAGCTGCCTTCTTGCTGTGTCCTCACTTAGTAGACAGAGAGAGAGAGAGAGAGAGAGAGAGAGAGAGAGAGAGAGAGAGAGAGACCATCTCTCTTGTGTGTCTTTCATTCATGAGAACTCCACCTTTGTGACCTTATTACTTCTGAGAGGCCCTACCTCCAAACACCATCTTATTGGGTGTTCTAGTTTAACATATGCATTTGGAAGAGAGAGGAACATATTCAGTCCATAGCATGAACCAACCACGTGCACAGAGGTGTGCCCCAATTTACTGTCAGTGCAGCCTTCACAGGCAGGAAACCCACCAGGTCCAAGGAAGGGGCACTCAGCTGTTACCTCCTGTCATAGGACCATTCCTCACTGTGCCATCATATTATACTTCCATATCGTGTGTCTTGTGGCATTCCTGGGCCTGCAGTGAGCCTGTGGCCACCTCATAGTCTTGTTGGCCACAGCCTCTAGAACCAGGGATTGGAGGAACAGCCATCGCTAGCATGGTGCTTGGCACTGAGCGGGTGCTTAGTGAATATTTATTGAATGATTTCCAACTAATGGAAGAAAGCTGAATAGCACAACACCCAGAGGATTGAGGTTTATTGAAAACCAACCCAAAGGGCTATGGTGAAAATCATCTCAAAAGGCAGAGGGCAAGAAATTGATATTTATTGAGGGCTCTCAGTGGGTGTTGTAGGGGGAAGGAAGTACAATGTCCTGGAGCTAGGCTGCCTAGGTTTGAATCCAGGGTCTGCCAGATGTAGATGTGTGATCTTGGGCACGTTTTTCAACCTCTCTGTGCTTAATCTTCTCCTCTTTAAAGGTGGGCTAGTGATAGTTACCTCACAAGGTAGCTGTGAGAATGAAATAATGATACATAAAGCACTTATAACAGGACCTGGCATGCAGTGAGTATCAGTGGGTATTTGCTGTGGTTATTTAGTTATCTACTTTACATGTACATGTAAAGAACTAGGGATATCTGTATTAAGACAGGGTCTTGTTATGTTTCCTGGGCTGATCTCAAACTCCTAAGCTTAAGTGATCCTCTTGCCTTGGCCTCCCATAGTGCTGGCGTTTCAGGCTTGAGTCACTGTTCCTGGCCTACTTACCTTCTTTTTGATCTTCTGAAGTCACCCCCTCCATCTGACAGGAGGTTGAAGGTCCGATGGCCACATAGGTGGCAGTGCTGGAATTTGAACCCAGGCCTTCCTCCCTTACCTCTCTCTACCTCTATCTCTTCTATCTACCTGTCTCTACTCCCTCTCCCTACTTTTCTCTTTTTCCCAGCCTCCCCCCGATATACTCAACATATATCTCCCTCTCCCTCCACCCACCTGCCTCCCCCACACTCCTTCTTTCCCTCTCCTCTGCAGGGAGAGCTTGGAAACCAAGAGTCTATGAGCTCGAAGGGAGCATGCAAAGGTGCCAGGCAGGCCCTCAAAGCTGGGAAGCTGCAGTAGGGGTTCTTTGGGACCCAGTTAAGCAGTGGGCCCTTGCTCTGAGATGCAGTCTGCTGAGCTGCCATCTGGGGACACATCTTGAGTTTCTCTCCATGATGGCGCAGCTCTCAGCGTAAAGCAGTCTATGGAGTGAGAAGGGAAAAGGCCCCAGTAATAAAAGGCAAAGGAAGCCTGGTGAAGTGACTCATACCTGTAATCCCAGAACACTGGGAGGCCGAGATGGGAGGATCATTTGAGCCCAGGAGTTGGAGACTAGCCTGGGCTACATAAAATTATATATATATATATATATATATATATATATATATATAAAATAATGCAGAAGTTTTATATATATATAAAGTTTTATATTTATATCTATAAAGTTATATATATATATATATATATATTTATTTATTTTCAAGACATGGTGGCATGCAACTGCAGTGTCAGCTACTCCGGAGGCCGAGGCAGGAGAGTCACTTAAGACTGGGAGCTCGAGGCGGCAGTGAGCAGTGATGACTCCACTATACTCCAGCCTGGGTGACAGAGTGAGACTTTGTCTCAAAAATAAAATATAAAATAAAATAAAAAGGAAGAAATAGCCAGTAGTGCTTTCTTGTAGACAGAGAAGCTGGTGAAATGATGTAACCAGGCTGGGCATGGTAGCTCACGCCTGTAATTCCCAGTACTTTGTGAGGCTGAGGTGGGCAGATCCCATGAGGTCAGGAGTTTGAGACCAGCCTGGCCAACATGATAAAACCCCATCTCTACTAAAAATACAAAAATTAGCCAGGCACAGTGGCTCATGTCTGTAATCCCAAATGCTTGCTCGGGAGGCTGAGGCAGGAGAATCACTTGAATCTGGGAGGTGGAGGTTGTAGTGAGCTGAGATTGCACCACTGTACTTCAGCCTGGGCAACAGAGCAAGACTCTGTCTCAAAAAAAAGAACAAAAAAAAAAAAAGAAATGATGTAACTGGTAGGGAGAAAGCCAAAGGTTAGAAAGAGAACATGAATTGAGAATGGAAAGATCGCAGAGGAAGCAGATTTGTCTGCACACCTCTTGCATGTGTATTTGGAGAAGCTCTGTGTGCTGCGGGTCGAGGGAAACACATAACTGGAACAACTGTCCTTTTCCACCATTGTTAAATCCTGCTTTGCTCACTGCAGGAGAGGGGGATTATATAGGAGCTTCTGGAAACAGATGCCTTGGGAGCTCTCCTCCTTTTCCAGAACTCCCACACTTGCTCTTGTAGATCATCATAGGATAACTCTCCGCTCCCTTTCCTAAGAAAATTGATCTAAAAAGTAATTATGGAATCTTGCAGTGCTTGTTGGGATCAGAGAAGGCTCCTCCGATGATGGGATGTTAGGTAGAGGGCTGCAGGGACCTTGCTTTTAGTCAGGAGGCAAATCAAGAGCCAAGAGAGGGAGGGGTGGTCGTGAGTTTTTATGATGTTCCTTCTCTTCTCCGCTCCTTCCTGACAAGAGTCTGTCTCTTTTCTCTGTGTGTCATAACTACCCACATTCACCCCGGCAGCCCATCTACCTTGTTTCTCTCATAAGTCAGCTTCTCTCCCATCTTTCCTGTGAAAATTTCTAACAAAATGGGAGTTAAGGCCGGGCATGGTGGCTCCTACTTGTCATTCCAGCATTTTGGGAGGCTGAGGTGGGAGGATTGCATGAGCTCAGGAGTTCAAGACCAGTGTGGGTAACATAGAGACTCTGTCTCTACACATTTTTTTTTTTAATTAGCTGGGGATGGTGGCTTGCACCTGTAGCTCCAGCTACTCAGAGGGAGGCTGAAGCAGGAGGATCCCTTGAGTCCAGGAGTTTGAGGCTGTAGTGAGCCCTGGTCTCACCACTACACTTCATCCTGGGCAACAGAGTGAGATGCTGTTTTGTTTTTGTTTTTTTTTGTTTGTTTGTTTGGTTTTTTTTGGAAAAAGAAAGAATCACCATAAAAAAGATGGGTAACTCGGAAATTTCAAATGCTTGAATTTCTTGGGTTGGGAAGAATATCCCAAAATGTGTTTCCAACTACCTCACTGATTTTGACTTCACAGGGAGAATATTTTGATTTTTATGCTCTGAGTTGCTGGTACTGCTGTGGGCACAGAACTGGGTATGACAGAACATTTTTCTGAACTATGACTCTGATCTTCTCAATCTCTCAGTGGGAAAGAGTTTTGGAACTTATTATTTTTAAAAACTTGGTAAAAGATTTATACCATAATATTTATCATTTTAACCATTTCTCAGTGCACAATTCAGTGGCATAAAAGGGCATTCCTGTTGTGCAACCATCACCCCTATCCATCTCCAAGTGAACTTGATTCTTAAATCTCCCAGCCATCTGTTTCAATTCACTAGATGTTGTTCCACCCAGCACGTCATGGTGGAAAGGGGCAGGCTGTGATTTTTTTTTTTTTTAACCTCCAGCAGCTGTGTTCCCTGTGGCAACTATGTAACCTCTCTGAGCCTCAACATCTGTCTATAAAATGGAAACAGTGCAACCTACCTTAGCATTTGATGATCTCAACTTGGATCCCATAGCGGGTATCTCCAAAATTTCCTCATCTTGACTACGTTCTGGTGAAACTTAAGATGTCAGCACATGACCTACCTCCCTTCCCTTCTCATTCATCTGCATTTTCACAATGCTTGGTTTTATCTTTTATACATATAATGCACAATACATGTAGTGCCAACAAGAATTATAGTTTCTGTAAGTAGTGTATGATTGCCCACGGATCTTCAGTAACTCATTAGGCACTGACGGGCTGACATGAGCAACAACGAGACTTAGTATCTGTTGCAGCTCTCCATACAGTTTACGAAACTCTAATCCATAAAAGCCGTTTGAAATTTCCATTAGGAGATTTGCACAAGTGGTTAAAATTAGTCATGCATTCTTGGTCTAAACTGCAGGAAGGGTATCTTTACTGTGAAAATGATTATGACATGTTAAAACTGTGTAATAGTAAGCAGACAGTTTTCCGAGCTGCTGGGTGAATTCTGGAAATGCTCTATTATTTTCTCCCTGTTGACTCCTTTCTTTCAGGCAAGACAGCCAGCATGTTGACTTGGAAAACAACTGAGGCTGAGCAGTTTCAGAGCATTGACATTACGTGGCTTCTTTTGTGGGCCACCCCAACTCTTTTATTTTTTTTAATTGCTGCTTCTTCCTCTAAAATACAACTTGTTTTTTTTTTTTTTAAAGAGGAGGAAGCCTTAAAAACCAGCGACAGTCTTGGTTTTCTTAACCTGTCCGCCATTTAACATTTCTAGAAGTGCAACATTGCTTCTAAGGTAAGGGCAAGGACCATGACTTTTGCATGCTGAAAATGAGCTGCCTGGTTTATTGAGTTAGTTATTCCTTTTTAGTGCCGCAGTGTTTTCAGTGTTAGAGAAAAGGCTGTGATTTTCTTTGATATTAAAAAGCCAACCACTTATATTTTCCAAAGCCATTTGCATTCAGTCTGACGGCCGCTAAAAATGTATGTGGATTTTTCATCTGAGAGGTTTTCTCTATGCATATTGTTTACATTTATCAAATGTTGTCCTGCCCAGTACTTTATATTCATTGTTGCTTCCGGACCTAGCTGACAACATGGTCTATATGAAAAACAACACAAAACAACACATAAGAGAGTCAAAGGGACTTCTTTGGGGAGAATATAAAAACAAGCCAAGGCGAAAGTGGCTGTAAAAATGCGTTGTGTTCCCAAGTGGAGGCTCCTTCTTTGTTCTGTCATCAGTTTGTCAGTTGTCAATCAAACCTCCCTTCGCCTCACACGTTTGCTAATGTAAGAAGTGCTGGCTCTGCTCTTAGCCTGCAGTGGTGCAGCTTAAAAATTCTGGGAGGGTTTCATGCAGTAAATACTTAAAGTAACAGAAAAGGACTGGGGAAAAGCTGATGTTGTAGCTGTATGATCACCCATGTAAAACTGTTTATTTAGTTATTTATTTATTTATTTGCTTTTTTACTTCCTTTTCTATGCCTTTGGTGACTTTGTGTAATGCTGTATGTACCATCAGAGCACATACTGCTTTTGTGCACACATACATTGAAAACAAAATGAAAAAACAAGAATAAAACAAAAACCCTATTCCTATTCCTACAATTCTGGTACTTTGCCACAAGGTGGTGGTAGTGTATCTTGAGTAAGGAATATGACCTGCTAGATATAAGCATCTGTTTATTTACACACTAAGGAATGTTTGAGTGTGGAACGTGGTTTAGATGCTGTGCGTACAGCAGTGACTCAGATAGGTGTGTATTCTCAAGAAGCTTTCATTCTAATGACACATACTTTGTCTCCAGTCAGAGTTATGGCAGGTTTTTTTTTTTTTTTTTTTTTGACTAAATTCACCCATATTTGATGGCAAGTGTGATCACAGCATGTTTATAAAAATCATTCTTAATTAAGGCATTTCCATCTTATCAAGCCCCCTATTTAATAAGGATATCAAAAAAGAAAACAGTTTTCGTGCATATGTGTAGCTTTTTAGATTCACTTTTTCCTTATTTGACCCATATAAACTTTGTCTGTCTGTGTCTGTCAGTCTCACACACATCCTTCAACACATCTCTTATTTCTTTCCAGAGCCAGGCTAAAGCACCCTTGCCATCTTCTCTCTCTGCTGTTAAATTAGATGCCTTCTCCAGGAATCTCTCTGGGGGCATCCTGAGCCTTCCCGATTCCATTTCAGATTTCTTTCTGTAATCAAGAGCTCCATCTCTGTTGCTTTCCTGGGGCTCTTCCTCTCCTCTTTTTGAAGCTTTTCATTTCCCTTTATATTCTTTCATTCGTCAACTACAAAGAAGCTGCAGGCAGGAACAAGAGAGCTCAGCACACTTGGTGCAGTCTCTCTGGCTTGGTAATTGGTCCCAAGAAAATAGTTTTTTTCCAATTATGGCAACATTGAAAACTTATCCAGGAGAGGAAAGGCTCTTTCAGCTGCTCTTTCTCGATCCTTGCAGTTTCCCTTTTGACCTGTGGGTACACATGGTACTGACGCAATTGGCACCTCAGATGGTTCTTCCTGACAGCTACCCTTGCAACTGACTCAGGATACAAACTACCTTTTTTTTTGGAGACAGATCTCACTTTATCACCCAGTCTGGAGTGTAATTGACGCAATCCTGGCTGGCTGCAGCCTTGACCTTCTGGGCCCAAGCAGTGTTCCCGCCTCGGCCTCCCAAAGTATTAGGATTACAGGCATCAGCCGTCATGCCTGGCACAAACTGCCTTTGGAAGTGAATCAGTCAGTTGCCTAGTAGGCCTAAGGAGACCATGATCCATGTAAACCATGGAATATTTTAAGCAGAAAAGAACGTATTCCCCTTCAAGGACAAAGTGCTGGAATAATTGACATCCAGGTTATCACAGAGCCTTCCTATAGTGTTGATTCTGATCACTCAAATAATCTTAGTGTTAAAGGGTTTATTTTTATTTTTCTACCTTCTTTTACCACCCCTTACTCCCATCAGAGCACCATCAGTCTTTTGGGAATAAAATAATTCCTCAGATATATTAAAAAGCTATAGAAGCAGAAGTTAACGTACATGCAAAAATCTCTACATTTCTCAACAATTGTGTAACCACTAAATATAGGGAAAGAAGTGTGCAAGGTATAAGACATTGGCCATGCGTCCTTGTCTGTGCCACCTCACCAGGAGCATTGCTCCTTTTTATGCACAAGCATCAGAGGTTCTGGACATCTTCTTGGGCTAGTTGGTATAGCTTCCTTCTCAGCTCATTCTGCAAGGTTTGCTTTGGAAAAGTCTGTGCATCTGAGCTCTCTCTTGCCATATCAGGAACCGAAGTCAGAAATAAAGGCTACAGATGCTCAAAATCTGCAGTATTCAATCTTTTTAAGGCCCAGCATGGTGTCTCATGCCTGTAATCCCAGGGCTTTGGGAGACTAAGGCGGGTGGATCACTTGAGGTCAGGCATTCAGGACTAGCCTGGCCAACATGGTGAAACCCCATCTCTACTAAAAATACAAAAATTAGCCTGGTGTGGTGGTGCACACCTGTAGTCCCAGCTAGTTGGGAGGCTGAGGCAGGAGAACTGCACTCTAGCCTGTGCTAGAGAGCGAGACTCTGTCTCAAAAATATAAATAAATAAATAAATAAATAAATAAATAAATAAATAAATAAATAAAGTATCTGTCCCCAAGTCACAATGCTATTCGGTTGGTGCAAAAGCAATCGTGGTTTTTGCCATTACTTTTAATGGAATAGTAAATAACACTTGATCTTTGGTCTTCTGACCTGAAATCCCATGGCTAGGATTGTCAGATAGAATACAGGACACCTGGCCTGTTACAGTGGCTCACACTTATAATCCCAGCACCTTGGGAGGCAGAGGCAGGAATATCACCTGAGCCCAGGAATTTGAGGCTGCAGTGAGCTATGACTGCACCATTGCATTCCAGCCAGAGTGGTAGAGCAAGACCCTGTGTCTTAAAACAACAAAAACAAAAACAGGACACCTGGTTAAATGTGAATTTCAGGTAAATAACATATTTTTTAAAAATGTATCCCATGCAGTATTTGGAGCATATACTCTAAAAATTTTCTTTGGGATATACTTCTAAGAAATGATTTGTTGTTTATGTGAAACTCAAATTTTACTCGGCATCCTGTGTTTTTATTTGCTAGACGTAGCACCTACCTGTGACATCTTTTTGTTTCTGCCCTGCTGTGTCACAGGGTCTTGGTATCTTTCCTCCTGTGATTCTGACACTACCTTGGGAAATGACTCTGTATCAAGCGTTTACCATCTGCTGAAAGCTTTGCATACTCTGTTGCTTATCATGACAACTGCCCTGAAAGTTGGGTGTACTTGTTACCCCTTTCCAGATTAAAAAACCTAGGGGTCAGAGAGGTTAAGTAACTTGCTCAAGACCTCACAGTGAACTGTGGTGGACCACTGGGATTAGAACCCAGTGAGTTCAGTGGCTTTGCCTCCAAGTGCGTTTATTATTGTCCGCACTCCAAAATGGCTTTAAAAAATTAAAAAGATACATGACGTTGAAATCAGTGACAGAGGCATAAGGCTCCTTGAGGGAAGAAACCAGGTGTTGGCCATAAAAAAATTATTTTTCACAGCGCCCAGCAAAGGGCTTGTATGCAAAGGACCCTCAGTATAAGCTGGTTGTTGACTGATGTGTTTCAAGAGTAAGTCAGAAAAATAAAAAGAAGGCAGGGAAAGAGTTCAAAACTCAGTGTCACTTGCACATCCATTTTGCCCTAGAAGTGTTTTAAATTTTATCAGGCTCATAAACTATGTTTCGAAACGTGAAAATAAATTGGCCCCCTGACCCCTTATGAAGTGACATCATTCATCTGAAAGGTTTATCGCCCTGCGTGTCATTTTGAAGTTCCCTACTCTCCTCCTCGTTCTCTAAATCCATGAAAAAATAGAAATGGGAGGAAGAACTGGAGAGAGGGGTTCTGTGTGTGTGGAATGTGGCTCTGGAAAGCCCCCAGCCCTCCTGTTAACACAATGCTTTTATCCCGTAATCTCTGCCTGCGGGAGACAAAATAACAGTTCATCTGGAAAACAAGATTAACTCATTTAACTTACGTAGTGATCACAGAGAGAAGCTTGTTGGAGTTGTCTGGCTGAAGGAAAGCCCGCGATTCTCGGCCATTCCGGTTCACAGGGCCTGGGTAGCGGGCCCAGCCTGTTGCAAGTAATCGGGCTCTGTCAGATCAGCCTTGGTGAGATTGGGATATTACCAGGGTATTCTGTTCATCTCTGACACAGGCCCTCTCAATCTGATAGACGGTGTGCCTCTTCTCTTCATTAGAACATCTTCCTGAACACTTGCCTGTCTGCACTGCCCTGCTAAGGGGTTTTCAGGTGAGCGTGCTGTGGGTACCTTCACATTTCAGGCCTTTTAACAGGGAATGAAAACCAACTGCCCTGTGATTCCAAGTCTGCTGATGCATGTGAAATTGGCTTTGTGTTGGGGCCTCTTCTTCCAAAGCAACAGTAAGCATTTTTTTTTTTTTTGTGATAATCTCTCTCTGTCACCCACGCTGGAGTGCAGTGGTGTGATCTCAGCTCACTGCAACCTCCGTCTTCTGGGTTCAAGTGATTCTCCTGCCTGAGCCTCCCGAGTAACTGGGATTACAGGCACCCGCCACCCGACGCCCAGCTAATTTTTGTATTTTTGGTAGAGATGGGGTTTCACCATGTTGCCCAGGATGGTCTTGAACCCCTGATCTCAGGTGTTCCACCCTCCTTGTCCTCCCAAAGTGTTGGGATTACAGGCGTCAGCCACCGCCCCCGGCCGATAGTTGCCTTTCTTACCAGCCTGGGCCAGGAGCAGTTGTTTATTTTCTGCTATTTCGTGTGTTTCTTTTTGCTGGCAGTGACATACTCCTACAGGGATGTCTGCCTCATGTTGACCTGCTTGTGTTTACCACCTAGAGGCCTAAGAACAGGCTTTCCCCGTTCAAATCACCCAGTGGCGTGCACACTTGGGGCACCTGGGGACTGGTTTCCTGAATGGCATTGAGAGTCATTACTTTCCACACACAGTTAACTGCAGGGAGATTTGTCTCTGAAAGTAGTCTTCAAGAAATGCGGCAGCTGCTTCTAGCCGCTCCATCCTTCCTTTTCCCAGTGCGCACTAACCCTCCAGAGCCTTCCGCATCTGCTATGCAGCATTGGCCACACCAGTGGGATGCAAGAATTTATCCCTTCTGTTGATGCAATTAAAGCTAATGGATCTCATATATATATATATATATATATATATTTATATAAATATATTTTATATTTAAAAATATTTATATTTTATATATTTTTATATATTTATGCAAGTATATATCTAAATATATAAAATATATATAAATATATACATATATGTGTATATATAGATTTTGTTTTTTGAGACAGGGTCTTGCTCTGTCACTCAGGCTGGAGTGCAGTGGCGTGATCATGGCTCACTGTAGCCTCAACCTCCTGGGCTCAACTGATTCTCTCATCTTAGCCTCCTGAGTGGCTGGGACCGCAGGTTCATGCTACCGTGCCCAGCTAATTGTTTAATTTTTTGTAGAGATAGGATCTCTCCCTTTGTGGCCCAGGCTGATCTCAAACTCCTGAGCTCAAGCGATCCTACTCACTCGGCCTCCCAAAGTGCTGGGATTACAGGTGTGAGCCACCATGCCAAAGCCTAAGGGACCTTAGAATTTTTTCTCCTTTCTTTTCACATTTTGTTTTGTGCTTGCTTATTTATTGAAATCTGGACCACAAATAACTTACATGTTTGTCAAGGCCAGATTTCAGGACCTAACCAACACCCGACAGGCATCTTAGAAAGTGGAGGGTGTAAGTTATAAAGAGAGATTACTTCCAACACGTTTCTTTAAAGCCTGCTGGCTAAATTAGGTGGGACCTTCTTTGTGTCCTCTCTGTTCTTGCTAGTCTGGCCTTTGTATAATAGGGAAGCAGATATATCTGGAAGCCTCTAAGTGTGCATCATGGAAATTGTTTGAAATGTTCAAAGTGATGTGGATGTATATATACGTTAAAAAATATCACTTTCCCTTTTGAAGACATTTACTATTTCTATGGTTTGTTTAGCAACAGCCTGGCTGAATAGTTCTTCAAAAAATAGGAACATGATGCTCATATCTGGCCACTGTATATGCTTTGGAGGGAACTTGAAGACTAGGTGGCTGCAGCCACTCAGAATCTTGTTGAATATTTAACATTTTTTTGTGAATGTATCAACTAAGAAGACTATCAATTTTAGAGCATACAGCTGTTCTAGAATAATAGTTTGAAAGGCCAGCCGCAAAGATTGTGGTGATTAAAGTGTGAGCAGATGACGGAATGATAAACCTTAACGCTTAAAAATGTGTTTTTATAGTGCCATTCCTATATAACATCGTCTGATAAATGTATTTGAGACGAACAGGCCAAATGAAAGAACCTTCCATAAGGGGACGCAGCACAGTTTGAATATAAGTGTTCCCTCCAATTCCCATGTTAGTGCTTTACTATGAGTATTGACCAGTGTTAAAGAGTGAGCGCACAGGAGCCTTCTCAAAGCCTCCTGCACACACTCTCCCACTGTAAATGCACGAGTATTGATCACAATTATTCCGTAAACACATCTTACAAATTCCCTCAGTGCACGCGCCATCTAAATTAATCCAAATTCAGAACAAAGCTCTCTTGGAAAAGGAAAGAGCATCTCTTTCAGGAGCTTCCCTCTTGGACATTAAATCTTCCATAATCTGTGCTAGTTCGGCAAAGAAGCCCCAACGTCCTCCCAATCATAGGGCGCCTGAGCTCTTGGTCTCCTATATCTTATATTCATTATAGATGTCTTATATCCATTCCTGTATCCTTTGTGATGTCTTGAGTGAGAAAATGCTCTGACCAATAAGCCAATGTTCAATTGACTTCGAAATGTTATGTGGGATAGGCTCATTCAGGGTGGTACGGCTGTAGACAAAATGCTATATGCATTGGCTGGGCGCGGTGGCTCACACCTGTAATCCCAGCACTTTGGGAGGCCGAGGTGGGCAGATCATGAGGTCAAGAGATCGAAACCATCCTGGCCAACCTGGTGAAACTCTGTCTCTACTAAAAATACAAAAATTAGCTGGGCATAGTGTTGTGTGCCTGTAGGCCTAGTTACTTGGGAGGCTGAGGCGGGAGAATCGCTTGAACCCAGGAGGCGGAGGTTGCAGTCAGCCGAGATTATACCACTGCACTCCAGCCTGGTGACAGAGTGAGACTCCATCTTAAAAAAAAAAAAAAGTCTTATATTGATTAAAAGAGACTTAAGACACATAGTACCAGATGGATTGTGTGATGCTCATTTTGATTTGGATTTAGGGGAACCTGCTCTCAAAGACATTTTTCTGAGACAAATAGGAAAATTTGAATATGGAGTAGCTAATAGATAGTATTAAGAGAGTAGCCTTCATTTTTTAAAGTATAATAATATTTTAATTGAGTTTATGTTAGAGATGCATACCGAAAAATCTACAAGTGAAATGATATGATAACTAAGACTTGCTTTAAAATAATGCGGAAAAAACTGTTAGAGTAATAGCGTAAATAATTCAAGATTGGAAAATGTTCATGTTAAATTATTGTTGGCCGACTGTGGGTTCATTTAATTAGGTTCTCTGTTTTGGGGTATGTTGAAAATTTTTCATAAGAAAATATTATTCAGAGGTCTCAAGAGGCAGGCTGCCAAGAATAGCAGTTAGAAATAGCTAGTATCAGGCCTGGTGTAGTGGCTCATGCCTGTAATCCCAGTGCTTTGACAGGCTGAGGGAGGAGAACTGCTTGAGCCCAGGAGATCGAGACCAGCCAGGGTAACATAGGGAGACCCTCATCTCTACACCGAATTTAAAAACTTAGCTGGGCATGGTGGTGCCTACCTGTGGTCCCAGCTGCTTGGGAGGTTGAGGCAGGAGGATTGCCTGAGCCTGGTAGAGGTGGAGGCTGCAGTGAGCTGTGATTGTGCCACTGCACTTTAGCCTGGGTGACAAAGTGAGACTCTGTCTCAAAAAAAAAAAAAAAAAAAAAAAAAAAAGCTAGTAGCACACCCCAAAACTTCTAGACAGGGCATGGTGTGAGCTGGAGTAGACAACTAGTTCATGGTAACAGGACCAGCAGAGCTCCGTCTTGATGCTGTTATTATTTGGTATCTGTTAGGAGCTGAATTATGTGTCCCCAAAATTCATGTGATGAAGCCCTAATTCACAGTACCTCATAATGTTACTCTATTTGGAGATACAGCCTTTTAAAGGATGGTTAAGTTAAAATGAGGTTGCTTGGATGGTCCCTAATTCAGTTTAATTTGGGTCCTTATAAAAAGAGGAAATTTGGATGCACAGAGACACCAGGAATTCATATGCATGGAGGAAAGACCACAGTGGCAAAAGACACATTGAGGAGGTGGCTGTCTGCAAGCCAAGGCAAGGGGCCTCCGGAGAAGCCAAACCTGCTGACACCTTGACCTTGAATGTGCAGCCTTCAGAACTGTGAGAAAATCAATTTCTGTTGTTTAAGCCACCTAGTCTGTCACATTTTCTTATGGCAACCCCTGTAGATAATACAGTCCCATTCTCTGGGGAAACAGATACCTCCGCCAGGGTCCTGATCTGAATATGATTTGGGGTGATGGAACAGAAACACCCGAGGACTGTCGTTGGGGAACAGGAAACCTGTCTGTAGTCCTGGCTCTGTCTCCAATTGGCTACGAGGGCTTGTGTGTACTCTAGTTCTCTTTCCGTGACACTGCATTTGGGGGGAAGGTAAGGGAACTGGGGAAAAGAAGGCAAAATGATGACTTAAAGAGACTGATGAACCCAAAGCTCTCTTGTGAAGCCCCTTCTAGAATAAGTCCGTCTCACGTTACAGTGCTTAGGAAGTGTTAGATGTACTGTCATTTCTTCAACATATATGTCCTATATTAGTCTATTCTCACACTGCTAGTGAAGACATACCTGAGATGGGGTAATTTGTAAAAGAAAGAAGTTTAACGGACTCATAGTTGCACATGGCTGGGGAGGCCACACGATCATGGCGGAAGGCAAAGGAGGAGCAAAGGGGCGTCTTACATGGTGGCAGGCAAGAGAGCCTTTGCAAGGGAACTGCCCTTTATAAAACCATCAGATCTCGTGAGACTTATTCACTGTCACGAGAACAGCATGGGAAAGACCTGCCCCCATGATTCAGTTACCTCCCACCGAGTCCCTCCCATGATACGTGGGGATGATGGGAGATACAATTCAAGATGAGATTTTGGTGGGGACACAGACACACCATATCATGTCTTGGCAGCCATCTATATTCAAGACACTATTCTAGGTATGACATAAAGGATGGCAAAAAGTCAGTTACTTAAAAGTGTGGAAGCAGAGTGTCCCAGGCGGAGGAAACGGTAAATGAGACCTCTGGTAGTAAGAAGCAGTGTAGCATGTTTGAGACACTGAAGTCCAATGGAACTTGGGCGGAATAAATGAAGGGAAGATTCAAGGTGAAGGCTGAGAGGTGTGCATGGGTCTGATCACACAGAGCCTTGTAAACCAAGGTGAGGACTTAAGATTTTATTCTAGCTGCAGTGAGGAACCAGTGAGTGGTTTTAAGCCAGAGAGAGATTGATAAGACATGGAATGATATGGTGTGATATATGAAATGACATGTTTGAAATGATAGATGACGTGATTGTGATATAATATCATGCGGCTGAGGACAACACTATAACTGCTCGGTAGAGAATGGATTGTCATGGCCTGGGTGTGGTGGCTCATAATCCCAGCACTTTGAGAGCTCCAGGTGGGATGATTGCTTGAGCCCAGGAATTTGAGACCAACCTGGGCCACATAGTGAGACCCCATCTCTATTAAGAAAAAAGAGAATGGATTGTGATGAATTAGGATTGGAAACACAGAGATCAGTTAGAAGATTTATCAGTGAGAAAAGAGTTCAGTTGCAAGTTAAAGAAAACACAAGTAAAGCTAACTGTAACACACAGAGCTTTGTCTTTTCTTGCTGAATAAGAAGCTGAGAGGGAGGCAATTGCTGTCACTGGTCCAGCCGGCTCAGCAACTGCACATTTGTCAAAGTTCTTCATCCCCAGCTTTGTGATTCTCTAGGTTATTCATTCTTCTGGGATCGTAGATGGCCACCACAGGTTCACTGTGGAAAGAGGGGTAGGAATTTTTACCAGCTGGGTCTGACTCCACCCCACCCCCACCCCTACCCACCGTTTTTTGTTTTTGTTTTTTAAGATGAAGCCTCACTCTGTTGTCCAGGCTGGAGTGCAGTGGTGTGATCTTGACTCATTGCAACCTCCGCCTCTTGGGTTCAAGCGATTCTCCTGCCTCAGCCGAGTAGCTGGGATTACAGGCACATGCCACCACACCCAGCTTTTTGTATTTTTAATAGAGACAGGATTTCACTATGTTGGCCAGGCTGGTCTCGAACTCCTGACTTCAGGTGGTCTATCCACCTTGGCCTCCCCAAATTCTGGGATTACAGGCATGAGCCACCGTGCCCAGCCGTGTCTGACCATTTTATCAGGAAAAGCAAAAGCTTTTCTAGAATCTATCAACTCCCTTCTGCATGTGTCTATTTGGCATGGGCTGTGTCACATGACCCCTGAGCTGCAAGGAATGCTGGGATACGATGGAAGCCTGCCAGAGGTAGAGCCTTGGGAAGGGCTGATAGGGCCTCTAACCTAAATGTCCACCACCAGAGGTATTACAGAGGTTTGAGCAAGAAATTATGGTGGTCCCAGGGATGATGCATTCTGATAATCATTATCATCAAGAGGAATGTCTAAAGGAAAGGGGAAAAAAAAAATCAGACAGTCACATTGAAATGAGGTCCTTAAGATAGGCCCTAATCCAATATGCACATAAAGGGGAATTTTGGGCACAGAGACAGAGGCAGAGATAGAGGGAAGATGATGTGAAGAAAAACATAGGGCCGTGTAGAGGCAGAGGCAGAGATTGAAATTGTGCTATCATGAACGGGGGAATGTCTGGGACTGCCAGAAGCTCCTGAAGGCAGGAAGCATCCTCCCCTCCAGCCTTTGGAGGGAATGTGGCCCTGTTGACACCTTGATTTCAGACTTCTGGGTTCCGCAACTGCAAAAGAGTACATTGCTGTTCTAAGCCACCCAGTGTGCAGTAGCTTTCTGCAGCAACCCTAGGGATGAATGCTCCTGCCAAATGCTGCCTGCCCTTCAAGATGAGTGTTATTTGGCAGAGGAAGATGATGCACTGCTTATTTTAGGGGATGCCCTCACTTTTGGGTCCCTATGTCACCTGTGTGTACTCCATGCCAGTGTCTTCCCAGCCCCTGCCAGGCAAGTTCGTGTGGTTCTGTGATAACCCTCATCTCTATAGGTTCTGTGATAACGCTCCTCTCACTGTGCTGCTCCTTGGGTGACATCACACCCAAGGAGAATCATGGGACCACCTCCAGAGAGATTTTCTTAGAGGTGTGGAACAGAAAAAAAAGCGTCTCTATTCGAATTGCAGGATCTTCCTTATAGTCCTGGAGAAACGTGGCCCAGCATTGTCTTGGTCCATAGCCTGAGCTTACCCTCCCTACGCAACCACAGCTGTGTGCAGCTTCAGCCAGGTTTGCTTTACCTGATCTCACTGGCTTCATGTTTATTATCTTATTTTCAGTTTCAAAAGGGCATATCCTGCCCCCTTTCCCAAGATCAGAGGATAAGGAATGTCTTGATGTTCTCAGTCGTAAAATTAGGCTAATAACACCTCCCATGGTTGTCTGTGAGGACAACAGAAAGTAATGTTTTCTCTGAAAAGTTTAAAAGGGTAAATGGCTTCATCACATGGTGATGACAGTGATTATTCCAAGAGATGGCTGTAAGCTCCCTGAGAACAGAGGTGCTCTGTGTAAATCTAGTCTGTCTCCCCAGGCTTAGTGGTTGACCTAGACTATACCAAGAGTAAGTGTGTTTTTTAAATTTAATTTAAATCAATTCATTAAGCATTGCTAAATTGGAAAACCATGGAATATAGAGATCCAGTAGTTAAGAGCCTACTGGGAGAGACAGCATAATAATTACAATAAGTGCAGAACTTGCAATAATGTAATTGAAATAATGTAATACAATCCTGCTTAATATTACACTGTATATATTCATTGACTTATAGACTGAGCTCCTTATCTTGTTCATTGCTATGGCTTTAGCACCTTTTGAACAGTGGTGCTTGGCTTTTGGTAGGTGGTCAACAAATGTGTATTAAGTATATGAACTGTTGGAAGGGTCTGCTGTGAAGGATGTGATTTGCTCTCTTTGATGGTGGACAAAGAAGGTTTCCTGGTGGAAGAGATTAATGAGTTGGGTTTTGATGAATGAATAGGAGTTTCCCCAGACACACGGAGGAGACAGAATGGAATGAAAGAGGGGTTTTCCAAGAAGAGGCACTGAAGGGCAAGACTTCATTGCTTCTTTGATACTCCAATGCCGGCTTCCTTTGGGTTGGACTCTGATGGATCTAATCGAGGATTAGGATGGAGGTAGGTGGGAACATATTTAGAAGGATGCCCTGTGGTTTTTCTCCTTCCTGCTATTTATATTTCCCTCTCTGTCTTTCCCACCTGTTTGGTGATGAGGAAGGAGCTGTGTACTGGTTTGAAACCTATTCACGACATAGTGGACCCAACACCAAGTGTCTTATTGTAAATGGATCCACTTTTACTACAGTTACTTTAATGGCATCTAAATGATAAATGTTAATAAGCATTTTTGCTTGGGAAAGCACAATGGTATTAGCCTGCCAGACTGCAAACGTTATTTGCTTTATGGAAGGGGATTTCAAACAAGGGGTTCTGGTGGTTGTATTTTTGCCTCAACGGTTATTTATAGAGAAAGTATGGGCCATTGCATGTTTATAGTATCTCTTTTTTATGGCTGCCCAAGTTATTATTTTTTATTGGTTTGGGTACTTAATTTGCACATTTGTAAACAATTATGTAGTTACACAGCTGTTGTACCACAGAGACCATATGCATTTCCATGTTAAGAGAAAAGTCCGTGAGGGATTCTCACTGGATACCATCATAAAAGAATTATTGTGGTGCCAAAAAAATTTAAAAAAACGACTAGCTCAGAAGTTATCATTGTGTTTTTATAGTATTTGGAGTTAAATAAATTTAATGTTTTTTTGCTCACTTGAGTTGGAGCCAAACTTTATAACTGAATAGGAGGGTTCTCTTTCCCATATTTGAGTAGAACACATGATGTTCAATAAAAATGAATTTGCCAGTCAGAAAAATTTATCTTTTAGAAAATTAATACACTGAGCCAAGCATGGGTGGTCCATGCCTCTAATCCTAGGTACTCTGGAGGGTGACGGTGGGAGGATCCCTTGAGCCCAGGATTTTGAGGCTACCCTGAGCTATGATCACACCACAGCACTCCAGCCTGGCCAACATAGTGAGACACTACCTAGATAGCTTAGGAGAGTTCCAATGTTTCTGAAGGATGTTTTTTTAAAAGAAGTATTCATTTAGGTGACACATATTTATTGAGACACTAATATATGCCAGGAATTATTCTATTGGTTCCTTTGGAGGAGACATGAATAAAGGCATGGATGTGACTGAGGAGGTAAAGGTGAAGAATTGGGGAGGGGTGGATGGGGCTGACTCATGACCTAAAGAACATGGCATCTGGGGCTCTCTTGAAATAATCTGCACTAACCACTCATTCACATTTTTTTGAGTCTGTAAGATCCCAGGCACTCTTGGTAGCAGGGGGGTTAGGTGGGTGAAGGGACAAGTAGAACTTAGTTCCAACAGAGCTAAAGGGTATTGGTGAAGACTATGAGCCCCTCATGACGCACAACTGGTTTCAAATCCAAGCCCATCATGTATCATCTGTGTGATTGTGGGTGATCTCTTTCTTCCCAAAGCCTGTTTTCTTGCCTGAACCTGATCAACAGAAACAGTCAGTGCAGGTAATGTGTTTAGCACACAGCCTGGCATACGAACTTCCACACAAAACGGGTGACCATGGCTGAAGGGTTATTCTGGGGAGCCTTCCCTGTGGAAGCCCCATTAACCATCCCTGCTCATTCCTCCCGTGAGACCACCATTTGCTAAATCTTCTGTCAGGTGATGTGGGATCCAAGAAGAAACAATAATCAGAAGCTTGCCTTACAGGCATGCACAATTTCGGGTGGACTGTCACATGTGCACTGAAAAAGTCGAGAAATGTTATGATGGCCCTGGAAGGAGGAGTGTCTAGATGAAATGCGAATAAATAGGAGACAAGTGTGTCGTTAATTAAGAAGGAGAAGGGGGACTTTAAGGTTACCTTAAAAGAAAAGAGACCCCTCAATGCTTTGGAAGAGCCTTTTTAATAAGCTAGTCAGGTAAGTTAGATTGCTCTGTCTTACACTGGTTTAGTAATTTTCATATATACTTATTTCCTCTGAAATGTATTAGTAACATTTGTAATTTACCAAATGGAAAATATCACTTAACTTTAAGCTTCATCAAGTTAAGAATGAATTTGTAACCAGGGGTATTATGTTTTCTCTTATTATAACAAACACCAATCAAAAACAAACAAATACATGACGGGAAAGAAAGAAAACCCAGCATTTATTGGCAGTATTTTTCTGCAAAATATTATTTGTTTCCCTTTGCAGTTTTATTCATTTTAAGCACGTTTTCACCAAAGTGTTCTATTCTAAGCTAGTCTCAATTCAATTTAAAGTGGAAGGTTTTTTTCAGTTTAGATAATTTACATATAAAAGCGTTACTGTACATTTTATGAAATGACTGTTTTCAGAAAACAACGATTTCAATTTAATCGTATTGTTATTCTGCAAGTTGAAATGCCTCACTCTTGCTTCTTGGTCTTACTGACAATATTCCTTCTTGCCCTAATTTTAAATGGTGAGTGTTTGAAAATTGATGTGCTTCTTTTAGACCCTACCAGTAAGACTTAAGGCCCACTGTGATTCGTCTGATAGACTTGAAGATTATGTGCGCGTGTGTGAAACAAGGGAATCTTAATCATCTGAACCTGACGGTTATATAGATCTTTCTGAATTATTTTTCTTTCTTTTCACAAGAAAGAATTATTTTTCTTTCTTTTCACAAGAAATTTTGCTTGCCAATGGTCAGATCTGTTAACACGAAAACTAAAAACTTATACATCATTTTATATTTTGAAATTCCCAATTTGCAATGTTATTTTTTTTTCTTCTTTTTTTTTTATGACACTTTTCTTCTGGAAAAAATCCTTAGGACCCAGTTACTCTCTTTCAGGATTTTATATCATAATGTGTCTGTGAGAGACAGAGCCAGATGTTCAGGATTTCAGACCACCATATTTGTCCTAGGAAACCTGCCAGCATTTCACATTCTTGACCCTTGAATTGAATATGAGGCTCTGACTATATAACAGAAAACACCCGAGTTTTATGATTCTGCAAGCGTGGTTTACACTATAAATTTCCACCGGTCTCTGCTTGTCTCTTCTAGAATTTAGGGTTATTCTCAAACTCTATTATACAAGCAGTGCCCAAGTGCCTTCCTCCAAAAGTACATTAGATACTTTCTTGGGGAGAGAAGAAATTAGACAGGAGCTACAAAGATGGATTAAAATTAATTTGGTCCTAACTAAAAGATAAGTTCCTCCCCCATCCTCAGGATGAAACCAAGAGCACTTCTCCATCATCAGGGGAGCCAAGTGGACGCTAATCACCACCGTGCCTGGAGAGTTGCCTTTCAGCTGGTGAATTTACTATTGCCAACTCCTGCATTCTTATTAGTCTATAAGATTGAGGTCGTTTATTGGTGATCACTTGTAGATATATATTTATATAAATCTCTTAGCCCAGAATCTCCATAAACTGTTTTTCATGATGTGGATACCACGTGGGATATGTCCCACAATTGGCAAGTGCCATAAATATATTATAGGCCATTATACTTTCTACAGTATCTTTAATTGATATGCCCCATGTCTAAGAAAAAAAGTAGCTTTCATGATGAAGGTGATGAACTACTTCTTTCCATTATTCTATTTCCCCCTTTTCTTCTTCAGGCTTTAAAGATATCATAATACCATTTACATTTACTGTTTAATTTTTAGGTCTGTATTTAAAAATCTGTGTAGTGACAACAATTATTCTTATTGTATGAACATATTGTCGGCTGGAGAGTATTCAGCTGTCAGACAAAGTGTTCTCTAAAGTGTTCAGCCATCAGACAGAAACTCTATTGCTGGTGGCGGGGTTGTGGGCTGGGGGAACCAGAGTATTTGCTCTTCTTTAGAAGTCATCAATGGTAAGCCTAGGGCAGCCTGAACCACTTGTGTTAGAAATATTTTTTATAAAGCAGGACATGTGCTTTGAAATTTGATTCCTCCGTCACTGGCTGTGTGACCTTAAAGAAATAAATTGACCTGCCTGAGCCTCTCGGAAATATTGGCTGGCCAGTAGCATCCTCACAGAGTTTTTCTGGGAATCGAATGAGAGATTACATACACAGGGCCAGGTACATAGCAGGTGCTCCGAAGATACCCCCGACTTCCTTTCCTACGAATAAAGAGGCCCAACTTTTTGTCCATATGAAGAGGTTGGCAGAGCAAACGCACACGTGCGTAGGAGCTGGAATTGTCGATAATGTCACAATCTCAGGAAACCCAACTTTGTAAATGTGACTTTCCTTTGCTACTTTTTGCCTATTAAGCAGCCATGTATGTAAAGTATTAAATTAGCATCCAGGCACTTTCTTTTTTTCTAGAAGGTGGTATTTTGCATATTAATACTTGCTTAAATCAAGAAGCTAAGACTTTGTATTATATTTTGCTTTACGTGCCTTGATTAAGGTCATGATCCTGACATTCCAGTCCCAAAGGAGACCAAGGAAATGACCAGCACGTGGCTCACTCCCTGTCTGTCCAGTAGAGGACACCAAGGCACGATGACCGCAGCTCCTGTAGTAGTTATGGTCACTGACTCCGGGTTCAGACGGACTTGGGGTTCAGTCCTAGCTCTGGCGCTTACCAGTTTTCTCAAGTGACTTTGAGCATCTTTACTCAAGGCTCTTGGTCTCAGTTTTCTCATCTGTAAAATGGAGATCGCAGTATCTAACTCATGGGTGTGTTTAAGGATTCAGTGATGGAGAAAATAGCTGAAAAGTGACCGTATGAAATGAGCAGCAGTTGTCAAGTACTTGGCATAGTTCCTGTCACATAGGAAGCATCCAGTAAGTAGTGGTATCTGTTGTGATTATGATCATATTTTATTTCATGGAGTTCAGTAAGAGTACAAAGCGAGGAGTTTTTCTGCCCCTCCAGTAGCTGTAGAATTTGTGTGATGACTATGTGAGCTTATCCCCTGGTAGGTATAATGGAAAGACTAACAAGAGTAGAAGAGGGATGTAACTGGAGCATGATTTAAAGGAACTGTAGTTTGTCTCTGTTTTTTTTTTTTTTTTTTTTTTTCCTCTAAATAAACAAAGGAATAGAAGATCCTGTGAAGAGCTGGGTGTGGTGGCTCATGGCTGTAATCTCAGCACTTTAGGAGGCCAAGGCAGGAGGATTGCTTGAGCCCAGTAGTTCAAGATCAGTCTGGGCAACATAATGAAAACCTAATGTCTACAAAAAGTATAAAAATTAGCCAGGCGCAGTGGCTCACGCCTGTAGCCCCACCTACTTGGGAGGCTGAGGCAGGAAGATTGCTTGAGCCCAGGAGTTAGAGGCTGCAGTGAGCCATGATCACACTGGAGCACTCCAGCCTGGGTGACAGAGCAAGATTTTGTCTCAAAAAAGAAAATGATGTGAGGAAGCCAGGAATGATGAGTACCTGGATTAAACTACCTTAAGGCTGATTGAGTAAAAGTGAAAGATCATCCCGTCAACTGCTGGCCTGCCGCTTGTGTTCGTTAATAGAACATTTCCCTCTGATTGTCAGGCTTTCTTAGCAGCTACAGAATACTTATTTTCTTCTTTATATTATAAGTTTATGCCACTGCAACATTTTAGAATCACCTGGGAAGCTTTTGAAAACTCCCAGCATCATGAAGCATGGTCTCTTGCCTTGGGGTCAGTGTCTGTCAACGTGGCTTTTGCTAAAGAGCCTTCCCCTATGAGAAGTGAGGCAGGAGAAGGCGGAGTGACCACAAGATGCCCTGATGGTGCCAAGCTATTATTATAAATGAACTGAAGCCACAACAGAAGTCTGCTACCTTGTTCTTATCTGCATGTTTCTCTCTTTCCAGCCTCATCTTCTACTACCTTCTTCTACTCCCACACTTCTTCTACCTTGATTCCCAGCCTTCTTTTCTTTTCTTTTCTTTTCTTTTCTTTTCTTTTCTTTTCTTTTCTTTTCTTTTCTTTTCTTTTCTTTTCTTTTTTCTTTTCTTTTCTTTTCTACCTCTCGGGATTCTGAGAGCATCCTGTAATGTTGGAAAGCTTTCTGCTAATCCGGGCATTGGAGTGCTCTCTGGGTTCACTCCTGACAGTTCTTTATTGCTTTCCCACCTCTGCCAAGGTCAAAAATGGAACTTGCTTCTTGTTCTCGTATCACTCAGACTAAGCAGTTGATGTAACAGATAACCCCCAAATTTCAGTGATTTCACATTTAATCTGTAAAAAATGAGGATTTGTTTATAGCCCCAAAGACAGTCTAGTTTGGATTATTTGAGGACCTAGACTTCACCTGCACAGTGGTTTCACCATCCATCCCCCCATGGCCTCCATGGTACCCTCTGATTCAGGCTCAGCAGGAGCGGGAGAGGATGCATAGGACTACATGTTTTCTGGGCCAGGACTGGAAGCAGCATATCTCAGATCCAACCTCTTTACCTTGGCAAAAATTCAGGATGTGCAGGACGAGGAGGAAAATGGGAGTAGTGACTATTTAGCCAGTCTTTGCCACATCCCGGTTCATATCTCACTCCGTCATTTATAACCTGTAATTAAATCTTTAGTGAGTACCTGTCACAGGTTGAGCAGTCTTCTAGGGCCTCTGGTTACCAGCAATGAAAAAAGCCCCATTTGGTAAAATACAGTAGTTGGATTCATTATCTCTGTGATTAACTTGCATAAAAAAGAGACAGTTTTCATTGATGTGACCTTTAGCAACAACTCCTAAAATATTTTTTTTCCTTCATTCCTGCTTTTCCTTGTTCCAGAAGAAGTTAAGGTAAATGGCTTTTAGCACATTGCACCCCCAGCTTTTAGCACATTGCATTATCATTATAATAAATGTTTACGGTTACTGATATTATTATAGTTCTTTATCGACATTATTACAGTCCATTATTTACAGTCCTTATGTTATTTAGGAGGGGAATTTGGGGACATTGACCCACTTATGTGTAGTCCCCTAGTGAAATGACAAGAATCCCCAGAGCTGGGAAAACATTTCCATGCAATTCCCTCTCAGTTTACATCAAAATCAGCTCGTCACCCTTGAGATTGAAGCTCGCACTCTGTAAGCTCTGAATAAATATTAACCATCTCCTGAACCCTGAAGGAGACATTTTCTGGGGAGCAGTGATTTGATGATTTGATGAAGTTGTGTGTGTGTGTGTAGTTTTTCAGACATATCTCCATCTGATTCTTACCTCTAAGAGTTCCTCAAGGGCAATTGTGTTGCTTTGTTTTTCCTTGCATCTCTGGAGGCTGAGCACCTAGTAGTGATTCCAGGTACGTAGCAGGTATTTTACAGGTGCTTGTTGCATTAATGCACTTTATTGGTGATATGGTTTGGCTGTGTCCCCACCCAAATCTCATCTTGAATTGTAGCTCCCATAATTCCCATATGTTGTGGGAGGGACCGGGTGGGAGAATATTGAATCATGGGGGTGGTTCCCCCATACTGTTCTTGGGGTAGTGAATGAATCTCATGAGATCTGATGGTTTTATAAGGGGGAAACACCTTTCACTTGGCTCTCATTTTCTCTTGCCTACTGCCATGTATGATGTGCCTTTCGCTTTGCACTATGATTGTGAGGTCTCCCCAGCCACGTGAAATTGTGAGTCCATTCAACTTCTTTTTCTTTATAAATTACCCAGTCTCAGGTATGTCTTTTTTTTTCCTTTTTTCTTTTCTTTTCTTTTCTTTTTTTTTTTTTTTTTTTTGAGATGGAGTTTCACTCTTGTTGCCTAGGCTGGAGTGCAGTGGTGCAATCTGGGCTCCCTGCAAACTCCACTTCCCGGATTTAAGCGATTCTCCTGCCTCAGCCTCCCAGGTAGCTGGGATTATAGGCATCTGCCACCATGCACGGCTAATTTTGTATTTTTAGTAGAAATGGGGTTTCACCATGTTGGTCACGGTGGTCTCAAAATCCTGACCTCAGGCGATCTACCCGCCTCAGCCTCCCAAAGTCAGGTGTGTCTTTATCAGCAGCATTAAAACAAAGTAATAAAATTGGTTTCTTAGGGTTGGATGGCTTAAAACAACAGAAATGTATCATCTCACAGTTCTGAAAGTGAGAAGTCCAAAATCAAGGTGTCAGCACAGCCACGTTCTTTCTGAAGGCTCCAGGGATGATCTACTCCATGCCTTTGTCTTAGCTTTTGGCATTGCGGGCGGTGCTTGGTGTTCCTTGGCTTGTAGGTGCATCACTCCAATCTGCCTTTGTCGCTGCATGTCATTCACATTGGGTCTCTCTGTCTCTACTCCTTTTCTTCTCTTTTTTCTCCTTTCCTTTTCTTTCCTCTTCCCTTTTCCTTTCTTTTCTTCTCCTCCTCCTTCTCCTTCTCCTCCTTCTCCTTCTTCTTCTCTTTGTTCTCCTTCTAGTTCTCCTCCTTTC
Organism: Homo sapiens; assembly: GCF_000001405.40. Lineage (NCBI taxonomy): Eukaryota > Metazoa > Chordata > Mammalia > Primates > Hominidae > Homo > Homo sapiens. The sequence goes on from NC_000016.10 coordinate 78,726,039, forward strand.
TTCTTTCTTACTTTTACTCCTCCCTGCTTCCCTTCCCTCCCTCCCTCTTCCTCCCTCCCTCCCTCCCTCCCTCTCTGCCTCCCTCTCTCCCTCTCTCTTTTTCTCTTTCTCTCTTTCTCTTTCTGTGTCTCTCTTTTCTCTCTCTCTCTCTTTCCTTCCTTCCTTCCTTCTTTTCTTCCTTCCTTCCTTTTTTCTTCTTTTTTTTGGAAACAGTCTTGCTCTGTCACCCAGGTTACAGTGCAGTGGCATGATCACGGTTCACTGCAGCCTCAACCTCCTGGGGTCAAGTGATCTTCCCCACCTCAGCCTCCCGGGTAGCTGGGACCACAGGTATGCACCACCACACGTGGCGTATTTTTAAATTATTTGTGGAGACGGGGCGGGGAGGTCTCCCTGTGTTGGCCAGGCTGGTTTCAAGCTCCTGGCCTCAAGGGATTCTCCTCCCTCAGCCTTCCAAAGTGTTAAGATTACAGGCATGAACCACTGCACCCAGCCTATCTTAATTCAATACACAGTAGTGCTTTTTGTTCCCCCATGGGATAGTAGGTAAATTAATGGAGGAAGGGAGTCAACTAAACAATTTATTTGAGCAATTAATGGAGGAAGGGAGTCAACTAAACAATTTATTAGGGCTTTATGTAAAGCCCTAGGGTTAGTTGGTTGGTTGGTTTTGTTTTGTTTTGTTCCTTTTTTTTTTTGCCAGGGGATGCTGTGGTTGAATTTCCCTCTGTGGTGAGAGTTGCATGGGGCAATGAGGAGGTAGTCCAGAATAGTTCTATGGAAATAGGAGGCTTTCAGTTTCTTCATCTGTACAATGAGAGTTGAGGGGAGCTGAGTCGGGAGTTGAAATGGTCACTGGGTATCATTTCCGTGGGTGGCTCTAACCTGTTAGGGCTGTCTGCACAGTGCTGAGCTTTTGTGTTTTTGGTCATCCCAATGTGCTTTTCCTTTTTCCTGAGAGCAGCCCTCTACATCTTCCGTGGTGTAAGTTGCCTTATTCCAGCACGTGGCATCGCCAGTCCCAGTGCCCTTGGCAGACCATGCAGAATGCATCCATGGAATATGAAAAATGAGGCCCAGTGGGGCACAGTGGCTCACACCTATAATGCCAGCACTTTGGGAGGCCAAGGTGGGCAGATCACTTGAGGTCAGGAGTTTGAGACCAGCCTGGCCAACATGGTGAAACCCTGTCTCTACTAGAAATACAAAAATTAGCTGGGTTTGGTGACAAACGCATGTAATCCCAGCTGCTAGGGAGGCTGAGGCAGGAGAATCACTTCAACCCGGAAGGCGGAGGTTTCAGTGAGCTGAGATCCAGCCTGGGTGACAGAGCAAGACTCCATCTCAAAGCGAAACAAAACAAATGAGGGTCCTCATCAGCGTGCCTTTGACACTGTCCTCTGGTCCTGGTGATCTGAATACATCACCACAGAACTGCCAGGGTACGTGTTTCCTAGCCCATAGCGAGTCCCAGTGAAAGCAGAGATGAGAAAGAAAGGAGGGACACAAGGTCTGGGTCCTGAGTTCCAGTCCGTGGGGGCCCTGGTGCTACTGCTGTAGTTCATGAAACATTCCCTTCGATTCTTTGAACTCTCTCATACCTTTCCCTTAAATTCTTCTTTTTCCCTTATGTCAAGCTTCTTTCAGTAACAACTGAAAGGCTAATAGTAGTGCTGTGTGGGGAGGACTTTGGACTTGGGGATTGGACTCCATGGGAGAGGTCAGCTCCTTGTCTCCCTGGTGGTGAGACAGGGAATGGTAGAGTGTGTCCTACCTATGTGCCTGCCTTGCTCTACATCAGTGCTTCTTGGATATTTTGGTATCAGGACTCTAAACTCTTAGTAGTTATCCAGGACCCAAAATAGCATTTGTTTATCTGGGTCATTTTTACTGATATTTATCATACTAGAAATTAAAATAGAAATAGTCAAATTCTTTATTAATTCGTTTATAAGTAAGAAACCTATTACAAGTGAACATAGATAACTCCCTTCCTCTTTCCTCTCTCCCTCCTTCCTTTTTTTTTTTTTTTTTTTTTTTTTTTGAGAAAGGGTCTCACTGTGTCACCCAAGCTGGAGTGCAGTGGCCCAGTCACAGGTTACTGCAGCCTTAACCTCCTGGGTTCAAGTGATTCTCCTGCCTCAGCCTCCTGAGTAGCTGTGACTACGGACACATGCCACTACACCTAGTTGATTTTTGTATTTTTTGTAGAGATGGGGTCCCACTGTGTTGCCCAAGCTGGTCTCAAACTGAACTCCTGAGCTCAAGCGATTCTCCCGCCTTGGCCTCCCAAAGTGCTAGGATGATGATAGGCAGGAGCCACCACACCTGGCCATGGATAACATTTCTATAAAATATAACCATATTTTCAAACAAAGAGAAAAGTGGCGTTGTGCTACATTTCTTCTCCAGTGCTTGGTTCCCTAGAAGACAGCCAGATTCTCACTTCTTTTCCTGCATTCAGTCTCTTGTGATATCACATGGCATGTGGCCTCTGAAAAACTCCGCTGTCTAGTTGTAAAAGAATACAAGTAAGTAGTCAAGTGACACCTTAGCATTCTGATGAAAAGAGCTTTGACCTCACAGAGCTTCTGGAAGGGTCTCAGAGACATCCCTGAGGGTCCCTTGACTGCACTTTGACAACCACAGGTCTACATGATCTGTATAGCCTTTTCCAGTTTTCACATCCTATGATTCCAAGAGGGAAAACAATCTTCCTTGTAAAGAGAGTTAAGTGACATTGTGTCCTTGTCTACACTCAGCTGCTAATATGCTATGGGACCTCAGGTATGTCACTTAAACCTTGTGTTGGAGTTTCCTCCTTGTTACATGGAGGTCACAAGAATAACAAACTATGCATAGATCACCTAATTTAGTCATTCCAACGGTGTGGAGAGATAGAGGATTAGGATGGACTTTATTTCCTAAGTGAGAAACGTTGGCTTTAGTAAAAGTGTAGTGGTTTGTAGGGTCATCCCCCTAAAGATATCCCGCCCCACCAAAGATATCCCTAAAGACATCCTGCTGGTTTCAGTGGCTCATGCCTGCAATCCCAGCACTTTGGGAGGCTGAGGCAGGCGGATCACTTGAGCTCAGGAATTCGAGACCAGCCTGGCCAACATGGTGAAACCTTATCCGTAAAAAAAATAAAAAATTAGCCAGACATCGTGGTGCATGCCTGTTGTCCCAGCTATTTGGGAGGCTGAGGTGGGAGGATTGCTTAAGCCTGGGAGATTGAGGCTGTAGTGAGCTATGATTGCACCACTGCACTCCAGCCTGGGCAGCAGAGCAAGACCCTGCCTCAAAAAAAAAAAGTAAAAATAAAAATAAAATAAATATATATATGCATGCACATCCTAATTCCTGTAACACGTGGATATGCCCTTACTTGGAAAAAGTGCCTTTGTAGAATGCAAGCATCCTTATGGAAGAAGGTCAGAGGGAGATTTGAGAAAGACAGAAGAGGAGGAGTCCATGCAAAGATAAAGGCAGAGGGTGAAGTTGTGCATCCACAAGCTCAGATATGCCTGGAGCCATCAGGTGCTGGAAGAGATACTGGAAGATCTCTTCCAGGGCCTCTGGAGGAAGCACAGTCCTGCTAACTCTTAATTTGGGACTTCTGGCTTCCGGAACTGCAAAAGAACAAGTTTCTGTTGTGTGTAGGCACCCAGTTTGTGGTAATTTGTTACAGCAGACATAGCAAACTAATGCAAATGGGCTTTGCTTGAAGTCCCTCAGCTGCTAAGGGTCAGAAACAGGATTTGAACCTACAGTTTTGAGGCCTGAACCTGCTATGCAGTGCTTTCTTCCTGATAGTGAAACCACTGTGGTCCCAAACCCACAGGGCTCTATTTAGATTTAAACAAGACTATGAATGTAAACAGACACAGTGCAATGCCAGATCCAGAGCAATCGAAGGTCATAGTTTCCTCATCCCTCGAAGCTGCCACCTTGCAACATCATCCTTGTGTTACTTCCAGTTGTTTCTTATGATAAGTAACAGTGACTTTGATATATCCATTTTTTAGTTGTGTACATGGTGGTGATGGTGTTTTACTCCTTGCTATAAACGCTTAAGGATTCCTTAGCTTTAGGGAATGAAACTACTTGGGCAAGAATATAAAATTTTGTTCTATTTTATTTTAAAGCTCTGGTTACATATGGTCAAGTTGCTTCCCAAAAAGCGTCTCTGTCAGGATGATCTTATGAACGACGTTAGTACCTCAATTTTACTGTCCCATCCTTTTTTCCTCCTTCCTTGCCTCCTTCCCTCTCTGCCTCCTTCCTTTTCTTCCCATTTCCTTCCTTCCAGCATTATCATATAAGCCACGTGCTGGGATGTACCAGGCACACTAGCTCTATAGGTAAGATATTTCCTAGGACTCATCATTCACATGAGTCCAGGAGAAATACATCTTTTGTTTGTTTGTTTGTTTTTTGAGACAGAGTCTTGCTCAGGCTGGAGTGCGATGGCACCATCTGAGCTCACTGCAGCCTCAACCGCCTGGTCTCAAATGATCCACCCAACCTAGCCTCCTAAGTAGCTGGGACCACAGGTGCATGCCACCACGCCCGGCAATTTTTTTTTTTTTTTTTTTTTAAGTAGAGACAGGGTCTTGCTGTGTTGCCCGGGATGGTCTTGAACTCCTGGGCTCAAGCGATACTCCCTCCTTATCCTCCCAAAGTGCTGGGATTACAGGTATAAACCACCAACCCAGCCTCAGGAGAAATAAATCTTTTAGGAAAAAAAAGTGACACAGTTTTCTCTTGTGGCTTATCACTTGGAATGTGGAGAGTCATTTCCATTAGGGAACCACCAGGAATCTTGGCAACTTAGCAGCCACAGGAGATGCAGAAACTGAGTAGTGATTTAAAAATTCAGATCACTTTGTTTGTTCCCCTAGAATAATACATTATTATCATTAACAAAGTAACTCAACTTACAGTATCAAATCAACTGCAGAGCCATTGATATTGATGTTACCGTACTATCCAACACATTATGTTTAGTGTTGATTTAAGAAAATGTTGATTTTATTTGATGTCATGGGTGGGAAATTGCTTGCTTTTGTTTTTTGAGTGAATCTGGTTTAACTGGGCTGTGTAAGCCAAGGAGTTCTAACTCTTCTTGGGCAACTGAGACCGTGGCTAATATTTCATTATCTGTATTAATTAAAGACAGGGCCTGGTACTTGACATGGCAGTGTGATGTGTCCAAGGTTAGACCCGAGGTAAGAATTTAGAGCACAGAGGCACGCTCACATGAAGCTGCCAATTCCTCTGCTTTTTCAGGTAGAGGCTGAATGATTTCCGCACCTTTTTATAGATTGCATGACTTCAAAGATGCACACTAATACTACGGCTCCTTGGGAAATCTTTCTGCACTGATCCCTTTGAATCTTCAGTGTTTCAACATAGACTTGTTACAAAGAGAAGGAATATAAGCCTCTGTTCTTTCTTGTTTCCCTTTGTTAATTCCTTTTTCCTTTCATTCCTTCTTATCTATCCCTTTCTTACCTTCTTTATTTCCTCGTTTATTTGGGCTTTTTCGGTTGTGAAGATCAGTACCTTGAAATTCAGAATAGATGGCATGAAGCACTTCAGCTTTGCATTCAAGTACTCATGTGTATGATCAAGCATCGTCATGATCATTATTGACTGGAAAGCCTGTAAGAAGAAGCGGATAAGGCCAGGGTGCAGACTGGGCAGTAGTTCCCTGTCATGAATCCACTCTGCAGTTGTTTTATAACATGCAACAAAAACTAAAGTCTAATAGCACTCCCCAATGCCAATTTTTTTTCTTTCTCTTTTTTTTTTTTTTTTTTGAGAGACAGGGTCTTGCTTTATAGCCCAAGCTGGAGTGCAGTGGTGCCTTCACAGCTCTTTGCAGCCTTGAACTCTGGGCTCAATTGATCCTCCTGCCTCAGCCATCTGAGTAGTTGGGACAACAGGTATGCACTACCATGCCCAGTGAATTTAAAAAAACAAACAAACAAAACACTTTTTGTAGAGAAAGGGTCTTGCTATGTTGGTGAGGCTAGTCTCAAACTCATGCCCTCAAATGATCCTCCTGCCGTGGTCTCCAAAAGTGCTGGGATTACAGGTGTGAGCCCCCAACCCCAAAACTTGAATCTGGGCCACCTTTACTGACTTACTTATTACTATGTAGAATATGGTACAGGTGACGCTGCAGACTCTTGAAGTTAGGTCATAAAAGATGATCCTGCTTCCGTCTGGTTGTGTCTCTCACTCATGGGATGCTTACCCTCAAAATTTGGCCACCATGCCATGAGGAAACTCAATCTAGCGTAGGTAGGAAGACCGTGAGAGGCCCAAATAGAGAGGAATTGAGGCCGCCAGTCATAGTCAGCTTCAGTCATCAGATAGGAAGCCAACAACTGAGCCCTCAGATGATTCCAGTTTCCAAACACTGTGAAGCAGAGGCTGACTGTCCCCTTTGTGCCATATTCAAATTGCTGACCCACAGAATTCATGAATAGCGCATGTGGTAGATTTACACTTCAAAGTCTTTGGGTAATTTGATAAAGATGTGGTAACTGGGCTATGCTCTAATCAATAATCTTAGCTAAGATTTATCAGAAATTAAAACTGTATACTTAACTAACCACCTAGATAGGTGCAGGCATATATGAATTCACCGAAATTTGACTCAACTCCCTTGGTTAATTTAAATAAAATAAAAGTAAATAAGGGGAAATTGCATACTCCTATCTGGACTGTTTTCTTATGGTTTTGGAATCTCTGGCAGGTAGAAGTAATTATTTCTGTAACTCTTAGGCAGGGCTTAGGAATTATCTCCCTTAGGTTTGACTTCTTTCTTTCTTGAGAATAAGCGCTGTGTTTCGCAAGAGTAAAGAAGTGGCATTTATTCTGTTGTCACAGCATTACTGAGCTCGAGTGGATGGCTCTTTATTTCCTTCTCGTCTTTTCTTTTCTAGTCTTTGTCAGGACCCATTCCTTTACCCCTCTTTGCTTTTACGGTTTTCACATTTTAATAATGTAAAACCATGTTCCCCAAACTTCCGCCTTTTTTGTCCCATTTGCTCCGCTGTTACATCATTTGTTTTTAATTACGTTCATATTTACTTATGTTTTTATGCACAGCTATTTATAAAGAAGATTCTATAATACTAAAGTAAATAGAAGAGCAATATCATTTGCCATAAATACAAAGGATCCCTGAAAATAAATATACTGCCAGCCTGGGCAACATAGGGAGATCACTGTTTCTACAAAAAATAATAAATTAGCTGAGTGTGATGTTGTGTGTCTGTAGTCTCAGCTTCCCAGAAGGTCAAGGCAGGAGGATTGCTGGAGCCCAGGAGGTTGAGGCTGCAGTGAGCTACAATCATACCACTGCACTCCAGCCTAAGCAACAGAGTGAGACCTTGTCTCAAAAAATAACTGGCTGGGCATGGTGGCTCATGCCTGTAATCCCAGCACTCTGGGAGGACGAGGTGGGCGGATCACGAGGTCAGGAGATCGAGACCAGCCTGGCCAACATGATGAAACCCTATCTCTACTGAAAATACAAAAAAAAAAAAAATTAGCCGGGTATGGTGGTGTGTGCCTGTAGTTCCAGCTACTCGGTAGCCTGAGGCAGGAGAATGGTTTGAACTTGGGAGGTGGAGGTTGCAGTGAGCCGAGATCATGCCACTGCACTCCAGCCTGGGCGACAGAGTGAGAATCCGTCTCAAAAAATAAGTAAATAAAATAACTAACTAGGCTAGGCACAGTGGGTCATGCCTGCCATCCCAGCACTTTGGGAGTCCAAGGCAAGAGGATCACTTGAGCCCAGGATTTCGAGACCAACCTGGACAACGTACAGAGACCTCATCTCTACAAAAAATAAAACAGCTAGGCATAGAGGCACACCTGTGGTCCCAGGTAGTTGGGAGGCTGAGGCGGGAGGATCCTCTGCACCCAGGTAGCCGAGGCTCCAGTGAGTCATGATCATGCCACTGCACTGTAGCCTGGGTGATAAAGTAAGATCCTGTCTGGAAAAAAAAAAACACAAAAAACTAAATAAGTCGTCCATCCGTCCATCTATTCATACACACACGTAAAATGAAAACTAAAGCAAAAGAGTAGTATTAAATTCTAGTTAGAGACTTAGGATTTCCAGTGACTGAAATTGGAATGTTAGGTGTTAAAGACACACATCAAAATGAGACTCTTGGTTTTTTTTATAAGTGCAAGGATTGCAAGATACCTGAAAAGGGAGTATTTTTCCCCCACATGCATCTCAGGAGGGTAGCCTCAGATATAAGCTTAGGAGTCCTGAATTTATCATCAATATTTATATCGCTGTTTGGCCCCTAACACCTTCCCTATGATAGCCCTAATTGGAATATAGTAAATGTTTGTTGCATGAATCAACCTATTTAACCTGTGCGTCCTTAAATCTTACGGTCTGCGGGTTGACATTTCTAGTGAAGGGAGACATTTCTTTACCTACCTGGGACCTCAGACCTTGGACCTCACTGAACTTGAGAGCAGAGCTGGTTTATGTGTAACTGAACCTGATGGTTAGTTTCCTGTTTCAACTTGATTAGGTCCCAGTCACAGGGTGCCCACATGTTTGGTCAAACATCACTCTGGGGTGTCTGTGAGTGTGTTTCTGGGTGAGGTGAACATTTAAATCAGTCACCTGATTACAGCAGATTGTTCTCAAGTGCCTGAGCTTCGTCTCATCAGCTGAAGGTCTGAATAGAGCAAATAGACTGACCCTACTTCAAAGAGAACTCCTTCTGCCTGATGACTCAGGTGGGGACTTCAGTCCTTTTTTTTTTTTTTTTTTTTTTTTTTTTTTTTTTTTTTTTTTGAGATAGGGTCTGGCTCTGTTGGCTAGGCTGGAGTGCAGTGACGCAATCTCAGCTCACTACAACCTCAGCCTCCCAGGTTCAAGCGATTCTCCTGCCTCAGCCTTCCCGAGTAGCTGGGATTACAGGCACCCACCATCATGCCCAGCTAACTTTTGTGTTGTTAGTAGAGACAGGGTTTCACCATGTTGGCCAGGCTGGTCTCGAACTCCTGACCTCAGATGATCCACCTGCCTTGACGTCGCAAAGTGCTGGGATTACAGGGGTGAGCCACCACGTCTGGCCTGACATCAGTCTTTTCCTGCCTTCAGACTTGAACTGAAGCATCAGCATTTCTTGTGTTTTGATCTTGCTGGAGTTGGACTGAAACTACACATCAGTTCTCCTGGCTCTCCACCTTGCCTATAGCGGATCTTGAGACTTTTTCTTATTTTATCTATCTATCAATCCATTGGTCATCAGGTTCTCCAGAGAATCAGAACCAATAAGAGATGTCATACACACCACACACAAACACACACACACACACACACACACACACACACTAATATGGTTCTGATTCTCTGGAGAACCCTGACTAATACAGAGGCAAGATCCTGTTTTGACGTGCTTGAACTCGAGGACTTATGCCGATGTTAACTCTGAGTGTTCCTGTTTTATACTCAGCCATACAGATGCTCAGAGCATACCTGCACAAGTCAACTTTTTGTGTCTGCAGGCATGGGCCTGCCCTGTACATGAGGAGACAGCAGACAGTTCCTCTCCCTGCTGCTGGCCTCTTCATCTTCTCCTGGCGTCACCACGGCCACCGTGATGCCTGGCTCAAGTACTAGTTCTATGTCAATGATGGTACCAATGGACTCTAACTTTAGAATGTTGTTGACTGAAGGCCCCTGCCCCCTGCCTTGCTTTAGGTGGAGGATCTGGTCAAGGCTTTGTGAATCAGGGGATGCTCCACACCTTTCTGCTCTCTGCAACAGGGCCAGGGATCTGAGTCCCTTCTTGTCTATCCAGAAACCGTATACCCAGTGTTCTCTTTCTCTCACCTCCGAATAGGTGGGCCTTCCCAATTTACCTGTGAGAAAACTAGTGTGCCACCTCAAGCGATTCTGGCCTCTGTTGACTGTCTGAACCCTGTGTTTTGTTGAGTGGTGCAGACTAGAGATGAAGACAGGGATTCGGCTTCGCTTGCTTTATCAAGGGAATGTTCTTGGGACAAATGTGTGACAGGTGAGGAAAACAACATAGGAAAGGAGACAGAAGTGAAGAGAAGATGTGGTCTCAAATGAAGTCTGGCTTCAGGTTTATCCTTGGGGGGCTCTGGAATAAAAATCACACCTCAAACTTGACCCGCTTGAGGCCAGAAGGCCGGGCTGTGGTACCTTCGTGTCGGACAGTCATAGGCTATCCTCATGGGGACCTGTATGTTGCCAGGTGTCTTGGGCAAGGTGGACAAGGATGCCAGCAAAGTGAAATTTTCCAGAGAAGGTCACAAAAGCTAGGAAATGGCACAGCAGCTGCTAAAAGGGGATCTGACCAGGCCACCAACAGCTTCTGCTTCTTCCCAAAGTCACCTTTGCTCTCTCCTGACCACCGTTGGTGTCTCAAAGTCTCACATGTGACAACACACATATCATCAAATTCATGAGTATCCATGGCACACAATGTTTTCCTTTTCTTCTCTTCTCTTTCTTTCTTGTTTTGTTTTGTTGTTTTATTTTGTTTTGTTTTACTGAGATAGGATCTGTCTCTTTCCCCCAGGCTACAGTGCAGTTGCGTGATATTAGCTCACTGCAGCCTCAAACTTCTAGGCTGAAGTGATCCTCCCACCTCAACGTCCTGAGTAGGGAGGGCACTACAGGCGCATGCCTCCACATCTGACTAATTACTAAATTTTTAAAAATTTTTTTAGACACTGAGTCTCACCGTCTTGCCCTGGCTGGTCTCAAACTCCTGGGCTCATACAATTCCCCTGCCTCAGAATCCCAAAGTGCTGGGATTATAGGCATGAGGCAATGTGCCCGGCCCACAATGGTTTTCATATAGCTATTGTGTATTGCGTTATTGCCTTAGTCACAGAAGCCCATAAAAAACAGATTCCAATAAAGAGACTAGGTTTGCAGAGTGATGAGTGGGGCCCTTGAAATAATTACATTTAGTGGGTTATATGTCTATTTTTTTGGTCGTTCCTTGCTCATCTGTCTTTATTTTTGTTTATTTATTTATTCATTTATTTGAGATGGAGTCTCACTCTGTCACCCAGGCTGGAGTGCAGTGGTATGATCTCGGCTCACTACAGCTTCCACCTCCCATGTTCAAGCTATTTTCCTGCCTCAGCCTTCTGAGTAGCTGGAATTACAAGCGCCCGCCACCATACTTCGCTAATTTTTGTATGTATATGTGTATATATATGTATATAATATATATATTTTTTAGTACAGATGCGGTTTCATCATGTTGATCAGGCTGGTCTCGAACTTCTGACCTCAGAATGATCCGCCTGCCTCAGCCTCCCAAAGTGCTGGGATTACAGGTGTGAGCCACAATGCCCAGCCTTATATATGTATTTATTAAGTTTGGGGGGAACAGGTGGTGTTTGGTTACATGAATAAGTTCTTTAGTGATGATTTCTGAGATTTTGATGTACCCATCACCCGGGCAGTGTATACTGTAGCCAATATGTAGTCTTTTATTCCTCACCCTACTCCCACCCTTCTCCCTGAGTTCCCAAAGTCCATTGTATCATTCTTCTGCCTTTGCATCCTCATAGTTTAGCTCCCAGTCTACAGGGTTATATTAAAAGAGGAAAAGGGGTATAAGAATCTAGGTATCATGGATGATGTCCTGGTCCTTTGCTGAGTCCCATTTTTTTCTTCCTCACCTGATTTCCCCCATCTGGCAGAAACTTTTACAGAGTGTTTGCAGAAGAGAAGCCTGTAAACTCTGGAGTGTGTCCTGGGTGGTTTGTCCTTGGGCCACTTTATTCCCTCACCGATCCCTTCCAAAGGCCATGAGTTCCCAGTCAGTCATTTCCCTATATCAGTATTTATTGTTTTAATCAATTTTCCCCATCCCAAGAGAAAGGCACCAACATGAGTCCATGTGTTTTAACATAGCAGGGGTTTCCCTGTCAGAGCCCGGTGGACTTCTGTGGCCATAAGCAAGTCAAGGTGGGCTCCTAAGTGGCAGCTGCCCACTTCCAGAAAGCTAGAGGTTCTAATTATGTCTTCCTGAAAAACAGTTCAATTAGGTAAAGTGACATTTTTTAAGCCCTTGTGTGTGTCCGACTCATAAAAGTTCAGAAGGTTGTTACTGAGAGGAGACTGCAGTCATTTTAAGATTTCAGTAGCTGCTGGAGTTGAGTAGATAATTTTTCCCCTTTCTAATATTATATATTAGGTGTGCTCTTGTGTCTGGGTGAAACAGAGCAATCACAATGATTGTTTTTTCAGTATGGTAATAATTAGGCATAAAATCAATATTTATGTGTAATGTGCCATTTGAAGATTCTCCCTGTGTATGATGCTGGGTTTTACAAAGGAAAATCTGGATTCAGGTGGCCAATGAAGTGTCACGATATAAAAAGAGAATTTTGAAATAATGAGAATTCCACTCCTTTGGGAGTATTGGCATATGTTAAAATACAAATATATCTGTATTTTTCTCACTTTTATTAGAAGAGTGCAAGTTTGTTCAAAACAACTGCTGGATTATCTAGTCCCTGAACAGCCATTTATATTTTTGTTACGCTTGTGGTTTTTAAATCATCCTCATTTCCTTGATCGCATTTGCTTCTCCTGGCTAGAATGTGTAGGAGACGGGTCGGGGAGACTGTGCCCATTTGACAGGTGTGAATGCGAACAGAGGCTGCAGCTGGTTAGACCAGGGCTGTGCAACCCTAGAGCCATTGCCTTGACCACAAAGCCACAGTCTCCTAGTCCTAATATTAAGAGGTAGGAGGTAGATAGAGATTGTCCCTTAAGCCACATTCCATTCTTCATATTTTTGTACCCATTAGAGTAGTGCTGATCATTTGCCTTCATTGCTGGGGTCCCCTAAATGCAACTTCTCATGCTGCCAATTTAGTCCTGGCCCTAGGAAGACGTAGGTGATAGGATAGAATTCAACAACTAGAAGCCATGGTTTCCTGGTTGGATAGACTTCCTCTGCCACCAGAATAAAGGAATAGAGGGTTCCTCACTGTGCCCCATAGCTGCAAAGTCACAGGAAGCTTGCAGCAGGCCAGTGGTAACCTCTGAGTGACTTCTGAGTTCCCAGAGCTAGGACCATGACTTTTCCCCTGGATTCTTAAGTACCCGGCTAAAATTGTGTTTGCCGAATGAAAGTGTGATCCTGGAGGCCATGTTGTTTGTGGTTCATGGAAGGGTGCTTGTTCAGCTTGGTCAAAGCAAGATGGTCATACTGGGTTTTGGTGCCCAGACGTTCCCAACACTCGCAGCAGAGGGCATTAGGATCATGTTTAGCCAACAATTTTGGAGGCACCCAACAGTGATTGGATGTCATGTGCTTTCAGAAGGCACACTACACATCTTCGGTTCCTCCAAGCTCTAGGAAAGGGTTGTGGAATTGGGTTGGGTGACAACAGGTCGGTAAGAAGAGGGCTGGGCTGAGTGTAAAGAAATTCCTTGGCTGGGCATGGTGGCTCACGCCTGTAATCCAGCACTTTGGGAGGCTGAGGCAGATAAATCACCTGAGGTTAGGAGTTCAAGACCAGCCTGGCTAACACGGATAAACCTCGTCTCTACTGAAAACACAAAAATTAGCTTGGCTTCCTGGTGCATGCCTGTAATCCCAGCTACTGCAGAGGCTGAGGCAGGAGAATCGCTTGAACCCAGGAGGCGGAGGTTGCAGTGAGCCGAGATCGTACCATTGCACTCCAGCCTGGGCAACAGGGAGAGATTCCATCTCAAAAAACAAACAAACAAACAAACAAAAACCCCAGATATTCCTTATTATGGAAGAAGAAGCAGGAAATATGTTTTTGAATAATCTGGGTCAGAGAATTGTGCATTTATTATTGCTAGGATGCATATACACATTGAACTCAGTCAACTTACTCTCTCTAAATTATCTCACCGGTGGAGACATTGCCTCAGGAGTCGAGCCCTGTGGTGTGCCTCCTGCTGTCACCACATTTGACCACCTAACTGACCCCACTGTGGTCACCTTTGCCACCTGCCCTGCTTTGGTCCCTTCTCTGCATTCGCCCCATGCCATGTAGCACTGCTGAGTTTGAAAATAATTGCATCTCCTGAAAACTCCATTTCTTAGAGAGTGAGCTCCAGCACCATCAGCCTGAAGTTGAAGAAATGGGACTCAGGAAGGCTGGAGTCTTCAGGCGTTCTTACAATGCTGATGCGACTCAGACGGCTGCCTGCACTGTCCTCTGTGCTTCTAAGTGAAATTACCCGTCGGGGGGCTCCTGAGAGTTAAATCAAGCAGCCTCTCTTGAAGCACAGTAAATGCTGACGTGATTTGTGAAGATGGCTCTGCTAATAGGGTTGGCAGCGTCCTTTGGCTTGGACCTTTGGACCCCGGCTGGCTGCGGAAGGGAGGGAAGGCAGCCTTGGAAAACTGATTTCCGTTGCCCTCTGACCATGAGAAGATCCCTGTTTAGGAGCTAGAATTCAGAGTTCCACGTGTAGAGGGGGATTCCACAGTGTGTGGTGTGCAGAGAGCACTCGTCTTTCAGGCATGGGGCGCCGTTTCATTTCTCCTAGTGCTGGAAGGGGACTTGGTGAAATTGATTTGGCAAAAAGGTTAATGTGTTGTTATGGCTGCCAGTTGGCCGATTGAAGCGCTAGTAATTGGGGCAAGGGAAGCATTCAATTTGACACACCAAATGCAGGTCCACCCTGGTGGATATCTTGGTTGCAGCACTCTGTGTGTGTACGTGTGTGCATGAGCGTGTCTTAGAGATGCTTTTGCTCCTCTTATAACTCCTATGATAAAAAGAGTTGCCATTATCATCCTTTGTCTACTCACCAGCCCCCACCAGAAACCCTCACAGAAAAAATAAGAGTTTATTTTTTCACTATGTCACATTGTTGGAGAACTGTGCAAATACAAGCCCTTCTCTTACAGGCCATGGGTCTCCTAAGTGGGATACACCACGATGATCCACTGGGGCAGTGGCCAGCAAAGTCCCTGTCCAGCCAGCCACTCGTTTTTATCAATAAATTTTTACTGAAACACAGTCATGCCTGTTAGGTTAGGAACTGCCTAGCGCCACTTCACACTGCAGTAGGAGAGTGAGTAGTTGTGACAGAGACCATTTATCCCACAAAGCCTAGAATCTTTATTATAATCCTGTAACAGAAAGCATTTACTGACTCCTTAGCATTGCCATGTTTAGCAAATAAAATTGCAGGATGCTGGTCAGGCGCGGTGGCTCACGCCTGTAATCCCAGCATTTTGGGAGGCCAAGGTGGGCAGATTACTTGAGGTCAGGAGATCGAGATCAGCCGGGCCAACCTGGTGAGATCCCATCTCTACTAATAATACAAAAAATAGCTGGCGTGGTGGCGCATGTCTGTAATTACAGTTACTCGGGAGGCTGAGGCAGGAGAATCACTTGAACCTGGGAGGCAGAGGTTGAAGTGACCCAAGATCACCACTGCACCCCAGCCTGGGCGACAGAGTGAGACTGTGTCTCAAAAACAAAATATCTGGCTGGGCACAGTGGCTCATGCCTGTAATCCCAGCACTTTGGGAGGCTGAGGTGGGTGGATCACTTGAGGTCAGGAGTTCAAGACCAGGCTGGCCAACATGGCAAAACCCTGTCTATACTAAAAATACAGAAATCAGTGGGGCATGGGGCGGGTGCTCTGTAGTCTCAGCTACTCAGGAGGCTGAGGCAGGAGAATTGCTTGAATCCAGGAGACGGAGGTTGCAGTGAGTTGAGACTGTGCCACTACACTCCAGCCTGGGCGGCAGAGTGAGACGCTGTCTCAAATAAATACATACATACAACATAAAGTAAGATGTTAAAGTAAATTTTAATTTTAGATAAACAATGGATAATTTTTTAGCAAAAGGATGTTCCACATTTAACTGGACATTATCTCTGTCTCTCTCCCTCCTTACCTGCCTCCTATCCTCTCTTCCCACCCCCTACGATGTCTATGTATAGTTTCAACCTGGCAACCCTGTGACCTCAGCACTAGGATATGGATAGAAAACATAGTAGCCCCTATTTACCTTTATCTTTTATCTCAACCCATTTAAATGTCTTTTCCTTGCAATGTTTTGTAATATTACATGTAGATTGTACATCGTTTGTCGATAAATCAGTGTACAAATACTAGGGGTGAGTGTGCTCAAAACTTATTTTTACTGATAATAGTCCATGATCAAGGCAGTTTGGAGACCACTCAGGACAGGGAAAACGCAGACTCATGTGACCCATCAGGGCTTCAGGGTGTCCTCTGGTGAAGGGCAGCAGCAGGACAGAGCCCCACTTCTAGCTCTGGCTCAGGTTAAGTGTTTCAGCGCCCTGGCTTCTGTGTCTTCATGTGCAAATGGAGATAATAGTCAGCACCTATGCAGGTTACTGTGAAAACAGGTTGGAAGTATTTATCTACAGCGTGGACCAGAGCCTCTGGTATGTACTAGGTGCCCTAGAAATGTTCTTTCCTCTGACTCAAATGACAAATCAGTTTCTAGGGAAAGGAACGCACAGCGATCCCCAGCGCATCACGAGAAATCTCTCTCCAGCTTTGCCCTGGCTGCGCTGGTGACTCACTCGGGGCTAAAACTGTTTATGTCTGCGGAGTCAGAGCGTTCTGCCCTGCGGTTTCAGTTCACATGGGGTTGGGCGACACAGTTTTGTTTTCACTTTGGTTTATCGTGTGAGTTTCCATCCATCAACTCTTTTGTATCTGATGTTCTTGGGAAACTTTGCGGGAATTCACTTGAAATTGTCCAGTGAACAGCCATTGCGAGTCTCATGGTCAGAGCCGGGGGCTTCCCAGTGTAGGGTCTGGTCAAGGAAAGGGCCACTTCCTGGGCCTCCCAAAAAGAGGAAGGAGAAGGCCCTGGCTTGTGGAAGAGTAAGAGGGGCCTCGTTAATGTCTCCCAAGCACAGTACCCCAACTCCCCACATACAGTCCCAACCCTTACTGCAGCCGGGAGGTTAGGTGTCTGCCGTGCTCATGAACAGGAAGTGAACCCGATCAGCCCCCGAAGGAAACATCCGTCTCTCTCCTTGGAGGAGACACTTGAGTGTCTTTCTCTGTGTGCTGCAGCCGTTATTGATATCAGTTCCCAGGCAAGGTTCATGCTGGCAGAGGAGGCCACTCTTTCTGCACTGGAGAGCAAAAGCCATCTTATCTCTCTGAGTGCAAGGTGACAGTGAGGAGATTGGCCCTGTGTATCCCTCAGAGACCAGTATTCCCTCATTTGCCAATCTAGAAAGAAGACTGTGTTTGCTGTCATTTGTTTCTTAACTCATTGATTCTCAAACAGAATCTTCCCAGGGATCTGCTTCATGCTGTATTTTGTACTGTGTCCTGAGATGATGAGGATTCGGTGTCTACCCTCAAGAAGCATCATTTAGAGAAGAAATTAGAAAAGTAAGTGAGGCAGGAGAACAGGATCTGGAGGCAGGGAATCTAAGGCTGATTCACGTTGACTTTGTATAATTAAATCAAAAGGAAAACACCAACTTTCCACAACTAAGTTATAAAAGGACCAGAGGCTACTCCCTCTGCAACCCCTCCCCACTTTTCTGAGTTGCAGATGGAAAATTGAAAGTACCCCTGATTGGTTGCTTTCCACGACCATTCAGCCGTTTGCATAGGAGCTGTAACTTTGTAACTTCGCTTCACCCTCTGATTGGTTGCTTTTCACAACCTATCAGACATTTGCATAGGAGTGTAACTTCTTTCCACAACCAATCTGACTGATTGTGGGCCATTACTTCATTTCCATGAGGTGTACACCAAGTGGCCAATGGGAGACCTCTATAGGGTATTTAAACCCCAGAAAATTCTTTAACCAGGCTCTTGAGCCTCTATGCTTGGGCTGCTCCCACCGTTTGGAGTGTACTTTCCTTTTCAGTAAATCTCTACTTTTGTTGTTTCATTCTTTCCTTGCTTTGTTTATGCGTTTTGTCCAATTCTTTATTCAAAACGCCAAGAACCTGGACGCCCTCCTCCAGTAACATAATGAATGTCTGGATGTGGTATGAAGAGTATTGGGGTACACCACAGCAGCGTGTGCTCTGAGAACACAGTAAACAGGCATTTGATACAGATCAGAAGGTCCGTAAAGGTGGTATTTGAACTAAGTTTTGAGAGCTGGGTAAGAGTTTGTGAAAAGACAGGGCTTAAGGAAGGATATAGTAAGCTGAAGGCACAGGACTTTAGAAACACATAGGCTATAACTGCAAGGTGTGTCTCAGAAGGTACATGTGACGTTTCATTTTTATTTGTTTGCTTTTTTATAGTGACTGCATGATCATTATATGCAGAAGACGCTTGAAGGGGCCAGATTAGGAAGGGCCCATGGTCCACACTGCTTTTTTTTTTTTTTTTTTTTTTTTTTTGAAACGGAGTATCTGTCTCTCACCCAGGCTGGAGTGCAGTGGCACAGTCTTGGCTCATTGCAACATCTGCCTCCTGGGTTCAAGCAATTTTCTTGCCTCAGCCTCCCGAGTAGCTGGGATTACAGGCACCTGCCACCACACCTGGCTAATTTTTGTATTTTTAGTAGAGATGAGGTTTCACCATGTTGGCCAGGCTAGTCTTGAATTCTTGACCTTAAGTGATCCACCTGCCTCGGCCTCCCAAAGTGCTGGGATTACAGGCGTGAGCCACTGTGTATTTCTATTACCAGCCTGCACTGCATTTCTATTACCCGAAAACAGTGTGGAAAATATTAATTACAAGGGAGATTAAAAAGTAAAACTGGTTGGTTGGCCTGAAGACCCACATGGTGACTTCACTAAAGTCATTGGGTAAGCAAAGAAGAGCAACACTCTAGTTTTCCTCCAAGCTTCAACGTTTTCTGTTTCCTCCTATGTCAGGTCTTAATTTCCCTACCTGATTCAGGCTGCGCTAAGCTGACTTCATCATGACTCCTGGCTTCCCCAGTCCCTGCTTCCCAGCACATACCATTTATTCAGTGTTGGCCAGTGACGCCTGCCACTGCATTTTATTGATGAAGAAATGGAGATCTCAAGAGGTAAAAAAAACTGACTATAGGAGCCAAGACTAGTTTAGAGTGGAGTTTGAATATGAACATGCCTCTGTCTGTGAAAGCCAGTGTCCCTTCAGCCAGGATCTTTCCTGGAAGAACTCAGTATTAAGGCACTTGATTAGTTCTTCCTGTTGGTGGACTGATTGATTACATTTGAATCTTTCAGCAAGCTTTTGGCTGAGCTGGGCATCTTCCCCGCCTTCCTCCACCTCTGCCTTCAAAAGCCTGAATTTCCAAGGCTTTCTGCCATGAGTACTTAGCTTTGAAAAACATGAGCATATTTTTCATTCTTCTTGCCGGCCTCTCCCTGTGTCATGCCTGTTATTCTTTTCTCCCTCAACATTGACCTAGGTCAGAAGGACCCTATTTTAATGTTTAGCGTTTGGGGGTCACTCCATAGAGAGGGGTTTGTGGAAATCCTTTTTTTTTTTTTTTTTTTTTTTGCTTCTTTCTGTGGATCTGTTTGGAAATGTAACATTTTAAAGCCCTTCTTGGCTGGAGGATTTTTTATGGTAAACATAAAACGTTCATTGAAACATTAAACATTTTACAGCTGTTTTTCAGCACATAAATTTTCATAGACATCCACCCCCTCACTGCCACACCCCCTCATAGATTTCTTCTTTTCCTCCTCCTTCTCCTCCTCCCTCTTCCTCCTCTTTTTCCCCCCCCTTCAAATAGTTCCAAGACCAGAGTTGAGGGTGGGTGGGTAGAGGGCTAGTTTACAGATAAAATGGTTGGTGTAGATCATCTAGTTTGGAAAAAGCACATTGTATTTTAATACTAGGAACGTGTGCATGCCAGAAACCTGCCAAGGAAAACACTCCCGCTGCTCCTTCCAGCCCTGACTCCAGCTGCTATGAACTGGAACCCTGCACCACGTCTCAGAAGGCTACTGGGAAGGGCCATAATCTGTATCCATCCACAAGGAGAGGTGGAGGGGGGCTACTCTAAGAAGCCAAAATGCTCAGGAAAGCCAGAGCTAAGATGGTGCAAACCAGCATGTGATTTGTCCAAGGACATCGTTTTGATATGATGAACCATGGGTGGTTTGGGCATTTGTCAAAGCAGGGTCAGCAGAAAGCTGACGTAGTTGGGTCTAAAGTACAACAGGACTGAGCATGGTGGCTCACACCTGTAATTCTAGTGCATTGGGAGGCCAAGGCAGGAGGATTGCTTGAGGCCAGGTGTTCAAGACCAGCCTTGGCAATATAGCAAGACATTGCCTGTACAAAAAATTTAAAAATTAGCTGGGAATGATGGTGCATGCCTGTAGTCTCAGCTACTTGGGAGGCTGAGGCAGGAGGATCAACTGAGCCCAGGAGTTTAAGGCTGCAGTGAGCCATGATCATGCCACTACACTCCAGTACACTCCAGGACTTTAGGCCTGCTAAAGTGCATTGTAGTAATACTAGATATCAGCACCCTTGCCATGGCCTCATGAGCAGTGAAATGAACTTTCTTGCTCCTGGATTTTTGGCTCTTGGCCTTGTAATTTTTTTTTTTCATGGGATATTAGTCAACATGATGTGAGCAGAGTCTTGAGATGTGCTTGCATGATTGGCTTTGTACTCCTGCATTTTTCCCATAGCCAATGCCTTTTCTTCAGCTTGGGCTGCAGAATGAGATAGATGAAACAGACCTGAATCTGACTTATACCCTGGAGCCATTTTCAGCAAACCCAGTCAATATCAGGCCAACCTCAACCAATTCTTAGACTAGTGAGTGAGGAAAATAAATATTTGATCTTGTGAACCCTTGAAATTTTGAGGTTGTTTGTTATGCGGCAGTATTTTGGCAGTAGCTGATGAATACACCACTCCCCATCCCTAGTGGCTTCCTATACCATTTAGAATAAAAATACACGCTCTTTTCCAGGGTCTACATGTCCTGAAGACCTGAACTCCTGCCTGCCTCTCAGTTTATTTCCTACCTCAAGTAGCTGTGCCCAATGTCCTCCCAATATCCTGCAACCACTCTAGTCTTCTTTCTTTTCCTGGGACCCACAGAGCCTATATCTGCTTCAAGGCTTTTGTACATGTTGTTTCTTTTGCCTGGGAAGAGTGGTGGGGGGCACTTTCTTGCCCATTTTTTTTTTTTTTTTTTGAGATGGAGTCTCGCTCTTGTCATGCAGGCTGGAGTGCAGTAGCACGATCTCGGCTCATTGCAACCTCTGCCTCCCGGGTTCAAGCAATTCTCTAGCCTCAGCCTCCCAAATTGCTGAGAGTACAGGCATCTGCGACCACACCTGTCTAATTTCTTATCTTTCTAACACAGTTTAAATATCACTTTCTCAGAGGCCTACCCTGACCATCCTACTTAAGTAACAATAATAAAATAAAAATACCCATCATTTATGAAGTGCTCATTATGTGCCAGCGTTCTTAGCATCTCCCAACAACCCTAGGAGACAGGCATTACAATGAGCCTTCGTAATGTTCAGATGAGGAAACTGAGGCTAAGAGAGCCTTGGCAAGCTGAGTTACTTAGCTAGCAAATGGTGGAGTCGAATTCAAACCCTGCCTCTCCTCACCCACTCTGTTTCTTTTCTTTTGAGCACTTACCACTTTCTGAATATGTATACAATTGTTTCCTCGATTACTGTCTGCCTCTTCTTCCCTAGAGCGTCAGCCCATGAGCTTATCCAGCCTACAGAGGAGATGCTGCAGCTTGGCAGAGCATGGATTGCTCAACATACCAGAGTTTAGTCCTACCTCTGTCTCCAAGCTGCTCCATGATCAAGGATAAACTATAATCTTTCTCTCTGCCTCAGTTTTTCCACCTGTCAGTGGAGGGGCATGCTCTTGGATGCCTGAGTTTTTCTTAGACTCAGCATCCTGCAGCCGAAATAACCATGCTTCTTAGTGGTCCTCTTGCGTAGCAGCCTAAGAAACTCCAAGTCCATCTGCGCCGAAGAGTATTGAACTTGGCCAGAGCACTTGGGATCTGCAGAAGTGTCCCCTGTCTGTTAGTTTTTTCACAGACTCTGCTCTTTCTCTCCCAGACCGGACCCTCCACTCCTCTATCTCGCATTTATCCATTGCACCCCGTGTCATTGCCGAATTCCTGAGCTACAAAGGTGAACAGGCACCAAAGCTAGGGCAGTGTCCACTCAATACATATCTGATGAATGAATGAATGAACCTTGTCTACCACAGATAGCTCACCACAAATAAACATTTTAATCTACTATAAAATAGCTCAAAAGACTCTATGCAAATAATTACTGTTACCCAGTGGTGGAAGTGCTTCACTTTTTATGGAAAGTCTTTCACTCATTTCTATCTGCAGTATTTACTGGGCATTTTTCCACGCCAAGCCCTGGGGATACAGAGTTAAATAAAATAGAAGCTTAATCCAGGCATGCTGGCTGTAAAGTTCACCTTTCGGCTCCTTTCTGCCATTCTTATTAGGGTCTTGCCCCATCTTGGCAGCAAGCCTGCTTTACCATTGGAGACCTCAGCTCTGATTACAATACGTCCGTGATCAACATGCCCTAACTGGTTAGCAGATGGCAGCTGCATGAAGTCACTGGGCCCAGATAGGAATCAACAAGGGAGATTAGGTAAAGTGCTTATTTGAGGTGCTGTCAGGGCCCGTGGCAAAGGGTTCCCTCATTCCCTCTGCAGTTATTTTTCATGCACACTCGGATTACACTGCTCGGTGATATTACATCTGCATGCGTCTTGCCCTCTGACACGGCAAACACAGATGCTGCCCAAATCCTTGTAAAGCCATATATCTTAAGTAGGAAGGAGCATCTTTGCAGGGGAGGTGAATTGATTTGCAAAGCAGCCTGACACATGGTCTCTTATTTCTCCTTGCAATCAAATAATTCATCTTTATGCCCGTAGGGCCGTGGTGAAATTTGAACCTGACCAAATCAACGACTGCAAGGTTTATTTGTAGCAGTGGGATCAGAGAAATTAGCCAAGTGTATTCTAAAATTATCAATTGCTGATCACATGGTCTGGATGTGTTTTAGTGCTTAGGGGTTGGTGGACCGAGGCTATGGTGGCATAGTCCTCCATGACCAAGGGCTGTCTGCATGGGTACGCAGATAAAACATGCACTGCCATGGGGTGACCTGTGTGCCATGCATCACACACAGACTACTGTTTAACCACCTACATCATAGGTAGATCCTGCATTTTACAAATGAGGAAACAGAGCTCGAGAGAAGTTCAATCCTCTTCCCTACAGAGAGGAAAGGGGAAAAAAATGGACTTTCAAGACAGCTGAAATTCAAAACAAAACAATGTTTTAAAATTGAATACAGCCTTTTGCATTAAAATTACCATTTTAATAATAGTTTAAAAGAGAGAAAGAGAGAGACCCAAAATAGTCAAACTGAGGTTTTGGGTTCTGGTGATAGAATATTAAATCATAATGAAGCATTTAATGTTTTGTTGTTGTTACAATTGTTGTTTTACCCTAGGGCTATGCAAAGTAGTTTAAGGATGTATTTATTTCAGTGGGGAAAAAAAGTGGAGGATATACATTTGGAGGATAAGGAAGCATGAATTAGGGTGGAGGAAGTGTTTTCTGGTCTAGCTAAGGAGGAAAAATTATAGACCTCAAAATAGGTGTCATTTAATATATATCTGTGAAAATGGGCCAAATAGATTGCCTCCGTTAAAGCCGTATTGGATGTTCAAATCTCGAGTTACCTGAAATGCAACTGTACTTCCTATATTTAACCAGGCTTTTTATAAACTGTTCCTCTTAACACCTCAAGCTGACAACCACATCCTGGGTGGTTATTTAATACCAAGTTTGACTTTCTTCACTTTGAGGGTCCTCAAAATAGAAGGTCAGAGAGTAGACTTTTAAAAGTCTTGCACTGTTTACAAGTCAGATGCTTTTTGGCAGAGTGACTCTCAGCTCCCCCCAACAATCCCTTCTTGTCGTTCAGTAGTAGATAGACTCTATCAGGGAAAAATAGGAGAAATAAAATAAGACAGCATATGGAAGGCATTGCTGAAAGTCTTTTTCACACCTTAAAAACAAGGAAGAAGAGAAATGAAAATAAAATAGTGAGCAACACCTCGGTGAAAGTAGAGGTGTTTGTACAGTTCAGCTGCTGCCTTATTCAAAAACAGGAAGAAAAACCCACTGCCCAGGTCAGCTGGTGGGTGATCTCCACTGAACTCCTATTCAGAGGCTCAGTTTCTCTGCAGGACAGAAATGAGAGGCACAAAATTTCATAGCTGTCTTGCCCCTCCTGTGGTCTGTAAGAATGGGACCAGGACTCCTAGTTGTGAACCCGAAAGGATTTCCATTAGGATCAGGAAGTGTGAGTTGGCTTAGAAAAAGTAAAGAAAGAACAGTGCTGTTTCATTTATTTATCATGTGTAAGTAAACTGGGATTTATTTTATTTTATTTTTTATTTTTTGTTTCAGTTTCGGGGGGTACATGTGTAGGTCTGTTACATGGATATCTTGCAAGATACTGAGATTTGGGCTTCAATTGAACCCATCACCCAAATTAGTAAACATAGTACTCAATAGGTAGTTTTTCAATCCTTTTCTCCTTCCCTCCCTAGTCCCCCCTTTTGAAGTCCCCAGAGTCTATTGTTCCTGTCTTCATGCCCATGTGTACGCAGTGTTGAGCTTCGACTTGTAAGTAAGAACATGCGGTATTTGGTTTTCTGTTTCTGCATTTATTCGCTCAGGATAATGGCTTCAAGCTGTATCCACGTTGCTGCAAAGAACATGATTTTCTTCTTTTTTATGGCTGTGTAGTATTTCGTGGTGTATACGTACCACATTTTCTTTAACTAATCCACCATTGATGGGCACTTAGGATGATTCCATGTCTTTGCTGTTGTGGGTAGTGCTGCCAAGAACGTGAGTGCAGGTGTCTTTTTAGTAGAGTGATTTATTTTCCTTTGAATGTATACCCACTAATAAGATTGCTAGGTCAAATGGTAATTCTATTTTTAGACCTTTGAGAAATCTCCAATTTATTTTTCATAGGGACAAGGTTGCAGAGAAAAGAGAAGAGTGCTGTTTCAAACAGTTGAAACCATTCCTACTTCCAAAAAGAATTTGACTCAAAAGGGAATAGTACACTACATATAAAAGACAGATGTATTTAATTTGTGTTTCGAACTACATATCAGAAATTAGTTAGAAGAAGATATGAGATAAATATACCTGGAAACTTTATGAATTATTTCTGACATCTAGCATTAAATTTAGCTGGGTTTCCTGGGAGTCAAAAGCAAAGAGTTTTCAACCAAAAAAAAGAAACAGAGGTGTATAGTAACACACCTCTGTCCTGCAACATAACTGTAAGAATTTATCAGATTATATATATATATATTTATCAGATTATATATATATTTATCAGATTTTATATATATATATATATATATATATATGCATATGTTTGTATATAAATATACATGTAAAGACCCAAAACTCATATAAAAAGACAAGGTGATACAGCATTTTAAAACAGTTTACTAAAAATAACAAAACATTCTTCCATCAGTCATGCATGCCTTATATTTATGTAGATACAAAAATAGAGTTTGATATTAAACAATACTCCAAGAAAGCCATTTCTGCAGAGTTAAAAAATACGTAGGTTCAGTTCCTTACCAACACGTAGACATGTTGTGATGAAAGAAGGAAAGGAAGGAAGGAAGGAGGAAGGGAAGAAGGAGGGAGGGAGGGAAAGAGAGAGAGAGAAAAGGAAGAGAAAGGATTTTCTAGAAAAAGAAAGGAAGGAGGGAGGGAAGGTAAGAAAGAAATTAATTCCCATTTTAGAGTAAGACTGGAGGCAGAGTGGTCACCCAGATGAAAATGAATAACCCAACTGTGTCTTTCTTCTGGTGCCTCCACGTGGAAGTGGGCTGCCACAATACTTCTAAAGAGAATTGGCATTTTTCTTTAAATAAGGAGGAGGATGAGGAGAGAGACGACACAAAATTCACTCACAGAAGTGAACATAAATTCTAACATTGGTAAAACTTTGTCTTTGTTTTAAATAATCAGTCAGTTGTCTCAATCCATAAAAGAGTATCTCTTGTACAATGTCTGCTTTTGAGTGATTCACTTCGATGCGTACTGAAAATATACCTTTAAGTAGTTGAGTGACTTGAAATATTGGTAAATGTTCTTTAATATTTTGTCTGTCAGTGTTAGAGACTATCAGGTTAAAACAAAGATATTCTTTCTTTCCTTTTTGTTTTTGACGGAGTCTCACACTCTGTTGCCCAGGCTAGAGTACAGTGATGCGATCTCAGCTTACTGCAACCTCTGCCTCCTGGGTTCAAGCGATTCTTCTGCCTCAGCCTTCTGAGTAGCTGGGATTACAGGCACACACCACCACACCTGGCTAATTTTTGTATTTTTAGTAGACACGGGATTTCGCCCTGTTGGCCAGGCTAGTTTCTAACTCCTGACCTCAGGCTTCCCAAAGTGCTGAGATTACAGGTGTGAGCCACCATGCCTGGCCAAGAATATTCTTTCTAATATGATTTAGCTAACAGGTTCAGCAGATTTTTAAACTCACTTTCAAATCATGATAAAATTCTTTAAGATAAACATTTGTCTTCTGTTTTCCCCTGAGAGTGGTTTAGCATTTATGGAGCCCTGCTTTGTGCTAATGAGTTTATATGCCCTGTCTTCTTTAATCTTCACCACAACTTTATGTAATAAGTAGTCTCCAATAAATTTAATCACATAATTACTTAAATGGCCTGGCGAGCCGCCTTACCTAGCTGGCCAGGAATTCCAGGAGTCAGGCTTCCTGATCTAAATCTGTCCTGGTCCCATCTTGGCTGGGTGCCACCAGCAGCAACGGCACACTCCAGCTTAAATATCAGTGGGGATAATTCTAGGCCGTTTGTCTGCCTGGTTCTTCCAGGATAGAGGCAGTGATTTCAGTAATCTCTTAGGGCTGGGCACGGTAGCTCACGCCTATAATCCCAGCACTTTGGGAGGCCGAGGCGGGTGGATCACCTGAGGTCAGGAGATGGAGACCATCCTGGCTAACATGGTGAAACCCCGTCTCTACTAATAATACAAAAACAAAATTAGCCGGGCGTGGGGGCAGGCGCCTGTAATCCCAGCTACTCTGGAGGCTGAGACAGGATAATGGTGTGAATCCGGGAGGCGGAGCTTGCAGTGAGCCGAGATTACACCACTACCCTCCAGCCTGGGCGACAGACTCCAGCCTGAGCGACAGAGTGAGACTCCGTCTCAAAAAAAAAGAAAAAAGAAAGAAAGAACCTCTTAGGCAACTCTCATTTCATTATCCAGGTACAAAGACAATGAGTAAGAAGAGTATTGGGGTTGGGAGGACCAGTCACCCCTGTGTCTTAAGATACTTCTCAGTTTTCTTTGTTGCAGCAAATATTACTGCAGAGTTTTAGTGCATTATAGCCTTCTTAAATAAAACTTGCCCAGGTGCAGTGGCTCATGCCTGTAATCCCATCACATTGGGAGGCCAAGGCAGGTAGTTTGCTTGAGCCCAGGAGTTTGCGACCAGCCTGGCTAACATCATGAAATCCCATCTCTACAAAACATAAACAGAAATTAGCTGGGCATTGTGGTATGTACCTGTAGTCCCAGGTACTCAGGAGGCTGAGGTGGGAGGATTGCTTGAGCCTGGGAAGTCAAGGCTGTAGTGAGCAAAGATCACACCACTGCAGTCAAGCCTGGGTGACAGGGCAAGACCCTATATCAAAAAAAAAAAAAAAAAAAAAAAAATATATATATATATATATATATATATATATGTATATGTATATGTATATATAAATTTAAGGAAGCATAGAATTGAAGAGGCTATTCCAAGGTCACATGACTTTTAAGTGGCAGAAACAGGGGAATTCTGTCTAACACAATCCAATTTATCCATCTCAAGAAAAGAGATATGCCAAAGAGAATGATTATTAAATTATCATTAATGTGAACTCTTGTAATTACTCTCATAATTTTCTTTAGGCTTATCCCATTGGGCATTGCTAAGTATTATTAGATTGTGATTATAAATGGATTCCGCCAGGCATTTCTCTTTTGCTCTGTGGCAGCTCTTTCTCTAGAGAACTTGGTCCCTGGGGATGCCATCTTCTCTGTCTTCACTCGGTGAGGATGGACTTTAGGATGCCTCACTTCTCTTCCTGAGATTCTTGCTTCCTTCTTCCTTAAGGGCCACTGATGAGCAATCAGTGAGTTTCAGGAAGAAGGCATTCAGGCTGATTTCAGACAGCCTAAGGTCAGTGTGCAAGTTAGTATGTACCTGTGTCTTATTATTGAACTGGTGAATGAATGAATGACTAGGTCATTATGAATTTGTAGATCAGGGTTTTGAAGAGTTTGGCACCGGATTTGAAAGCCAATGTTCTCTTAGTACCTACCGCTTTCTTTTCCTCACCTTCCTGGATTTCCTGCTCTTAAGGTTTTTTGTTTTTGTTTTTCTCTCCAAATAAATGGTATTTATTAAATAAAAATTCATTTTCTCATTTATCAACCAGTTGCAGTCTTTGGATGTTTTAATTATATAAAAAAAGCATGGAAACTGGGCATTTTAATTAGCAAGTACAGCCTTGACACAAATAAAGGCATGGCTTTGGTTATGCAGTGCATTTATTTGGTTTTCTTGAAATAAGAAAAAAAGATTTCTTCTCCATCACCAGAGTTGCTGAGTTTGACAGTGTGAATGAGATGACCTCTAAGGCCTCTACTTATAGATCTGCACGGTTGGGCCTGGGAGCTGTACTACCTCAGCTGGTGGGTGATAACTTACTCACAGTCTGTGCTGTGTCCTGCACTGTCCATTATCTGCAGGGGTGGTACTGCTGTCCCCAGGGAAGAGAATGCTGTCCACAAAGAGCCAGCCATTTATACTATTAAAAGAATACACAGGAGTTGAACAATGAGAACACGTGGACAACGGGAGGGGGGAACATCACACACCGGGGCCTGTCTGGGGGTAGGGGGAAAGGGGAGGGAGAGCATTAGGACACATATCTAATGCATGCGGGGCTTAAAACCTAGATGACGGGTTGATAGGTGCAGCAAACCACCATGGCACATGTACACCTATGTAACAAGGCTGCATGTTCTGCACATGTATCCCAGAACTTAAAGTGAAAGGAAAAAAAAAAGTTTCATCAAAAAAAAAAAAAGAAAAAGAAAACACCGGAAAAAAGAGACTCTCTTCCTTGAAGGATTTAATTCCAGGAATTGGAGAATGTCTTGTACATTTCGAGAAGGCAATATAGAAAATGCAGTGGGTAGCCCAGGACTCCTGGTCCAGGTAAAGCAGGCCTTGTTGCTATTCCCCTGGACCATGATATTACATGTTGGGATGATGGGGTCTTGTGATACTGATTAATTTAAGGCTGCATGATGATGAGGGAGGAACAAAGATGTTCTTGAGTCAGTACCTGCCAGAGTGGCTGTATCCTGGTGTTGTAATATCAAATAATTCTACATTATTTAGTAAATAGCCCTGCCCGAAGCCTCTCAGTGCCACACACCCACTGGGATTCCTGTGTGATTTGTCACCTGGAGGAACATCACCTGCCTTGGTTGGGGAGAGGAAGCCTCAGGACCCTGCACCAGGGCCATGTGACAAATACCCATTTTGATAGTTCAGTACCCGCTATTAAATATGCCGAATATTATTCCTGAAAAGGGGCATGGGGATAATTACAAAAACATACCTGGTTCCACTCTCACTTTCGCCATTTAATAGCTTTGGGTCTACAAGTAACCACCCCAGATTTTTCTCCTCCTCTATGCACCAGTCATATCAAGAATTACTGTAACTTCATAGGATTTTTGTCAGGACGCTATGATGAGAAGAACATATGCCAAGGAGACAGTTTTCTGGCAAATCAGAGGCCTGTAAGAAATGATGGCTTTTTGCTTGTATGACCAAGTCTCTTGGAGACAAGGCCTCATGTATGAACTCTGAGGCATGAGAAGGCTCAGAATTCACCCCATCTTCAGTCTTTTATTTGAAAAAGGGAAGAATGATGGAAAGGGGAGGAGAGAGTATATAAAACACGAACGGGGATCCTAGAGACTTGAATTTCTAGTATGTACTGCCTCTGGCTAATAGGGATCTTTGACACATACGCTTTTTCTCCCTTTCCAGCTGGCCCTGTTGCTTAAAGTGGCAGAAGTAGATGTCATGTTGGCAGACAGTTTTGTTCACTGTCAAAACTGGGTTTATCTAATGTGTATTTGAAACAAACAAAAAAAAATCAATAAAATGAGCAGCTTTGGGAGCCAGGGTGAAGGCGGTTGAGATAGGACAGAACTCCAGAGGACTCTTAAACATTATTCAGGAAGCTCTGAAGCTCCCTCAGTCTGGGATTCCAGAAAAAGATTGATTAGGCAATAGTTTACCTTAGACCATGAGGAGATGGACTTTAGCCAGAACACACTGAAAAACACGAGAAAAGTTGGAAGAAGGAATTATTTTTAGTGTTCTGAGAATGCTTTATTGATATTCCTATGAGAGTTTCATTGGTTACTGACGCTGTGTACTGATTGGGTAAATTCTAGCATTTTTACACTCCTTTGTTTCACCCTGTTTGTTCATTCATTCTTCCGTTAAACTACCATTAAGCAACTACCATATCTAATTTTAAGGTGGTGGACAAAGAATCAAACCTAAGTTGGGGAATGTGGCCTCTGGTGATTCTCAGTTCTTGGTAGCCATGTCTCAGCATAGTCTTCTCGGACACCTAATACTACTGACCTGTATAATCGATAGGGTATTGCAGACATCAGAGCATGTGACTTACGAGGCTAGACCATAAAAATATTGAGGCTTCTGCCTTACTGATGTGGATCATTCACTCTAGGAAAAGCCAGCTGCCATGTTGGGAGGATACTCAAGCATACCCGTGTAGAAGAACTGAGCCTCCTGCCAACAGCCATGTGAGTGAACCACGTTCGAAGTTGATTCTGCAGCCCTAGTTAAGCCTTGAGGTGATTGCAGCCTTTGCTGCAATCTTGACTGGAACTTTATTTGAGCCCCTATCTAGAACCACCGAGCTAAGCTGCTCACAAGTTTCTGCACCACAGAAATTCTTGTGCGAGATAATAAAAGTTAATTATTGTTTCAGCCCACTTAGTTTTGGGATAATTTGTTATACAACAGTGGATAACTGCCCATTCAAAGAGTCTAAACCATTAACTGTTCAGCATTAGGTAAGAAAACCAGTTAATTGTTACTTTCTTACCACCTACCCCAGCACCCCAGCACCCCAGCACCCCAGCATGACCACCATTTAGAGGGAGCTGCGCTTTTGCAAAGGTACATAGGACACTGTCTGTTGCTTCTGTACCTCTTGCCTCATCAGTTAGTGGTGTGATGTGTTTGCCTGACAAATACCATCTAGGACCCTGGCTGCATGAGCTTGTTGAGACAGCTAAATTTTACAGGTAGTTGGGGTTTCACCATTTAACCCAGTTAACTCTTCTATAAGTGCCGTATTAAAGCAGGTGGTGTATTTTGAAAGACGTATGTAAAAACATTTGTATTTATTTATATGAATGAATACATTTTATTTATTTATATAAATACATTATATTTATTCACATAAACACATTTTATTTATATAAATAAATCCATTTTTATTTATTTATATAAGTAAATAAATTTTCCTATAAATAATCTTTCTGATTGACAGATAGCGACCTTCCTGCTATGTCCTTACATGACAGAGGAAGAGATCATCTTTCTTCAGCCTCTTCTGACAAGTCCACCAGTCTCATTCATGAGGGTTCCACTCTCATGACTGAAGTACCTCCTAAAGGCTCCCCCTCCTAATAATATCACCTTGGAGATTAGGGTTTCCAAATATGAGTTTGGGGGGACACATTGATTCCACAACACTGACCTTCTATCAGATCAGCCAGGATGCTCTTTTTCAAACTTCTGTCAATCTTTCCCCACCTTCACAATGTGCCCCTATTATTATTAATATTTAAAATATTGAAGATCTAATTAATGTTGAAATTTTTCTTTAAATCAATTCATAGATTCATTAACTTTGTTTTAAAAGGAAATGTTCTATTTCCATCGTAAAGGGAAGATCAATATGATTTGCCACATATAGATGAAGATAAACCTATATACAAAGAAAATAGAACTATAGTAATTCCATGTAGCTATTATTACCAGAGAATACTCTAAGCCCAATGCTTGTGTTCTCTTTGGGCAAATGGAAGATGAGCCACTTGTAGAGAGGTATTAAAAACCAAAGCAAGATCTTTTGCAAGTAGATTAATTGGGCAAGACAAAGGGAATAATAACTATGTCACCAAAATTATTTAATGCAGGGTCCAGGAGCCACCTTAATCATCCATAAATTGGTTAGGCATGTTTATTACCACAGATTGGAAGCAGGCTTCCCCCAAGTGTGTTTCCCTTTGTAATGCCAGTGTCGTAACGCCACTATCTATACTTTTCAACACAATTCCAAGTGCTACCTCTGCATGGCAGAAACTATCAACCGTGGATGGTTTCTTTTTAGCTTGTCCTTCCCGTTCTACAGCATGGAGGTTAAGAGCTCTGGCTTTGGTTCCAATCGTGTCCCCTTTCCTCCCTGTGTGTTATTGATTGACCTCTCTGAGCCCATTGATAAATGGAGTTAAAAATTTATACTCACTGGGGTGGTGAGAAGGTTAAGGGCAATGATGTATACAAGACATTAGCATTTGCTATAAGGAGGATGTATCTCAGTTGCCATATTTGTATCACTAACCATTTGAAGATTTTGTGTTCAAGATTTGGAAGAGAATCTTCTTCCCAAGCCAGCATTTTATATTTTGCATTAAAAAAAACCACAAAAGACAAAAAAAAAAAAAACAAAAAACCTTCACAGACAAAACCCAGGGCATATTTTAGGTGTGTTTAATTCGAAGCTCCTGATGTCTAGCAGGAACCTGGAACTTCCCTTTCTATTTTTGTGGGTCAATATATTCCCACTTTTGATTTAAGGTAGTACAAGTTGTATATGGGTGCCAGTTAGGGATTCCTGGCTGATCTGTGCAATTTTTTCAGTGAAGTTATATGTGGTGCTTAGTGGTGACTATGGGAAGATTACACGGAGAAGTGTTAGAACAGGGTAATCAACTGGGAACCCATTTCAGGTGAATGCCAAGATGTTTTGAAGGTGGGCATGGCAGGGAAATAACAGGATGCCATGCTTGGTGAGAAATGAATTCGTAAGTGTGCACTGTCTGCCATAAAGAGCCAGGCAAGGCACAGAAAATATTCTTCTGTTTCTTTTTCTATTCTACCCTCTCTCTGCTTTTTCTTCTCTCACTGCTGCTGAAGCAGTGAGAGCCTGTTGAGTTAAAATAAGCCAGTGAGGATTTTGGTGGTGTTTGCCCTTGAAGCCTCTTGACATACAGTGTCATCAAGGAGCAGTGGGTGAGCCTGCCCATATCTCGGGCACAAACCTAGGTACTCATTGAATCCTTTAAACTAACCCTCTAAAGAATTCTCAATCTGTGGATGAGAAATGGCAACACAGGGATGTTAAACTGCATGCCTACAATCATCCATTTGGAAGAAGCAGGGCTGGAATTTGAACATGAGACTGTATGCTCCCTGTTGTAGTTTCCTATGGCTGCTGTAAAAAGTTAGCACAAATGCAGAGGCTTAAGACAGCACAAATGTCTTATCTTACAGTTCTGAAGGTTTCGCTCCAGAGTGAGTTTTATGGAGTGAAAATCAAAATGTTGGCAGGCCTTAGGGGAGAGTCCATTCCTTTCATCTTCCAGTCTCTAGAGGCTGCTGGCATTTTTCAGCTCACGGCCACAGCACTCTAATCTCTGCTTTCACTATCCCTTCTTTTTTCTGTGACTCTGACCTTCTTGCTTCCCTCTTACAATGACCCTTTTAATTGCATTAGGCCCACCAGGCTCATCCAGGATGTATTTGTCTGTGTTCACACTAGTGATAAAGACATACCCAAAACTGGGTAATTTATCAACAAAAAGAGATTTGATGGACTCACAGTTCCATGTGGCTAGGGTGGGTGCACAGTCATGGCGGAAGGCAAAAGGCACATCTCACACGGCAGCAGACGAGAGAGAGTGACAGCCAGGTGAAGGAGTTTCCCGTTATAAAAACATTAGATCTCATGAGACTTATTCACTACCATGAGAACAATATGGGAGAAATCGATCCTGTGATTCAATTATCTCCCACCAGGGTCCCTCCCACAACATGTGGGAATTATGGGAGCTACAATTCAATATGAGATTTGGATGGGGACACAGCCAAACCATATCACAGGATAGTTCCCCATATCAAGGTCCTTAACTTAATCACACTTGCATTTGATTTTATCATGCAAGGTAGCATACTCACAGGTGGGATTAGGACTTAGACACCTTCAGCAAGAAACATTACTCAGCCCAACACACTCCTCAAACCTAAGCTTATTCCCAATCACACAGTCAGGAGAGGATGCCCACAATGCACTTGGGGTTTTGTGTCTGTGTCTCCCCTCCAAGAACAGGTACTTGCCCTTGTCTTTGGAGCTCACAGCCAAGTCCTACAGTCAGCATCAGACGGCTTGTCTCAAGCTGCTGATTTCCGGGAGCAAAGCTGCTGTGGGACATGAGACTCTTTGAGGCAGAATACCTCTCATGCCTGGAGAGCATTACAGGCTGCATTAGTCTGTTTTCACTCTGCTGATAAAGACATACCCAAGACTGTGCAATTTACAAAAGAAAGAGGTTTAATGAACTCACATTTCCCCATGTCTGGGGAGGCCTCACAATCATAATGGAAGGGGAAAGGCGCATCTCACGTGGTGGCAGAGAACAGAAGAGAGCTTGTGCAGGGAAACTCCGCTTTATAATACCATCAGATCTCATGAGACTTATTCACTATCATGAGCATAGCACAGGAAAGACCCTCCCCCATGATTCAGTTATCTCCTACCAGGCCCCTCCTACA
Source organism: Homo sapiens (assembly GCF_000001405.40). Classification (NCBI taxonomy): domain Eukaryota; kingdom Metazoa; phylum Chordata; class Mammalia; order Primates; family Hominidae; genus Homo; species Homo sapiens. The sequence continues at coordinate 78,761,058 of NC_000016.10, forward strand.
ACACGTAAGAATTATGGGAGCTACAATTCAAGATGCGATTTGGGTGGGGACAGAGCCAAACCATATTACAGGCTAATGACTGAGCGGGGGCTGTTTCTTGTTGTGTTCTTATAAGAACTATTGCATTTTCTTTTTCTTCCAAATATAGTTAATGGCCTCATCTTTTCTGGACTAGGTTTGTAGTAGACCATAAGCAAAAGAGTTCAGAAAGCACGGCCTCCAAGAAGTCGGATCTGCTTGTCTTTATCAATCTGTTTGGATTTTCCTGGCCCATTTACTCACAAATTTAAAAGACATGATGAGTTTTCAGGGAGAACTCTTTAGCATTTACATTTTAATTTAGTTTTGTTTACCTGTTTAGTGCCCTCTCGGTTCCCAGACCATCAAACTCACCATTGTCACCGGGGAGAAATTTGTGTTGGCTGAAATCTGTAGTGGTTGGTCTGCTGCTTTTCTTTCTCTGCTCATCTACCCTGATAGTTTCCCTGTGGTTTGTGGTGGGCTCACAGCTCTTGACCTCAGGACTCTCGCTGGTCTAGAGGAGATTGGTTTGTGGGGGCGTCTGACATGTTTGGGTTCTTTGTGACATCTGGGCCACCCGGTTGAGTCTGACAAGAAACACTTAATACCTCCTTGGCTTTGAAGCTCTCCTTTGTGGCACTACAAGGTCCTCTTTGAAATCCCACATTCTTTTTTGGATTTAGGTATTAACCCCTTGGTGTGAGGAGAAAGATAATTGTCAACACACTTAGGAGAGAAATCATGCAGTAAAGCTGACCCGACATAGACTAACTTAAAACTAACTAGTTCATTAGTGCTAACTTAGTTCATTAGTGCTTTATCTCCTTGTGTGTGTGAGTGTGTGAGGGGATCAATTATATACATAAGACAAAGACCACCTAGGAAATGTTTGAGAAACTGTGCAGTGAGGATGAATCAACAAGTAAATATCATGAGAATTTCTTAGATTGAAGAAATATTACTCCTATTTGGTGTCAACTCTGTGCTGGCCTTTTCACTGAAGTTCTCTGATGTAACTGCCCACAGTAATCCTGTAAGGTATGGCTAATCATTTCCATTTTATAGATTAGGAAACCAAGGTCAAAAGTGGTGAATTGATTTGACCAAAATCACAGACCCAGGAATTTCCTCAGCCAAGAGCATACAGCAGCTGTGTCTTAAGACTGTGCCCTTTCATCCACCCTCTTGGTACTCAAAGCTTGGTCCATGAACCAGCAGCTTCAGCATCTGCTGAGAGCTTGCTGGAGGTACAGAATCTCAGGCCTGACTGACCCCAGGCCTGCTGAGTCTGAATTTTAACCAGAGTCTCTTGGTGACTCGTGTGTACTTTAGAAGGGGAACTGCTCACCGCCCCCACTTCCCACTGAGTCGAATAGACATTAAGTGAGCCTTCCTTATGTGCTCAGCCTGTGGTGAGGCTGCAAAGACAATACGACCCAGCCCCTGTAATGCAAAATTCAGAGCATAGGGCAGCACACTGCTGCCATGAGTCGAGGTGACACAGTACTAACAGTGGGCACAGGGGGCTCGGGGCACAGAGGAGGGGTGCTTCCCAGGGAGACTGCCCGTTGGAGCTTACTCCTAAGCTAATTGGGAGGCAGGAATCCACTGTGGCTGAGAACAGCAGCTCTGAATTTGCACTGTCTGGTTTCAAGTCCAAATTCTACTACATCCCAGCTGTGTATTGTGGGGCAAGTTACTTAACCTCTCTGGCCTCAGTATCTGTATCTGTAATATGGGGAATCATAAAAGCACCTACTTGTTAAGGCATATTAAATGCAACGCTACTTTGAAGGACTCATGGTAGTTAACACCCAGTTTGGTAAGTGTTATTATTGAAGGCTGAGAACAGAACGACAAACAACAATCACAACAAAAGGCTGGGGAAGATTTTCCTGGTGGGGGGACCAGATGAGCAATAGATCTCCATATGCAGAGGGGTAACTGAGTACGACTCTGGGACTTACACTAGAACATTCATATTGCAATAAAGCAGATTTTTCCTGAGCACCTACTCTGTGCCAAAGCACTATTGTAGGCTGTGGAGATAGGGAGCTGAAGTACTGAAAGCGTTACAGTCAAGGGCCAGAAAACCATTGTTCAAGCAGTTGGCGTATGGCTTGATCTGTGTTTATTACAAAGCGATACTTTTCCTTCTAAGTACTGCTTTACCTGCATCCTGCAAATTTTGGTATGTTGTATTTTCATTCTCATTAATTCAAAATATGTTCCAATTTCCCATGTGATTTCTTCTTCGACCCTCACATGTTTATTACAGCATTTACTTGTTTCTGTTCATCCAGAACTCATTGAATACCTGCTATCTACCAGGCAGTGGCCTGGTCACATCTTCTGACCTCAAGTAGTTTATAGTCCAAAAAGACATTGGCTCTTTGGGATAGAGGCACTTTTTGGGGGAGAGAAACATGAATGCAATTTTTTACATAGAGTATGAAACTCTGTTCCAAATCTCTCAAACTCAGGTTCTTTGATTCTTAAGGTATTTTTCACTGCCGAGTTGCTGTCATTGAAACAAAATCTGTCCTGGTCACCACTGTATGCCCAGCACCTAGTACAGTGCCCTGAACATATTAGGTACTCATTAAATACTTGTTCCACGAAGTTGTTATTTGGTATTCACGAGTTTTGTCTCAATTCCTTTTGATTCTTCTTTTCACCCATCTCATGTTGACTTAATTTCTCCAGCATTCAGTTAAGACCTAGCCGAAGCATAATTGTCAGCATAGTAGAGCTGGCTCTCCTCTTTCTAATTGCCCTGCAGAGTTTTTGGGGAGTCTGTATGCAATTGTGTACACCCCAATGCCCCAAAACCCTCTTCTATTTCCTTTAGCACTCTTGAGCTGAAGAAGCCCCACTCTCCCTCTGCCCCACATCTATTGTGGGCTGGGATACATGTTGGGCCTCTGCCCAGATCATGCTTGGAGTGGCACCAGCTGCGTAGGATATGTGAAATATTTGCTCAGAGAGATCCAGAAGGGTTGATGTGAGTAGGATCAGCTGGTGCTCCAGGATAAAAATCGTGTCACCACTTTTGCCGAAAAGTCACTGTGTTTCTCCTGTACTCAGCAGGTTACAGGGTGCCATATTGTTCTCAGTCTTCCGGCTCTACCCTGTTTTGAAGTGCGGCCGGGTGTTGTTAAACGGCTCCGCCTTCCTGCCAGAATTTCTCCGTGGGGAGGAGCTGCCACCCAGTCCAGTGAGTATGGCCTTTTGGTCAGCATTGCAGAACCTGGCAAGTCCTAATTCCCTGTGAGCTTGACACAGGAGGCCGCCTCCTCCTCCAGGCCCACTTGGAGGCATTCTGTCCTCTTGTTGGAAGGGAAATTGGTATGGTAGGGAGGTGCTTCTTCTGGGAGTGGGTTTGTAAAATTAAGACTGTTTTCATCCAAACCAGTTACCTGTTTGTCTAGAACCTGTGTTCTCTGCTTTCTGCCTCTTGTGTTGACATTTCTCCTTTGGCCTTCATCTGTTACTCGCTCACATGTGCCGTGCCCCGGGTGGGTTTGGAAGCCATGCTGCTATGGTTTGATTCCTGGCTTTCCAACATTACCTTTGATAACCAAGACAAGTGGCAGTCTAAGCCTCAGTTTCCTCATCTGCAAAATGGGTGCAATTCTAGTACCTCCTTCCTAAGGCTGTGAGGATTCAATGAGGTACTGCTTGCAAAGTTTCTAGCACAGTGTCTTGAACACGGTAAACAACTTACCTAGGTCTGATCTCATTTGATATTGTTGCTCATAGCAAAGGTTTGTTGAGTTTACTATGGATATAACACTTGTTCTTTTTTAAAATAACTTTTAAAAACGCAAGTGTTGAATTATCTGCATTGTGCCTTTAGGGCATACACATCTGCTTACAATATTTTTTGAGCTTTCAGAAAACTTAAGATATGGTTGAGGGATGCAGGAAGGAACAGGACAAGAACCCAGATCCCTGCCCAACAGGACAGTGGAAGGGAAGTCTCAGCATCTCGAAATGAGTGCCTGGAGAGGATGGGTGGCGGCTGTGCGGGGATGTGGTAGGGTGATGGTCCTTGAAGGATGCTGCAGATCACAGTGGCCCCACAGTGTGGGGATTGGGGTGGGATATGTGACAACAAAGGCATCCCTGGCAGAGGATCCAGCACGAGCAAAGGCAGAAAGTCCAGGAAGTGTCAGGAATGAGAAGAGCCCAGTAGAGGATGGGCTTAGGGACAGTGATGAGACCTTCTGGTAGAGGCGTTGAACACTAGGGTGAGGGCTTTGCTCTGACTTCAGGAAGCAGGTGAGAGGCCCTGAAATTTCCACGTAAGATTCGGGGCCGGGCACGGTGGCTCATACTTATAATCCCAGCACTTTGGGAGGCTGAGGCGGGTGGACCACCTGAGGTCAGGAGTTCGAGACCAGCCTGGCCAACATGGTGAAACCCCATCTCTACTAAAAGTACAAAAATTAGCCAGGTGTGATAGCGGGCGCCTGTAATCCTGGCTACTCGGGAGGCTGAGGTGGGAGAATTGCTTGAACCCGGGAGGCAGACGTTGCAGTGAGCCGAGATTGTGCCACTGCACTGCAGCTTGGGAAACAGAGTGAGACTCTGTCTAAAAAAAAAGAAGAGTTGGATCACAGCAAAGGTGAGCTTTAATGAGTTCACTCTGGCAGTTGTGCCGAGGAGGGACTGGCATGGAGAGAAAACAGAGGCAAAAATCACAACCTCTGTCAGAGAACTCATCGCACTATTTCTGTCCTGCCCTGGGATGGTGGAGCCTAAGGGAACAGAGAGGACAGAGTGGGTGGCACAGGCATTGCGGAGGCAGAAATTTACGTGGCTTCCATGCCCATTGGTGTGAGGAGTGAGGGGTGATCAGGGATCCCAGTGGCTTGAAAGTATAACAAAAGTATGACTAGATCCAGGAAATACAGCTGGAGAGACCCAAGTCTGCACAGAAAAGGTTTACAGAGCCCAGGCACACAGATGACATGAGCAGTTCCAAAGGAGTGGGACGGGGTGAATGATTTGTGGTCAGAGGTGTGGTCACACATACCGTCCCCTGATAGTCGGTGGGAACTGGGTCAGGTTCCATTTGCCAGGGGCAGGACATACTGCGTGCCTTGGCCTTTTCTGGGCTACTCAAAAAAGGATTCCACCAGGTAAACTTGAATCACCTAGCGCTGGTAGAAAGCCTTGCTCTTCGTCATCTCTCCTGTGTGTCGCTAGCCTTATTAAAATGTGCAGAGGAGACCGGGCATGGTAGCACACTTGTAATCTCAGCACTTGGAGAGGCTGAGGTGGGAGAATTGCTTGAGGCTATGGCTTCAAAACCAGCCTGGGCAACACAGCAAGACCCCACGTCTTAAAAAAATTTAGCCGGCTGTCGTGTCTCCTCCGTGTAGTCCCAGCTATTCAGGCAGCTGAGGCAGGAGGGCTGCTTGAGCTCAGGAGGTGGAGGCTGAAGTGAGCTGTGATTGTGCTGTTGCACTCCAGCCTGGGCGACAGAGGGAGAGCTTGTCTCCTTGTCTCTAAAAAAGAAAAACATGCTCAGAGGCCTTGTGAGTTAGCTCTCTCCAAAGTTTTTAAGACAAGGAATTCAGTTAATCAAGTTTGTTAGACTTGTTTGAAAAAAGGGCCTGAACAGGCTCAGAGCAAGGGCAGATCAAGCTCTTCCACAGATTTTAATGTTCAGGTTTTGTGACCTTTACTTTTTTTATTTTGGCAAAATGTACACAACTTAGTATTTATCATTTTAATTTATAAGTGTAAAATTCATAGTCATTAAATATATTCACAATGTTGTGTAACCATCAGCATTACCTATACCTAAAATATTTTCATCACATCTTTTAAAAAATAACTGCCCCTTCCTCACTTCCCCAAGCTTGTGGTCTCTGGTAACCCCTACTTTACTTTCTGCATCTATGAAATTGTTTTCAAGGTCAATCCATATTGTAGCATATATCAAAATTTCTTTCTTTCTTCCTCTCCTTCCCTCCCTCCCTCCCTCCCTCCTTCTCTCTCTCCTTTCCTCCCTTCCTTCCTTCCTTCTTTCCTTCCTTCCTTCCATTTTTGACAGGGTCTCACTCTGTTGCCCAGGCTGGGGTGCAGTGGCACAATCAAAGCTCACTGCAGCCTTGACTTCCTGGGCTTCAGTGATCCTCCCACCTCAGCCTCCCAAGGAGCTAGAGGTGCATGCCACCATGCCTGGCTTTTTAAATTTATTTTTATTATTATTTTTTTATTTTTAGTAGAGACAGATTTTGCCGTGTTGCCCTGGCTGATCTTGAACTCCTGTGCTCCGGTCATCCACCCGCCTGGGCTTCCCAAAGCGCTGAGATGACTGCGCCACCACACCTGCCACAAAATTTCTTTGTTATGGCTGAATAATGTTTCTGTGTGAGTGTGTGTGTGTCTGTGTGTGTGTGTGTGTGTGTGTGTGTTTGAATAATACTCCTATGAACATTGTACCAATATCTATTCAGATCTCTGCTTTCGATTCTTCTGCATGTATACCTAGGAGTGAAATTGCTGCGTCGTTTCGTATCTGTGTGCTTAACCTTTTGAGAAACTGCCAAACTGTCTTCAACAGCAGCCGCATCATTTTACATTCCCACCAGCAGTGCATCAGGATTCTAGTTGCTCCACATCTACCCAATACTTATTTTACTTAAAAAAATAGAATAGCCATCTGAGTGAAGTGTTACCTCCCTGCAGTGTTGATTCCCATTTCCCTAATGATGTTAAGCGTACTTTCACGTGCCTACTGGCCGTTTGTGTATCTTCTTTGGAGAAAGTAACATCCATTTTTGATACTCACATGGCTTTTTGGTTCTATTTTTGCTTTCTTTTGGCTAATGATAACCTTCCAGCACCACGAGTTTGGACTGTGCTAATGTCTTCTAGTACTGTTTAGAAGTTGAGGTAAAAAGAAAACGGTAATTGAAAGAGACAGTTGTTGTTTACATTGGGGAGGTTGGTATTCCACCCCCTGTGCTTTTTCATTAGCTGTATTGTATTCTTATTATGTGTTTTACCGGGTAATTGTAATTCTTGGCTTTGGATTTTGTCCCTTTTTTAGGCTGCGGGGCGGGGGGGTCGGTTATTTTATAAGCAAAGAAGTACAGCCAGTATGATTCTGAAGCAACTAGGTCACAGTAGAAAAAAGTTGGAGAGTGAAATCTCAAGCAAGCCAAAAAGTGATAGATGAGTTAAAAAAAAAAAAAAAAAAAAAGTTGCCTGGCTTGGTGCAGTGGCTCATGCATGTACTCCCAGCACTTTGGGAGGCTGAGGTGGGCGGATCATCTGAGGTGAGGAGTTTGAGACCACACTGGCCAACATGTTGAAACCCGCTCTCTACTAAAAATACAACAATTAGCCAGGTGTGGTGGCGCACGCCTGTAATCCCAGCTACTCACCAGGCTGAGAGTGGAAAATCACTTGAACTTGGGAGGCAAAGGTTGCAGTGAGCGGAGACTGCGCCGCTGCACTCCAGCCTGGGTGACACAGTGAGACTTCATCTCGAGGAAAAAAAAAAAAAAAGGCTTTGGAGCTTCCTAATTTCTAAATAGATTTCCTTTATAATTTTCAGAGGTTGTGAAATTAACTCTGTAGATTGGGGAGTGTAGTTTGTCACTCTAATTGCCCAGCGTTTTAATTATCGGCGTGTTTTATGCTTTTGTGAAATGCTCATTTCACAGCTTGCTGGTGGGTCTTTTTGTGGAACGAGAAAGTGAATATTCACACCAGAAATGAGGTACTGACCCTGAAGGGCTTTCCAGTCAAAGAGAAAGGAGAGCATGACCCGCCAATGCCGTTGTTTGTAAGCAGGAAGCTGACGCTGCGCCATGGTGTAGGGGAGGAGGACGGTTTCCATTCTGTTTTGAGCATCAGAATAAAACCAAGCACCAGAAGGTGTGGTTCAAAGATGCTTTCCTTTTTCAGTCTCTGGTCAATTTGTTGTTATTTTTCTTCAAGAGAGTTGTTGGGGTTGGGTAGGCGCAGGGGCCACAAGGCCATCTTTATAAGGCTCTGGCATTTGATAGTGAGGTATTTTGGTATTCCAAATAATTGGTGGAAGGATGGAAAGGTTAAATGGAAATTATGTAAGGGCTGCAAAGAGATTCATATATGACTATTTCATGAGTGCTTACTATATACCAGGCGCTGTTACAGCCCGTGTAATGCCACCTGGGAGTTGGGGGGAGTCACCATCGTCCATCCGTCTGTCCATCCATCCATCCATCCTGCCTCCCTCCATCCTTTCTCTTTTTCACAATGTCTCTTGCTCCGCCCCCTCTCTTCCCCTCCTTCCTTCCTATCCAGTGCTTGTAACCTGTCAAGCACATGTTGTAGCCATTGGGGACATCGTGGTAAACAAAGCAAAGTCCTTGCTTGCATTCTGTGACAGATGGAGATAAAATGGGTAATTAACAAATGTAATCCCTCCCACCCACCCCCCACATTATTTATTTATTTATTTATTTATTTATTTATTTATTTATTTATTTATTTATTTTTACCATGTCTGTTACTCCATCAGTCAGGATCCAGTTAGGAGACAGAAACTATATCATAATTTTAACAGGGAAGATTTAATATTAAGAATTATTAGCTACAACAGGGTTTTGGCTACTAAAGGGTAAAGAGAATCAGGCCGAGCACAGTGACTCATGCCTGTCTGTAATCCCAGCACTTTGGAAGGCCAAGGTGGAAGGATCGCCTGAGTCCAGGAGTTCGAGATCAGTGTGGACAACATAGGGAGGTCCTGTCTCTACAAAAAATAAAAAATAAAATAAAAAAATAAAAATAAAAATAAATAAAAAGTAGTTGGGCGTGTGTGGTGGAGCATGTGGGGGTCCCAGCTACTTGGCAGGCTGAAGCAGGAGGATCGCTTGAGCTCAAGAGGTTGAGGCTGCTGTGAGCTATGATCTCACCTCTGTACTACAGCCTGGGTGACAGAGTGAGACCGTGTCTTTAAGTAAAATAAAATAAAAAAGAGTAGGTCGGGCATGGTGGGTCATGCATGTAATCCCAGCACTTTGGGAATACGAGGTGGGCCAATCACTGAGGTCAGGAGTTCGAGACCAGCCTGGCCAACATGGTGAAACCCCGTCTCTACTAAAAATACAAAAGTGAGTCGGGGTTGGTGGTGTGCTCCTGTAGTTCCAGCTACTTGGGAGGCTGAGGCAGGAGAATCACTTGAATCCGGGAGCCAGCGGTTGCAGTGAGCTTAGATTGCACCACTGTACTCCAGCCTGGGCCATAGAGTGAGACTCTGTCTCAAACAAAAAAAAAATTTAACTCTAAAGAATCCAAGAATACAGATTTGGGAGCAGCCAGTACCAATGGGGGATGGGGCAGTACACCCAGGAAAGAGCAAATCTGGGGTCCCCACGGGCCAGGACTGGGATCTGGACTGGGCCATGGCCCATTGGATGGCAGAAAGGTTCTCACTGAAGCCCCCATAAAGGTGGGACTCACTGGGAAACCGCTCTCTGTGGTGCCAGGGAAGGACGTCTGTGGGAGGTGCCTACCAAGGAAGTCTCTGGAAATCAGCCTGCAGGGGTGGAGTGCCGGGAAACTCCCGCCCCCTCCCCCCCTCCCCGAAGTGAACCGCCCACAGGGAGATGCCCCTATGGGAGCTTCGCACCAGAACCCGTCTGCGCCAGTGTCCCTGCAGCGCCCTCTACTGGCGAAGCTGGACATGGCGTCCGCTGGCAAAGGGGAAACTCTTCTTTCCTCCCAAGCCGAGCAATGCTAAATGTGCCTGGTACTGAGACGTCATCTGTGGACGGTTGGCACCGATGCTAATCAGTGCTATGGGAAAATAGGCAGAGCGAGGAGCGTAAGAATTATTATGTGTGCTGTTTGATAGAGACTGTACAAGGAAGACCTCTCTAAAAAGGTGACATTTGGAGCAGAGACATGAAGGAAGGGATTGCTGGAGGCAGAACATTCTAGGCAGAAGGAACCGCACGTGCAAAGGCCCTCAGGTCAGCCGGCATGGCATGCAAGTAAGCCAGCTGCAACACAGCAGGTGTGGATGAAGGGAAGAGAATTAGCATTTGGCCAGAGCACGCATTTTAAGGGATGGAGATCCATTTGGATAGTCTTGAACACAGAACTGACCGGAACTGACTTACTCTTTGAAAAGATCGCTCTGGCTGCTGTGTTGAGTGGATTGGTAAGGGATAGGTGGTGAAGACTGAAACAGGGTATCCAGTTAGGAAGCTATCACAGTGATCCAACCCCCAGCTTCTGTTGAGGTTGAAGAACATGCATGCCCAACCTAAATATATGTTCAAAGGTGGTTATTACTGTTTGAGGTGATGAAAGAGTTTTGGAGATAGAAGTGATGGTTGTTCAACATCATGAGTGTAATTAATGCCACGGAATTGTATCCTTAAAAATGCTTAAAATGCGCTGGGTGCGGTGGCTCACGCCTGTAATCCCAGCACTTTGGGAGGCTGAGATGGGCGGATCACTTGAGGTCAGGAGTTCGAGACCAGCCTGGCCAGCATGGTGAAACCCCGTTTCTACTAGAAATACAAAAATTGGGCGGGCATTGTGGTGGGTGTCTGTAATCCCAGCTATTTGGAAGGCTGAAGCAGGAGAATTGCTTGAGCCTAGGAGGTGGAGGTTGCAGTGAGCCAAGATTGTGCCACTGCACTTCAGCTTGGGCAACAGAGTAAGACTCTGTCTCACAATAAATAAATAAATAAATAAATAAATAAATAAATAAATAAGAGTTGGATCACAGCAAAGGTGAGCTTTAACGAGTTCAGTCTAGCTCTCTCACAAAAAAAAAGTTAAAATGACAAATTTTGTGTTACATACATTGTACTACAATAAAAACCATTTTTTTGAAAAGAATAGTACAAAAATGATACTTCCCTCTCAGTGTATTTTACCAAGGGATTATTAGTGTATATGTGTGTTCTTACTGGAAATGTTAATTGGACCTGTAATTCTTTTTTTAACTTTTATTTTGGGTTCAGGGGTACATGTGCAGGTTTGTTATATAGGTAACTTCATGTCACAAAGGTTTGTTGAACAGATTATTTCATCACCCAGGTAATAAGCCTTGTATCCAATAGTTATTTTTCTGATCCTCTCCTTCCTCTCTCCCTCTACCCTCAGGCAGGCCCCAGTGTCTGTTGTTCTTTCTTTGTGTCCTTGAGTTTTCATCATTTAGCTTCCACTTGTAAGTGAGGCCATGCAGTATTTGATTTTCTCTTCCTGCATTAGTTTGCTGAGGATAATGGCTTCTAGCCCCGTCCGTGTTCTCGCAGAAGACATGATCGCATTCTTTTATATGGCTGCATAGTATTCCATGGTGTATATTCACTACTTTTTTTTTAATCCAATCTGTCATTTGTGGACATTTAGGTTGATTCCAGTAGACGTGTAATTCTTCTTGGAAATGTTAATCTTGATCATTTGGTTAATGTGATGACTTCTGGGTTCTGCAGTGTGAAGTTATTATCTTCCCTTTTGTAGGTAACAAATACTTTGGAAGAGATTAAACAAACAAATAAAAAAGTGGTGATTGTTATTACCAGCATGGCTACTACTAGCTAATTCCAGGCTTCAAGCCACTGGGGCATAGGCATATGTTTAGCTCATTCCACAGGAGGGGAACAGAGGCTCAAAGAACCTAGGTAAGTTGGCTAGGCGCGGTGGCTCACACCTGTAATCTCAGCGCTTTGTGGGGCTTAGGCAGGAGGATTGCTTGAGCTCAGAAGTTTGAGACCAGCCTGGACAACATAGCGTGAACTTGTATCTACTTAAAGTAAAAATCAAAAAAATAATGGGGTGCAGTGGTACATGGCTGTAGTCCCAATTACTCAGGAGGTGGAGGTGGGAGGATTGCTTGGGCCCAGGAGGCTGAGGCTGCAGAAAGCTGTCATCATGCCGCTGTGCTCCAGCCTGGGCATCAAGGTCTGTTTTGCAGACCTTGTCTCCAAAGCAAAACAAACAAACAAAAGAAACAAACAAACAAACAAAAAGAAATTAGGTAACTTGCTCAGTGGCTAGTGAGTGGCTAGATTGTAAGCTTCATGAGGGCAGGGGACTTTGACGATTTTGTCGGTATCCTAAGCCGCTAGAACAGTGCCTAAACATTTGTTGGGCAGTTAATATATATTTGTTCTATTAATAAGTAGAGCCCGAGTTTGTGTTCTCCGATTCCACACCCCATGTTCCTTCTACTACAACTTCTGGCTCTGGCTTCTGGACTGTCAGTCATTAGCACTCCCTATCCCTAAGGTTTCAGGAATGTTCAGCTGTTTCCTAGCTTGGAATGGACCATCCTCTGGTCCCACCCATGGGTAAGTCATTGGCTGCAGAGCGCAGACATTTGGCTCCCCTCGGGACATTCCTCCCTCATTTAAAACAATGAGGCGGGCAGCAGGGTACTTTGTCCCTTGTGTTAGCTGAAGTTGGAGGATGCTGTGTTGATGGGAAAACGCTGTTACTATTCTTAGACTAGTGGGGCTCTCACTTATTCATAGCTCCGCACTCGTGGGTGGAATGAGAAGTTATAATAGAGTGCAGGTGCCTCTCATTGTTTTCCGCTACTCACTGGATAGTGTTTATTAAAAACGAAATCACAGTGGTGTGTCTGGAGTTGAAGTCTGAACAAATAACCCAAAATGAGGAGTCCCTGGAAGGTGGGCAGGAGGCGACAAACAAAGAGAAGCAAAAACAAGTTTGAGCTAATTGGGATCAGGCAGTACTTTGCATGTGAGTTCTGAACAGGGAGCTTGGCTGCAAAACGATTATTGTATTTAACTTCTGTTGGCATCATTCGCATACTTGTATGGGAGATCCAGAATTGGAATTTAACACAGTTTTCCCAGGCCCTTCATGGAATTTGAAAACATGACTCTGAAAGCATGTGGCTGAAATGAGACTCTTTCACACTGTTTAAAGATGCATGTGCATATGTTGGTGTCCACACATCAACTTAATTTTTTCATGTTCCTTGAAGGAAGCCCGTCTAGGTCCTTCTGAAAGAAGGGCTGGAGATTTTTATTAAACATTACTTCTAGGCTGGGTGCAGTGACTCATCCCTGCAATCCCAGTACTTTGGGAGGCCAAGGCAGGCAGATCATGAGGTCAGGAGATGGAGACCATCCTGGCCAACATGGTGAAACCCTGTCTCTACTCAAAATACAAAAATTAGCTGGGCGTGGTAGCAGGCGCCTGTAATCCCAGCTACTCAGGAGGCTGAAAAAGGAGAATCGCTTGAATCAGGGAGTCGGAGTTTTCAGTGAGCCGAGATCGCGCCACTGCACTCCAGTCTGGTGACAGAGCGAGACAATGTCTCAAAAAAAAAGAAAGAGTTCTGAATGATGATAGGTGTTGGAATCCACGTTGGTGTGTCTCATGTCATTTTTTCGGGCAGTTTCTTGACAGACCCATTTTGTGTGTGTGTGTGTGTGTGTGTGTGTGTGTGTGTGCGCGTGCGCACACGCATGAGCCTGTACGTGTCCCCCTCCCCCCCCACACATATGCACATAAGATAGCATAAGGTAGTTCCTGGCACATGGCGTTGTTCTTAACCATGAGGTGCTCCCAGGCTCCGGGCAGTTCCTTGAAAGACTCATTGTCTGTGTGGGGGGAGGGGAGGCTGTACATGTCCCCACCCAACACACACACATACACACACATGGGCACATATGATAGCATAAGGCAATTCCTGGCACATGGCATTGTTCTGAACTGTGAGGTGCTCCCAGGAGATCTTGTGCTTCCTATCACATGCCCATTCTGCAAGTCCATCCCCTTATTGAGCAGATGTTTACCGCAGAGCACTAAGACAGATGGAACGTCACCGTTGCCCATAGCACTCATGGACAGCATGGGGTCCCCTGTAGCAGATATTTGTGGTGTATGCTCGAAGAGGGGCTGCAGGTAGAACTAGAAAGGTAGGTAAGTTGGGCAGATGGCGAGAGACATCACAGCCCTCACTCCTGAGGGTGGGGAGCCATCTCAGGCTCAGGAGAAGAAGAGTGACAGAGTCACCAACTCACTCCATCAAATGTGGCTGTATTTTTAGAAGTGTCTGGTTCCTGAAATACCTCAATTCCTTTTGCCTGCCTGGCTCCTCTCCTCTCTTCTGCCTGTTCATTGAACTGAAAGATTATCAGGACTGTATTCAGCCCGGCCAATAATATCACAAAACAAAAATATCTTGTGGGTTTGAAATTTATGAGTGTTTTGACTGTTCACAGCAATGCCTTTGAGAATCACAGTGTGTCATCCCCTCCCCACCCCCACGAACATGTAGTTTTTGGGCAACTTTTCGATGAGTAAAACAGGGCCTGACTTTTACCCCAAAGTGATGTTCTTTTGTGGCTTGTCTACTCCAAGAACTGAGATACCCAGACTCATTTCTCATCTCTTGTTGAAACAGAGAAGTCACTGTAGCGCCCTCCGGGGGGTGGGGTATCAAGGGAGAGTATGGGCTTTGAAACTGCTCATCCCGTCTACAACCTTGGAGGGCATGGTGTTTCACTCCCCCACCTCTCCCCACAACTTCACCCTGCTCCAATGAGGATGAAAATGTCTTTCTTATAGATGGGACAGGAGCCTTAGTAATATGGTGCGAGCAATGGTTCACATAGGGGACAGGTGTTCATTCAATGGTGGGTATTATTATAATAATCATTAGCATCATTGCTAGTGACTTTATTTTTCCTTTAGCCAATGGAGCAGTGGCTTTTGGCCCACTACTTTCGACTGAATCTATGAGTGAATGTGATCCTCCGTTTTAACCCTGTCTTATTGGATGTTGGTAAACAGTATATCATGAGCCCCTGTAAGAGCTTGAATCCTTCAAAGACAAGGTCAGTCAGTGGCCATCACTACTCTAAACGTAAGACCCTGTGATGACTGACACTTACTAGGTTTCTCATTTATTTATTTTTCTCTGCAGGACACAGCTATGTGTTCCAAAGATGGTCTTAAACCTATAGGAGTATAACACCATGGCTAGTTCAGAAAACCTTATTCCAACTTCCAAACTTAGAAGATACTGGGAAGTAAAAGGGAGAGAAGGGAATGCATGGCTTGGGCTAAAAAAATGATTCTGCATTCATCTCAGAAGGATGTTTTCCAGTCTTTCTCTAGAAACAACTTTTGTGTCTAAGGATTGTGGGTGAACAACAGCAGCACAGGCTACATTGGCTTGGCTCGGTGGTTGGGATGGTTTGGCTCTTACTGGGCAGTAAGCACAGTGGCTGGGATAGGACCTTGGCATCTCGTGCGAAGCCCCTCTGCCTGGAGTCCTGCCTCTGTGACACTTGCTTACTGTGTGACCTGGGTCAACTCATACCTACTGTTCGTCAGTTTTCTCATCTGTAAAATGGGGATTCCAGTGGTTATTATGAGAATTAAATATGACGATACATAAATAGCACCTGGAAAAGTGTTTAGGAAACCTTGACATGATGACCTGTTTAGCAGCAGCAGTGTGTGCCATACTTACCTTTATGGAATGAACAGATTTGGAGTGAGGATGGATGTTTAGCTCACTTTATTAGTCTGGTCTCACACTGCTATAAAAAACTGCCCGAGATTGGGAAATTTATAAAGAAAAGAGGTTTAATTGACTCACAATTCTGCATGGTCGGGGAAGCCTCAGAAAACTTACGATCATGGTGGAAAGGAAGCTAGTGCACCTTACATGGCGGCAGGCAAGAGGGGCAGGGAGGGAGAGAGAAAGAGGGAGGGAGGAAACCACCACATATAAAACCATCAGATCGCGTAAGAACTCGCTATGTCAAGAATAGAATGGGGGAACCACCCCCATCATCCAGTCACCTCCTACCAGGTCTCTCCCCTAACATGTGGGGATTACAGCTTGTATTACAATTCGAGATGAGATTTGGGTGGGGACACAGCCAAACCATACCACTCATGGCATCTCGTTTTTACAGAGTATATGTGTTTTCAGATTTTGCATGACATTTTAGGATAAATGTGATGAAAATGAGGAAAATTGGGAATGAAGTTTAGGTCAGAAAAGTTTCAGTGATTATTTTTTCAGAATCATTGTTTCTTGGTTTCTAGGGTCCAACATGCCATTGTTCAATGGCTGTATTTCAATGGCTGTATTTCAGAGGCTGTATTTTTTTTCCCATCTCTTCCTTCCTACTTAGAAGACAGTGACATTTCCTCTGTGCCTCTCAGGTGTCAATGCCATCCAACAGGAATTTGTACAAAGAAAGGGAGGACTTTCTGATGATGTTGTCCAGGACAGTGGCCCCATGTAGCTACTGAGCACTTGAAACGTGACTAGTATGACCAGGGGCTGGACTTTTAGTTTAATTTTTTGTAATTTAAATAATTTAAGTAGCTGATGTGTCTAGTGGCTGTCGTATTGGAAAGCACAGAGTAGACATTGCAAATACAGACGTAGAAAGACACCGTGCCTGCTGCTAAGAGGCCCCTGGTCCTACTGAGTGGTCAGCTGTTTACACTGACAGTCCCAGCGTGGTATAATAAGCATTAACACAGAGACATGTACAGGGTGCTGAGAAAGCTAATTTTTGCAATAGTCAAAAAAGACCTCAGGGCAGACTCCCCAGCACAGAGTTCCAAGCCTTTACCTAAAAAGGTAATCATTTTATAAGTACCTATTATGTGCCAGATACTAGGATAGGCACTTTGCATAGAAACTCACATTTCGACTGGGCCTGGTGGCTCACGCCTGTAATCCCAGCACTTTGGGAGGCCGGGGCAGGCAGATCATGAGGTCAAGAGATCAAGAGCATCCCGGCCAGCATGGTGAAACCCTGTCTGTACAAAAAATATAAAAATGAGCTGGGTGTGGTGGCACATACCTGTAGTTCCAACTGCTCAGAATGCTAAGGTAGGAGAATCGCTTGAACCCAGGAGGTGGAAGTTGTAGTGAGCCAAGATCGCATCACTGCACTCCAGCCTGGGTGACAGAGTGAGACTCCATCTGAAAAAAAAAAAAAAAAAAAAGACATTTACATTTTATCTTTACTGTAGCTATGGCTGCCTATCCCAAGGATGGGAAGTCTGAAGTTCAAACTGGTGATGATCCCCACCCCAAGTCACACAGTTAGCTTTATAGTTAAATCAGGGTGTGCCTGATTTCCTAGCCATACCAGGCAGCCTATTTCTTGAATAACCTCCCATCCCCTGTGTCTCCTTTGTGGAGCTCTTGGCAATACTCTGGTGATTGGTAACCACTGATACGCCGCCAGCAGTCCACGCTTGGGTGGAAGGCAGGTTTCACGTAACTGATTTACCACTTGGTAAAGGAACGAGGTGACAGCAAGACCACAAACTAATAAATATGCCGGTATTGACATAATGTCGGACCTCAGTATGATTGATGCATGTGTTGTTGACTGGGATGTCACATGTTCAGGCTGTAATCCTGGTCTCAGTATGACTGTGAGGACGGGGCCAAGTCATTTCACAATTTGGGTGAGTGTTCCAAGCTTCTCAGAAGAGCGACGCAATAGAAATTCAAGGTATGAAATTCAAGGTGTGGTCTCAGAGTCATTTTATCTTACAGCTTCTCTGCTGTGTTTTCTCAGTATGTGAAATGGGAACATCACTTACCATCTACTCACCTCCTGTTTGAGTTCAAGGGAAGGTTTGCAGATTGGCCTGAAGGAAGACTTCTCTTGAAAAACTCAAACCAAAGAGCACACCGCCGTCCCCAACCCTGAGCCATTTCTGTCCTTTTCATGGAAAGGGAACTGTGTTCGCCAGCTCGTAAAGCCCCGGCGTCTCCTCCTAGAAGAAACACCCACATTGACCCAGCAGTGTTCATTTTCCCATAAGGTGGTGCTGGATAGGGATAGGATGTCGCCCCTTGTTCACCCCTTGGCAATAATCTGTTTGATTCACTCCAAATGCTGCTTCTGATCTCCATCTATTTCAGGGGATGACCAGTCTGAATAAAACCAATGAGCTTAATCTACTTGTGGAATGTTATAGCCGGAAGGGATTCATAGAGATCACTCTATCGCCTAAAATTCTCTCTTCTACATATCTCAGTGTTGGAAAACATAAATGTGACTCCAACTTGTCTTTTTTGTTGTTTGTTTTTGAGACAGGGTCTTTGTTTCCCAGGCTGGAGTGCAGTGGCATGATCTTGGCTCAGTACAACATCTGCCTCCCTGGCTCAAGGGATCCTCCCATCTCAGCCTCCTGAGTAGCTGGGACTACAGGTGCATGCCACCACACCTGGCTAACTTTTATTTATTTTTAGTAGAGAGGCAGTTTTGCTGTGTTGCCCAGACTGGTCTTGAACTCTTGAGCTCAAGAAATCCTTCCACCTCAGCTTGACATTACAGGTAAGAGCCACCGTGTCCGGCCCCCCTTTCTTCTTTTTTAAAGTGGGGTATTAAGGCTCAGAAAAGAGTGTTTCTGCCACTGCAGAGGATTGCTGACATTATTAGTTGCTCACTCTGTCCAAGGCATTGTGCTCAGCTCTTTGTACAGATTGTTTAACCCTCACAAGTCTATGAATAGAGTATATTACCCACTTCATTTTAAGTAGGAAATTGAAGCTCAGGGAATCGTAGCAGAGGGCCCCAGTTCACACTGCTGATCAGTGATGCGACTGGGATCACCACAGCCCATCTGGTTCAGAAGCTTGTTCTCCTAACCAGGATGTGAGAGACATTCTTGTCCTAGGCAGCACGTTGGTGGCAGAGGTGGGATCTAGACTGAGGCTCTCATTCTGTACCCTCTCTGGCCCCAAGGAAGGAAAGGGGAAGGAGAAGGGCCTTTGGGACTGGGTGGATGTAACACTTTCTGCCACCTCTACTCTTCCTGCTATAGATTAAAACAGAAGCTCTGAATTGCAGCCACAAATCAATAATGAAAAGCTACCAGACCAAGCCCTTTCTTGTTTAGTGTTGTGTCTTCTGTGTCAACATCTCTGGAACATAGTCAATGGCAGTACCCAGTAGAAGCCATATGGATACTTTTTCTCAAGTGTTGAAATAAATTAATGGTGTGGCCATGGTTCTCGTACTTCAGGTCCCTGTGAGCCCCTGGGGTCCTACACAACTTGGGGTAATGCTATGGTCACCTGCATCCCCTCCTCTCCAGCCCTCACCTGGTT
Organism: Homo sapiens; assembly: GCF_000001405.40. Classification (NCBI taxonomy): domain Eukaryota; kingdom Metazoa; phylum Chordata; class Mammalia; order Primates; family Hominidae; genus Homo; species Homo sapiens. The sequence continues at coordinate 78,780,190 of NC_000016.10, forward strand.
TTCTCTTCTCCTTCCAAGAAAAAACACCCATACCATTCTTAACATCTCTGGAAGCTGGGGGTCAGGAGAGGGAGATCCATAAAGTTCTTGTCTTCCCCGACTCAAGAAGCTTAAGGGTACATTCACTCACTCATGAATTGACTGGTTTATTCATTCACTGGTTGATTAATTCATTCATTCACTGGTTAATTAATTAATTCATGTCATCCTTTGGATGTCTTGCAGAGCTGAGTGCTGAAATAAAATGATAAACAAGTCAAAAACAAAAAGGCCTCTGACTTAACAGGACTTCCGTGATGCGGGGGAAGAAGACAATAGGCAAGTAAGCAAGTAAATATACAAGATAAATAGAAACTGTGATGAGGGAGTTAAAGAAATTAAACTGGTCCTTGTGGAAGCAACTTCGGGGGAGGAGGAAAGACAGGGAAGACCATTTTAAGGAGGTGATGTTTGAACTTAAGAATCAAAAACAGTGCAAGCGCTGCATGGGGGAGAACAGTCTAGGCAAGGTGAACGGAAGTGCAGGGTCCCTGAGGCAGAAAGGAGCTCAGCCTCTTTGTTAGCTAGAACAAGAAAGGGGCCCGTATGGCTAGCATAGGATGGGATAGGGGATCGTGGTGGATACCAGCTAGGATTTCACTGTAAAAGAAGAAAGGAAGCCACTGAAGGGCATTAAGCAGGGCAGTGATGTTTTTTAAAGATCTGTCTGGCTGCCTTGGGGAGCATGGGTTCAGAGAGCAGCAGCAGAAGTGTGCAGGATGACTTGGACTGTCACCTTGGGGCCAGCCTGCAGACTGGTGTGGCCGAAGGAGTGCCGTGACTCCTCTGCCACCTCTCCACATTTGGAAGATTGTTTTGCAGCTGCAACCTCAAAACAGAAGCCTCCTAATTACCAGGTAGCTTTCTAGAGCCAAACAAATGCTGTTGTTTCTGACAGGTAAATCAAGACAGGGAAATGATGACACATTCACCACAACTGAAGTGTTGATGGGGTGTGTTGTGACCCCTGGCTTGTTCCAAAGCCTATGTGGGTGGGAATTCTTTAATGTCTGCCTGGAACTGGGCACTCAGCTATAAATAGAGCTATTTTGGAAATTCTGCACCTCAATTTCTAAAAAGTTGGAAGGACAGGAAAGGGGAGCTGTGTTTGAGATCTCAGAAATCTGCACCCCACCTTGCTATCCACCACTGGTATTCCGTCAGTCTTACTACCCCCTCCCACCTCTAGCCCACCCTCTACCATCCTCACCAGGAAGGAGGCTGCATTCATTTCAAGAACTGCTTTTCTTTTATCAGCTGGCATTACTAGGTATAGACATTATGACCCTTTAATGGGCGATGGGTTAATACCTGTTGCTTTTGTGTGCTTCCTATTTAAAACATGTTTATCTATCCCCCACCCCCACTTTATCCAAAAGTTATTCAGTGTTTTACAAAGACATGAATATTGGGCCGGGCTTGGTGGCTCATGCCTCTAATCCTACCTGAAGCAAGAGAATCGCCTGAACTTGGGAGGTAGAGGATGCAGTGAGCTGAGATGGCACCCCTGCACTCCAGTCTGGGCAACAGAGCGAGGCTCCATCTCAAATAAAATTAGTCAGTCAAAGACATGAATATTTTCTTCTAAGTAGAAGTAATGATGACGATGATGGTAGCAGTTATGAGCAGGTAACATGCATTGAACACTTATTTGCTCCATGCAATGTTCACAGGTCTTTACATGTAAAAACAACCCTGTAAAATAAATAACATTATTCTCTTCATTCTCCAAGTAAGCTGAGGCAGAGGATTCCAGCACAAGCAATTTGGTTCCAAAACCTGCCCTTTTAACCTCTACCAGATTTTGGTGAACTCTCTGTCTTTGGAAGGGTAGGTGGCGGCTGCGGGGAGAAATAGATGAAGCTGTTACATTTGGCAGCAAATGTAAATCACCACCTTCACTGGCTTTAATTTCCCCCTCCAGCCTTCTCGCCTTGCCATCACCTTCACCCTGTCCTTCCTCTTCAGGCCACCTATCCCTTCCGATTGACCCCACTGGACTTCTCTGCTCCTGGCTTCTGTCTTCCCTCTAGTGACCGCTGTCTTTACCTTCAGCTGCACGAGCTTTTTCAAGAACCTTCTTGCTCCCTCTCCATCCTCTCTGTTTTCCTACTTTTCTTTGGCCACTGTTTTTGCCACAGCTTCTAGGATTTCTCTTTCCCACAATCTAGGAGAAAGGTAGAGCTCTCTTATGCTGGGGCAACGCTACCAACATTGGTATTCCACAGCATTCCAACGATTCTAAATACTCTCCCAGAGTAGGGAGGAAAAATCATCCAAACTACTTGGTAATTGAATTCAAGAGTGATGGACCAAAAATTATTAATGCATTCCCTTCCGTCCACCAGCCAAAGAGGATTCCATCTTTATTCTCCTCCCAAATGCAGGCTCCATTAACCTTTTACCTTTCTTTCTTTCCGGTCTTTCTTTTCTATATCTTTTTTTTTTTTTTTTTGCATTTTTCCAATTGTGATCATACTATATATGCAATTTGAGGTATTTCAGACAACATTATTACATCATTACAGAAGTCTCATATGCTGTATTTTATAAATATGTGATGCAATCAATCATTGATAAGATGTACTGTTATTTTATGTTTCACTAAGAGTGCGAAGAACATTGTTAATTATACAATGATCCAAAAATGTCTTCTCTCTCAGAATGTATTGTTTTATATCTATTACAAAGGCTCTTTTGACTTAGGCATAGATTTCTCATACATCAGGCCATTTCTATGCCTGCCTGTGAACACAGGGATTTTGAATTACAATACTGAATCCTAGTGTGATCTTTCTGAAGTCATTTTAATTATCACTTAAACTCAATATGGAAAGCATCAGCAATGCACCTATATGCACAAAAATGAGCAGCTATGATCAAGTTATCAGGAAAAACCAAAACAAAACAAAAGCACATCTCCATCATTTATAATGGCCCATCATTTATAATGGCTGCCTGATAATTGGAGATACATGCACCAGACTTGACTTAACTGTTCTCTTAGTCATCAGACATTTAGATTTCAACAGGCTCCTGTTAAGCTCTCCTTACAGTGTGTGTGGCACTGTGCAGTTGAATGAAACATGCCATGGCCAGTGGAGACAGGCTTGGGCTGATGGAGAGGGCCTACAGGGCCAGGCCTTGAAGGGGAGGGAAATTGTTAGCTACACGACCAAGAGACAGAAGAGAGGAAGGAGTTTGTACCCACAACTCAGCTTTATTTTATGTAAGCTCTTTCTGCAAAGGGAAAGTAGCTCTTTGTACCAAAGCAAGGGCCTCTGAATGAGAGCTGGGAGAGGCCAGAATGGGCCTGTAAGAGGTTGATGTGTATGAGACCTGAAGCCCTATGCCTTTGGGAAGGAGAGGAAGGAGTAATATTTGTGTGGTACAAAGGATGTGCCTGGCATACCCCATATCTTTTACAAAGACATAAATGTCTTCTGAATAAAAGTATGATGATGATGATCATGGTGATGAAGATGAGGGTGATGATGTTGATGTTGATGATGATGGTGATGGTGATGATGGTAGTATGATAATGCTGATGGTGGTGATGGTGATAGGAGGGTGATGGTGATGATGATGGTGATAAGATGCTGATGGTGGTGATGATGATGGTGATATGACGCTGATGATGGTGATGACGATGATAATGGTGATGATGGTGATGACGATGGTGATGATGATGTCGATAATGATGGTGATGCTGGTGCTGTTGGTGATGGTGATGCTGGTGATGATGATAATGATAGTGGTGATAATGTTGGTGATGGTGGGATGATGTTGATGTTGATGATAATGATGATGATAGTGATGATGATATCAACAGATACCATGTACTGAGCACTTACTTTGTACCATGCAATGCTTATGGTTTTTTAAATGCATTTACACCAAATTCTTATAACAACCCTATAAGTCAGTGCCATTGCTTTTCCCATGTAACGTGCACATCATTCAATCACTCAACCCTTGTCATAGGTAGATACTATTATCCTCCTTTTATAGATGAGGAAACCTTGGCTTAGAAGGGATAAGCTCAAGTTCACAGGCAGAAAAGAGACAGCCAGTCAAGCCCTGACTCCTTTTGTGACCCTGATGAGATTACAGGTCCTCAGTCTCCTCATTGTATCTGAAGACTAAAGAATCAGAAATCTGTGACTCCACTTAGTTTTTCTCCACCCAGGAGCCCTTAGGCCGCTGGTGAGTGAAGTTCTTACCCATTAGGGATTATTAATATACTAGATAAGAGTACAGTCTCTGGAGCTAGGCTTGTGACTTTGAACAAATTATTTTATCTCTCTGAGCTCAGTCTCCTCATCTACAAAGGGGGAATTGATAATAGGAATTGTCGCAAAGAGCTGTTTTAAAGATTAAATGAGATAATAGATATAAAGCACTTAGAAGAGAGTTTGGCATTTGCTAGGCTCACAGTCAGTGTCAGTGGTTCCCAATGTTACTGTTTTAGCTGCCCCCAGTCAGGTGGTTGATGAGTTGGGGAGCCTGGTGGGCAGTCTGGAAGAGAGCACAGTGACTGCAAGGTCAGCTCCTGACCTTCATAATAAGGACTCACATGTGTCGGTCCCAAGGATCCCCAAGGGATACTCATGGTTGAAGGTGTCTATGTGTTCTCCTTGGTGTCCAGCGAATGCCTCTTGACAATCTGTGGTCATACTCACAACCTATGACCACATACGAGGAAGCGAGGTGTCCCTTTTGCAGTTGTTCAGAAGGTCCCGTGGGCAGGAGCAGCCAGAGGAACATGAAACCAGCTCGTAGGTGGTACTTGTGGCAACAGCAGTTATAGCCAAGGAGAAGTTAAATTCTAAAGACTTGGGCAGTCTCCAGGGAATATACTAACTGAGAAATAACATCCATAAAAATAATTCAATACTAGTATGTAAAACTAAAAACAATAACCAAGTGTGACTGGCTGTCTAAGAATTAAGCAAAGTAAGATGAAGTGTCTTTTGCTAGCAGGCGCTCTCAGCAAAGGAGATAAGGCTGCAGTAATTCTCTTCCCACCTTCGATGGGCAGGTGCAACCTTTGGCTGCAGAAATTCTCACTTCCCAGCAGCAGCTTTGAGCACCCTGCTCTGAATGTTTCTTGGGCAGCAGCAGCTAGGGAAGAAACTCAGTTAAGGCTGTTTGAGGACCCAAGGTGGTCTCACTCTGCAACACACATCGGCAGCCAGTGGTGTGCTGGTAAATGATTAACAACTGGCTCTCTGAAAAACAAACAAACACATTGTGCACCTATACATGTACACACACAGCTTATTATTTATTATTTCTCTGAAATATGGGTAGCATATAATTTACAAATAAGAAGAAGAATAGTATACACAGTACTGTTTCTTATAAATTCGAGATAGTCAGTTTTTACCAAATGCTTCTGATTTTTGCTGCGCTATTATATCCATTACAAAACCATTGTTGCAGTATAAAATTGCAGTATGTAGCTGTGACATGAATATTGGTTGATATTTTCATTTTTATTAAGAAGTAAGGCAAAAACAAAATAAGACATATGTCAGAACTTCACTTATCCTTCTTTGCTGAATTGGATAATGGTTTTAAAATACCAAAAAATATTTCTTCAATTTTTTTCTGCTACTCATAATGTAGCATCTGTAGAGCGACACACTTTTGAATTTGAGTTAATATTTCTTTTTTATTTTATTTTATTTTTTGAGATGGAGTCTCATTCTGTCGCCCAGGCTGGAGTGCAGTGGCGCGATCTCTGCTCACCGCAACCTCCGCCTCCTGGGTTCAAGCGATTCTCATGGCTTAGCCTCCTGAGTAGCTGGGAATACAGGCACCCACCACCACGCCTGGCTAATTGTTTTTGAATTTTTAGTAGAGGCGAGATTTTCCCGTGTTGGCCAGGCTGGTTTTGAACTCCTGCCCTCCGGTGATCTGCCTGTCTCCGCCTCCCAAAGTGCTGGGATTACAGGCGTGAGCCACCGCGCCTGGCCTGAATTAATATTTTCTACCCCACTTTCTTAAGTCGAGACAATCAATAAAGCAATAAATGACACCTGGATTTGTAGCGAATGTCTATTTCCATGGTGTAAATAGTGGTACCCTGAGCAATTTTAAGTTATAAATATGAGATCACTGAAAGTGGAGTTGGGGAACACGTTATTATATAGTATTTTCACCACACACAGGATACAGTCAATGACTTCAAGAGCATAGGTAACAGTAAAATGTAGTAAAACAATTTAGAAGTCATGAGTTTTGAGTACTTAGTACTTTTTAGTATGATTTATTTAATAGTAACCTTATATAATGTTTTTCTTTTAATTGTTTTATTGAGATGTATTTCATACACTTTCCAATAAGCCCATTTGAAGTGTAACATTCAACTTTTTTTAGTATATTCGCATGGTTATGTAATTTTCATCAAAATCTAATTTTAGAGTATCTTTTTGTCCCCGTAAAAGTAACTCTGTGCCCATAGTTGGCAGTTTGTCATATCACTCAATCACTGTTTCCTTTAAAGAGCTTATCATTAAAGACAGCAGGCAGTTACACAACATCTTCTACATGCCAAGAATGTTTCTAATACATGCTTTATGGATTTTTAAATTGTGGTAAGATTTACATAATGTAAAATTTACCACTTTGGGGCTGGGCGTGGTGACTCACGCCTGTAATCCCAACACTTTGGGAGGCTGAGGTGGGTGGATCACTTGGGGTGAAGAGTTAGAGATGAGCCTGGGCAACATGATGAAACCCTGTCTCTACTAAAAATACACAAATTAGCCAGGTGTGGTGCTGGGTGCCTGTAATCCCAGGTATTCAGGAGGCTGAGGCAGGAGAATCGCTTGAACCTGGGAGGCGGAGGTTGCAGTGAGCCAAGATTGCACCACTGGACTCCAGCCTGGGCGACAGAGTGAGACTGTGTCTCAAAAACAAAAATAAAACAAACAAAACAAAAAAAGTTCACCACTTTGACCATTTTAAAGTGTAAAATTCAGTGACTTTTAATACGTTCACAATATCGTGCCACAATCAGCAGCCATTTCAGAACATTTTTACCATCCCCCGCTAAAGAAACACCATATCCATTAAGTGGTCATTCCCCATTTCCTCCTTCCCCCAGCCCCTCATAACCACATCTACTTTGTGTCTCTATAGATTTGACTATTCTGGATATCTCATATAAATGGAATCACACAATATGTGGCCTTTTGTGTCTGGCTTCTTGCTTTTAGCATGCTTTCAAGGTTCATCCATGTTGTAGAATGTATCAGTACTTCATTCTTTTTATGGTTGAGTGATATTCTGTTACATGGATATACCACTTTTTGTTTATCCATTTGCCAGTGGGTGGTCATTGTGTTTCTACTTGTTGGCTGTTACGAATTATGCTGCTATGATCATACATGTACTGTTTTTATGTTTTCTGCAAACTCCTGTTTTCCATTCTTGGGCATATTTTGGGGAGTGGCATTGCTGGGTAATATGGCAATTTTATATTTAACTTTCAGAGGAGCCACCAAATTGTTTTCCACGGAGGCTGCACCATTTTATATTTCCACTTGCAGTATATGAAGGTTCCAATTTCTCCACATCCTTGCCAACACTTTATTTTCTGTTTTCTTTGAAGGTATGAAATTGTATCGTGGTTTTGATTTGCATTTCCCTCATGATTAATGATGTTGAGTATTTTTATGTGGTTATTGGTTATTTGTATCTTTTTTAAAATAGAAATGTTGATTCAAGTCCTTTGCCCAGTTTTTAACTGGGTCATCTGGCTTTTGTTGTTGAGTTGTAAAAGTTGTTTATATATTTTGGATACTAGACCCTTATCGTATAAATCCTTTGCAAACATTTTCTCTCAATCTATGGGTAGGCTTTTTTACTCTTTTTATAGTGTCTTTTGATGAACAAAGATTTTAAATCTTGATGAAGTCCCCTTTATCTATTTTGGATGTTGTTGCTTCTGTTTTTGGTGTTGTATCTAAGAATCCATTGCCAAATCCAAGGACATAAACATTTACTCCTGTGGTGTTATGATATATATAGGGTTCCTGGCTCATAACTCTCATAGCCCTTGTTGCAGTCTATTGTTACAATATTGCCTGTGTTAGGCATCAGGAAACAGAATCTCTTTGTCTCCTGTCCTTCTTTCACCTGCCCCAAGGCAGGACTCTAATCTTCCCCACCTTTTTGATTGTGAGTCTTCAGACCCTCCCCAGAGAGTCAGTCCTGCCTTATGCCCTGGGGAAAGGAATGCTGACCTCATGAAGCTCCCATAAAAACCCAAGAGGGCTGGGTTTGGGAGCTTCCAGATAGCTGAAGACAAGGAGGTTCCTGGAGCGTGGCTGCCTAGGAAGGGCTGGAAAGCTCCATGCCCCTACCCCATACCTCGCCCTATGTGTCTTTTCATCTCTGTCCTTAGTACTGTCCTTTATAATAAAGCAGTAAGGGGTAGCAAGTGTTTTCCTGAGTTCTGTCATCTGCTCCAGCAAATTAATCAAACCCAAAGAGGGGGTTATGGGAACTTCCACCTGAAGCCCCTCAGCCAGACATTCTGAAGTCTCTGACTTGCTATTGGTGTCTGGGGGTATGGGGGGCAGTCTTGGGGACTGAGCCTCCAACCTCCAACTAACTCCACGTAGACAGTGTCAGGATTGAATTGGAGGACTCCCAGCTGCTGTCCCCTGCTTAGTATGTGGGGAAAGTTGAGTTGTAAAAGTTGTTTATATATTTTGGAAACTAGACCCTTATCATATAAATGATTTGCAAACATTTTCTCTCATTCTGTGGGTAGTCTTTTTATTCTTTTGATATCATCTCGTGATGCACAAAAGTTTTAACAACAAAAGTTTGGGTGTTGTATCTAAGAATCCATTGTCAAATCCAAGGTCATGAACGTTTACCTCTGTGGTGTCACCCCTCCTCTCGCATTTGGTGAGAGGAGTCTTCTGTGTTGATTGTCATGGTGGTGTGAGAGCAGAAGGGAAACATGGTTTCAGAAAAGAGTTTTTCCCTGAAACCACCCCTCTATTTTCTTCTCAGACTTTTATAGTTTTAGCACTTATGTTAAGACTTTTGATCCATTTTACGTCAATTTTTCTATATAGTTTAAGGTAGGCATTCAACTTTGTTCTTTTGAATGTGAATATCCATTTGTCCCAGAAGCATTGATTAAAAAAGATAATTCTTTCTCTATTAAATGGTCTTTGCACCCTTATCAGAGATCAATTGGCCATAAATGTAAGTATTTCTTTCTGGACTCTGAATTATATCCCATTGATCTGTATGCCTGTCCTTATGCCATTGCCACATTGTTTTGGTTACTGTACTCTGTGTAAGTTTTGAAATTTGGAATTGTGAATTCTCCAACTTTGTTCTTCATTTTCAAGATTGTTTTGGGTATTCTGGGTCCCTTGTATTTCCATTTGAATTTTAAGATCAATATAATTTAAATTTTAATCATGGCAGTGTTCAATAACTGGCTTGCATATTTTTTGAACAGTCATCAGCTCTTGTGAGCCACGGTTGGCCAGCTCCCAAACACCATGACATACAACTTGCAGGAAAAGCTCATTTTCCAGTTTTTCCCCCTCCAGCTGTAGGGGATATATTTTCGTTAATTCCTGTGACCATATGGCAGCATGGTTAGGATCTTGGGCTTCCAAATCAGACAGTTGTAAACTTAAACTCCAATTCTGCCACTTATTGTGTCACTTTGGACAAGTTACTTCACCTCTCCAAGCCTCAGTTTCCCTGACTATAAAATGCTAACAATAGTTGTTCTTTCCTTATTGGACACTCAAGAGGATTAAATATTATTCATGTAAGGCTCTTAGTATAACACCTTGCACATAGGAAGCATTTAATACCTAAAATCGAGTACTGTTATTGTTTCAGGATTATTATTTTTTTTAAATTTATTTTATTTTTTTGGGACAGGGTCTTGCTCTGTTGCCCGGGCTGGAGTGCAGTGGTGCGATCTCAGCTCACTGCAACCTGCTTCCTGGGTTCAGGTGATTGTCCTGCCTCAGCCTCCCTAGTAGCTGGGATTACAGGCGCACGCCAGCACGCCTGACTGATTTCTGTATTTTCAGTAGAGATGGGGTTTCATCATGTTGGCCAGGCTGCTCTCAAACTCCTGACATCAAGTGATTTGCCCGCCCCAGCCTCCCAAAGTGCTGGGATTACAGGTGTGAGCCACCGTGCCCAGCTCAGCATTATTATTTTTAGTCTACACACAGTGAACTTAAATCTCCTCTAGAAAAGTCAGAAGGTCTACCTACAACTTTAAGAGTTCAGCCAAAAGAGACCAGTATCTACTACCGTGGACAACCCTATTTAACATGGAGGAGATAAGCAGAAACTGAAAAGAGGAGCCTGTTTTCTCTCTGGCAGATTAATTTTCTTTCTTTCTTCACCCATGCCTTGGACATGAAACACAAGTACAAAGGTTCAGAGAAAATCAAAACAAGACTGTGGTTTACAAATAAGTAGTACTAGTAACATCTCACTGTTGGCTGGGCACAGTGACTCATGCCTGTAACCCTAGCACTTTGGGAGGCAGAAGTGGGAGGATCACTTAAGCCTAGGGTTGAAGACCAGCCTGGGCAACATGGTGAAACCTCATTTCTACAAAAAATACAAAAATTAGCCGGGCGTTTTGGTGCTTGCTTGTGGTCCCAGCTACTCAGGAGGCTGAGGTGGGAGGATCACCTGAGCCCAGGAGATGGAGGTTGCAGTGAGCCAAGATTACACCATTGCACTCCACCCTGGGTGACAGATCCAGACCCTGTCTCAAAAAAAAAAAAAAAAAAAAAAAGTGAAAAAAAGGAAAATCTTCGTTGTTCTTCATCAGAAGCCTCCACACAGGGCCCCTGAAGGAAGGGCAGGGAAGAAGGGGGTTGGAGGTCAGTGGGAGGAATAACTCTGTGACTCAGTGCTTTCCTGACTACCATCTGGATGTGGGCTGTATCTGCGTAAGGTGCCGGGACAGGGCGGCCTCATGAACTCATGGGAAGCAAACACACACCCTCCCTCCGATCCACCAGGCACTCGGGTTTCCTGTGTGTCTGGTGATGTGCTGGGTGTTGTGGATCTGGACTCAACGGCAGTCTCAGGTTTATGTATTAGGAAGCATTCAGCAGGCAGGAGCAGCCGATCTGAGACTGGCATGGGCAGTGGAGACATCATTCATCTCCTGAAACGTAATTTGGAGGAGACTGTTCCAGGGCTGGCTGAGTGACTCCTTGATGTCAGCACTTTGCCCTGTCGTGGTCTTGGCCTTTCTCTTGTGTTCCCCAGATGGGTTTCACTGCTCTAAGGATCATACCTTCGCAGGCCATCTGAAGTTAGTGAATCTGAGGCAAACAGAAGGGCTGGGTGCGGTGGCTCATACCTGTAATCCCAGCACTTTGGGATAATGAGATGGGTGGATCACCTGAGGTCAGAAGTTCGAGACCAGCCTGGCCAACATGATGAAACCCCGTCTCTACTAAAAATGCAAAAAATTAGCTGGGATTTGGTGGCGCCTGCCTATAATTGCAGCTACTTGGAAGGCTGAGGCGGGAGAATCACTTGAACCGGAGAGGCAGAGGTTGCAGTGAGCCGAGATCGCGCCACTGCACTGCAGCCTGGGCGACAGTGAAACTTTTGTCTCAAAAACAACAACAACAACAACAACAAACAAACAAGAAACAAAAAATACATAGAAGAGGCCTTCTCTTCACAAGTTTTTCTTATTGTTTTTTGTTTTTTTAAGGGAGGAAATTTCTTTCAGAAGTCAGTACTGGACATTCCCTTATTTCACCTTGAGCTACACATCCCATAGTCAGCTTAGCCCTGTCCCTGGTGCGGGGGAGCAGGACGGTTGCCTGTATCCCTTAGTCATTGCCGCAGGCTTGCTGCATCACAAACCACCATTAGACCTCAGTGGCCCGCAGCAATAAACATTCGATTCTCGCCATCTCTGGGTTTGAGGTGACCTTGGCTAAGCTCCCCTGCATTGCTCTGCTCATCTTTCTCACGAGTCTGGCAATGGGGCTGGGAATGGGCTGATCTAGGCTGGACTTGGCTGGAGTAACCCAGCCCCACCTTGGATCTCTCTCCTCTACTTCCCACATGTATCCTTTTCATGGTTAAAGGTAGAAACAGAAAAAAACAGGCAGAAACATAAAAAGCTCGGAGATGGCTTCCTATTGCTTCTTCATTCTGGGCCAGAGCAAATCATATGGTCGTACTCCAGGGTGAGGAAGTATGTCCCACTTACAGACTGAAAAGGTGCTGCAAGTCTGCACGGCAGAGGGCATGGATAAGGGGTTCGTAAAAACTTAGGGCCATTTAATACAAATTTGTCACATCACACTGGCTTGGATTGATTTTGATTCATTGCTCTGTCGCCCAAACAGAATTATAATTATTTTAGTAAGGAAAGAGGAAGGATACCTTTGGGGCAGACAATGGATAGAGCTTACTATACAAGTCTATAGAGGCATCTCACCTGTAGAAATCTTAAGATGAGGGTTAGCCAAAGCAAAGAGTGGTTCAGGGTGGGAAAGCCAAGGAAGGCCAGGATCCTCACCAAGATTGCCAGCAGGGAGCTCTGATTGTCCACAGCTCTGCTCTCTGCTCACCCCGGGGATTTAGCAGTAACAGAATCCACACTAGAAGGACAGAGTGCTGTACAGACAGAAGGAAAGACGCAGACCCAAACCTTGATAACCATGGCAATGCAATAGGAAATCTCTTTATTTCGTTGGTGCTCAAGTGATACCATTAAGTCCCTTAAGATGCGGAATTTCCTTGCCCCCGCTGCCCCCTTTCTTTCTTTCATCTTATCTATATATCTGTATCTATATCTAATCTATTTTTTGAGAAAGGCTCTCACTCTGTTGCTCAGGCTGGAGTGAAGTGATGCAATCTCAGGTCACTGCAACTGCTGTCTCATGGGATCAAGTGATCTTCACACCTCAGCCTCCCAAGTAACTGGGACCACAATGCCCAGCTAATTTTTATATTTTTTTGTAGAGACGGTGTTTTGCCATGTTGCACTGGCTGGTCTGGAACTCCTGGGCTCAGGAGATCTGCCTGCCTCAGCCTCCCAGAGTGCTGGGATTCCAGGCGTGAGTCACCATGCCAGGCCCCTGCCTCTGTTTAAATGCTCAAACTTGGTATGGAACTGCACAGACTATACGGCTGCTCTCCACTCAAGAATACAAATTGAACATTGACTTTCCTCATTTTTTATCCAGTTTTGCTTTCCAGAGACCCAGATATGGCTTCATTTTTTAAATGAAATTTTGCAGGTCATTAGCTCATAATGATTAAATGATTCTGGTTATTAGCATAAAACACAGCTGTAGTACATAAGAGGTAACCTTTATTGTTTAAATATTATTCAATGTGCCTACATAGCACACAGCAAAAAAAACTTTTTTTCAGACTATTCAGCCATTATGGAAATAACTTATAATTACATTCAGAAATGTTGCAAATGCAACTCATCCTTGCAGTGGGATAAACATTGCCTAGAAGGGTTTGAAGAGGAATCCAGGTTAGAAACAATGAAAATTTTTGGCTGGGCAAGGTGGCTCACGTCTGTAATCCCAGCACGTTGGGAGGCCGAGGCAGGAGAATCATTTGAGGGCAGGAGTTCAAGACCTCCTCATCTCTACAAAAAATAAAATATTTGAAAAAAAAAAGTGAAATTTTTGATATAGAAGAGGATGTAGGGCAGGTAGGGCTCAGAAAGACCCATGCCATATAGCAAAGTTCTTAGTAACACAGGCTTTGGGTTACAGCAGGCTAGATTCAAATCCTGCTGTGGTCAGAATGTCTGTGTCACCCCAGCATTCATTTGTTAGGAGATGGGGTCTTTTGGGAGATGATTTGGACATGAAGACAGAGCCTGCATAATTGCATGAGTGCCCTTATAAAAGTGACCCCAGAAGCTGCCTTGCTTCTTCCACCATGTGAGAAAACAGCAAGAAGAATATCCATGAATCTATGAGGAGGCGGGACTCTGGCCAGACATTGAATTTGCTGCTTCCTTGATCTTGGACTTCCCAGCTTCCAGAACCATGAGAAATAAATTTCTTTTTTTCAAAGCTCCCCAGGAGTCTCTCTCGGTCTGTTCTGGCTCAGGAAGCTGCCTTATTTGTAACAAACAAATAAACAAAAAACAAAATAAATAAAAGCTACCCAGCTTAGATTATTTTGTCATAAAAGCCCCAAAAGACTATGACAAATCCTTCCATCTATGTGTCCTTAGGCAAAATACCCAAACTCTCTGAATACCAATTTTCTCATCCAAAAAAATGGGTGAATAATATCTAAGAGGTAATAACCCTAATACCTCTTAGTGTTGCTGTGAGAATTAACTAAAGTACCATCTTCATGTGGTCAGCACAATGGCTGACACATAGCAAGACCTTGGTAAGTTATAGCTGTTGCTGTCATTCCTGCAGCTGTTATCTTTGTCATTACGCTTACTGTTATTATTAGCTCTGCTATCAGAGTGATGCTGTGGCTGGAGAAGATGGAGACCCATGTGTTCAGGCTGTGAGCATAGGCAGATCCTTTCTAATGCAGAAGGTGCAGACACAGGGCACAGAACTGCCAACTGTGGCTGCTGACACCTGTCTGACTTTGACTGGGTTAGTGACAAAGAAATGACTTGCCTTTTGTATGTTAGCCCTGTGCCTGGCATACTGCAAATATCTATGGTTGATAAATTAATGTTATCATCATCACGTAAGCATCTTGGGAAGTCTGTAAGTAATGGGAGTTGGAGGCTTAACACTGATCTTTGAGCTGGCGATTTTTCCAGCCAACTCATTTTGGACGTTGGTGCTTAAGCATATCCTGTTTTCGAGGGTGGTGTTGGTGGTGGAGGAGGTGATGGTGATGATATTGATAATGACAGCAAGAATGTCTTACATTTATAGAGTGTTCAAAAGGTGCCAGATATTGTGCTAAGTGCTTTGCGGGCATTATGTTATTCACACTTCACAGATATTCTCTTTCTACATGTAAGGAAAAAAAGGCATAAATACTTTATATAATTTACTCAGGATTTTAAGTAGAGGGTAGATTTTAAGTCCAGGCAGTCCAACCCCCTGAAAGCTGACTCTTTAACACCATATGCTTCTGTCTTCCTGGCTGTTTTGTGAATGAGTAGGATGGAAAGGAGATCCTTGAATTGGGAAGGCTACCCATGGACTACAACTAGTACTTGTCTTCAACCTCCATCTAGATGGAGTGCTCACAAGATCCTCTACATCAAACCTGGCTTCTTAGTCCACTGCTGAGTCTTCCCAATTCTGAAAAAAAGGATTCAGGGTATAATTTCTCACACAGATTTCTGGGACAGTGCTTTCTTGGAGCACCACGCCTCACTAATGGAACACTCATGTATAATTCTGGCTTTTGAATTTTTATTTTTTTATTAACATACACAGTCAGCATTGGGTGTGGCTCTGGGGATTCATTCTAGTGGGCAAGTCTCATATTTCTCAACCTCAGGTTTTTCATCTGTAAATGGGGACAATACTGACATCTAGCTAATGTCCTTGAGGATGGAATGAGATATTGAGTATAAAGTATCTAGTAGAGTGGCTAGCGTATAGTGAGTACCCAATAAATGCAATAGATGTTGGCTTTTATTACTGTCAAGTGGAAACAAAAGTATAAGGTTTAAGTAAGCGAACGAAATGGAAGATAATTGAGGAAGAAAATCAGATGATGTCTAAGATAAGGCAAAGAACATTTTGTGAATGTTTAAATATCCTAAGACCCACTAAGGAAGTTTGTGGCAATATTTGCTCAAAGACAGTATATATAATAAATACTTTAGACTGGCTAAGAGAATGGCTCTGAATGTCTACCTAGCTATCACATTTAGAAACGCCCCTTGCCTTCCTTCCAGGACTTTCTTCCTTAATCAGGATTGACTTAACTGTTAACTCCTAGAACTGTCGTTGATTGCTTGCTGAAGTAACAATTAGTATAGACATTCAGCAACTGGCCTCCCATACTGTGATTCACTGACCCAGACTTTGACATCTTGGGCTCAGCCATACCCTGGAGCCTCCAAATCCTCTGCTGGATCCTTTAAGTCCAGACATCTGACAGGGGAAGAAAAAGTACAAGTTTCCAAGGAGTTATTATAGGTCAAGCCTGGAAGCAGTGAGGTCACTTCCACCTGCTTCCCATTGGCCAGAATTCAGTCACATGATCACAACCAACTGCAAGGGATTCTGGGAAATGTAGTCTGGTGATGCCTCGAGGAGGCAAGAGAAATGTTTTCAGTGAACACATTGCCTTCTCAGGCTTGCTTTCTATTGTAGATTGCTTACAATATTGCTTTTAAATTGCATGGTCTTGTACAAATGATACGAGTTTTATTTTGCCTTTTGGAAGGAGTTATTGTCCATATTTGTTAGAGATATATCTGTTTATCAGCATCATTGCAAAGTATTAGAAAGGGCCCTGCCTGGGCTAGGAGCCAGAAGCATTCTTCAGTTCCCAACGGCCATCCAGCCACTCATTGCTGTGTGAGCTCTGGCTGGTCAGTAAGAACCTTTGATCCCATGTTTCTTTATCTTCTTCTTTTTTTTTTTTTTTTTAGCCATAGTCTCACTCTGTCACCTAGGCTGGAGTGCAGTGGTGCGATCTCGGCTCACTGCAAATTCTGCCTGCTAAGATCAACTGATTCTCCTGCCTCAGCCTTCCAAGTAGCTGGGATTATAGGCATGAGCCACCATGCCTGGCTAATTTTTGTATTTTTAGTAGTGCCGGGGTTTCACCATGTTGGCCAGTCTGGTCTGGAACACCTGATCTCAAGTGATCCACCCACCTCAGCCTCCTAAAGTGTTGGGGTTGCAGGCGTGAGCCACTGTGCTGGGCCCCAACTTTCTTTATCAATAGAAGTGGGGAAATCGTACCTGCCCTGTCTGCCTCATTGGATGTGGAAGAAATGACATAATCCATGAGAGTGGCTTCTGAATGAAGAGAACCTGCTAAAGGGAAGACATGATCTCAAGTCAGCCACCTCTGACCCAAATAAGAACACATAATTACAAGACTGTATTGTATAATCATGCAGGACACAAGGTATGCAATTTTAAGGGTCAAAGTGGTAAAAAAAAAAAAAAAAAAAAAAGGAAAATCAAATATAAAAAGGCAGCCCCGACAGGTACGAGCTTGTAGTCATTTCCCCAAATGCCTAAAGTAGACCCATTCCCATTGCTCTAATTTGTAGAGATGTTCTCGAGGCAGCCTGGAGTCAAGACAAGAGTGCCAGCCAGGATTGAGGCACTGTTCCAACTCCAGTCTGGCTGCTTTTTCAACCTGGGGCTTTAGTCATGTCAATATTCCTGAGCTTCCATGTGCTTATTTGAAAAATAGGAAGATTCGTCCAGTCTCAAGGAACTATGATAAGTAGCAAACAATATCCCAGAAAAATCTCCAGGCAAAAATCCACTGGAGGCCAGGTGCGTTAGGTCATGCCTGTAATCCCAGCACTTTGGGAGGTCGAGGCAGGAGGATCTCTTGAGGCTAGGAGCTCGAGAACAGTCTGGGCAACATAGCAAGTCTCTGTCTCTACAAAAAATACAAAAATTAGCTGCGCGTGGTGGCGCGTGCCTGTAGTCCTAGCTACTCAAGAGGCTGACATGGGAGGATTGATTGAGCCCAAGAGGTCAAGACGGTAGTGAGTCATGGTCACACCACTGCCCTCAACCCTGGGTGACAGGGTGAGACCCTGTCTCTAAAAACAAAAGCAAAGTCTACTAAAAATTCACTGGAGCTATGAGAAATCTTAGCCCATGGAATCCAGTCTTCTCCTTTTGTTTCTGGGGAAGCTGAGGTTCAGAGAGATGGGGTAGCTTGCTCATGTTATATAGGGAGCAAAGGACAGAGCTTGGACCAGAGCGCAGAGGTCATGATACCAAAGCCACGGCACCTTTGCCACAACGTGAGCAAGAAAGGATAGCCTTGTTATTTTTAATCCAAACTGAAGTTATGCTTTGGGCTTCCAGAATCTGGGTCAAAAAGAGTAGAAGTCAGGCTCAGATTGACGCTTTTCAAGAGAGAGAAAAAAAAAGAAAAAAATCTTGCCTTTCCCTAGCTAGAGGTCAGATGTCAAAAAAGCTAATAACACAACCCAAGGATGTCATCGACAAATGAAAAAACTGGTGCGATGCGGGAACAAAAGCTATTTTATCATTAATATGCCGCTTTTTTGTTATGTACTCATGCCCCAGAAATTATTGTACAGCCTGTACTTGAGTCCTTAGACAGAAAGCATCTTATCATTCACAAGCTTAGCTATGCAATATATTCCTCCCTCCCCCCAAGGTAGTTGTTGTTGGGTTTTTTTTTTTTTTTTAAGAGATTTACAGTGATCTTTCCATATAGGTTTTTCTCGAAACATATATATTTTTAATTTCTCACCATCTCAGGGGTAAATAAATATATTAAAATAAGCTATGGGATGTACAGCAGAGTATAACAATGATAAATGATGTTGTGTGTAATTTTTCTACTATTAACATAAAGTAATATAAACTGAAGGACACTGGTCTATTGAGAGACTTAGAAGCTAATGTTCCATATCAGATGCGGCCAATGTCAGGACTGAATACAGATTAGGCAGTGTCCTTTTCTCCCCAGGGGAATTAAAGTTTGAGACACCACTTGCTGCCAGTGGTTTTATGGCATTTTGTTGGGGCCGGTGGTGCCTTTCTTGGTCTATTAATTCAGGAGCCGTAAACAACAATGTGAGCAAAATGCTTTTCCGGTGGGATGCATTTCATTTATATGTGCTTGTATCGTCTATACCTTGTCAATCCATTTTGTCACAATAAGTGTTTTTAAATTGTGTAGATTACCTCCACTTCATTATGGTTCCTGGCATTTGTGTCTTATGCAAGGCTATTATGTGAAGTTAGGAAATATTTAAAACTCTGCCTTTCTAAAGAAACAGGGACACGGTGCAGAAAAGTTCATCTGGAGTTAGGCTTGTGTCTTGCCGTCTCTTTAACGGAGAGTTCATGGGCAGGGTACAGTCTGTGAGAAGGAATGAAAACCCCAGGGTAGATGCTAACAAAAATCACTTTTAAAAAATGTATGGTGTCCATCTGGGTTAGCAAACACATGCTCACACGTCTGTGCTTGCTGGATTTTTAAGAACTTACCAGCATTTAAGGTTTTCTTATGAAACTGATTTTACTCACCAGGGATAGAGTCTCAAAGTTGGAGGTATTTTATGTTGTTTTAAATAATATCGTCATCACATGTCATTTTAGACCCCAAAAGTCCACTCCGAATCTCTGCGTATGGAATTGAGGAGGGGTGAGGCTGTCAGAAGCCGAGGGACTTGGCCAAGGTCACATGGCTTTGGACGGCCCCCTGAACCTTGGAGCTCATGTTCTGTGGCACTTTGCATACTGACCTTTCTGCTCTTTTATGCTGCCTGCTCTCTAATATTGTCCAAAAACCTTCTCTAAAGAAAGTACACAAATGGAGAGAGGGGGAATTGGGCATGCCATTGGGAGAACAAATTTATTTAGATATCTTTGGCTGTGTTGACAGAAGCTGCCCAATTATACCCAATATACAAATTTTAAATGCATATTAGTCAAAGTTCCAGTTATGTAGCTTTAGAAAAATTTCTATGTGAATGACTACTTTTCCCTGAAATACGTCCTCCATCTCAGGCACTAGTTAGGAACTTCCCCCGCGTCTGGCATTGCAGGTCTGAGGTTCCGATGAACTCTTTTTTCTCTCCTTCCCCATTAAAATGGGCAGAAGGGAAGGAACACTTGGGTTTCATCAAGCACATTGTTATCCTTCGGGTTGGCTCTGAGATGATACGTTTGTCACGGTTCATAAATTTTATCTTTGCACTAAAAACAGGGTTAGAATATCTTCAATGCAATTATAAAAATGTATTAAAACTGAGAAGGAGAAAAAATATGGCGGTAGATGCGATTTTAATGATTGTGTAAATGTTCATTGTTCCATGGCAAAAAAAAAAAGTCGAGCTTTTCAGCCACAGTATTTCAGACAAATGCCAGGGCCTGTTTTTCTGTAAATGTGTACCGTGTGCTTTTAACACAAAGACAAATATGTTGCTTTAAAATTCCGCTTGGAATAGAGTGACCAGCTGTCGTTATATAATATCTGCAGGCTATGATTGTGTAGGTGCCTGTAGTCACTGGCTATGAAAATGGCCCCAAATAAAGTGGTATCCACACTTCTTCTTTCTCCTACGAATTTGGAGGTCTAGGAACGGGGGTAAGCCTATATGGTCATAATTAGCCTGCAAACGTGAATTAATATGCAGAATCTGTCCCCACTGTGATAGAATTTGCCATTCGCTTCCTTTGCTAAATGGCTTGCAGTGGCAGCTGACGGCCAAAGGGGAAGCTGAGAACAGCAAAGATTCAACTGAAAACATTTTAGGGGGTTCCTGACTTCAGGCCTCTTTTCAGAATGAGGGAATTGTCTAAAATCCCAAATGCATTCTTAGCTAAGGTCAGTGTGTCTGGGTCTGTGTCAGGCATGTAGCAGCCACAGCAAACTTCTCTTGAGATAGCATCTCCTCCCCAGCACTCACTTGACAGATTGTGGTCAGTCAACACTCAGTCTGATAGTTTAGAAAGCTTTTGCAAGGCATTCCCCAATATAACCATTAAGCATCAAACTCTCAAATGGAAGTTTCGAAAAACAGAAAAAAAAAGTGAGCATAAATGCAAACTATCACCCCATGTAATAGTTTATTTATTTCATGCTCCACTTTTCTGGGCAGTTTTGTTGTCATTCTCTCTCTACCTCTTTTTTTTTTTTTAAAGACAGAGTCTCACTCTGTTGCCCAGGCTGGAGTGCAGTGGTGCAATCTTGGCTCACTGCAGCCTCCACCTCTGCCTCCCAGGTTCAAGTGATACTCATCTCAAGTGGTTTCTACCTCATTAAAACAAACAAACAAACACCACTCACCATTTTTGTGGTGGGCATGGTGGCTCATGCCTGTAATCCCAGCTCTTTGGGAGGCCAACGCAGGTAGATCCCCTGAGGTTGGGAGTTTGAGACCACCCTGGCCAACATGGTGAAATCCCATCTCTACTAAAAATACAAAAATTAGCTGGGTGTGGTGGCATGTGCTATAATCCCAGCTACTCAGGAGGCTGAGGCAGGAAGGTCACTTGAACCCAGGAGGTAGAGGTTGCAGTAAGCTGATATCATGTCACCGCACTCCAACCTGGGTGACAAGGCTAGACCCTATCTCAAAAATAAAGAAACCCTTGCTATTTTAGCTTCCGATGAGGATATTTATCCTTCTAGCATTTGAATGCAGCCAAAGTCCTTACTGGGCAAATTTTTGAGCTCTCACCCCACATTAACAATTTCTCTCCTTAACTTTGTTTCTGAATGAAGTTATCCACAGAGTTTTAAAGTGAGTGGTGAGTTGTGGATACCTCTTCCGAGCAGGTGCACCCCCATCCTGCCATTGTCCCTCTCCTTAGTGTATATGGATTGATGACATTTCAGTTTCAGACAAAGGGACATTTCATTTTTTTTAGGAGATTAAAGCTGTGTAAGATATACAATTTAAACTGAATGTTGATATTTTATAGATTGTTGAGTCCGATTGTCCTGATCTAAAATTAACTGGTTTTGTGATTTGGTGTAAATCGCTTAACCTCTTTCAATGTTTTTTCAGCAAAATGGGGTAAGAACAGAATCTGCCTTGCAGAGAATTAACCGAGATGATGTGTGGAAAGGGCCTATCCCAGAGGCTGGTGTACCATGGTGGCTTCTCCTGGCTCTGCTGGTTATTATTATTAGCATTATTGTCATTGTGAAAGTGACAAGGAATGTGCCTGTGCGTGAATCTCACTCTTAGATCAGACGTGCTTTTGAAATATCCAGATATATACAACACAAAGAGCGAAGTTTGTTTTATATTTTGTTTGTTTAGGTTTTTTTTTTTTTTTTTTTTTTGGCTGGTGTTTACTGAATGCGTGCAAGGCTTTCTGTCACAGGCTCTGTGTTAAGATATTTAACGGGTGTTTCATTTTCCCAGCAATGCTATAGGACACAGAAAGGAACATAAATTGTTACAGAGAGAAAGAGGGTAGGTCTGTGAATGGAATTGAACAGGTAGGTTGAACAAGATAAATGCCGAGGAAGCAAGTGTATTTAAATAAACAGTTGTTTATGGAAGGCTTTGGAAATCCACTATATTAATCTGGAATTTTATGAAATTTTACCAGAACTTAAATTATTAATAGTTGAGGACAAAGACCAACCATTTTCCCCAAAACTTAGTCACTAGTTTTGTCCTTAACAACTAATTAATAAATATTTGTGAATATAGTGAGTGACTAAAGTAATGCATTAATGGTTGAATGGCTGGCCACCGTGCCTCATGCCTGTAATCCCAGCACTTTGAGAGGCCAAGGCAGGCAGATTACTTGAGGTCAGGAGTTCAAGATCAGCCTGGGCAATATGGTGAAGCCCCGTCTCTACTAAAAATAGAGAAGTTAGCCAGGTGTGGTGGTGGGCGCCTGTAATCCCAGCTACATGGGAGGCTGAAGCAGGAGAATTGCTTGAACCCAGGAGGGACAGGTTGCAGTGAGACAAGATGATGCCATTGCACTCCAGCCTGGGTCACAGAGCAAGACTTCATCTGAAAAAAAAAAAAAAAAAAAAAAAAAAACAACAAACAGAAAAATGAACGAGTGAGTGGCAAGAAAGATGAAATGATTTTCATCACCAGGCCTGCCATGGAATTCATGGTGCCTTGTACTGTGGCCAGTAGGTGCAAGAGTATCTAGTAGGTGCTTTATTTTTAAAAAATGTCTTGGAATCAGTCATAGTTTAATATCAATTATATATAAATTAGTCTTTCAGGATCCAACAGTTCTGATTTATTCCACTCACACAACAAGTCAGTTCTTAACACAAACCACATAGGTTCTTCCTTAAATAAAAAGCTGTGGCTATGAAGAAGTGAGAGTTTTTTTTTTTTTCCTCTCCAAACCACCACGTGCTCTTGTGTGTTATTGTAGTGGCTTCGCAGAGTATTTATTTGGCCAGAAAGTCTATAGTCAAATTGCTCTTCATTCTCAAGTGTAGTATTTATTTCTCCAGCTCATGCAGAATTCTGTTTTATATGGAGGTTTTAAATTTGTGCAGAAAAGTATTACGTGGGTTTCAAAGGTACTCTTTTTTCTTTTTTGAGACAGGGTCTCGCTGTGTTGCCCATGCTGGAGTGCAGTGGTGCGATCACAGCTTTCTGCAGCATTGACCTTGTGGGCTCAAGCAGTCGTCCTGCCTCAGCCTCCCAAGTAGCTTAGAACCACAGGCATATACCACCATACCTGGACATGTTTTTAACTTTAATTTTTATTTTTGTAGAGATGTGGTCTCCCTATGTTGCCC
The DNA here is from genome assembly GCF_000001405.40 of Homo sapiens. NCBI lineage: Eukaryota > Metazoa > Chordata > Mammalia > Primates > Hominidae > Homo > Homo sapiens. The sequence continues at coordinate 78,803,668 of NC_000016.10, forward strand.
AGGTTGCTCTCAAACTCCTAGGCTCAAGCAGTCTTCCCACCCTGGCCTCCCAAAGTGCAGGCATTTTAGGCATGACCCATCGTGTCCAGCCTAAATGGCATTCTTGGAAGTAAAACCACAGGGGATCTGTTGGAAGTGGCATGATGGAGGAATTTTAAAAGAATTGAACAAATAAAATAGTCAGAGCTCAAAAATTGAGTACTGCTTCGTTTCTCCCAAATAACCATCACCAGACAAACAGGTGTGTGTGTGGGTGGGGGAGGTGGCCTGGTGGTACTTCATGATCTTGGAAGAAGGAAGGCGCCCCTCCTTCTTAGCTGATTGATGATGAGATAGAAAGATAGAAACAGCCCCATCACTATGAGATGGAAACACTTCTTTCCTTCATCTGACTTCCCTCTCCTTCATTCCCAACCAAGTTTGACCCCGCCGCAGTGGAGATTGTGGCAGATGGGTCAGATAGCATGTGTCCTGTCGCTGTCACAACTTTTTAATAAGGGCTGGGGGTCCTCTTGAAGAGCCCAGGAACTGCAGTCCCTCCTCTATGCCTTCCCCTGAACACAGTGCGCCCTCACTAATAAATTCTGAGGGCTGACACTGCCTGAGCCGGCTGGTCTTTGCCCTCAATTTCATTGAGATGGGCCATTGAAAACTCATTACAAGCTGTTTAGACTCTGACTTTGACTTTTGCTCGGCAGCGAACAAAATTAACAGCTCTTGGAGGTAGGAAAAAAGGCGCTCAGCCAAATTAAAAAAAAAAAAAAGAAAGAAAGAATTGAAATGATGAGAAAAGACTTTTAATATTAACTCCATTAGTCATGCAAACAAGCGCACATGCGAAGCGCATATGTTCTGCGTGTGGCTCTCATTTGGAGCCTGATGAGAACTGTGGTTTCTCCCACTGGAGGGAAATTCATACCCAGGTCTTACACGTAGCTCAAAATGTTTTACATGTCAAGCAATGAGCCTTTGAGTGTAGCAGAATTGCTTCATAAATTTAACTATCACTTTCAAATTTCTGTTTTTTTTCTAATTTAGTGCTTGATAGTTTTTTATGTGATAATTTTAAAATGCTGTTTGTAGCAAAAGTTACCTTGATAGTTCAGGTGTGCAGAGAAAATTCACAGCCATCAATAGAAAAGAAAAAAAAATCCTGTTTATACCTTAGGCATTCTGTGATCCTTAGGATGTAGCCATGACAGTATTACGGGTTTTAAAAGCCACCCAAGTAATCTAAATTTCCTCCAAACTAACAATTCCTGAAAGATTGAAATATTGCTACCAATGTCTATGGATGGTTTCCATTGATATTTGGGAAGTTTCCATTTGTATTTGGGAAGCTTTGCATGAGCAAAATGCCCCTTTCTCCTGATATTTGCAACCCATCTTAAAAATAAAAGTACTTTTCTGCATGTGGTCTTGTACATGAAATTAAGAATATCACTACCAAAATATCAAAATTTAAGGACTAGATTGTGAAATGTTTAAGGAGGCAAAGAATATTTAACCAAGAAAGGAAAAGTGTATTTGAGAGAGACCTGATGAGTTCACCACTGCCTCTGGAGAATCAAATCCAAAACAGCATATATATGTATATTTTTTAGAGACGGAGTCTCACCCTGTCGCCCAGGCTCGAGTGCAGTGGCGCCATCTCAGGATCTCGGCTCACTGCAAGCTCCGCCTCCCGGGTTCATGCCATTCTCCTGTCTCAGCCTCCGGAGTAGCTGGGACTACAGGCACCCGCCACCTCGCCTGGCTAATTTTTTTTTTTGTATTGTTTGTATTTTTCATATTTTTCGTAGAGTCAGGGTTTCACAGTGTTATGCAGGATGGTCTCGATTTCCTGACATCGTGATCCGCCCGCCTCAGCCTCCCAAAGTGCTGGGATTACAGGCGTGAGCTGACGCTCCCGGCCTACAGCATAGATTTGAGGCATCTTGAAGGTAGATGCAGAAGAGTGGGATCTACTTTGGATTTTTAGATTAATCACTGTTAAGACTTAAACAGCTTCTTATTTGGGTGAAACATGGGAGTGTCAAAAATAAGTCACTGTCACTCTTTGCCAACTTCCTTTAACTCTTTATACGGCTATATCTCCATAGATATCCAGTTTTTGTTTTGTTTTTGTTTCTGTTTTCAGTTCCTCTCCAAACTGTCAAGGACAGTGCCAAGATCTGCGAATATAGAAAGATTAAGAGTTTTTTTCTGCCTTGTTGGGTCTTCTTTCTAGCATGCCAGGAACATTTTTCTCATCTTTTGAACATTAGGGAATAACACCCAATGCCACCCTATAATCTCGAGACAGAAGTGGAGGATCCTCTTAAGACAAGAAATCTTTCAAAGCCAAATAATGAATTAATCCAAAGCCACTTGAGGCTCTAGATAGATCTTAGCAGTCAAAGCAATAAATATATAATCCCATAAATCTAAACTTTGTGGTATATTCATTAGGCTGTCTGTTTTCTTTTCTTTCAAATGTTTCACTTAATTCCCTGATATAATAAGGCTTCCAAATTCTTGGTGTTTTTCTACAACCAAGACCTTGAACTTTTTCCTCTCAGGATTTCTTTCATGAGAACCCATTTTCTGGCCATTTGGATATCATTGATGAGGGAATTGAAGCATTTCCCTATTCTTTAGAGTTTCATTAAAGTTTGACTATATTCCAGTAACAATTGTTGCATAACAAACCACCCCCAAATTTAGTGGCTTAAAACAACAACATTTATTTTGTTCAGGAATCTGTAGTTTCAGCAGGGCTCTGAGGAACAGCTTGTCTCTGCTCCAGCATCAGCTGAAGCAGCTTGAAAGCCAGGGTCTGAGATCATCTGAAGGTTGTTCACTCATGAGTCTGAGGATTGATGCTGACTGGTGGGTGGGACCCTTGCTGGAGGGTCTATTGGCTGGAACACCTACACATTGTCTCCATGTACCCTGAGCTTCCTCACAATATGGCGGCTGGGTTCCAAGGGTGAGCGTCCCAAGAGAAAGAACCAAGCAGATGCTGCATTGCCTTTTATGGCCTTCCATAGAAGTTACATAGCCCTAGGTTTTCCTGCATTCTATTTTTTAGGCTGTCAGACCCACCCCAACCAGGTTTGCAGTGAGAGGAAATAGACCCCACCTCTTCTGGAAGAGAATGTGGGACTGGACATACTGCCATGGCCACTTTTGAAAGATGCAGTCTGCCACATAAGCAAACAGTTCGTGTCCTGCAGTGGGATATTGGGAAAAGAATGGTATTTGGCAAGGGGTCAGGAAACCTGCTTTTGAATCCTACCTCTGCCTCTTACTAGCCACATGACTGGGTCTTAGCATGCTCATCTATGAAATGGGGGACACTAATGCTGACCCCACATTTGTGCTGAGGATTATGCAAATAAAATCTGTAATTTGTGCAAGCATCCACCAAGTGCCTGGTGCAGACTGGATGCTCAATAAGTCTTTGGTGGGTCCATGTATTGAATTGGAATCTGCACATTATGGCCATTATTTAGGTTTCTTGTGTCCTAATCTATGTCACTGAGTACATCCTTGCTGTTTTTCATGAATTTTCCACTGAGTCGCAACATGCCACTGGCCAGTGAAGGTCAGGCAGGAAACAGATTAACAACATCTCATACCACAATGTCAAAATACTTAAAAGTGTTTACAGATGCCAGTGACACCCAGTGAATCTAAAACAAGAGGACCAGAGCAGAAGTAAAACTATTCTTGTTCTTCTAAGCTTGAACACAGGCCTTGATGTTTTATGATTGTTTTAAGGTCCATTAATCGCTGAATCATGAGGCCATGTAAAAAAATGACAGCTATAACATCAAGGGCCCGGGTTTATTTTAAATGTTTTTGCTTCTACATGGATTCTAATTAACGACAGTGGCTAAAACCTGATTCAAATGTGGCAAATGTGGAGTGCCATGGGATGAAGCCAGTCAATTTCATCTAGGAGCATTTTATGGCTTATGGAAAGAAATATTCTCTTAGATTGAAGGGCGCCAGCCTGTAATGGGCATCAGCTGATTCTCAGAAAGAAGAAACAACGTACTGTTACATAATTGGGGCTTCTCCAAAGTGGCCTGACCAAACTGTAGAGCTGCTTGTTTGTCTGATACGGTAGCCATTAGCCACATGTGGCTATTTAAACTGAAATGAATTAAAGTTGTATAACATTTGTAAAAATCACTTCTTCGGTTTCATTAACTAGCCTCATTTCAAGTGCTCAGTAGCTACATGTACCTAACACATTGGACAGCACGGTTACAGAACGTTTTCATTTCATCGGACAGTTTAACTGCTTTGGAGACTGGTTCTCCTTTTTCTTTTTCCATGTTCACTCCAGAATTAAAGTCAACCAGTTCAAATGTCCCATCTTTCCCCACAGACATTTGTGCTCAAAGGCATCCCCTTCCCCATTTGGAGACTCTCCTAGGGCCTAGGCCCAAGCAACCAGGACTCCCTGTAGTCAACCCCACTCCTCAATTTTTGGCACCCATGTTATTCCACCTCAAGATCATGTCCTCTTTTAACCCCTCTGAATATGCTCCTCCTGTGATACCCATAGGGACCCTGAACCTCTAGTCCTCAAGAGCAGTCATTCACCCCTTTGGACTATGGATCCGTTTGCAACCCAGGAACAACTACTGTATGGCCACTTCAAACCTGTATATGCTGCAAGTATTTTATTCTAGGTAGGGTAAATAATAGGTCTTAGATATAGGTGCAAATAATTTTCAAATATGGGTAAATGCTATTGGGATGTGTAAAGTAGAAATCCATTTTAAAGTGTTATTGAATCCATACTAACCTGATCATTACATATTTACTAATTGATGATTACTAAAAATGTGGACCTTTGTGAATTTCCGATGTCATAGAAGGGTGTTCTTAACTGGAAAAGTCAGTAGCCAACATTCTGGGAAGTAGAGGCCTCTTCCTCACTGCTTCATTGGTTTAAAATAAACTCCAACAGAAAAACATGCCATCATCTTTAATTTCCTGCATCAGCTAAGCATTTATTTCATGTAGTCCTCACACTAGATTGAGTGGTTCCATATTAATATCCTACGTCAAAGATGAGTAAATTGAGATGCGTAGGTTCTAATTTGCCCAGTGTCGTGGTGTGTGATCTTGACCACTAGCCTAAACTGCTATTTTATGTCCACCCATCAACCTCTACGGCTGCCCCTCATTTGAACACACAAAATATAGTTGTGTGGCTTGGTGGAGCCATCTAAATTCCGTTAGGCCATTTGCCAATGCTGCTATTAGGGGCGAAATGTCATGCGCTTGATCTAAATGTACTTAGGAGAATTCTCAGGACCTGATGAATTATTATTCGGAATTTTATGGCCTCACAGGTTGCAGGCTTCATACCAACTGCAGCTAATGAGCTATGGGCCCCGAGAAACACTGAGGACACACGGCGTTCTGCACACAGAGTGGGCTGTTTCTGTCTGTTCTCCCCCTGCACCCTTCTCAGATGCAATCTCAAGTCATAGGAGAACTTGTGCAAATGTTTCTCCTGGATGGTTTCCTTTAGAGCATGTGTCCTATAACTTGAAATGGTTGTCTGAGCAGAATGTTTTTAGAAGTTAGATTTTTTTAGGGGGGAAACAGGAACCAAAGCAAAGCCAATAGAGATCTTGAAAAAAAAAAAAAAAAAGAAAAAACCACCGTGGTATTCTAGGAAGAAAAAAGCATTTTTCGAATGAAAACTTTTTATTATATTTGATATATTCTGCTTCCCTTCCCTAGTATGTATTAATGAGATGAAATCACTTCTTAATTTTCAGGTTAATATTAAAGTTGAAGCCCATCCCTCTACCCTGAGGACTCTGCCAGCCTCTGGCAGTATTCCTTTCCAACTTCCACTTGCCCCAAATAGGTAGAAGTTAGCCTTTATTTTTGGTGTCATGTCTTCTTTCCCTCCTCCTATCAGTTTTTCAGAAACTCCAGAAATTTAACCTAGTACACAGGGGCCCCCCACCCCTGTTTCCAGATGCCTTCTAGAAAGAGGACTGGGAGTGTGAATGAGGCCATGTGGGCTTTGTTTGACCCTGTGGTTGTCATGACAATTTCTCAAAGCTTAGCTGGGACAGGAAGAAGGAAGGGGAGGATAGCGGTGTGTTCAGTGTGTGAGCTCCTAAAAGCTCTTGGGTCACTGTTCCCAGGGGATGATGACCCTCTATGGCAGATCAGTTGCATGTGCATATGAGCTTTCCCTCCTCCCGTGGGTTAGCATGTTCCACACTCACCTTCTCAAAGCAAAGTCTCCCTTAGGGGACCCTTGGTATCCTGTTCATCTGGCAAATCTCAGCACCAATAGAAACACCAAGAACATGGATTCATCAAAGGAAAAATGTTGAAGTTTCCATTTTTATGCTTCCTGGTAATCCTTCAGCCCTTGATGGAAATTTCCAGACCTAAACCAGTGAATTAAGAGTATGGGGAAGAGGAGCCCTCATACAGTTCTGTTAAATGGTCCTTTAATATTCTTCTTCAGAGTGACGGGTACCCCTTGCCTATACATTTTCAAAACTACACTGAAAATTTCAAAACATTTCTATCAGAACACAGTCTTATTCTCAGCTGATCTGCAATTTCCACCTGGATCTGTTAAATGGCAGCTTAGCTATGAAATATCATGTTCTGCCCAATCACCTACCCTGCCTCATATGATCAGCCGGTATATTTATGTGGACACATGCAGCCACACTTGTTTTTAACATTTGAGAATGACAGCGTATTGGCAGTTCATATAAGCTATCAAATATTACATGTCAACTCAGAAAACATCCCTAGGAAGTATTATGGGAACCCCCTGTATCACTTGAGATTCTTGGATCCATATTTGCTGTTAACAAAATAAATTAATAGTCAACAACTGATTAAAGCATTTCCCTGCTACCATGATTGCCTTGACAAATTCTGCAGTGCTGGAGTATTTTACCTCCCATTATTTCTTCCGCTGAACAGGACGTTTGGTTCTAATTGTTAAGCCTGCCTAATGCTGATTGAAGCGGGCCATAGTATCAAGGGTGGAAGAAGGTGGGAATATAAACTAGATTTGCTCCCTTCTGTAGGAATAACTCTATGAAGACTTTCTTTTTGGAGACAAATCATCTTATGCAGGGGGGAAAAAAAACTCCCTAAAAAAGACAAATGACAGCGCAAGATCCAAAAAGACAAGTGCTCAGTCATTTTGTCATAATGCCAGAAGAGACAGTAATGCTGTGTGGACTATGCATTCAGACATTTAGAAAATACTGCAGGCAGAGCTGGGGATTCCGTGGCCAGAAGCATATTTGGTGAACCGAGGACGCATCAAAGAGCTTCTCTGGTGTTTAGTAACTTGCACTGTATTTCAGAGGTTTATAAAGGGAAGGGACAGGAAAGCAGTGTGCCAGTAAGACAACTCCTCTTCTCGTCTGGATTTTAGAGGAATGCAGTGAACAAATGATGAAAAAGTCTGAAGGGACTTTGGTAATTCAGTATCCGAAAAACAATCAGTGTTTTGTGACATTCTTAGTTGTGATCTACCTTATGTTGTATACACATGGTCACTCACATACATAGGTGTATTATTCTGCAATTGCTGAGTAATTGATGATCCTTCATTCTCTCTGTGATTCATAGGCTCTCTGGGTTGGATAAATCACTTCGGGGAATTATATCTACTAGTATATTTATGTCACTAGAATTCCTTTGAGAAGCTATCACTGTGTACATTTACTGTATCTATTAACTTTCTTCATCTCCCTCTTCCTCCCTTTCTTCCTTTCCTTTCCCTTTCCTTTCTCCTCTCCTGTCCTTTCTCTCTCCCTCCCTCTTTCTTTTCTTTCTTTTTCCTTTTTCTCTCTCTCTTTCCCCCTTTTTGTATTTCTAGGAGAAACGGGGTTTCACCATGTTGGCCAGGCTGGTCTCAAGCTCCTGACCTCAGGTGATCCACCTGCCTCAGTCTCCCAAAGTGCTGGGATTACAGGCATGAGCCATCATGCCCAGCCCCCTTGTCCTCTTCTTATAAGGCTACTAATCCCCTCATGAGGGGACCCATCCTCAAGACTTCATCTAAACCTAACAACCTCTCCAGGGTCCCACACCCAGATACCATCCCACTGATGGTCAGGGCTTTGACATATGAATGAGGGGTAGAGGGACACAAACATTCAGTCCCTAACACTTGGTCAAGTTACTTAAGCTTGGTAAGCCTCTCTCTTCTTACTGAGTCATGAGCATAATAAGATATACCTGTTAGGGTTCTTTTGAGGAATAAATGGAATTTTTAAAGAATTGTGCCAGACATGTAATAATTACTTGATAAACTATAGCTATTATAACACCATCAAAGCTGTGGTTCTTACCCTCATCATTGTTTACCCTCTCACACAGTAAGATCTTTCTGAAAAGGATCAAGTCTCATTCTCTTTTGAACCCCAAAGTCCCCAGCCACCACAGAGACCAAATACAGTAGGTACCAATGCATGGCAATGCATAGGAACTAGGTGTCCTAACTTGGCACTGTATCTGCCAATTTTTTAAAAGACAAGATGACATCCCAAAGATTGGGGCATATTTAGGATAATGCCCCATTCTGTGAGGGTGGACATTATAGAGGACATCAGCAGCCAGCCACAGGCCATCTCTTGGTGCCATTGGGTTTTGAGACCCTCAGGGTGACACCGATTTAACATGACAGGTCTTATGTTCTTGGGTAATGTCAAACAACTTCTTGAAAATATTTGTTAAAAAAAACCCAAAAACAGAAACATATCTGACTGGGCATGGTGGCTCCTGCCTGTAATCCTGACACTTTGGGAGGCCGAGGTGGACGGATCACCTGAGGTCAGGAGTTCGAGACCAGCCTGGCCAACATGGCGAAACTCCTTCTCTACTAAAAATAAAAAAAAAAAATTGCCAGGCCTAGGCGCAGGCACCTGTAATCCCAGCTGCTCGGGAGGCTGACGCGCGAGAATCACTTGAACCCAGGAGGCGAAGGTTGCAGTGAGCCAAGATAGTGCCACTGCACTGCAGCCTGGGTGACAGAATGAGACTCCATCCTCCCACCCCCTAAAAAAAAAATCTATCCAAAGGCCTTGACTAATGCAGAATCAGCACTAATTTACAAGCCCCATAAACTAAAGACCCCATGTTTGTGTTATAAGTTTTCAAACTTTTTAAATATTTTCCCCTGTCTTATTTTCTATCATTTCACATCTTCTTAAACACATATATTTTTAAAAGAGGTTTTGACTCACTGGTGAATTTGTCTTAAAATGGAAAAATAAAATCAAATATAAGAATTTTGTTATGAATCTTTGGGGAAACACAATTAGGGAATCTACCTTAATAGGTAAACCCATGTAATTTCTTATTTCCGTCTAGTTATAGGAAAATACTGAGATACTTGTGAGATGTTTTCTTTTTTTTTTTTTCCAACTTGTATACACGTTGTTCTATAAGTGGTTGATTGTTTTTTAGGAAAAAAAAATTCAGCATCTCAAATGTACCTTTAATATTGCTTCTGATTTTTGTTGTTTTGCTATCATAGCGTTACCTACCTCACAGAGATGTTTTAGGTCATAAGTATTTTTCATTTAATTTTTTTTCCCCTTAATTTCCTTTTTTTCCCTCCTAAGCTATAAATATACAGCCTTAAAAAAAACACTCAGAAATTTAAGTCCAAGAAGCCTGCTTTTCTTGATACCTTTCAAGTGCTAGATTAATAACATTTTTGTCAGGTGGTTACCAGAATGGAGGATACTTGAGCTGAGTTTTGCTAGAGTCCAAGATCATCTATTCTAATTTCTGGGGACACATATTTTGTCCTGGTTAGAGAGATATATAATGATGCCTATCTGATTCTGTGGTGGTCTGGCTTTGATGTATGTATATGTGGGCAGGAATGTGTGTGCGTGTGTGTGTGCATGTGTGAGCTCCTGTGTGTGTGTTCATCACGTATCCATTGTGTCTCCAAGGTCTTATCAACAGCAACAAAAGGCCTCCTTTGAGATCAATCACATTCATTCGATGTTTGTTTTCTACTACCTGATACTTACTGCTTTCTCTTTGTCGCCGTTAATTTTGTTTGTCATATGTCAGACCAGGATGAGTGGGGCACATACAGATTCAGCTCATTTTATTTTTTTTCTCCCTTCCTTCGTCACCACCTTTGCTAATTTCAGGCGGTCAGCACATTTAGCAAGCATGTAGCTGCTTGCCTGAGCAAGCCATTAATCTATATTAGAAAATGTAGAGGCCCCAGTGTTAACCTTCCTGAAGCTTGTCTCCCCACCCCCAATTCTATAGGTTCTATTATATCTCCGCTGGTTTAAGGCAACTGCTGTTTCTTTTAGGAGTTTTCTTTTCTTTCCTTGCTGAATATCTGCACTTACCAATACTGCCCAGGCACATGGGCTGTGGCTCAAGTTTTCAGTGCAGGACAGTGTGTCATTGCAGGAGAAGACAGAACCCGGCCAGATCCTCCCGCTGCCGGCAAGCGGAGTCAGTTACTGGGAAGCCATAATAATTCTGTCTTCTAGAGAATTTTGGCAAAAATGTGCCTCCATCTTACATCAACAATTTTTCATCTTTCTGGAATTTTTATTTCCCCTTCCCCTCTTGTTCCTTTTTATCCTCCTGGTGAAGTATCTCCTTTTCCCTAAAAAACTGGAAAAAATGCACTTTTCTATATTAATTCAAATCATATTCAAAAAATACTATATGTTAAAAAATACGATGTTTCTGTAATCCTTACATCCCCTAATAAAACCACTGTGTGATGAAACTACCAAGAAGCCTCTCTTGAAAAAAAAAAAATTAAGTGAACCTCTACTTTAGAATGTTGGCTTTTCATATATGTACAAAACAAAAGAGGTTGCAGTGATGGCGTGGATAAAGGCACCTGTGTACTTTTCCAACCTATCCAATTTCAAGATGTATCCTTTGTGGATTACATTGGTTCTTTTCTATGGAATCATGCACCTTAGACCTGGGAGAAACCAGCGTGACATCCAGGGTCAAGGTTTTCCAATCAGGTATTTTGGGGGAAAAAGTTCTGCCTTCATGTAACAACTAATGTGACATGGCAGTGTATAAGACATTACAGCCAAGGCCTTCTGGTTGAAGTTGGGGAACTGTGGGCGTTGTCCCCACTAGTCCTGTCATCTGCCCTTGCAAAACCACCCTTGGGCTCTCTCGCGTGCGGTCTGTGCACCAGCTACCTTTGTGCTCCCCACATTCTTCCACCTGGCCTGGAAGCTGACCATAGTTGGCTCTCTTGCCCTTTCTTCTTCTGGTTGGATTTAGCAATTTAATTTTCAGGCTTGCTCCCTGCAGGGTGTCACTTCACCACCTTCCTCTGTAGAAGGTTTCGTCCAGGCCGGGCACAGTGGCTCACGCCTGTAATCCCAACACTTCGGGAGGCCGAGGTGGGCAGATTGTCTGAGGTCAGGAGTTTGAAACCAGCCTGGCCAACATAGTGAAAACCCATCTCTACTAAAAATACAAAAATTAACCAGGCATGGTGGCACACACCTGTAATCCCAGCTACTTGGGAGGTTGAGACAGGAGATTTCCTTAAGCCTCGGAGATGGAGGTTGCAGTGAGCCAAGATTGTGCCACTGCACTCCAGCCTGGCTGAGAGAATGAAACTCTGTCTCGAGAAAAAAAAAAAAAAAGAAGGTTTCATACATTTTAGCTGACAAGGGCAGGAGCTGTTCCTGCTGTTACTAACTGGAGTACATTGCATGAAACCTTGCTGTTTCCTTAAACCCTGCACCGACCTTTACAAACAGTGCCTTTACTAAACACTTCTTACGTTACCCGTTTTGAGTGTACCATCTGCCTCTTGCCAGGACCCTGACCAAGAATTTGAAATCTCAGACCATGATGACCTCCTTGCCCAATGCGTAAGCTGTCCTCCAAAACACACATTTATGGGGGCAGAGGGAGTCTCTCTGGAAGGAAACTTCGTCTGAGCCATGGCTCCTTTTGCTTCCCCTGGGTTTTAATCCTTCCTTCCCTTCCTGTTCTTTTAAGGAAATCTGAAAAGGAGCAAAAGAGCTTTAGAACTGCAATGCATCTGTCTGAGGCCAAGGACAGTTGTACGCAGACCTCTCTGCCAGTGTTTCAGTGACCCTCCTCTTGCTGCTTGGCTGCCTATGAGTCCATGCTGACATCTGGCTCTGTCTGCCCAAATATAAACTTGAGAGTGACTTCCAAGATATATACAGGGCTCAGAGGTTCTCTCCCCAACCCATTCACTGGCCCTGCTCTCTCTCGATGTTCCCAAGTCTCCTGGGTGACCTTGTGTGTCCTTCCTGGGATATTGCTCAATCACCCTAGAACTGTAAGGCCAAGTGGTCATAGCCAGAACATGGCAGAAACATTCCTGCTTCTATTCTGCTTTTCTAGCATGGAATCCCCTCTGCCTTAATGTGAATAAATACTCCCCAAAATGAAGGCAGAATCCAGTATCTGTTGTTTAAACTAAATCCCTAACTGGACCCCCTCTGATAAACCCTCTGATAAAGAATTGATGTAAAATTTGGGACGCTGGATAGGACCAGGAAGCCAGAGAAAGAGGGCACCCTTTTCTTTTCTAGCATTTGAGTTCCCAAAGAAGTAAAACTCTGTGAATGTTCACTTCATTTTTTCCTGATATATCGAGGACTCCAGATGTAACCTCATTGATAGTCTTGGTGTGTTCTTCAGTATTTGTGCTTTTAATAGATATTGCAAGTGTGTTTAATGTGAAAATAGAAATGGAGGGCTTTTAAAAGAGCTTACTCAAAATCCTGCCAATTACTGAAATCTACCAGACAAGAAGGAGCCACTCTTTTTTTTTTTTTTTTTTTTTTTTTTTTTTGATACAATGAGGGGAAATGTTTCTTCCACAAAAGCCTGGCCGTTTGTCTTTAAAAATTTTCATCTTTTGGGTACTGAGTTGTAATAGTAAATACAGATGTAGCTGTGTCACATTAAAAGCACAACCAAATTGTAGTACAATGTTCAGGACACTTTTATGTCACTTTAAAATGTAGAGTATCATCTAAAAATGAGCAATTGCTGTGAAGAAACTGGGGTTGGCTCTGATTTTGTGGCTCAGTTTTTTTTGGTTTCTTGAGAAGATCATCTTTAAGTCAAAAGTTATGCAATGCCAAGTACTCATCTGTGTAATCTATTTCAGTTTCCAAAATTTTTCATCACCTGGTTACAAACATCTGAAGGCAAGAAATAGCCAAGATTCCATTGCAAGTCCCAGAGTAAGTTATTATTAGACAGAAACAAACAAGTAAATACCTTGGGCCTGAGCTATTGCCCAAACCAGTCCTGACTTGGCTTGGGTTCTGACCAACTGTTTTTGATCCCACAGTCTGAAGTACGTTTGTGGAAATACAAAGGTCAAACCTTCCCCTAACCCTCTGTAATCCCTGGTGGAGCTAAGGAATGAAAAGTTGCTTAAACATTTTCCTGTTGCCAGTTTTTCTTAAACATTAGTGCTATTCTTTTTTTTTTTTTTTTTTTTTTTTTTTCCTTCTTCAACCCTGACTCTGATTCACAAAGAATAGGGAAGCTTAGCCAACTGCAGTTTCAAAGTATTGCTTCTTAAGCCTGGGCCAAGTGTGTAGACTTGATAGAATTCTGATTAATGCATCTTATTACATTAATTTTAGAAGAAACCAGAAGGCATTTCTCCTATTCCTAGTGCAGGCCAGCCTGCCAGAAGCATTTGCCTCCTTAAAGAGCTAATATCTTCAGCTACCAACAATCATAAAACTGAAAGATCTATCGGAAGAGTTGGCTTCTCTGGATGTGCATAAGGCACACTGCAAAATAGATGTACAGCTTGGCTGAACTTTGCTTCAAATTTGCCAATCAAAATTCACGAACCCATGCCAAGTTGGCTACAAAACCTCTCGCTTGGAGCCAGCACTAATTATGTCAACAAGTAGTTCAAGTTTAGCCCCTGTTAAGTCCTGTACTCCTGGGTATTGGGGATGAGTCTTTGTGTGGTGGCAAACGGGCCCTGTCTTCGCTTGGCTTCCTCCTAAAATTCCCAGGACCTCTTCGGGTCCCAGCCCTTTCTCTTCCCCTGAGATTGCGCCTCCTCACCCTCTGTCTTGGATGGAAAGAGTTCCAAGGCAGTCCAGTCACCCCAGTGAAAAGTTTTCTGATGAGGTCAAGCCTTCTTATTGTCATAGGTCATTTTCTTTAGAAATGAGAAACCATCTCATTGGGCTTTCCAGGAAGGAGACTCTGAGTGCAAGTTTGTTGTGAAGAACACGTGCCTTGGAATTAACACCTATGGAAGGGAAGAAAACGAAGATGGAGTGGGCAGAGGGAGAAGCTGACTGAGATGGAGTCCAGCAAGGGTCTCAGTCAACCTTATGAAGCTAAAAGGGCCCATCAGAGCTAATCCCTATTGGGCTAATGTGGCCAGGCTTTTATAAACCTGCCTTGACTCGTGATTGGGTGGGCTGCCCCAGGAAGGATGTGCCCTTGCAGAAGGTAGTCTCTGTGTTCAGGTACTCCCTGGAAAGGCTAATGGCTGAAGGCTACAGGTTACCCTGGAAGGGAGACCTGGGCTGCACATCAGAGCCCATCTACTTTCCAGTGTGGACAAGTTCCAGCTCCTGCCCCAGCCCTGCCACACCATCACCCTCTCCAGCACACACAGCCCTTCTCTGTTGATTAGGGTTGGTTGAGCTGTTCTACCACCTTCATTGACTCAGGCCTTGAAGTGCAGTAGAAAGCCCTAGGACAAGGCAGGCCCAGTTTTGAGGCTGGGTGCAGAGGCTCATGCCTGTAATCCCAGCACTTCGGGAGGCCACGGCAAGAGGATCACTTGAAGCCAGGAGTTTGAGATCAGTCTGGCCAACACAGCGAGACCCAATCTCTCCAAAAAGTTTAAAAATCGGCTGGGCATGGTGGTACATGCCTGTAGTCCTAGCTACTCAGGAGACTGAGGCAGGAGGATCACTTGAGCCTCGTAGGTCGAGGCTGCAGTGAACTAAGATGCCACAGGACTATAGCCTGGGCAGTTTTGAGTGCTGCCTCTACCATGTAACTAGCTTGCCAGTCAAGTCATTAACTATTCGGGGCCTTAGTTTCGTCTTTTCTGAATTGGAGCCAGTATACGTAATTCCAAAGGTTGCTTTTAAGCGTAAGTGAGAATATTGGCAGAAATTCGTTAGCACTGAGAGAGGGAATGTAAAGTGGAGGTTAAGTGTACGGCTTAAGAGCAGAGTCAGGAAACCTAGACTTGCACCCTGATTTCTGAGTTGAATGTTCCAGGGTAAGCCACTTAATCTCTCTAATCCTCATTGTGCTTAGCTCTAGAATGGAGGCTTGTTGAGAAAATTAAATGGAAACGATAACGGCGAAGCACTTAGCACATGAGCAGGCCCATAGTACTCAGGTGTTCATTCCACAGAAAAGCGTTCACTCTTCTGCACTCTTTCTCAGTCAGTTGGCCACTGCTGTTCAGTTCACTTCTTTTGGATCTTCTCAGCCCCATCAGGTTCCCAGGTGAAATGAGCCCCGGCTCAGCAGGCCAGTTGTCTTCAGTGACCCCCAGTGAGGCAGCAGGTGGGACTTGATTCTGGAGGCAAGACTCAACTCCATAGACAGGGCTTACACACCGGACCAAATTGAGGACTAGCTAAAACAGGGATAGGGTGGGTGCACCTTTCCATGAGCTGTGTCCGCCAGTGTGTCATGTCAGTTTACAATTTCCATGGCAACACCTAGAAGTTACTGCCCCTTTCCATGACAATGACCCAACAACCTGGAAGTTACCACCCTTTTTCTAGAAATTTCTGCATAATCCACCACTTAATTTGCATATAATTAAAAATGGGTGTAAATGTGATGGCAGAACTGCCTCGGAATTGCCACTGTGGGTACTCTGCATGTGGGGTAGCCCTGTTTTGCAAGGAGCAGCACCTCTGCTCCTGTTGTACACTGTCCCTTCAATAAAAGTTGCTAACACCACCACCTTGCCCTTGAATTCTTTCCTGGGCAAAGCCAAGAACCCTGTTGGCCTAAGCCGCAATTCTGGGGTTCGCCTGCCCTGCATCACCAGCACAGTGGAAGGCCACAAGCTCACAGCATTTTCATCCGTAAACAAAGCTTGGCAATATCTCTGATGGTTAAGAGCTTACGTGTTTGCGCCAGTGAGACTTGCACTCAGTCTTCTTTGAGTGAGACTTGAACTCGATTCTGAGTCTCCTCCTTCCTAGATGGACTCATTATTTACTTATTTATGTATTCACTCATCTATTCATTAATTTATACTCTTAGTTTGATATCAACATCTGTAAAATGGGGATGGTAATGTGGTGATATGGAGGAAAATAAAATAACTCTGGCATTGTTCTTACTATTTACCTCTGTACTGTCATCGTTATCATTCCTTTGATAACCGTGAGCACCTGTCATGGGCCTGGCACTCTAGTAGGCTCTCAGGATGCACAATGACCCTGTCCCTGCTTGCTGGAGACATAGGAGAAGCCCCCAGCCACTGACATCTGGGTGTTGTAAGAAAGCAAGAACAGTCATGGACACTGCTAAGTTTTGATGCCAAAGAGCCAAATTTGCAGTACCAGAATGTCCTTTCCATGTGTGACCCAAAGTTTTGGCTACTGAAGACGTTGCATGCCCTCCAACAGTGGAAGTGGTGCCCTGAATACGCCAGAAATAATCGTGGAGTCAACGAAGATCTGGGAGTATTGTTTGGAGACATCTCAGTATTCCTAATTCATTTTCCCATCCTTAAATAAAAATCTTTCTTACTGATGATCTGAGAACTTCTTGTAAGCCCCATTTCCATGAGTAGAGTTGGCCATTGCCCACTAAGAAAATTTAGGTGGTTTTTATTGGGATTAGTGGATGAACTTAGGATTAGTGTGGCCCTTCCTTGAAATATAATGACAACCTTGGTGAAAGCAAGACCACAGGGCCTGTCTTCAGGGAAGTGCCTTGCATTTTAATACCAACCATGCCACGTGTATGTGTTTCCTGGGCCTGCCATAACAAATTATCGCAAACTGGGTAGATTGAGAATCATTCATTGTTTCATGGTTTTGGTGGCCGGAAGTCCAAAATCAAGGCGTTTGTGGGGTTCGTTCCTTCTGGAAGCTATGAGGGAGAAACCATGCCATGCCTGTCTCCTGGTTTCTGGTGACTGCTGGCAATTCTTGATGTCCCTTGGCTTGGAAACACCACATTCTAATCTCTACTTCCTCCCTTACATCACCTTCTCCTCTGGCTTTGTGTCCTTTCTGTCTCTTACAAGGACACCAGTCATTGGACTTAGGACCCACCTAATTGAGTATGATCTCATCTCATTCCTTATCTTAATTACATTTGCAAAGACCCTGTTTCCAAATAAAGTCACATTCGTTGGTTCTGAGTGAACATGTTTCTAGGGGGACACTATTGAACCCACTGCACTGCATCAAACGTATGGGTGTGCTTTCTCTTGGCCTTTCTCCTATTTGCCTTCTCTGTGTTGGGAATTGTGGCTTCACACCCATCTACTTATCCCTGCATGTTGAGCATCGTCTGTTACCTGAAGAGCAGAAGGATGATAAAAGTGAGGAAACTGAGGCACAGGCTTGCCCCAGGTTACACAGCTAGTTATGATGGAGGGTGGGTCGGAAGCCAAGCGCCCCCCAGCCCCCACCCCACAACAGGTGTATGTGGCCTCTGGTTTATCCTTCTTTCCCCCTGCTCACCACATGGCTTCTCATTTTGAAAACCCGGTGGCTAATAAAGTAGATGAGTTTCAGGATTGCAAAATATTGTGATCCTGGCCTTTGTCCATTGTGTAATCTTCACAGTGACCAGAGTGTTTGCAGTTCCTAGGAAGTTCACCCATTCCCAACAGTGTCCCAGGGTCAAGCTCAGATGACCTGTGGTATTTTTATACCCATATATGTGTCAATGTTTATAACTTTTAAAGTTGTTTTCAGGAAGCACTGAGGCATGTGGTCGTTCACAGGTGACAAAGACAGAGGCTCAGGGAACTCAGTTGGTTGCTGAGCTTTAAACCCAAGTCTATTTCTGAGGCTGGACTGAGTCTTTGAGAAAATGCAAAGTAACCTAGCATAGTGTCAGACACAAAATAGTCAGCAAATACCATCGTAGATTCAGGCTTCTGAGTCCAAAGCTAACAATTCTCATCTCCAATTCCCATCTTCAAATATTAAAATAAACTTTTTTTTTAAGAGACAGAATCTCACTGTGTTGCTCAGGCTAGAGTGCTGTGGCATCTTAGCTCACAGCAGCCTCGACCTACCAGGCTCAAGCGATCCTTCTGCCTCAGTCTCCTGAGTAGGTAGGACTATAGGCATGCACCACCATGCCCAGCTATTTTTAAAATTTCCTGTAGAGATGGGGTCTCAGTGCATTGGCCAGACTGACCTAAACTCCTGGCTACAAGTGATCCTCTTGCCTTGGCCTCCCAAAGTGCTGGGATTACAGGTGTGAGCCACCATGCCCAGCCTTAAATAAACTCTTTAGTGTCAAAAAATCTACGTGAGGCCAGGTGTGGTGGCTTACCCCTGTAATCACAGCACTTTAGGAGGCCAAGGTGGGTGGGTCATCTGAGGTCAGGAGTTCAAGCCCAGCCTGGCTGACATGACGAAACGCCATCTCTACTAAAAACACAAAAATTAGCCAGGTGTGGTGGCATGTGCCTGTAATCTTAGCTACTCAAGAGGCTGAGGCAGGAGAATGGCTTGAACCCAGGAGGCAGGGGTTGCAGTCAGCTGAGACTGCGCCAGTGTACTCCAGCCTGAGAGACAGAGCCGAGACTCTGTCTCAAAGAAAAACAAAAACAAAAACAAACAAAAATCTACTTGAACCAATAAAAATTCCCATCCCCACCTAGAATTCTAAATATTTTATAAATAAAGTCTTCAGAGCCTAGATATTCACTAGAACCCAGTGGTCACGTGTTCCTAATGGGTGGAATATTATTTTGAATCTTTCCATGATGAGAGTTACATTGCTGGGTGAAAGCTTTTTATGCAACATCATCATTGTTGAATAAACAGACGCTTAGCATATTTAGGTTGGAATGCAAGGGAACTAAAGGTAGGGGAGATTCTTAAGGAAGTCTACTTTCTCTTCAAGAATGCTATCAAATTGAAAGGTAATTCCTAAAGAAGAGTCATTTGTAAATTAGGGAGGAAGAGCTAAAAAAGATTCCTAGCAAGAAACATCATAAAGGGGCTTGATAAAGCCAAAAAACTAAAAGAAAAAAAAAAAGGAATTAGAAACAGAGAAAAGAGGCTTCGTGTTGTTTGTAAATTTGTGAATAAATCTGTTAAAGAAATATTGGATTCATATTCAACTTGGAAAACAGGGAAAGGCCTTTTATTGCATGCTTTGAAGTTTGAATACACTTTCAGTAGCTCTTCGTTATCTCAAATTAAATCTTAAATTGAGCTTGTGGTTCTGTGAATTAATACTCCGGCCTTTCAGCCCTGCTGCTGAGGTCATTCAAATCTAATGGTGGAAACGGTCACAGGGTCAGGCCTTGGATGGTGCTGTATAGAAATGCCTTAATGATGCTGGCAGATGTTTGCATTCTGCAGCTGGGGCGGCTGGCGGGTTGGGGGCTGCAGGAAGAGAGGAGTTGATGATCACATTATTGTGTCAGCCGCCTGTGTGAATAAGGAAGGACAGACTCCCACCCCATCCCATCATTCCAGGTTCAATAAGAGGCAGGTGCTTCCTAAAGCAGAAAAATGTAAGGGAAGTCATCATCGCTTATCATCACCTGAATGTTCACCATGGTGACCCACATCTCAGGATGCTGCAAAACGAGAGAGGTCACCTGTCTGTGTAATCGCATATAGCATTCTAAAGATGTTCCATTCATTCAGCAAATGTTTAATAAAGGCTTCATCTGAAGTTTAATGGACATTGTTTGATAAAACAGACCCAGTCACTGGTGTCAGGGAGTTTATATAAAAGTATACACGTATCTGTGCAAATGTGTGCATTTAAGGCCCGCCGAGCCTGAGCTGATATGCATGTCTTAACTTTGCTGTTTCTCTAAGGGGATGGAAGGATTGGCTACCCTGAGCTTTCTAGACTTGTTATTTTTTTTTTTTTAAGACAGAATCTTGTTCTGTCTCCGAGCTAGAGTACAATGGTATGATCATAGCTCACTACAACCTCCAATGCCTGGGTTTAAGTGATCCTGCCACCTCAGCCTCCCAAGTAGCTAGGACTACAGGCGAGAGCCACCATACTGGGCTAATTTTTGTTTTTTATTGAGATGGGGTCTTCCTATGTTGCCCAGCCTGGTCTCAAACTTCTGGCCTCAAAGCAATCCTCCTGCCTTGATAGACGTGTTCATTGTAGGTTTCTAGCCTCTGAATCCAAATTTTATTTTTCTAGTACTTTATTTTATTTTACTTTTTATTGATTGAAACCTTGAAATAAAGTTTTTAAAAATCTATTTGATTTTAAACGATCTTTAGAAATATATGAAGGTTAAAAATAACTCTCATTTTGCTTTTTATAAACAGTCCACTCCTACATGTAGACACATTTAGATGCTTCATTTTGCCTGTAGAAAGTTTTTCTAACAATAAACTGACCAATGATGATGAAATTTTTATTGACTCAAATGTGTGATTGGTTGATTTACTGTATTCAGTCCAAGCTCCTCCCAAAGGTTAGCTCATTGACTCTACAACTCTGTTTTCCTCATTCATTCATTCCTCTAATCAATATGTATTGCTCACTTGGTACATGTCAGATACTTTCCTAGGTGCTGGGGAGAAACAAGCAAAGTACTTCAGGGCCTGTATTAGTTTGTTTTTCACGCTGCTGATAAAGACACACCCGAGACTGGGAAGAAAAAGAGGTTTAATTGGACTTACAGTTCCGCACGGCTGGGGAGGCCTCAGAATCATGGCAGGAGGTGAAAGGCACTTCTTACACGGCAGCGGCAAGAGAAAATGAGGAAGAAGCGCACGTGAGAACCCCTGGTAAACCCATCAGATCTTGTGACACTTATTCACTATCACGAGGATAGCGCAGGAAAGACCGGCCCACATGATTGAGTTACCTCGCCCTGGGTCCCTCCCACAACATGTGGGAATTCTGGGAGATACAATTCAAGTTGAGATTTGGGTGGAGACACACCCAAAGCATATCAGGGTCCTAGGCAACTTTGTGTGAGAACAGAACAGAGAGGAAGCGACACACCTTTCCTTTGGGAGCAATTTTTGGGTTGCTTTTGTTTTTATTTGTTGTTTTCATTCCTGGTAGTAATAGTAACAGTAGAAAATGGCAGCGTTATAGCCATAAACAAAGTGCTCTGTGGTTTCTCTCTCACCATCCCCTAAACCCTACAAGGCTAGGGGAAAATGGTAATACTCATGAACAACTCCACTTCATAAATGAGGATGCCGGCACTCGGGGAGGTCAAGTGAGTTTCATAAGGTCATAGAGCAACCAAGTGGCAGGGCTGACTCCCACCCAGGTGTGTTCCATGGGCAGCGTCTTCTTACTGCACTGTCCTGACTTGCTCTAGTGAGATCTAAGAGAGGCACAATCTGCTTTCCTTTTGATGGTGTGCAGCAGCATGATGGCCGCGCGAATTTCCAAGAAGAGGATGTTGGTCGCTGATGGCATCTTCAAAGCTGAACGGAATCAGTTTCTTACTCCGGAGCTGGCTAAAGACGCTTCTCTGAAGCTCAGGTTCAAGTTACACCCATCACGACAGTAACAAATATCTTAGCCAACAGAACAAAAAATGTTCCTGGTGAGAACAGCCAGGGATTCTGGAATTGACTGCTGTAGTTCAGAAGAGATTTGGCTTCCCACAGGGCATTGTAGAGCTTTATGCTGAAAAGGTGGCCCCAGAGGTCTGTGTGCCATTGCCCAGGTCGAGTCTGCAGTACAAACTCCTAGGAGGGCTTACTGTGCGGAGGGCCTGCGATGGTGGGCTGTGGTTCATCATGAATAGGGGGGCCATAGGCTGCCAAGCTGTGGTTTCTGGGAGACTCTGAGGACAGAGGGTCAAATCCATGAGTTTGTGGATGGCCTGATGATCCCCAGCGGAGACCATGTTAACTAGTACATTGATGCTGTTGTGTGCCATGTGCTGCTCAGATAGGGTTTTCTGGGCATCAAGGTGAAGGTCATGCTGCCCTGGGACCCCGCTGGTAAGACTGGCCCTAAGAAGCCTCTGCCTGACCACGTGAGCATCATGGAACCCAAAGATGAGGTAGTGCCCACCACTCCCATCTCAGAACAGAAGGGTGGGAAGCCAGAGCCGCCTGCTATGCCCCAGCCAGTCCCCATAGCATAACGGGCTGTCCTTGGCAGTTGTATTCGGAGTCTGGATGTTGCTTTGTAAAGACATTTAATAAAATATTGTACAAAGACAACCGGGAATGCCTGTAATCCCAGCACTGTGGGAGTCAAGACAGGCCGATCACTTGAGGTCAAGAGTTCAAGACCAGTCTGGCCAACATGGTGAAACCCTGTCTCTACTAAAAATACAAAGATTAGCCTGGCGTGCCCTGTAATCACAGCTACTTGGGAGGCTGAGGCAGGAGAATCGCTTGAACCCGGGAGGTGGAGGTTGCAGTGAGCCAAGATCGTGCCATTGCACTCCAGCCTGGGCAAAAAGAGTAAAACTCAGTCTCAAAACAACAGCAACAGAAATGTATTCTCTCACAGTTCTGGAGGCCAGACATTCAGAATCAAGGCAGGGCTATACTTACTTTGGAGGCTCTAGCTAAGAATCTGTTCCTTGCATCTTTCGTTTCTGGTGGCTGCTCGTGATTGTGGGCTGTGACCATATCACTCCAATCCCTGCCTCTGCAGCCACATGGCCTTCTCCTCTTCTCCTGTGTTCCTTTCCTGTCTGCCTCAAATCTCCCTCTACCTTTCTGCTATGAAGACACTTGTTTTTGGATTTAGGGTCTTCCTGGCTGATCTCATGTCAAGATCCGTAACTTAATTACATCTGCAAAGACCTGATTCCCAATAAGCTTGCCTTCACAAGTTGCAGGGATTTGGATATGGAACTGCCTTTTTGGAGGCCACCATTCAACCCACAATAAGAGCACAGTGGTGAGGTTTGAGGGGTGGTATGAGGTCACAGTCACAGCCACCCCTCTCACCAGCTGTGTGACAATTCTGGATTTACTTAGCTGTCCTCTGCCTCCATCTCCCTTTCCCTGTAAGTGGAAGTGGTATTCATTGATCACACACTACATGCCGGACACCAAGCTATTACATTTTTTGAATATGTTTCTTCCTTGCCTCTTGAGGACTAACCAGCCGGGTTTAGATTATTTCCTCCCCGTGTCGCTTTCCTGCCCCCACATGTTATAGATGGTGCAAGGGAACCAGAGAGCTTTGATCCCTGGTTTCTCTGGTCACAAACCTGCTCTCCTCTCCAGAACTCCAGGATGCCTTTCTGTGGGGGCTAAATCAAATTTAGCTGTTCCCCCAACTGCAAAGTACATAGGCATCAAGTGAAAGGGTAAATGCATGAAAACCTGAATGGCTGATCCTCTAAGACAGTGAGAGCAGATGTTAATTGCTCACTGTCCAAGTGCTGGGCTCTGTGATAAGAGCTTCACGCAGATGACATCAAAGCACCATGTGTGGGGGAAGCACGATGATCTTGACCATTTTACAGATGAGGAAGGTAAGGCTCGGTGTCATCAACTCACAGAGGAAGTGGAGCTGGAGTCTCTGTGGCTCCAGGGTCAGGTGTGTAGTCTCGAAGGCTGTTTTCTGTTCTGCAAGTTTCTCCTTAACACATTTCCAGCCCCATTTTCTGGCAGGGAGACCCCAGGACTGAAAGGAGCTGGAAGAGTGAGGTCTAAGAGAAAAAGGGGCTGGGTGTGGTAGCTCATGCCTGTAATCCCAGCACTTTGGGAGGCCAAGGTGGGTGGGTCACCTGAGGTCAGGACTTCGAGACCAGCCTGGCCAACATGGTGAAACCCCATCTCTACTAAAAATAAAAAAAAAAAAAAATTAGCCAGGCATGGTGGTGCATGTCTGTTATCCCAGCTACTTGGGAGGCTAAGGCAGGAGAATCACTTGAATCTGGGAGGCAGCGGTTGCAGTGAGCCGAGATGGCGCCACTGCACTCTAGCCTGGGCGGCAAGCAAGACACCATTTCAGAGAAAAACAACAACAACAAAACATATGGCCAGCAGCCAGTGTTGTTATCTCAGGATGGGAACCAGGCACTGCACCTCCTCATTAGGAGTCAGAGTAAGGGGGCTAAGCTGGTTGACATGACTGGGGACAGAGTTGCTGTTGAAATTGTCAGGTTATGAAGGGAAATTAGCTGCTGGGTGTCAAGAGGTGCACATTGCTGCAGGCATTGGCAACTGGGAGCCCTGGTGTGTCTATTAGCTCCTCAGGCTGTGAGGCCTTAATGACACCCCTGCCAACATTACAGGAGGCAGCAAGTGACAGTAGGAATGAGAGAGGCCAGCTAATCTAATCTGTACGCCCCACAGGAGTTGGGGGCTGAGGACTTCAAGACCTGGCTTCTGCTCCCTGTCACAGTGGCAAAGACAATGACAATAAAAGCACAGCCTCCAGAGAGAAGAGCCTTCGATGGACCTGGGTGTTAATCCAGGGGCCAGGCAAAAACTGGGGGATGCAGAATAGGAGGTTGGGCTGGAGGTGAGTGAGAAGAACGGATACGGTTAGGACCAACATTTAGGCAATATGACCGTGTACAGGATTCTACCACCATCGTCACCATCAGTGTTACTGTTCCCTGCCATCTGCCTGTGGGGTGTCTACCATCTAAAGTCCAGCACTGCACTGGGCATTTTTAAATTATCATTAGTATATAATTATATATAATAATAATTTAATTTATAACTATATCATTTATTAAGGTCCTACTATATACCAAATTCTATCGGACACATGTCCTAATAATAAACGTGATATAATCTATCATTATTTACAAAACTTCACACTCTGACCTTTATTAATTATGTGTGTGCCAATTATGTGCAGGGAACTGTATTAATCGTAGTTAGCAATATCGTCTCTAGTCCTCCAACCCTATAAAGTGGGCACAATTATTATTTCTCTATTGCAATTGCCATTTAGCCTCAGCTGGATTGGAAACTATGTAATGGAGACTCTCAGGCCACTGTCTTTTGAGCAGCATTTTCTGCATTGCATTCTTGTATGTAATCCTAAAATGTAGATGTAGTTTTCCCCCTTTTAGAGATAAGGTAATCAAAACTTATAGAGGTTAAAGGGACTTGCCAAAGCGACACAGCCATGAATGGCAAAGCTAGGATTTAAACCCTTGGACTTCTTCTCCTTGCCATTCCACCCCATCATAAATTCTAAACATCATAAGCAGAACCATCATAAGTCAGGGTCCATCTGGAAGATGGATGGATGGATGGATGGATGGATGGATGGATGGATGGATGGAGAGAGAGAGAGACAGATAGGCAGACAGATAGCTAGACAGATGGACAGATAGAGATTTTTAGGAACTGGCGAATTGGCTCACACAATTATGGAAGCCCAGAAGTCCCAAGAAGTGTAGCCAGCAATCTGGAGATCCAGAAGGGCCCATGGTAGAAACCTCATCCAAAGGCAGAAGACAAGCATCCCAGGTTGAAGACAGTCAGGCAAAGAGAGAAAATTATTTCTTACTCAGACTTTTGTTTTATTCGGGCCTTCAACAGATTAGATGAGATCCACCCCTACAGGGCAGGGCAATCAGTTTTACTCAGTCTACTGATTCAAAGGTTAGTCTCATGTAGAATCACCCTCACAGACACACACTCAGAAATAATGGTTAGTCAGATATCTGGGCACTGTGTGGCCCAGTCAAGTTGACACCTACAATTTTTTTTTTGCCTTCTTTTTATTTTTGGTGTTGTCATCCTGTGTCCAAGGCACATATAGTCAATCATCACACCTTTCCCTTAGCCTGTACTAGGTTCTGTGCCAAGGATTTTAGAAAGTCATGTCTCATTCAGTTCCCCTAACAGGTCTAGGAGTCATTATCTTCCCCAACCTAAGGAAACTGAGACCCAGAGATTCAGAGTATCCCAAGATCCTACAGGAATTGCAGATTGTAGCCAAAATTGGAACTCCTAATTCCAGAGCTCCTCCCTCCTGCTAGCATTTTTCTTTGAGTAGTTTTATTAATGAGAAAAGCTGTTGAGCACCAGAGCAACCCCGCCTCTTCTAAATACCATCTGACATATACATTCAGCAGAGGAAAAATGATGTGAGGTCTGGGGCTTGCTTTAAAATACTTTGGGGCCAGACACAGTGGCTCACACCTGTAAGCCCAGTGCTTTGGGAGTCTGAAGTGGTAGGATCACTAGAGGTCAGGAGTTCAAGACCAGCCTGGGTAACATAGTAACATAGGGAGACCCTCATCTCTATAAAAAATTTACATGAAAAAAAATAAACAAAATACTTCTGCAACAGCAGCAGCAAGAGCTGCCGCAATGAAAGAAGAAAGAAAAGGAGGGAGAGGATGAAGGAAAGAAGCAGTGTTAACATTCTAGTAATATTTGCATCTGAATGATATTTATATGGGGTTATTGTCCTCCCTTTGTGTATGTTTAAAATTTTCATAATAAGCATATTTATATATATACACATAAAACATATATGTACATATTATCATAATGCCTACCTGCTCTTGAGAAAGTAGTGCCGTATGGCTGGGGGTTTTTCTCACTGGTTTCTATGGCTCTCCCCTCCCCCACTTTTTCTAAGAAGTGGTAGTACCTATCTGACTATTTTCTTGGCTGCCTGAAGAGGCCTCAAAATTAGAGTAAACAAATTACCCATTACCAGGGAAGCCTCCTTCCTCCCAGCAGATTCCCAGCATCTTCTTTCACCTCTAGGAGATATTTTCCAAGGTCACTAAATTAAGCCTTCAGACAATCGAAAAATTGAATCTCAGTACCTCTATTTTCCTAACAAAATTTCTGCAGCACCGATTGGGGCTGACAGGTACGGCCGTGCAGCTTTCTGGGCTGTTCAGGTCGATTTGGCCAAGCAGGACGGCATCAGCTTGTATTGGAGGGAACATCTGAGCAGCTCAGGGCCCCCTGGGAGTCAGAGCGTTCCCTCCCTCCTTGCCACTGTAAATGACTATTTCTGTCGTTTGCAGAGTGTCCTTTTCTTTCTCCTACAGCCCCATCCTTACCCTCTATAGCCATCAGGTCAGGTGCGTCTTCTTCATTTATTTATCAAAAGGGCCATAGCAATCATTGCAAACATGTTTAGGAGGATTTGGAAACCATGTTCTTTTAAAGGGCACTAATGATGCAGCAGTAATCACAGTGCTAGTGGAAGGGGAGGGCAGAATGTGATGTTTTGGGAGTGAATTCTGTAAGAGAAGAAGGGACTGCGTTCCTAGCCCTCCAGAGCTTGCAGCTATCACAGCCTGGCTGGTGGAGGGGCTTGCAGAGCTGAGAACCACTCAGAATTTGGGGGCTGAAGACCCTGGCTGTCTGAGCACCATCTCTGTGACTTTCGAGGTCATGTTTTCCCTCCAGCCCTCATTTCCCCCTTTATAAGCTGTGTCTTAGCTAGTGCTTTCAGCAAAGAATATCTTTAGGCTCCTGGAGGATTGATATCCCCTGAAGTAGCCCCTGACCAGCCTCCAAGATGTATCCTAAAAGCTCCTATGGAAGTTTACATTTCACTCAAAATATCTGTGTTCATGTAAATGTAAAAATGATGTCTTAAGATGCTTAGCAGTGAATAAAATGGGTGCTCTAGGGAGATGCAGTGAGTTTATCCTGTGGCTTTGAGTATACACTGGTACCCTACGTGGGAGACCCCGGTGCCCATGCCCGGGTGCACAAAGCCAGCATCAGTGACCTGCACACCAGGAGGCAGGCTGCATGATGATTGGGTGCAAGTCCTTAGGTGGGTCACTCAGTCTTTCTTTTCTTGAGTTTTTTCATCTGTGAAAGAGTGATCATAATACTATTTCCATTGAGAAGAAGAAATAATTTATGTAAAGCACAAAGCATAATCCCTGGTATTCAATAAGTACTCAGTAAATACTAGTGAAAATAATGATTATAACTATGACCTCCAGAAGCTTTTACTGAGCATCTATCTGTAGCACTGCATGTCAAGCCAAGCTAGAGTACAGTCTCTTAGGAGACACAGGGGAGGAAAACATCCTTGGCAGGTTCGCATATTGGTGATCTCGTCGTAATTTTCTCAAATACCCTTCCTCTTTCCTCACTTTTGGTGATAACTACCTGTGTTGCTCTTGTCACTTTTGCCTGGATCCACTAACTCACTACCTAGGTATCTGCAACAGTTATCCATTGCTGCCTAACAAATTACCCCAAAATGTAAGCACTTAGAATCTCATTGTCTTTGTGGGTCAGGAATTAGGGAGTGGCTTAGCTGGGTGATTCTAGCTCAGGGTCTTTTCTGAAGTTGCCAGCAAGCTGTTGGCTGGGGCTGCAGTCTCAGAATCCTTGACTGAAGGGGAGGTTTCGTGTCCAAGGGGCTCACTGATGTGGCTTTTAGCAGGAGGCCTCAGTTCTTCACCATGGGGGCCTCTCTGTACAGCTTCAGGAGCAGCCTCACAATATGTCATCTGGTCTCCCACAGAGTGATGATCTCAGAGAGAGTGTGAGGAAGATGTGGCATGGCCTTTTAAGCCCCATTCTTAGACATCATGCACTGTCAAGCACCGTAACTTTAGCTACATTCTATTGATTAGAAGAATACTAGTAAAGACCATAGTTAGGAGAGGGGAACCTGGCTCCACCATTGGAAGGGAGGTCTATCAAAGAACTTGTGGGCATATTCTAAGACCACCACACTCTGCCACTCCACACACCCTGACTCTCCTAACACCTGCTCGCTTCACTGGTTCGGCTATTGGCAGTGGCATGGAGTGTGGGAAAATGCGTCCCTCTCTCCTTCCTGGATTAGAAAAGTCATCATCCTGCTAGTGTGAATCCATGTCCTGTGGTGGCCCTCTCAGGAGGGATTGTGATTAAAGAATGGACAACCCAAGGGAATCATGTGTCATGGTGGAGCATACAGGCCAGCAGGTGAGTTGGGGAGGCGCCTTTACAGAGGAAACCTTGAGCTTCTTCTGTGATATTCATTACAGAACTTCCCCCAAAGACAGATGACATCCATTTATAATTATTTCACCAGTGACTTTTGAGCTCATGCAGTTCTATTTATTTTTCTCTCTGAAAGTAAGAAACTTTCTTTAAAGGATTTCTGCCATTTGGACAATGTGCTATGTCCCCATTGGTGTTAATCAGTTGGTGGGATATAGAAAAGCAAAGTGGCCAGGCTCAGCCTTTTCTCTCGATCTTTTTTTTTTTTTTTTTCCTTTCTTAAGAAAGGGTCTTGCTCTTTTGCCCAGGCTGCAGTGCAGTGGTACAATCAGAGATCACTGCAGCCTCCAACTCCTAGGCTCAAGCGATCCTCCAGCCTCTGCCTGCCAAGTATCTGGGACTACAAGCATGCACTCCTGTGCTTGGTTAATTTTGACTATTTTTTTGTAGAGATGGGGCTTGCTTGCTTTTTTCTCCAGTCTGGTCTTGAACTCCTGGCTTCAAGCAGTCCTCTCACCTCATTCTCTCAAAGCACTGGGATGACAAGCTCTTTCTTTATACCAGTCCTCAACTTGCACTCTTTCCTGCATACAGCTTGTTTCTCTAATGTGGCTGTTCTCATGTTTACTTAATGGCCCAGCCATCTCCTCCTCCTCCTCCTCCTCCTCCTCCTGCTTTCTATTCTCCTTCCTCATCATTGTCCTCTTCTGCGAGTTCAGAAAATTGGGTTACAATACCTACAACGTGCAGTGAGGACACTCTTTTATCATAACCCCAGTAGGCTTATGGTGCTTGTATCTGATTTTTCATAGTCTTTCGCTTGTTAATTTACTGCACATATGTTCCTTTCTCTTGTGCATTACTGATGTGTTTAAGAATCTTGAATATCTATATGGTGCTTAGAGATTTCACAGCAGTTGATTGAATGCTGTTACCTCAGCATCCTCTGTGAAACTGGGTATGACTACACCCATTTTGCTGATGAGGAAACTGAGGCATAAGAGGATCCGATAAATTACCCAGAGTCACACAGCTCACAAGCAAGTGCAGGCTTCCAGCCAAGGTTTGCTGGCTCATGCGTTTCATGCCTTCTCTATGGTACCATACAGGCACTTTGTCTCCCAGTGGAATATAAGTTCTTTGAGGCCAAGGACTGTGTCTTATTCTGTGTTGCATCCCTTTGGCTTCAGCCTCATTGTCTTGAGTTTATTAAGCATTTGGAACATTTCAGCTGAATGAGTGAATGAGTGAATGAGTGAAGCCATCAGTCAAATCAGAACACTGCTCACACATGCATCCCAAGTCCAGCTGTCGAACGTCTGGAACTGAGCAGTATGGAGCCTGTTAAGACCAGTGATGCTGTGGCCTGAATAACAACAGGATAGGAACATTCCCTTCTTCTCATAAATCTTGTAAATTTGCATTGTTTGTGCCGAACAGGGCCCGTGTGTTCTGATAGCAAACATGGAGAGGCCCAAAAGGCTGATCTGGGACCATGTCCCCATTGAACACTGCTCTGTGCTGAGTCTGCAGAATATTTAAATAAGGGGTTAATTTATAAAGTGAGCTACGGGAAAGTTTCCAGGATTGTCGTGCGTGTGTCTCATAAATCGGCACAAATTGAATCTAGGTTTCTAGGTTTCTGTGCCCCTCAGCTCCTAAGTAAACCAAAATTTATTGAGAGGTGTATAGGTTGCCATCCAAAGAAACATAGTAAGTGAGAAAAGTGTATCCTCAGGAGGTCTGTAAACAAGGTCTGAAGGCTGGCAGAAAGGACCAGGGTCTGCAATGTAGAATCCCCATTGCCGATGATCAGAAAGTACAGCGTAGTTTGTTGCAGATGAAGACAGGGTTCCAGGAATTCTTGATCTTTCTTGAACATTCCACTGACTTCTTAACAGAATAAAGATTTTGTATATTGCAGAGATAATTTATAGATACAGGTACAAAGGGGATACAGACAAAGAGAAAGGCTAACTTCAGGATGTTGCGTATGTCAAATCATTACATTAGTTTACCCAGAACCAAAAAAATTATGCAATATATAAATATGAAGCTTTAGTTTTTCATGATTGTTCGTAATGACATTATTATGATAATGACTGTTTGTAATAATCATGCGTACCACCTTAGTCTGAGCAATCATATTAGCAGTTCGTAATTATTGAAGGGCTGTCAGGAACCAGACACTGTGCTGAGTGTTCTACAAACTGTATTTCCAGTCTTCTTTTTTGTTCAATTTCCACTCAAATTTTTAAAGGGGTTTGGAGGGCGTTAGTGTGCCCATTTTACAGAGGTGGAGGAGGAAGCTCCAAAAATGAAGCCCAAGGATCTTAAGGTAATATATGGGCTTGAATCCAGTGTATCTTGCTCCGACAGCCTTGCTTTTGTCATTATCCAACATTAGCTGTCTTTATTATAGTGGCCTTCTTACCACCTAGAAAACAAGTGCCAGCATTCTAGTAAAATTTATTCACCTTCCGAGATTATTTACTATTTTAGTCTGTAGCTTTTATCCCTTTAACTACACCATTCAAAGCGTTGTGCAAAATATTCTAGTAGTAAATAGAGGCTTTAAATCCACACGTTGATAATGGTCAAATCCTCTTAAAGGGGCCAGCAACAAAAATGACTTTAAAGGGGAAATATTCCTTCAATGTTACAAGCGCCCATGAGCATGTTAGTAGAGCAGTTGTGTGTTGAAGAAAGAGAAGGTGGAGTGATACTGAATACCCCGTAAAATCACACAATCAGCACTTAAGAATGTTCACACAGTTGTTCACACACATATTGATATCAGACCTTATAGCAGTCCTATTGGCTAGATCAGTTATTATGAATGTGTTTTATAGAGTAGGAAACAGAGATGCGACGTGACTTGCCTAAGAACACACAGCAGTTCTGAAACTCACCCTGTGCTAATCTGACCTCGTGAAGAAATTGAGCAAACTAGGCTCCAGGGAGAAACGAAAACAATAACAACAAAAAATGTATTGCCAAAAAATTGCTAGCAGACATCTAGAAAAATGTCTTCAACTTCTTTTGGTAGGAAAAGAGGAAAAATTCAAATCTGAATTCAACATATTTATTTTTTTGTTTCTGACTTTTTACGTAAACAGAGCTCTGAGTTGTATCCTCAGATATATTTGAGACTAACAACAAGGAAATATAAAATTATGTTACTACCTAAGCTGCCACTTCTTCAAAGCCTCGTTATTCTTGTTCCCTTCAATGTATTTCAACTCCAAAATACATAGTGACATGAAAATTGTGTATTCACATTGTTCTATTGATTTCGTTGAGAAAGTGACCTTGTATGCACACATGAGAATTTAGAGATCTATATATACCGCCTGGCCTCTTCTTTGTAAGGGTATAACAGCAGTGGTTAACATGCATTTTTTTTTTTTAACAGTTAGATTTACTCTTCCTTTGCACAGACTAATAGCACACTGAGGTAGGATCCAGGGACGGCTCCTTGGCAAGTTGTACTGCTGTGGCCTAGGGAGGGACAACTGGCAGGGCCACACAAGGAGGTAAAACCTTATGCTCCATTTGCAAAGCCAGTGGCCCCAGCAGAGATAGGAGGCCCTCTCTGTGATTTCGGCAGTGGTTTCCCTGGGATTGAGGTCTCCTGAAACTTATTCCCGCAAGGACATACTACTGTGGACCCACCTGAAGGGTGGCATCCACTCTTCTAGTAGGATCTCACATTGGTATTTTCAGACACTTCTGCCCCTTGCCATGTTTAGTAAGTCATCTATGTTGTTTGGGAGGAAAGAGAATGAGCATTCCTCAGTTCCTGCACTGCACCAGGCCTTGCCAATACAGTACCTCATTTAATTCTTGCTACCATCCTTGAGGTGGCTGGCATTAGGCCATTTGCGGGGTGTAGAAAATGACATGCAGAAATACTGTAGCAGCTCACTTAATATCAGGCAGATGGTAAGTGGCAGAGATGAGGCTGGACCCCAGGATTTCTGACCTAATTTCTGATCTCTTTAATTATTCTATACACCAAAAGCCCCTGTGGTTTGGATTCCTAATCACGGGACTGAGATGAAACAGAATCTCTTAGCATAGGGGGCCAAGCAGTAGATGGGCTTTTGCGAAGAAGTTTTTTCTTTTTTCAGAGTCAGAGGTTGGCAGCAAAATATGAGAGATGGAAGGTCAAGTGCAGCAGAAGAGAGAAACAGGGAGAGTGGAGGTTGTTCTCTAGAACATAGAAGCCGCTTCTTCATCCCACACAATGGAAACCAGAGCCCAGATTATATTAACAAGAAGTTCCAGAATTGCAGATGGCCCTTTGCTGCTTAGGGAGGGGGGAGAAGAAGAAGGAGAAAAAGAAGAAAAAGAAAAAGAGCAGGTGGAAACTTAAAAAAATGTTTAGCTGCATGTAGATGGCTTTTATTATAACTGCTAGGCTGAACCAGAAGACTTGAGCTATGTAAAAATGTCACTTGCTCTTATCACGGTTCATAGAGATTACCTTTCAACGCGAGTTTCATTTTCATTTCTTCCAACACTTAGAGAAGTGAACGAGGCAGTGACTCCTTTATTCCCTAACCCTCACCCAGCAACTTGCTTTTTCCTCTGTGTTTTGTGTCATTCTGTGTGATATTGCATCAAGGCAATTCACGGCAGTGGTTGAACCAAAAGCAATTTAAGTCAAAAATGGACAAATATGGATGTCACTTATAAGGCTTGTTCAAAGGCCTTTGACATCACTCAAAGCCTGAACACTTCTCAGGAGTGGGATACTTTTTTTTATTATTATTTTTTATTTTCTAGCAGTGCAAGATTGAAGATTTAATACAGACCTCTTAGGCGTCTGCGTGGTTCTTACCTAGAAACTGTTTATTGGTGAACCAAATATTTTGTATCTTATACCAAGAAAGAGGGGCTGACAAAGATTGAGTGATTAGAAATCCAAGTGAATTTCTATTTATTATTTTGACTTGGTAATTTGTAATAACAATAGCCACCATCTATCTATACTTCCTAGATTTGGGCATGGTGTTAGGAGTCTTATATTTATTATTTTACTTAATTTTCATAGTCATCCTGTGTAGAAATATCAATAAATATAAAGGTAAGTATTATTGTCCCCATTTTACAGATGAGAAAATGGAGTCCCAGGGACCTACCTGCTCAAGGGCACAGAAAGCTTGAATGAGTAAATTTACTTTGTGTTGTTCCAAAGGTTTCTCCAAAGGTCTTTGCACCTCCCAAGGCTATTCTCATTTTGAGAAAGACTGGCACAGTTAGAGGCCAGGAACCCATCTTGGCTGTGTGCCTTCTGCTTTGTCTCTGGGGTTGTGGGGAAGGCTGGTAGCTTGAGAGCCTCCTCCTTCAACTCTGTCAGGCTGCATGCACATTGGAAGGTAGCTTTTCAGGTTGTGGTGGGTGGTGGTGAAGCAGAGGGATGCAAAGCAGGGTACGTGGAGGGCTGTGCCTTGGTCATTCCCAGGAAGCAAAGCGAGCGTCAAAAAAAGACAGGGTAGTTGGGCCATGGCGTTGCAGAGTGACAGTGAACCAGGAACCAGAAGAGCTGACTTCAGAGGAGGCTTTAGGCGCTCCTGCATGTTGATTCTTAGAGAACTAAAGACACAGTTGCATCTTAAAATGTTGAGACTTACACGTATACACAATAAGAATATTTTCTTTGGCTGCAAATGTACTATAAAAGAGTGAAAAAGCCAATCCCAAAAGATTACATTGGTAGGATTCCATTTACATAATGTTCTTGAAATTAGAAAATTATAAAAATAGAAAACAGATGGCTGGGCACGGTGGCTCACTCCTGTAATCCCAGCACTTTGGGAGGCCAAGGCAGATGGGTCACCTGAGGTCCGGAGTTCCAGACCAGCCTGACCAATATAGTGAAACCCCATCTCTACTAAAAATACAAAAAGTTAGCCGGGCGTGGTAGCACACACCTGTAATCCCAGCAACTCGGGAGGCTGAGACAGGAGAATTGCTTGAACCCGGGAGTCAGAGGTTGCAGTGAGCCCAGATCGTGCCCCTGTACTCCAGCCTGGGCAACAGAGTGGTACTCCATCTCAAAAGAGAAGAAAAGAGAAGAAAAGGAAAGACAACAGATAAGTGATTGCCAGGGACTGGAGAGGAGTGGGGGGTGAGTGGGAACCAGAGTGGATTTAAAACAGCAACTGGAGGATCCTGGTATAGATGGAAATGTTCTGCATCTTGACTGTCTCAATGTCAATTTCCTGGTTGTGAAATCGTACTAGAGTTTTGTGAGATATCACCTATGGGGGAAACTGGATCAAGGGTGCATGAGATTGCTGTATTATTTCTTGACTGCATGTGAATCTACACTTATCTCAAAAATAAAAACTTTCATTAAAATCAAATAACTGCTTAATATTTTGGGGGAAAAATTCAACAAGTAAATTCAAATCACCCACGAGCCCACCACCCAGAGAGAGTCACCTGCTCTATTTTGATATATTTTCTCTTCCTCCCTTCCAGTCTCTCTCTTCTGTTCCTAGATATAAAATGGAGAGGTTTTAAAATGTAATTACATCTAACTATCCCCTGGCTTGGTAATATCCAACCTTTTCATGTCCTCAGAGAGGTCCAAAGGCTTTGCTGAAACTTGTTGGTTTGGCATTGATTTTGACAAAAGACAGCAACAAGATCCCCTTTCTAGGAACCCATGTGGATTACTATGGATTCAGAATGGATGCATTTTATGTACAGGGCTGTGACTTTTTCTTTCCCCTTCCTCATGCTAATAGGTGTTAATACTTTGCAATAAATATTACTTATGTCTATGAAATGAACTGCATCCCAGCCTGTCAGCACATATTTATTTTCTCATTTTAGTTTCTCCAGGTTCTCACTGTTATGGAGGGTGGGGAGGGGGTAGAATAAGGTTAGGCTGGAGGGCATATCTGATTTGGAAAATACATCCCTGGTGATGTTCCTACCAAGTCACAGGCTTGGTTGGTGATGCTAAATTGGGACTGAGGAATGGGTTAGGAGAAGGCTTGAAGAACCCACCTCCTAAAACCGTCTCATCATCGTCTAGAGATATTTCTCCAAGTGCTTTTGTTTCCAGTGACCTCCCAACCCCAGGAACTAGCGAAGCCTTCAGGCAGGTAAGCGCACAAATCCTGCATTTTCTAGTTAACCATATATTATTAGCTAGTGACTTGAGCAAGTTGCTTCATTTTCCTGATCCTCCATTCCCTTTTCTGAGCCACAGTTTCTTCGTCTTTGAGTAGAGTTAACAAATTACTGGGTGTTTGAAAGATCAAATGAGTTAGCACATGAGAACATGCTTTGCACAAACAAAGTTGTATGCAAAATAAGTTATCATTATGGCATGGGAGAAACTGTTTGTGGACATTGCCTCCCAGTTGACCCTCAGTGTGTACTTGTGGAATAATTTTTTAATATAAAATAATTACCATCACTAATCCTAACTGTGCACATTCTTGACTCTGTGACACTGAGCAAAATCCTGAACCTCTCTGTGCCTTGATTTCTTTCACGTCTTGTTCTAGTTTTGAAGAGCGATTCTTGTGTGAATTCAGGGAGAGGAGGCATGAGGCATGGTAAGGCCACTGTACGTCTGTGGTTGACAAATTCAGTAGGCCCACAGTCAATGCAAAAGTCCTCTTGCCTCTGCAGCACAGTTACAATGAAGAGGAGCGATGGCATGGCATGATCCCACTACTTAGGGAGGCTAATTATGTAGTGTCTACAGAGCCAGTGGTTTATTTTGCATTGTTTATGTCAGCATTAAGCAGTATTGTTACACAGTTTGTAAGTCTTAAAACTCAGTATCTACTCTAGTAGTTGCTCCAAATGTGATGTCCTCATAAATCACCGAGGGATCTTGTTAAATTTGGATTCTGATTCAGTAGGTCTAGGTGGGGCCCGAGCTTCTTTGTTTCCTTTTCTTATTTAATTTTTGTGGGTACCTAGTAGGTGTGTATGTACATATATATGTATATATATATGTGGTTTTTTCAAAAAAATTGTGGGCACTTAGTAGGTATATATATTTGTGGTCTGTGTTTCTTATAAATTGGTAATCCCCCAGGGGATGCCTGCCTTGTTGGTCCAGGTAACACACTTGGAGTAGCAAACATCTAGACGTAGTTCTCAATAGTAGGACTATTGCCAGTGGAGGGGGCATTTTGGAAATTTGGAAAGGCATTTTGGTGGCCTTTGGCACTTAGCAGGTGGGGTCCACGGGTCCATCCTGTGATGCCATAGGCAGTCCAATATAACAAAGAACTGCCCTCGTCCCGGTAACATACACCTGTGCCCCCAGACATTCATTTCGGTAAAAAACTTGTTTCCATTGATCTGACCCCAGAATTCCCTGTGCTTATACAGATACACAACGTGCACTGGGTCTTCCAGAAATGCAGGGGCCTTCTAAATCAAGGGAAGATTGTGTGGTGTTTTGTTCCAGTCTTTTACCAAGGTCTCAATACCATCTTGAAACATCATGCAGCACTGCTCATAATATTTGAGTCACCATAATGTGATCTGTCTACATATGTAGCTGTTTGTATTCATGGTGATTAAATAGTTGGGTGCTAGACATGCCCTTAGCGAGCAGCTCATGAGAGCAGATTTTGCCTGTTTCTTCCAAAATCTGGATTCAGTGACATCGTGTTGGTAGCTTGAAACTGACCGTGGTGAGAATATTTACACCATGGAAAGTGGCAAATGCTACTAATAAGGATGATTGTTTTAGTTTTCATTTTGTAATTTTCAGAGTTGGTTTACCAATATGATGTCTGTATTAAAATATATGTAATGCTGCTTTCAAAATGTTAAGTATTATGAGAATACATTAACAAAACTCTGGCGAATTTTTTGTCTTATGTTTCTTGAATCCAAACCTATAAGTAGGTGCAAACATTAGACGATTTCATTTTGGGCTTCTGATACACTCCTGTCCGAGAAGTTACCTTTGAAAATGTGTACTATTTTATTGTCAATTATGTTTTCTTTAAAAAAAATTTATGACATATTACTTTTGCTAATTATGTGTGTGGGTAGATTATGTTATTCATGAATTTTATTTCAGGACCTTGGTAAGGGGTTATACAATATTTCTTTTGAAACGAGGGTCTCGATTATTGGGCTTGAGTATCCTGATCTAATTAATGCACTGGACAGAGCTGGCAGACGTGTGGGACACCCAGCTATTCTCTGGAAGGGAAGGGGGATATAAGAGACACACTATAAAGGTGAATGGTAATTGGCATCTCCCCTTCAAGGGGACCAGGAGGATCTGAGCTGACTGGGTGCCTTTGTGGAAGTGTGTTTTGAACTGAGATTAGAGAGATCAGCAATGTATCTCTTAAAGTAATCCAGGAGGAGTTCATTTTCAACCGATTCAGCAGTGGAACACTTGAAGAGGAGGAAGTCAAAATTCAAAATGGGTTGGGTGCAGTGGCTCTCTCCTGTAATCTCAGCCCTTTTAGAAGCTGAGGCAGGAGGATTGCTTGAGGCCAAGAATTTGAGACCAGTCTGGGCAACATAGGCAGACCCCATCTCTAAAAAAAAAAAAAAAAAAAATTAAATTAGCTGGGCTTGGTGGTGCACACCTGTAGGCTGAGCTGCTCGGGAGGCCAAGATGGGAGAATTGCTTGAGGCTGGATGTGTGTGGCTATGGTGAGCTAGGATCACGCTACTTTACTTCAACCTGGGTGAAAAAGTGACACCCTGTTTCGAAAAAGAAAACAAAAAGTTGGAAATGAGTGGGAAAGGATCTAAGATGATTGGAAACAGTGTACATAGAATACAAGAGGAGTTGGGCATGCTGGCTCATGCCTGTAATCCCAGCACTTTGGGAGGTCAAGGCGGATGGATTGCTGGAGCTCAGGAGTTTGAGAACATCCAGGGAAACATAGTGTGACCCCATTTCTACAAGAAGTAAAAAAAATCAACTCACACCTGTAGCCGCAGCTACTCAGGAGGCTGAGGCAGTAGATTCATTTGAGCCCAGGAGGCGGAGGTTGCAGTCAACCAAGATCACGCCACTGCACACCAGCCGGGGGTGACAGAGTGAGACCCTATCTCAAATAAAAATAAAAATAGAATACAAGGGGGGATAAAGATAGACTTAAAATACGCTCTCTAGAAAAAAGAAAGAAATATGGAAAGAAATCTAATTTAGAAAAATGCACGCACCCACAGGCACGCTTCACAGGACTGGCAGGTGGAGAGGATGTTTGTTAACAGGGCTGGCTATTTTACTTTAAGTGCTGCAAACATTGCACTAATGTTTGGGTCTTTGCTTTTGGCAATCACTTCTCTTGTTAATTTTTTTTTGGCACCATAGAAATGTTTCCATAAATAGTGCATTCAATGGAGTGTGTTACTTTATTACTGTCAGCCACTGTCCTAGGAGAGGAAAATTCAATAAACACAAAAGCAAAGATTAGAACGTTGAAAGCTTCCAATTCCAGATCCTTCATGAGCTTGTACCTCTAAAGAATGCGATTTTTCTATTTCTCCACCTGCAAAATTCTTACTTTTTGGGCTGGTAAAGCCACCTAGGTCAGTGCCATGTCCAACCCAATCTGGAAAACGATTATTGTGGTGCCTGTTTTGTTGACTTAACAAAGCCAATCGCCCATTCCTATGCTGCTAAGATGCGAATGCCCAGCTCAGGGGATGAGATTACTGTCAGCTTTGCCTAAGCTTTGGGCATTAGCACCCTCCATATGCAACAAACCCACAAATGACATGTTTTGACTCTTTGACACAGAATGGTTGGAAATCACTTCCTTGGCCAGAGCAGGGGTCCGGTGTAAAGGAGGAAATAAAAATAAAAAAGCATAAATGAATGAGGAAGTGAGCAAATCACACTCATCGAGGAGCAAAATAATTCATTCCCTCTCCGTGGCTCAGCATGGATGCAAATAATGTATCATTAAGTAAGTCCACAAAACAAAGACAGCCAGCATAACTGTTGCATCAAATATTTAGCCAGAGCCAAAAGCAATTTATTATGTTTTTTAAAATAAGTTTGATTTACTAACCTTCAGCACAATCCCTATTTTTAGAGGTTGGCTCATATTTTTAATTTGTTTTCTCTGAAGCGCTGCATCCTTGGTAGCGTTTCAGCTGTCCACTCGGTTCCTAATGGCAGAGCAACACCGAAAAGCGTAATTACATTTCCTAATTATGTGTAATTAGGCAAAACCCAGATGATGTATTCAACATGCTCTGAGAATAGCCAGGGGTTAAAGACTGCTGGAATTTGGTAACATTTTTATAAATAAGCTGGTGCGTTATTTAACGTGGAGGTCTAAGGTGACGCTGGGTGCCTTGTAGACCGATACTGTGGTTGAAATCTATCGTATTTGTTTATTTAGCCAAGTAAAACTGTAAGTGATTCCCCACCTCCATACCTTCCCCTCTTTTGGAAACCAGAGTTTAGTTGTGCTATTCTTAGCCCAAGAGAGGCCCTCTAAACCCAGAACCATAAAGTTCTGCTTACTGACAGCCTAAGTGATATTTATTTTTTCAAAGCTTAATCCTTTTGAAACATGGAGAAATAAATACATCCTCTTATCTACCATATGCCTGGGATGGGAAATAAATTCTTATTTTCCTGCCGTGTGGTACCAGTGGGTTACGATGAATAATTTGGGCAGTCTCACTGAAGATAATAGGGAAGCCTTCTCTATTACCAGTGATAATTATGAATCTCATAATGGAAAACATCCCGAGCCCGAACATCAATCAGGGAAGATAAACAATGGGAAATGATAGGTGTACAAAAGGGAAAATGGCAACAGCACATGTGGAGGGAAAGACCGCAGAATTCTGGCAGGGTTATAAATCATACAGTCAAATAATTTCCGTGCAATTAATATCCTCAAATTAAAACATACCTTTTTAAAGAAAGATTTTGCAGACTTTTAAGCTGGGCAACTGTCTGCCTTACAAGATGCGTCTGGAAACCCCAGTGCCATCCTCCTTTTTTAGTCTTGTATATTTATGTATCCCCGGCCAGAGTTGGCTGGGGCACAGTCTAACAGTGTCACCGTGTAAGCTGACCCA
Organism: Homo sapiens; assembly: GCF_000001405.40. NCBI lineage: Eukaryota > Metazoa > Chordata > Mammalia > Primates > Hominidae > Homo > Homo sapiens. The sequence goes on from NC_000016.10 coordinate 78,844,845, forward strand.
GTGACCTTGCTCTAGCTCACCAGGGACTGAGCATACACCAAAGTGGCCAGAGCTAGTGGTTGCTGACTCTCAGGATCTTTGGCCCTGAGAGAACAACAAAGACTGGCCTATTGAGGCAGGAAGTCTTAACTTCCTTGGCCAGCCTGAAAGGCTGTCTCCAACCATGCGGACACAGCGCAGTGAAGCGGTTGGAAAAGCTACAGACAAATGGAAAACCTTCATTCCAAAGGGTCGTTGTCTCCTCCTATTTAATAGCCCTGCATTCATGCACTTTTTTTATCTTGCTGTCTTTTTTTTTTTTTTTAATCAAATACCAAAGTACTTCTATGGACTGGTCTTAAAAAAAAAAAAGAATCCATTCATAACTGTGAAAAAATACTGCCTATTAGTCTGCTATTGTGGCTCAAAATGAAACTTAAGACTACATGGCTAATTTATTTACTGCATCATGGGTGAAGACCAACAAGGTTTCCAGCCTTTCCTCCTATCTGTCTGCATGTAGAAATTCACAGACCACGGCCATTCTGACATGAATATCAAATGAGAAGTTTTCCATTCCAAACCCTTTTTAGGAGCGGCCTGGAAACTGGAGTCAACTGTCAAATATGTCCTTATGGCCACAAAGTATGCTCATGGATTCTCTTTTACAGGCTTAGCATAATATTTTATAAAACATATTTTTAAAGAAAGTGTAATTTTCCCCCAAAAGCAAGGGTTTTCCAATGCCATATAATTTACTAAGTGTGGCTTTGCTGCGTAATAGTCCATAATTTATAGTCAGCCTCCACAAGGCAAAAAATAACTCCAAGCTATGATTAAGTAAGTAATGGACAAGGTAACTAATATTTCCGGAAGAATGGCCTTCCAGACACTCATTTTAAGTGACAAAATGGTTGAAGGTTGAGATATGTACTAATCCTGTACTAATTTAATGGAATCAAGAAATGACATTATAAGCTGGCTTATGTGGGCACTTAAGACATGGAGCTGAGAGTGAATATGAGAGTGAATATTCTGCACGTCCATTTTAATGACCTTGTGCCTCATTTTCCCCATTTAAGGTAGATGGGTTTATGCCTAATTGTGCCACCAGTTTTTCCCATAAAATAATTCATTTGGAAGGGGTGGCCTAATCCAGTCTGAACCAATTCTAAGATGGTAGCGTGGATGCGGGAGGCACTGCACAGGATGGAAAGCATGGAGTTTGGAATCTGGCACAAGTGGATTTGAATTCAGACTTAGTCATCAGGAGCTGTGGGACCTTGGGAAAGGTTGGTTGGTTGGTTTGTTCCAGTTTTTAAATTTTGAAATAAATGTTGGCTTACAGAAAAGCCATAAAAAATACTGCAAAGATTTCCCATGTACTCTTCACTCAGCTTCCCCTAATACTAACATGATACATTTTTCAGCACTGAGAAGTTAACCTTGTTATGATGCTATTAACTACACTCAGACTATAACTGACCAACAGACTTTATTTGGATTTGACGGTGTGTCCTCTTCCTTCTTTTACAACCAGATACCACCTGGCATTTATTATCATATCTCTCCAGTCCCCTCTGGTCTGGGACAGTTTCTCATGCATTATTTTTTTTAATGGCCTTGAAATTTTTGAAGAGTTCCGGTCAGTTATTTTGTAGAATGCCCGTAATTTGGGTTTGTCTGATGTGTTCTCTTGATTAGAATGACGTGGTGCATTTTTGGGAGGAATATACATAAGTGATGTGCCATTCTTCGGCCATCAAGTCAGAGGATGTGTAATGTGAAAATATCTTATTACTAGTGATGTTAGCCTTGACCTCTCGGTTAACGTGGTATCTGCCAGATTTCTCCACTGTAAAGGATCATTTTTTTCCTTTGTAATTAATAAATATATTGGGGGAGGTACTTTGGGACTACTTCTCAAATTTTCATCCATTAATTTTAGCATCCCTCTGGGGATCTTGCCTGCAATGATTAATACTGTGGTATTCTCATGACTGATATTGTCTTTCTGTCATGCCTTCTATTTTTTGGTGGGAATTCTTCTACATGGAAGGCTGTTTCTTCTTCTCCATTTATATTGGTATGGATACGTGAATATTTAGTTTATTCTGTAGGTCATAATACGACAGTATTGTGATATATTTTGGTGCTCAAATTGTTCCGGCTTTGGCCCATAGGAGGTCTTTCGGGCAGGTTCCTGCACCCTTTTGACATGCCCCGTTCTTTTTTGAGCACTTTCTTATTTTTTGGCACTGTAAGAGGCTTTACACTGTCATCTTGGACTTCCCTGCCTCAGTCTTGGAATTAACTCATTCTCCATGGAGGCTTGGTTCGTTTTATTATAGAATCATATTTAGAACTAAGATCTAGGTGCTAGTTGCGCTCATTACTGCTGGAGTGTCATTGCTTCTAGAACTTCTCAACAGAGTTTAGAAATATGTGTATTATACAAACCCATGCACATACACCTATCTCCATTTATTCCTGTATCTCTGTGTATATTATAATTTTAGTATATTTATATTTCTTTCTGGACACATTCCATTATTTGTTCATATATTTATAACATATCAGTATCTATTATAAATTATATATATGTACACTTTAATGTGTGTTTGTACCTAATTCCAATCCAACACAACAACTGGGTTTTTTCAAACTTGTTTCTTTGTTTTTTTCTTTTTGTGGAGAGCAGGGTCTTGCTATGTTGCCCAGCTCAGTCTCAAAGTCCTGGGCTCAAGCGATTCTCCCGCCTCAGCTTCCCTAAGTGTTGGGATTACAGACTTGAGCCACTGCATCTAGCCACAACTGAGTTCATTATTCTGAGCTTTCTTTGGGATGTTATTTAACTCTCAGTTTCTTCTTCTATAAGATGGAAATAATAACAACTAAAGGCTAGGATTTGGGGAAGGTATGGTAAATTGTAAAAATGGTAGCTTGTTTAAAAAAAAAAAGAAGAAGAAAAAGGAAAACAGTATTTCCCTCACCGCATCAACACCTGTCCTGTATGACTGGCATTGCCCAGTGGAATCTTAGCAGCAGAGGCATGACAAGCGGTCAGATACTGGGACTTTCTGTTTCGTTGCTTACAACCCTGTGACCACTGCACGAACAACCCTGAGCTGACCTGCTGGAGCATGGTGGCCACATAAAGGGAGAGTGGTTGCCCCAGCTGATAGCCTGTCGGTGCCTGGCATATGAGTGAGGTCCCTCTAGAGTCATCTAGCTACTAGCCAAGCTACCACCTGACCCCAGACACACCAGAGAAAGAGCACAGCCCATTCGCGGACTCAGAAACTAAATATAAGAAAAATGGTCACTGTTGTTACTCACTGGGTTTTGCAGGGGTTTAATATCCAGCAAATGCCAATGAATTAGAGTTGACATACGGAAAACAAGTAAGAGTAACTTTGTACACCGTGGGCTCCCAATCAGTGCTGCTTTTCGTTGTTGATGTTGTTGTTAATGTTGAAAAAATCTTCAAGTCATATTTGCCCCCACAGACCTTCCCAGACAGTCTAACTAAATGCACTGTATTTGCTAACTGTTGGAACTTGGCTTTTGGACTAGACCAGCACCTCGAGAAAGAACCACTGTTAAAATGTAAGGCTCTGAGTGTTTATCAGCTCACACCAAGGAAGAGAGAGCTCAGGAGCGACTGGGCATGAGGTGGAGTGAGCACTGTGAATGCTGGGGAATGGAAAGTCCTTTATGTGGTGTTGCCTAAGGGTACGGGGAACCTGGCCTGGTGTTGGGAGGAAACAGGGTGCAGAGTGGGAAGGGCAGGAGTATCTAAGTGGCCAAATTTAGCCTAATTAACAGATTTGCCTAGGGCTGACCCTGAAGCAGAAAGCAAAGCCTAGATCAGTCTGCTCTCCTCCTACCAACAGGGTAATGATGAGGTTGAACCACCAGTTCTCAATGCCATACATGAGATTCCCAAAATAGACGGGAGTTACACAGAGACCTTTTTTTTTTTTAACCTCCTCTGAGATTTTTTTTAACCTCCTCTGAGATTCTGTATTTCCTTAATGACCCGAAAAATCTATTTAGCCCAGTTTTTATCCTTGCAGATAAGTTAGTACGCTTCTTTTTCTGCTGGTTGTGATCATATTTCTATTTAGGGGTAAAGGTGCTGAAAATCATTTGCTGCGATGACTCGCAAAGACATAGTTACCATGAGCAGCAGTAGGATGGGTGGCCACCAGACTGCCATGGGCATGATCACTGTTGACAATCTTGCCACAGCTCCCCAGGGTCTACTTGGTGTCCCACGGAGGACAGTCTATACAGTAACTCAACATTAACTGTGTACCCCTCCTAGTTTGGCCACTGTTCTGCCCAAACATACAAGAGTCAATGTAAGTCTCTGGGAGCACTCACCTTTGGGCATGTTGCTACAGAGTCACTCATTCCTAGAAATTGCGAAGTCACGAAGTTGTCAAAAAACACAACGACAGGCCGGGCGCGGTGGCTCATGCCTGTAATCCCAGCACTTTGGGAGGCCGAGGCGGGGGGGATCACGAGGTCGGGAGATCGAGACTATCCTGGCTAACACGGTGAAACCCCATCTCTATTAAAAATACAAAAAAAAATTAGCCAGGCCTGGTGGCGGGCGCCTGTAGTCCCAGCTACTGGGGAGGCTGAGGCAGGAGAATGGCGTGAACCCGGGAGGCGGAGCTTGCAGTGAGCGGAGATCGTGACACTGCACTCCGGCCTGGGTGACAGAGCCTGAATCCCTCTCAAAAAAAAAAAAAAAAAAAGAAAACAACTACAACCACATTTTGAGATAGGCCTTCCTTGGCAAACTTTGATTTCGTTTCTGTATTTGAGGACAAAACACAGTATGGTTGTTTCCCTCCCTAGACTAGATTTCTAATCTTGATGCAGTGAGCAAAGGGCGAGGTTTATATTGTTCTTACCTGAGCCAAAGGACCCATAAAAAATAGAGTGATAGGCTGGGCTGGGCGTGGTGGCTCATGCCTGTAATCCCAGCACTTTGGGAGGCCGAGGTGGTCAGATCACCTAAGGTTGGGAGTTCGCGACCAGCCTGACCAACATGCAGAAACCCTGTCTCTACTTAAAATACAAAATTAGCCGGGTGTGATGGCACAGGCCTGTAATCCCAGCTACTTGGGAGGCTGAGGCAGGAGAATAGCTTGAACCTGGGAGATGGAGGTTGTGGTGAGCCGAGACAATGCCATTGCACTCCAGCCTGGGCAACAAGAGCGAAATTCCTTCTTAAAAAAAAAAAATAGAGTGATAGAGTGAGAATTTGGCTTTTAGTCTACAGAAGTTTTCACTACCAGTTTCTGTGTGTGTGAGTGTGTGTGAGTGTGTGTGTGTAAAATACCAAAGAGAAAACAATAAAAAAATAGAGAAAATAATAATAACTAGCCAATGTGTCATCACTCCAGACAACAGCCATGGTCAGTATTTGGTTAACCCATTCAGATTTTCCCCTATGAATGAGTTTTTTCGCCTCCATAATATTAGTTATAATACATTGATACTACATCCCGAGTGTTTCACTTAACATTATAGCACAAGTGTCTTCCCCTGTTGTAACATAGTGATTATTAATGTCAAATATCAGCTAGATAAAAGCTGTCAAGTGATAGAAAGTCCTTATAGCTCATGAACTCTTCAATAACTGGGAATTTATACCGTTTATAGTTTTTTTACTGCTAAGAATAATGTTGCAATGAAACGTTTGTATATAATGCTGTTTAGTCCCCTCTCCCCCATTGTTTACGATTCCTTGGAGTTCCACTGCTACTTCATATTTACCATCACCATCCTTGTTCACCATTGTTGAAGCTTTATGTAATGACGAGCCTCATCCAGGACCTACTTGTGTCTCTGTGCCAGTCACTGCCTGTGAACCAGGGGTGTGTGGACTCAGGGCTCAATTCAAAAAAGAACCCAATCTTATTGGGACAAACAGATATTGATACCCCTGGTCTTTGAGCCCCACTGTCTTTTCACACTAATGAGTTCTTAGTGTCTATTTTTGGTGATTGAGTAGAACTTGGTGCCATATTGGCTCAACATGGAAGATTTCTGTGATCACTTATTGATCAGTCATGAATAAGGAATCGGGATGGCAGTCGGGAGTGTGCCAACACCTCTCTCAGTATTCTGGGTCTCTCTGCATGTAGTGTTTCTTTTGCAGCTCCTAGAGATAAATTTTTTAATGTATTACATGTGAGTTATTTGAAAGAGGGTAGGTGTGGACAGTGAGGCCAGGTGACTTAATTTCCAGAAGCTTGCCTGTGGTATTTACCTTGATGAGTTCATTAACAATATGGCTTTCACCCTCAAACTTGCTCATTCAGAAATTAGACTTTGTGAGCCCACTAAGAGTAGGTCTTTCTGTTAGGTACAGACTCTACAATAACCAAATTCACAGAAACTGATGTGTAAACCCAGGGTCATAAACAATAATTTTCAACAGGAGCTATAATTATCACATAGTTTGAAATGCTCTTGTTAATCTGAGTAGGAAGAGAGGATGAGAATTTTCTTATAGGTGGAACTACAGAAAAAGAGTTTACTTATAGGCAGAAGTACGGGTACTGAGCCAAGTGACATTGTAAGTTATTTAATTGGCAAATGATTAAAGCAAAGGTCATTGCCTATATGACTCAAATGCTTGGTTGCCTCAGAAGATAATGAGCCTGATACTTTCACAGTGAAGCTGTATTGCACGTTTGTGTTTGTTTATTTTCCATCTTTCCCACTAGACGGTGAGGGACTTTATCTGTCTCATTCACCACTTTGTCCAACCTAGGACAGTGTCAGACACATAGAGATGCTCAATAAATCTTGGCTGAGGCAATACGTTTCAAAATACAAGGTGACTCCAAATATAAAACAATTTTTTATTTTCAAATGAAGTGGACCTCCCCTAAATTTTGTGCCCAGTTTATAAACTTTAGGGGCTGTAGATGAACTGTTCAAAAGTTTTATTGTAGGATTTCACTTGCTAATGCATTTTCACAAGTAATGTATTTATTTTAAAAGACTGGAGTTTTTATATATCCTTACATTTATGAAATAATTTCATTTAAACCCTTCATGCCCATCTTCAGCATCATTGCTAAAGCCTCTTGGTTTCTGTACCTGTAATCTTCATTCATTCCTCAGCTGTTTGAAACACAGCACTTTTGGGATCCTTGTATAATACTGGCCCCACAATCAAGAGTGACTTGAACTGGGACATGTTTGTATTTCTTCAAGATGACTTTTCATTCTCTCATCTCATTCATTTTGAGGTCATTTTGTTGTTGAAATGTTAGAGTTCAACCTTAAATACTTAAGAGCATGGCACTGTCTAGAGAAAGGGAGATGAGCTTCTGTGGTAGCCAGAGGTCAAGATGGCCTCTAGTGACCCTCACTTCCTGGGTTTTACATTGCAGTATATTTCTCTTCTACTCTGAACAGGATTGTCCTGTGTAACCTACAGGGGGAAGTGATAGCGCATGACCTCTGAAGCTAGGTGACAAAATACATTTGGACTTCTGCTTTGCTTCTCTTGGATCACTCCTTGTGGCAGAAGCTAGACACCATGTTGCGAGGATACTCAAACAGCACCATGGGGAGATCCGCATAGCAAGGAATCAGGCTTCCAACAGTCAGACCAGATTGCCAGCCAACATGAGCGAGCCTTGTTGGAAGCAGTTCCTCCAACCCCCTTTAAACTTTTGGATGACCACAGATGAAATGACCATCTTGACTTAGGAGACACCCAAGTCAAATCAGCTAGCTAAGCTGCTCCTGAATTCTTGACCCAGAAAATCTATGTGAGGGAGTAAATATTTATTAATTTTTAAGATGCTTCATTTTGGAGTAATTTGCTACACACCAATATTAATACAGAGCCCATATGCGCTGCCTACAGGATAAATAATGTAATAGCTTAATAACAATTAAAATGGAAGAAAATGTAGGAGTTCCTCAATGGTTCCACCTGTTTCTTGAGGTTAAAAATGTACACATTTGTGGGCAGAAACTTTTATACAGTAATAAATTCTTTGTTCCCTCTGCATATAGCACTTTCTCAAAAAGTAGTTTGGTGACAGGCTTCTTTCTTCTCATCATTAAATGACATACTGGAGATCAGTCAGATGAACTGCAATTTATATCTTGCCCCCACCCAGTGTTGATTTGCCCGGGGTCATACAGATAATTAGTAATGTCTTATCTCAGTTTTCTTATCTGCAAAATGAGAATACCTGATGGGGTTAGTGTGGGAGTTTAATGTCTGTAAGGTGTTTAATTTGTTGCATAACAATATGTTGTACTATACGTTATAACAATATGTTAATATGTTGCCATGTATAGCCATGGCAAATGCATAGTAAATAGCAGGTATAATTATTATTATTTTTTTCTTTTTTGTTTTTTCTGAGACAGTCTTGATCTGTCATCCAGGCTGGAGTGCAGTGGCGTGATCTCGGCTCACTGCAACCTCTGTCTCCTGGGTTCAAGCAATTCTTCTGCCTCAGCCTGCTGGGATTACAGGCGCATGCCACGAAGCCCGACTGATTTTTGTATTTTTAGTAGAGACAGGGTTTTGCCACGTTAACCAGGCTGGTATTGTTTTCATTATTGTGGTTATCATTATTTATTTAGTTATTGATCATCAAAATCCAGAAATCCAGTTTCAGCAAACATTCCATAACCCGGTGTGCTAAAACCCCCTCACTGCTCTCCATTACTCATGAATCTTCTTGACCATGAGGCAGAATCTTTGTATTTTCTTCTCATCAAGGATTTTATCTGAAAAACCTGTAGTACTTCGCCTTTCCCTGGGTGGAGAAGAGGGGCGGATAAATACTTCTAAAGTAATGTAGTATGCACTCTCCTGCGTGGTGGGGGTGTAGTGGGCTTCCTGTTATGAAACCCAGCTTGTAAGCATGTATCTACATCCCAGGGAGGTTTTCACTGAACCAAGAGATGCCATAAGCAGTCCTTGTTGTAATAATTTAATAGCGAAGCCCTCAGCAATAGATCTTCAGGTAAAATGGATGCTGACTGTCTGTCTGTCATATGAAGATTCAGACATTGATGTAATTTAAAATACTTGTAGTATCATGGATACAAACATATGCCTTTTTATTTCTGAAGGAATTTCCAGAATGTTCGATTAAAAAATGAACAGAGGAAATGAAAAATAAAATTGTCTGTTGTACCACCACCTGAAGATAACCACTACTATCATTTTGCTATATTTCTTTCTATATTTTTCTCAGCATTTACACGATTGTTTTTACATAGTAGTGACTTTGCCGAACAGTTATTTCATTTCGCATCTTGATATTTTTTCTCAATTAAAATAATAATTGTGAACATTGTTCTTTCTACTCTAACTACTCAGGTTGCTTATAATGAGCTTGTATTATAATAAAACTTCATTTTATTTTAGATAAAATGAAAAGATGTTACTATGCAGGTAACTTTATTTATTATTTGCATGCAGTTTATCAAATAGAATTCCTTGGTTCAGCAAAATGAAACCTTTAAGTCTTTTAGCACCAAATGTTTGAAATTATCATGAAACACATTCTAATTTGGCAGTGAGTTCAGGAGATGAAGACTGTCCTTTAGTTAACATCAATAGCTTTCTAAAATATGTAGCCAGTTAATATTTTACTTCTGCCTATGCATCCCTCAAATTGTAACACCCCTGGAACATAAAAATTCCTCTATTGAGATTAACACCTAACGATACCTGTATTTGCTAATTTGTTTCTTTTTTTTCTTTGAAGCAGCATGTTGCTTTGTCACCCAGACTGGAGTGCAGTGGCGCGATCTCAGCTGACTGCAACCTCCGCCTCCCGGGTTCAAGTGATTCTCCTGCCTCAGCCTCCCAAGTAGTTGGGATTACAGGCACATGCCACCACTCCCAGCTACTTTTTGTATTTTTAGTAAAGATGGGGTTTCACCACTTTTGGCCAGGCTGGTGTTGAACCCCCGACCTCAGGTGATCTGCCCTCCTCGGCCTCCCAAAGTGCTGGGATTAGAGGCCTGAGCCACCGCGCCAGCTCTATTTGCTGATTTTTGAACAGCAGCTTTTTTTTTTTTTTTTTAACAAAACTTTAAAATGGGTTATGTGTTTTATTTTCTTAGTGAAGTAATGGCTTCTCAAATTTACACTCCATTATTTTATTTAAAAAAATCAGTATGATTCATCATAAATAAGTCAGGACTATGATTGACAGTCTACCTAGAAAGATTAGGAAAGTGGGGACCACCCCCCAATTATTACCTTTGTTTTTACAAGTGTGTTTAAATCTCTTTCTGTTAATTTACAATTTGAAAGGTGGGTGAGGAGAAGAGTTTGAAAAATAGATTACTGTCTTCATTAATACAGGTTTGACCTACAAAGTCTTCACGTACTTAATGATTAAAAACCAAAGTACTAAATAATAAATTATAAGAATTTATAGGAGTCATCTTCTTGAAATTAGCTTACTGAATGTTCTTATCATAATAAATCTGAGTGGGTGTCTAATTTAGTGTTAGCTGACTAAAATTGTATGTTGCGGGGAGGAAAAAAAAACACTTTTGTTTGAAGACAAATGCAGTGAGTTTAATCACAGGTGATCTGAAAGGCACCACCTATCTTTTGCTATGTTCACTTTGCAGAAACTTTGGCGAAACTGGCTGAATGAAGATCGATTCCAATTTGTAAATGTGGCAGACAATAAAATTTCCCCAAGCACTTTGATGATGTTTGTGTTAATACTTCCTGCTCAGAGCTGTAGCCCATCAGATTCTAGAGCTAACCGAAGAGGGAAGACAACCTGTCTTCTCCCAGTTTCCAGCCTGTATAGACTTAATCATTTTCAAGGTTTAAGGTTGTTTTTGTTTATTGGTTGGGGTGGAGAGAGACGCACCACCTCTCCTAACTTCTGTGTTTGCTTCCCTCATGCTGTGTGGATCAGAAAAGATAGCCTGTTCATTCATCACTTATTTCCTGACTTCCACCTTGGGTCTGTCAGATTCTGTGTGAAGCCCAGGGGATCCAGGGAAAATTGAGGCCCAGTCCTTACTCTCATGTAACTCGAAGTCTTTTACAGAAGACAGACTTGGGAACAAATCAATCAAAATGAGTTTTGTACGGAAAAAGTCGGTGCACGCACAAGGTACCCAAGAAGGAGGTGACTAACTTTATCTAACTTTACTTGCAGGGCAAGGCAAATAATTAGGGAAAGTTTCCTTCAGACAGGGGAAGACAAATATGAGTATCCAGGGAGGATGTTTCTGGCAGAGGGATCAGCATAGGAAAGGAGTTCAGGGTTGAAAAGAGTCAGTCTGGTCCCTAGAAATAATTTTTTTGGTGCATAAAGGGCCAGAACAGAATGACAGAGGAAAATGATAAGGATTTAGGCAGGGACTGCGTTGGAAAGGGCCTTGCAACAGGCCTGGACGTTGTTTGTAGGCAAGTAGGGGCACCGAAAGCTTTAAAGCAGGGAGTAACAGGCTTGTAGTGACTTTTATCGAAGTAGAAGTTGAATAGATCTAGCCTGGCACAGTGGCTCACGCCTGTAATCGCAGCACTTTGGTTGGCTGAGGCGGGTGGATAGCTTGAGGTCAAGAGTTCGAGACCAGCCTGGCCAACATCACAAAACCTCATTTCTGCTAAAAATACAAAAATCAGCTGGTTGTGGTGGTACACCCCTGTAATAGCAGCTACTCAGGAGTCTGAGGCAGGAGAATCCCTTGAACCCAGGAGGCAGAGATTGCAGTGAGCCCAGATCATGCCACTGCACTCCAGCGTGGGTGACAGAGCAAGACTCTGTCTCAGAAAGAGGAAAGAAATGGAATAGATCTCTTTCAGTACAATGGGAAGGGGCATATAATTCAGTACTTTAAAAAAATGTACTATCTTATGAAATAGAAATATACATGTACATAGATTTAACACACATATTCACGAACATACACATTTACATATACAGTCATCATTGCTTAGAGAGGAGGTTGTGTTCTGAGAAATGCTTCGTTAGGCCATTTTGTCATTGTGCCACCATCATAGAGTATACCTATACAATCCTAGATGGTATAACCTGCCATACTCCTAGGCTAGGTAGAGCATATTGCTCCCTGGCAGCAAACATGTACAGCATGTTTCTGTCCTGAATACTGTAGGCAATTTTAATACAATGCTAAGTATTTGCATATACAAACATAGAAAAGGTACAGTTAAAATATGGTATTACAATCTTCTGGGATCACCATTGCATATGTGGTTCATTGTTGATCAAAATGTCATTATGCAGTGTGTGATAGTGCTTAAATAATTTATCTCACATATGCAAAGAGTTTTGGCTAAGGGAAAAGAAAAATGTGAACCTCCTAATAGAAAAATGGGCAAAGATAATGAACAAGAAATTCATTGAAAAGAATTGGCAAACATGAAAAAATTCTCAACTTTATTTTTAATCATAAAAATGGAAATTGAACAATGAGATACTGTTTTTCACCATGACATTGGCAAAAGTTAAGAAGGCAGATAACTTCCATGTTGGTGAGCATGTAAGTATAAAAAGGTATAAAAAAGAAGAGTTGTCCTGAATCTGGTCTGGAATAGAACCTTTTTTTCCATGATGCATGATGTAATTCACAGCCTCATTCCTGATAAATTGCTTAAGCAATTTTCTGATAAACTTTAATGCGATTAAGACTTGTTCTGAGAAATCAGTCACCCATCTACCCAAGCTGACTGTCGGTCAAGAGTCTAGTGACCTTAAACCAAATGTTATTTTCCTTTTGTATCTAGCCTAACATTGACTATCTTGTCATTTCATTTTCCTATAAAATGCCTCCACCAAGGCTGAATCTTTGAATTGATCACTAGAGGCCTTTTCCCTAGTAGTAACATTATAATAAAACTTTGACTCATGCTCATAACTCGATTTTCCAAAAAGTTTTCCTTTACAGGAGAAAAGAACATCTGCTGTTTATAGGAGCATAAATTGTTTTTGGTTATTTTGAAGAACAAGTTGGCATTTTTGACCGAAATTAAACACATGCCTTTTGATCAAGCAATTCCATTCTGTACCAGAAAATACAGAAATATTTGAATGAATGTGCCAGGACACCCAATTAGAAGAATGAATGCTTTTTTAGCGTTATTTTGTGTGCATACATATTTATTTAGTTATTTGACCTATTACATTCTAAATTGATATTAATAAAGAGGTATTTGAGTTACAGTTTTTCCAAAGTTTTAAATACTCTATAGCAAAAAAAGGAAAAATGAAAGAAATTAAAAAGATACCTCTATATACATACATTGTGTGTTTGTGTGTGTGTGTGTGTGTGTGTGTGTATAAATTGGCTGTGCATGATATAAGTTTTTATTTCAATCGTTTTAGGGGTAAAGTGGTTTTTGATTACATGGAGAAGTTCTTTAGTGGCGATTTATCAGATTTCAGTGTACCCATCTGAGCAGCATATGCTGTACCCAATATGTAGTCATATATATATATGTGTGTGTGTGTGTGTATGTATATATATGTGTGTGTATGTATATATATGTATGTATCTGTATATGTATAATGGCTGTCCATGATATAATTTTGAGTTGGAAAAAGCAAATTGAAGAATAATACATGTATTATCATGTCTTTAAAAAAAAACTATACACATAGCTGAATGTTTTTGTGTGTATTTTCATAAAATGATTTGGGGTTGAGGTGATAAACAGTAATTATAAATAGTGGTAGATAACTTCTATCACCAGCACGGAGTGTGGCTTAGGAGCTGAGAAGGCTTTGAGGAGGGAATTTTCTTTCTTTTTTCTTTACCTGTCATGTTTGAATTGTGTTCCATCAACATGTCCTTTTTATTTTTTTGAGATAGTGTCTTACTTCATCACCCATTCTGTAGTGCAGGGCACAATCACAGCTCACTGCAGCCTCAAACTTCTAGGCTTAAGTGATTCTCCCATCTCAGCCTCCTCAGTTGCTGGGACCACTGGCATGTGTCACCACATCTGGCTAATTTTTTGAACTTTTTTGTAGTTGGGGTCTCACCATGTTGCCCAGGCTGGTCTTGAACTCCTGGGCTCAAGTTACCCTCCCACCTCAGCCTCCCAAAGTGCTGGGATTACAGGTGTGAGCCACCACGGCTGGCCAATATCTACTAGTTTTGAAATTTAAAAAAAAAAAAAAAAAAAAAAAAAAATATATATATATATATATATATGTATATATATATATATATATATATGAAAAAAAGGACAAACGATTTCAGTTGCACAACTATAATCGATGAAGTGGCTCCTTGATGTTCTCGGGGTAATCTGAGACACTGGGGAGAACCCTCCACCTTTGCAGAGAAGCAGGATGAAGGGGCCTAAAATGAGTTCAACTGATTTCAACTTTGTTTCCCAGCATAAAGCTTGGGCTGAGCTGCCTGAAAGGGAAGTGGAGAAGGCAGGAATGGAATTGATTTTTCCCCCCTGCTGAATTCCCCTTCTCCCTACTCCCTTCCTGCAATTTCTAATAAATTAGAAGAGCTCTGCCTTCCAGAAAAGAGCAGAGGTACCTTGCAGTACTTTTGGGAATCTTACCAGGAAGAACTGGGTCTACTATTGCAAAGGAAAAGCTTTTTTTACAGTGTTAAAAATTAATTAAAAATGGAATGTGTTATAGCTCGATTTTTATCATTAGCACCCATTCCAGAGGGCATGTTGCTGTTAGTAAAACTTCAGATTTTTCCTGTCATTATGGATTTGGTTTTAGGGAAAATACCTTCATGTTCAGCATTTTATGTGTCAGTCCCTAAAACTCATGATCTTCTGTGATTCTCTTGGTTTAAGAGCAGGGCGAGTAATGTACTCAAAAATTTCTCCATAGCCTTCTGGGTTAGAGGATATAACAGCTGGCAAACAGAACACTAATAGCTATTGATGGTTATTTTCAAAGGATGGACATCGATAGTTAAGTTTTAAGGAAGAAAATGAAGAGGAAATTTAATGTGATTTAACAGTGATTTTTTTTTTAAAGACATTATTTGCATCTCCTATTTTCACTTACTTATAAACAGGTGGTTTCCAAGTAGACATATTTTTTGCTTGCTTGAATGAGAAAGCATAATGAACTTTGTGATTTGGTGACATATCCAGATAGCTATAGCAAATAGCTATAATGCCTTAGATAAATAGCATTTTCACGAGTAAACTTTTTAGTTCTCAAAAGAAAAATTGTAACAATTTTCTAGCCGCATATTAGCATTATGCACAAACACATAAACTTTTGGCTGGAATTGTGGAATATGAAGTAGCTCCCATCCTTATTCCATCGCCCATATCCTAAAATGTAGATTGTATTAGTTGAGAAATTTTACCAAATATTTACTTATACTGTGCTATTATTTATACTATTTGTCAATTCCACTATAGTAGATGCTTAATAAATATTTGTGAATCAGTAAATGGATGGATGAATGAATAGTGGCCTACTTCTGTGAAGGTAATTGAAGAATTCCCACACTTGGCCCCCTTTGGATATAACGTCTGTTCTGAGCACCTCCCATTCACTATCTTGATGCCTCACATAAGACCTAGTATATAGTAGGCAGTCAATGAAGATCACAATGAATTGGCTAGACTTTGATTTATTCATTTATGCAAATTGCCTGACATTCAAAGAAAAAAGAAGGAAAAAATGGACCTCTTATCATGTGCCAGACATTGTTCTAAGAGGGAAAGATACTGTGAAAAAGAAAAGTCCCTATCCTGGTGGATCTTAGATTATCGTGGAGAAGGTAAGGCAACAAACACAAAATAAATACTTCATATAAGTTCAGGTAATGATAATGCGTGAAAAAGAAGTGTTCTTCCTGTTAGCAGTGCCAACATCCGCTTTAGTGCTCTGCTGCACTGCAAAATGTGTGGATGTTCTTGAGTATGTCTGGGAACTAGCTAAAATTAGGGAGTTAAAATGATCCAGCTTAGCTCAGGCTATAGGGAGGATTTCTCTCCCAGGTGTTTGTTTTGTTTTGTTTTTGAGATAGGGTCTCACTCTGTCACCCAGGCTAGAGTGCAGTGGCCTCAACCTCCCAGGCCCAGGTGATCCTCCCACTTCAGCCCCCTGAGTAGCTGGGACTACAGGCGCATGCCGTAACTCGCAACTAATTTTTTGTATTTTTTTTTGTAGAGATGGGGTTTTGCCATGTTTCCTAGGCTTGTCTCGAACTCCTGGGCTCAAGCAATGTGCTTGCCTTGGCCTCCCAAAGTGTTGGGATTATAGGTGTGAGCCACTGTGCACAGCCTCAGAGGTCCTGTCTGCCTGCCTGCCTTTCCTCCCTCTCTCTCTTTCTTCCTCTCTTTGCTTCTTTCCTTTTTTCCTTCTCTGTTGAAGGCCTGAATAAAATAAAAGACTGAGTAAGAAAGAATTGACTCCCTCTGCCTGACTTCAAGCTGGGACGTAAGTCTTCTCCCAGTCCATGCATCCATCCATCCACCTATCCACCTATTAACTTATTCACACTGGCTTTAAAATTATTTTTGGCTCCAGCTTATTATTTTAAAATGTAAAATGATTTACAGAAGTTGACAGAGAGTATAATTAAATCCCATGAGTCTACCATCCAGATTCAGTAATTATTACATGTGGCCATTGTTGTTTTATCTCTCTCCACCCACTTCCCCCATGCCTGAAAATTTACCAAAGTAAATGCAAGACATTATATATTGTTATTCATAGACATTTTGAGTAACTAAAAGTAAGGTCTCTTTAAAAAATGATAATTACAGTATCATCATCACACCCAAAAACATCACAAATTATTTAATATCATGAAGTGAAGGCCCATTTTTCCAATCATTCTCTAAATATTATAAATGTCATCTTTCATTAGTTTGTTTGAATTCCAGGTAAAAACCTTTAACTCATTTCCTTCTTTTGATTTTTCAAAAGTTGGTTGAATAGTTTCTGTCTTAAAAAGTCCAGAAATTGTTGAAATAGGTAAAGCACAAAAGAAATTAAATACACCATGTTTCCAGGCCTCTAATGTTTTCTATTCAAGGTTGTAATATCCAGTGCAAGGCTAAAATTGCTTTCTGGTGATAAACATTTGAGAAAGATTTGGTTGTTGGTGATACTGATGG
This sequence comes from Homo sapiens, assembly GCF_000001405.40. Classification (NCBI taxonomy): domain Eukaryota; kingdom Metazoa; phylum Chordata; class Mammalia; order Primates; family Hominidae; genus Homo; species Homo sapiens. The sequence goes on from NC_000016.10 coordinate 78,861,958, forward strand.
TTGTAGTAGGAGTCTCTGGAGAAATTGAACTAATACTATATGTGTGTGTGTATCTATGTATAGATATAGATACACACATGTATCTATTATATATATAGAGAGAGATATATGCATATCTATACACACCTACGGGTGTGTCTGTATCTATACACACACCTATGGGTGTGTCTATCTATATCTATACACACCTATGGGTGTGTCTGTCTGTATCTATACACACCGATGGGTGTGTCTGTCTGTATCTTTACACACCTATGGGTGTGTCTGTCTGTATCTATACACACCTATGGGTGTGTCTGTCTGTACCTATACACACCTATGGGTGTGTCTTTCTGTATCTATACACACCTATGGGTGTGTCTTTCTATATCTATACATTATATGTACTAAATAATATATATAAACACTATAGTATATAGAGTATACATATACACACTATAGTGTATGTACTATACACTGTGTACTAATACAGTGTATAATGTATATATATAGTATTCAATATAGATCTATAAACACACAAGTGCATACACACACACATTTTTCTGTATATATGTATAAAGATATATATAAAGATTTTTAAATAAGGAATTGACTCATGAAATTACAGAGACTGAGACATCGAAACCCAGGACAACCAATGGTACAGTTCATGTCTGAGTCTGAGCAGCTGAGAAGCAGGAGATAAAAAGGCATCAGTTCCATTCCATATCCAAGTCTGAGTCCAAGGGCAGGAGAAGCTGATGTCTCAGCTTGAAGTCAGGCATAGAGAGGCAATTCTTTCTCACTCAGCCTTTTATTTTATTCAGGCCTTCAACAGATTGTATGAAGCCACCCACACTGGGAAGGGCAGTCTGCTTTACTCATAGTACTAATCGAAACGTTAATGTCCTCCAGAAACGCCTTCATGGACACACTAGAGATAATGTTTAACATAATATCTGGGTATCCTGTGGCCCAGTCAAGTGGACACATACAATTAGACATCATGGTGGTTATGCCAAGTTTTTTTTTTTTTTTTTTGAGATGGAGTCTTGCTCTGTTGCCAGGGTGGAGTGCAGTGGTGCAACCTTGGCTCACCACAACCTCTGCCTCCCAGGTTCAAGCGATTCTCCTGCCTCAGCCTCCCAAGTAGGTGGGATTACAGGCGCCACCACCAAGCCTGGCTAATTTTTGTATTTTTAATAGAGATGGGGTTTCACCATGTTGGCCAGACTGGTCTCAAACTCCTGACCTCAGGTGATCCACCCGCCTTGGCCTCCCAAAGTGCTAGGATTACAGGCGTGAGCCACCACTCCCAGCCAGCCAAGTAAGTTTTAACTTGGAAACAATGAGCAGACACTCGCAGTACATTCTCTACTTAGTATATTTCTTTTTCAGAGTCATCTCAAAAATCTCTAGGCCAAGTGTTCTTAACTATGGACCTTGATGAATGGACCCTGAGTATCTTAGAATCTTCTGAAATAATATGCAGCATTATATTCCATTTGTACCTGGGAAGAGGGTACTTGTCTTTCATCAGAGAGTCACCAATGGACCACTGGTCCCTGCTGATTTAGTGTCACAGCTCAAAACCATCAGTAGTCCTCGTGATCTTTCGGCATTGTGGCTCCCTTTGTGAGAAGGGCCTAAGAGTGAATCTCCCAACCATAAGCTGTATTCAGGCAGGCACGAAGTCTCTTATTTACTCAGTGTTTCTGGAGCCCAGCATAGTGCCTCGCACACAGCAAGTGCTCAGTGGGTATCTGTTGAACCGGCAAAACAAACAAATGAATAAATTAATGGGTGGTCACTGTACTAGTTTTCTATTGCTTCATAAACAAACTATCACAGGCATAGTGAGTTGGAATGATGGCTCTCAAAAAACTATGTCCACATCCTATAAATGCTATTGTACAATATATGGTCTTTTGTGATTGGCCTCCTCCACTTAGCATCGTGTTTTTGAGGTTCAGCCACAGTTGTAGCATGTCCATCTCTCTTTGTGTGGCTGAATATCATTGCATTGTATGGATATACCAAATATTTTTCTCCTTTCATCTGTTGATGGGCATTTGTGTTGTTTTTACCCTTTGACTATTGCAAATAAAGCTGCTCTGAACATTTCTGTGTAAGTTTTTGTTGGAACACCTATTTCCAGTTCTTAGGGATATGTATTTATATCAAGCCAAACTACCTACCTAACCACCTACCTGGGAGTGGAATTACGGGGTCATACAGTAAATCTATGGTTAATTCATCAGGAATTATTTTATAAATTTTTGATGTTGGATATCTGAAGATAATACAGAATGGAGCCCTTTTTTACTTTACAGATTTTTTTTTTTTTTGAGAGAGAATCTTGCTCTGTTGCCCAGGCTGGAGTGCAGTGGTGCAGTCATGGTTCACTGCAGCCTCGATCTCCTGGGGCTCAAGCCATCCTCCCACCTCAGCCTCCTGAGTAGATGGGACCACAGGCGCATGCCACCACACCCAGCTAAGTTTTGTATTTTTTTGTAGAGGCAAGGTTTCTCCATGTTGCCAAGGCTGATCTTACACTCCTGGGATCAGGAGATCCGCCTGCCTTGGCCTCCCAAAATGCTGGGATTATAGGCATGAGCCACTGCACCCAGCCCTGGATTTGGCTTTTTGAAACAGGGCTGCACATAACCTCCATGATGTGATTCTGGCTGTGTCTGTTGAGGTCCCATTGGGCCCAGCTCTGAGATTCCCTGTTAGCACAGGGTCTGACACATCACAGATGAACAATGGATCTTTGGTAATTAAAAACAGAGCTGTGTGGCTATTTTTCTCCAACTCCTTTTTTTTTTTTTTTTTTTTTTTTTTTTGAGACAGTCTCACTCTATTGCCCAGGCTGGAGTGCAGTGGTGTGAACTCGGCTCACTGCAACATCCACCTCCCGGGTTCAAGCGATTCTCCTGCTTCAGCCCCCCGAGTAGCTGGGACCACAGGCGTGCACCACCACACCTGGCTAATTTTTGTATTTTTAGTAGAGTTGGGGTTTTACCATGTTGGCCAGGCTGGTCTTGAACTCCTGACCTCAAGTGATCCACCCATCTTGGCCTCCCAAAGTGCTGTGATTACAGGCGTGAGCCACCGCGCCTGGCTTTCAAATTCCATTTTTTAAAGTTAGTGCTTTAATATGTTAAACACCCTTATTAACATATTACATATGTTAATATGTAAAATAAATTCCGTACATTTTAAAGTGCTAAAGGTTGTATGTTTGTGCGATGGATATGTTTAAGAGAATGATTTAGGATGCGATCAGTTTTTTTTCCTTGACTTACTCTCTTCCTTTATTTTTTTCCCTTCTTCACTTTCTCTGTTATTCCTTGCCAATCTCATAAATAATGTAAGACAACTTGCAAGACTTATTAAATGACTGATTTCCTTAAAAGAAGTACGTCAGGTGAAGGGCAGATAGAGGTCAACACCATAGATAAATCTTTACACTCCAGTGGACTTTGATTCACATCATGGCTCCTTCTCTTCCTTGCTGAGGCTTTTGACAATTTCAAATGCTCCCTGAACCTCAGTTTCCTTTGCCACAAAATAGCAATACAAATTTATAATTCCTTAGATTGCTGTGAGAATGAATTGAGGCAAGGTAGGTAAAGTGCAAGGAATTGTGTGTGGCCGGCCAGGTGCAGTGTGGCTCAAGCCTGTAATCCCAGCACTTTGGGAGGCTGAGGTGGGTGGATCACCTGAGGTCAGGAGTTCGACACCAGCCTGGCCAACATGGTGAAACCCCATCTCTACTAAAAATACAAAAATTAGCCATGCTTGGTGGCAAGTGCCTGTAATCCCAGCTACTCAGGAGACGGAGGCAGGAGAATCACTTGAACTCGGAAGGCAGAGTTTGCAGTGAGCCAGATTGCACCACCGCACTCCAGCCTGGGCGATGAGTGAAACTCCGTCTCAAAAAATAAACAAGAATTGTGTCTGGCCTTTGTGATAGTTACTCAACAAATCATATCTGTGATTGTTTTGGTTTTAACAATAATGGTTTTTAAAAACCGTAGGTGATCACATACTACGCAGAAAGGGAAGCAGTTACAGCATTCACAGCATCCGTGAGTCATAGACTCACTGCATTGCTCCAAGGTGCAGATTCTAGTTGGAAATGTTAAGTTTTTTAGAGCAATGAAAAAATTGATCTCTTTCTCTTCCATAACATAGATTTCCCATCTAGCTCCTGGGCTAACTTTTGTTTAGTAGTTGTATTATGAAAACACCGAAGAATCCTTCTGCCAGTCTCCATAGCAGTGATATAAATCAGAGCCCGCAGTTTCATGAATGCCTCGCTGTGCCACCAGGATTTTCTTGGAGGGAGCCACGGTCAGATTTCAAGTGGTCATTTCACTCTTTCTCCCTCTGGGGGACTGAGACATGATTAACTTGCAATAATTGTGACTCCCTCATTAAAGGAGAGCTGTAGCAAGGGAAGAAATCATTGAGACTGATCAAGACATCCCGTGCTATTTTTTTTTTCTTGCATATCAGCTGTGTGGGTACCTCTTGTTCCTCTGTCCTTCAGGTTAGTAAAACGAAGAACAGTTGCTGAAGCTATGAGCTATCGATAAAAGCTAATGTACCACACGAAATTGGAAGGGGAACAAAATCACTTAAGTGTTCAGGGCCACCAAGGCACTGGTGCATCCCCTGTGAGCCTATTTGGCTCCTGGCGGTGTTTTTGTTGCCCTGGCTTGCAACGTAGCCTGATTGTTCTAAGTAAATGGCAGAGCACGCAAATCAAGGACATTGGCAATAAACCAGGAATGCACTGTTTCCAGCCACGGGCTATCCAGGGAATTGGGGACAGTCTGTAATGTATCTTGAGCTAGGACCATATCCAAATTACTGGCCTTTCCAGTTTTTCTTAAAATAGTAGGGTCAGTAGGTGACCACACTCAGAAGCCAAGCCTGCAGCATCAGGGCTGAGGAGCAAACTCTTTCTTTGGTCTGAAGCTTCAAATATGAACCCTTGCCACCAGCTGCATAAATATGATAGCCAAAGGGTTTCAAATTTGTGATTTGTCATAAACGCTCCTATTGCAGGCTGGGTCTAGTCCTTCTTGACTTTGTGGAAGGAGAAGGCTTGAGGAAGTATTCACAATTGGAGAAGGGCGCCTTCTGTTATGTTCTTAGCTCACTAAAAGTGGTTAATGATGAGAAGGGGTGGGTCAATGACAAGAAAAGTGGAGAAGATGAGACAGACAAAACTGCAACTCATCTTCATGGCACACTGGTGAGTGGGGGAGTGCAAGAAGTTTAGGTGCAAAGGACAATGGAGTGAACATCTTGGCTTGGTTAACAGAAGAAAAGAATACCAACGCCGTCTATTTTCATATCCCTTTCTATTTTATGTACATATTTATCAATATACTTTTTGTTCCAGAAATAAATGGGAACTTAGGCACAATCTTTTACACATCTTACCTCAACTGGTGACTCTTCATAATCTAGAGCTATTATAGTTTCCAATTGACAGATGGGGAATCTGAGACTCAGAGAAGTTAAATGATTTTGTGTGTGTGTGTGTGTGTGTGTGTGTATGTGTGTGTGTTTTGTTTTTTTGTGTGTGTGTTTTTGTTTTTTTTTAAGACGGAGCTTTGCTCTTTCACCCAGGCTGGAGTGCCTTGGTGCAATCTCAGTTCACTGCAACTACAACATCCCAGGTTCAAGAGAGTCTCCCACCTCAGCCTCACGAGTAGCTGGGATTTCAGGTGCCTGCCACCATGCCTGGCTAATTAAGTGAGTTTCTTAAAGTCCTACAACTGGTGAGCTGTGAGCTGTAAATTGTGGAACTAATTTTTATACTGCCAATCTGAGGCCTTTTCTGACCTCATCGCTGCCACTGTAAAATGAATTCTAGCCCCAGACCATGACATGCCTACTAGCTTAGCTCTAACCAGAAAGATTTATTATCCCAAGAGTTGTGAAAATGTGGAAGAACTAGAACTGTCATTCACTGCTGGTGGGAATGTAAAATGGTACAATGAATTTGGAAACAGTTGTCCAGTGCCTTAAAAAGTTAAACACACACATATGTGGCTCAGCAGTTCCCTTCCTAAGAACCTACTGGAAAGAAAATAAATGCTTATACAAAGTCTTGTTCATGAATGTTCATAGCAGCATCATCCATGATAGCCAAACGCCGGAAATACCCAAATGTCCATTAGCTGGGGAATGGAGAAACAAATGTAGTCTATCGACACAATGGAATACTACTCAGCAATGAAAAGGAACTAACTCTGGATACCTTTAATAACATAGATGAACTTCAAAAACATTACGCTAAGTGAAGGAAGCCGGTCATAAAAGACCACATAGTATATGATGACATTTATATGAAATTTCTAGAAAAGATGAAACTCTATAGACAGCAAACAGAATGATGGTTGCCTGGGGCTGGGAGTGAGTGGAGGGGATTACCTGGAAAGGGTGGGGCAATTTTGGGGGGTCAAGAAAATGTTCTAGGACAAGACTGTGGTGATGGCTGCACAACTGGATAAATATACTAACATCAAACTGTATATTTACAATGGTTAAATCATATGGTATGTGAATTTCACATTAATAAAGTCATAAAAAATGAATTCCAGGACCATTAAATCAGGTGACTGAGCCAATAGTTACAGGAACATAGAAAGATTTTCACCCATTCTGTATAATTAGACAAATTCTGTTACTATCTGTCCAACAGTTTAGCAAGAGTCACTCTGAGATTGAAGAGAGGAAGGGAACGTTGGAACCAATGCTGATGAGCCATTCATAGGCTCTGGCTCACTATATATGTCTAAAATTCACATGCCCCTAACCCTCAGATAATGACCATTAATAATCTGGCAGGAGAGGAAAGACCTGCAGCTCTTCTAGTCCTTATGCTATCTCATTGTCTCATGGATTTTTAATATGTCTTTGCATCCCTTAGAAATTTGCACTTTTCCCCCCTTTTTCCATTAAAACACACCTGCGTGCAAACGTCCATACACACCCATGTACACACAGACACACACACACATGCATGCGATCTGTAAAAAGTCACAAAGGCCAAAGTTTTAAAGGAAGAAAATAAAAATCACCTGTAGTCCTATCATTCAGAGATAACCACTGTATGTTTATTTACATTAGTTTTGATTACATTAGTTTAGAATGAAATTTTAAATACACTAGTATATGTAATTAAAATTGTATATACGTTTTAGTCAACCATCAGCTGACTTATTCATGTTCTGTGGACTCTGTGGTGGGTGGGGTCCAAGCCTCCCTGAAGCAGATCTCTATCCTGTCACCCTGCTGGAAATGAAACACTTAGGGGTTAGAAGGGGATCAAGGAAAGTCCGAGAGTTGGTTGTGATTATCTTCAGTCAGAAAGTGCCTACTTTTCCAAGCATCCAGACTGCAACCTGTTTTTCCTACTCAAAATGGTTTTTATGGATTCTATTCTTATTTGGCAATTGCCTGGACTACAGTCACCAACACAAGTTTATACGCAAGAAGTGCACACAGCCCTCCCTCCCAGCTCATCCGGTAACAATTTAGATGAAGGATGTAAAATAGGATTCATTTCATGACCCAAGTCTGGTCAATTGAAACAGCCGATTGAAGTGCTGTGTTGAAAAGGATTTTGACACTGCGCATGGGCTCGTTGGGAAAGGGTGTCATGATGGGTTACTGATTCTGCGGTATTTTTGTGGACGTGGGGAGTGGTGGCCTACTTACAGTGCATCGCCCACTCTGATTTAGATGAGCAAGAGCTGCTGAGTTGTAGATTTCTAGTTTCTAAACAACAATAAGTCTTGCTCGCAGATAGCCTCTTAGCAGAGCCAAAAGCCAGCAGAGAGAAGACTCAGCATTTGCTTTGGAGTAAGTTTGTGTGTGTATGTTTATCTCCCTTTTACTCATGGGCTCTTTTTTCCCAAATAACTGAGGGGCCAGCACATTTGGAGAACATGGGATTTATCATTGACGTCAGTGCCTTGGGAGTCTATGTTTATGTGAGCTTAAAGGTTTTGGAAGCTGAATGACACAGATCAAAGTCTCTCCACTGATCTGTCTTCCAGTCCTCCAGGGGACTTCTTCCATCAACTACAAATCATTGATCAAAGTATTGGTCTGTCACCTGTCCATGTGTAAGGCCAGGCCTAAGTGCTCTGACAGGGCATGACTCAATCCTCAAACAGGAAGGGGGAAATTGCTTTCCGTCTCCTAACCCTAAGATCCTGGATGGCAGGTAATCTGCTTCCTCAAGATTCTGTTGATACACATTCAGGACTCTGGTTTCTGTTTTGCTTGATGACAATGACCCAGTTTCTTTGACTAAATAAATGTATAGACACACATTACTTCTTTTCATTCTAAGAATCATAAGTTTTTCAAACTTTAGAATCACAAGGTCCATTAAAGGACATCTCCCCTGACCTTCCCATTTTGTAGATGGGAAGACTAAGGTCCAAGCTTGAATGACCTGCCATCATGGGGATAACCGGAATTGATACAATGTCTTGATTCAAGATTCAGAGCTCATTTTTTCTGTGTCAGATTAAAAAAAAAACAAAAAACCCTTACTGATCTTTTAAATATGTAATTCTTCCTCCTCTTCTCCCCTTGTCTCTCTTCTCACCCCTACCAATGTAATCAGTTCTTTTTTTCTTTTTTGGAGACGGAATCTCACTCTGTTGCCCAGGCTGGAGTGCGGTGGTGCGATCTTGCCTCACGGCAACCTCTGCCTCCTGGGTTCAAGCAATTCTCCTGCCTCAGTCTCCCAAGTAGCTGGGATTACAGGTGCATGCCACCATGCCCAGCTAAATTTTTGTATTTTAGTAGAGACGGGTTTTCACCGTGTTGCCCAGGGTTGTCTCGAACTCCTGAGCTTAGGCAGTCTGCCCACCTCAGCTTCCCAAAGTGCTAGGATTATAGGCATGAGCCACCATGCCCGGCCTAATCTAATCAGTTCCTTTAAATCTGAAACTGTCTGCCTGATTCTGGTTTACCACAACCACCAGAGTCTTAAGTGTCCCAATAGCCAGGGTCTCATAGACTCTGCTTATGGTTAATTCTTCTGGGGAAATTAATTTCTCGAGGTAAAACAAGTTTTTAAATTATCCCCTATAGCTCATAGAAGCAATTCAGTAAATACTTGTTGAATATCAAATGAATGAACAAATGGCATTCTACATTGAATATAGTAATTCCCAACTTTCGTGAAGGTTGTTTTTTTTTTTTTTTTAATGAGGCAATCAGGGGTAAAAACCCCCGCTGCTGTCCTAAGACAGAAAGAGGGGGGATTTTTCCCCCCATGGCTTCGTCCTTATTCTTATAACCTGTATGCACTGCTGAACCTGCTGAATAACCATGTCACAGTGGCAGGAGAGGGACTGGGTGAACTTGAGCCTCGATGCCTGGATTAAAGCCTTGTAATGATGTTTGCAAAGCACCAGGGTGATAACTGAATGGTTGGCACAGGCTTCGATGAAGCTTGTGTCCACCACAGTTTCCAGTGCTTCTGCACCTGGGTGGTCAGAAATGAGTCCTGTGAGACACAGGTGACAAGATCTCCAAGGAAGCAGTTCACGCTTGGATGACTCTGGAGCTGTGGTGACAATCTAAATCCTAAATTGAGGCTTACTAGGAAATGCACTAGGTAACAGGCTCTAGAGAAATGGCTATTACCAGGTTGCTCAGGCTGGAGTGCAGTAGTGCAATTTCAGCTCACTGCAACCTCTGCCTTCTGGGTTCAAGCAATTCTCCTGCCTCAGCCTTCCAAGCAGCTGGGACTACAGGCAGGCACCACCATACCCACCTAATTTTTTGTATCTTTTTTAGTAGAGAGGGGTTTCACCATATTGGCCAGGCTGGTCTCAAACTCCTGGCCTCAAGTGATCCGCCCACCTTGGCCTCCCAAAGCGCTGGGATTACAGGTGTGAGCCCCCAGGCCCTACCCTGGGCCCCTCCTTTCTGGCCCCTCAACCTGTTTTCTTCCAGCCATGCCCTAGGGAGAGCTTGGCTGTGGCCTTGCAGACCCTCTCAGATGCCACTCAACAAGGGCCAACTGGAGAGAAATCTCTAGTCTAGGGCACAAAATTTCTGTCAACCCTTCTAACCAGTGTTTGAAGTACGTAAGACGTTCATTTCCACTTCTAATGAGGAATTAGAGGAACGGATTTATAAAGGAATTCTGGTTATAATTGCAGGTACTTTTAGAGACGATGTCTAACAGTGCAACCCATAGAACCAGGCTGCCTGGATTCAAATCCCAGCTCTGCTATTACTGAGATCTCTATGAGAGCTCAGAAAAGTTTACTTAATTTCTCCAAGTCTCAGTTTTCTCATAAGAAAGATGGGCATAAGGAAATAATGTAGGGAAAACACTTGTTGCAGACTGAGGACTCAACAAAGTTATAATTAAAGCTATTACTAACGTCATTATTATGAAAATAGCCATCTTTTTTTAAAGAAGGGAGTTAAAGGAAAGAAATGCCAGGCTGAGAGATGAGACAGTGAATTACAGTGGGGGATAAAGGGGCTGTGGTGTCACACAGGCCTGGCATCTGTGGCCTTGAACAAGTGCATTAATCACTCTAAGCCTCAATTTCTTTGTTTTAAAAATAATTAACTAAAATACCTTAGGGCACATGGTAGGAATTCAGTAAATGCTCACTGTCTTTCTCATCCTTTTGCTTACCTCACATTTGCTTGCAGCCAGTGCTCAAAACCATAGACAGGCAGTGTCCCCAACCACTCCCTGCGTTTCTCTTTCTTTGCCTTCCGAAGCTGCCATCTTGGTGGTTTTTGAAGCATCAACACTTACTTCACATGCAGAGGCCCCTTTTATTTATTTATTTTTAATTTTTTTGAGACAGGGTCTCGCTCTCTTGCTCAGGCTGGAGTGTAGTGGTGTGATCTCAGCTCAGTGCAGGCTTGGCCTCCAGGGCTCAAGCAGTCCTCCCATGTTGACCTCCTTTGTATCTGGGACCACAGGTATATTTCACCATGCCTGGCTAATCTTTGTGTTTCTGTAAAGATGAGGTCTTGCTATGCTGCCCAGGCTGGTCTGGAGCTCCTGGCCTCAAGCAGTCCTCCTGCTTTGGCCTCCTGAAGTACTGAGATTACGGGTGTAAGTCACCACACCCAGCCCAGAGGCCTTCTTTAAATGCTAGTCCTTTTTCTCTTCCTCCATCTGGGTCTTGGTTCCATGCGTATTCAGTTTGTGAAAAATTTGAGTCGTGCACTTATTATGTATGTGCTTTTCTGCATGTAATTATGCTTGATAAAAAAAGTTTAAAAATTTGTTTTAGATAGAGGTTTGAATGTCACTAATTACCAACGTGTAGCTCCTAATTGGAATTAAGAAGGGACTAGCTCCTATTATCAGAGATCTGGTCATCACCCTTCAAGTTGACTATCTCCTTATGCTGATTTTTTTTTTCTTTTAAATAGCAGCACAAATATTTACCATCTAGCAGATGTGGTAAGAATGTAAGTTGTTCAGCCATTTACAGCTTAGTCTTTGGGAGATATCCATTCATTTTAAATACTTGGAGGGCCAGGCACAGTGGCTTATACCTTGTAATCCCAGCACTTTTGGAGGCTGAGGTGGGAGGATTAATTGGGGCTAGGAGTTGGAGGCTAGCCTGGGGAACATACTGACACCTCATCTCTATAAAATATTTTTTAAAACTCAGCTGGGCATGATGTTGCATGCCTGTCATCCCAGCTACTTGGGAGACTGAGGAGGACGATTGCTTGAGGCCGGAAGTTCAAGGCTGCAGAGAGCTGTTATTGTACCACTGTACTCCAGCCTGGGCAACAGAGAGACCCTGCCTCAAAAAGTAAATAAAATAGTAAAATAAAACGAGATATTTGGAAGGCTATGTTTTTTTGCCAGGCCATGTGCTTAGTCCCTGGGAGTATAGCGAGGGGCAATCACAGGTCAGGTCCTAGTGTCTCTGAAGACTTCATTCTAGTGGCCATTGAAAATGTGTAACTACCCACAGTAATCAAGTTAAAGAAAGGTTCTGGCTGAGCACGGTGGCTCATGCCTGTAATCCCAGCACTTTGGGAGGCCGGGGTGGGCGGATCACAAGGTCAGGAGTTTGAAACCAGCCTGACCAACCCTGTCTCTACTAAAATTATTTAAAAAAAAAATAGCTGGGCATGGTGGCACACGTCTGTAATCCCAGCTACTCGAGTGGCTGAGGCAGGAGAATCGCTTGAACCCAGGAGGTGAAGGTTGCAGTGAGCTGAGATGGCGCCGCTGCACTCTAGCATGGGCGACAGAGCGAGACTCTGTCTCAAAAAAAAAAAAAAAAGCTTCCATTTGAGCCGCCAGGAAAGGAGGCCCTGAGTTGGGGAGTTGAATAGAGAGCTGCATCCTGAACAGACATGATCTTGGGTGAGTGAGAGGCTAGGAGCGGAGGGAAAGCAGACGCAGTTGCTAAAGCTGTCAAGTCCCGCTCCCTTGGAATGCAGTCCTGGTTCTGCTACCTCCAACTGGGTCGATTTCAAAAAATTATGGACTTGTCTGAGCCTGATGTGGTGCCTGGCCAGGGCTCACTGCAGCGCCTGGTATACAGGAAGAACTTGATGTTATTCATGGCAAAAGATGTCTGGATGGTCTCCACTACAGATTCTGATGGCAAGTGACTTAAAGACATGTTGGCAATGGGTAGTGGACAAAAATTGAAACACCTTCAACTGTGTCTGTGACCAGAAGATTTTTTTCTTTTTTTTTTTTTTTTTTTTTTTGGCTGACTGTCATGACTTAGTAAGGCCATCACAGGTTGCCAGAACATCTACTCAACTGTTCCAAGCATAACCTCCTACACAGGCCTTCTACATAGGAGTATATTTGGCCAAGACTCACCACTAGAAGTGATTTCCACTGGACTTTCCTACAGCAAGTGGTAAATGATCCCTCAGATAGGCCCAAGAGCTCCCCTTCAAGCATAGAGACACAACCCTGTGAAAACATGCATTGGAACCAGGAAGGCCTGCCCCCATGACTTCACGTTGCATACATGCCTTTGAGGACTTGGCCTCTTAAAGGAATCTTTCAATATCCTATGCTTCTGAGAAAGTTACTATTTCATTTGCAGCAGGACAACTCAACAAGCTAGCTCTTCCTGCCCAGCAGACTCGGTGGATTCTGAAGAGGGTCTCGGGCTGACTCTCTACTTCATGGGTTTGAATTCAGGAATGTTGCAAGATTGCATGAGATTAAGCCGCTGAAACCTTTCTGAGGAAGAGCCAGCTCAAATTTCAGTGTTGGATGTTCACCGCTTCTTTAGGGTTCTACCACTCCCAGTAAATCAAGTAATAGGTTTCTGTTAAAAACCCCAGTGTGCTGATCTCAGTGGCAGCCATCTTGCTTTGTAAGCCTTCTCTAGCTTTATGATGCTCCCAGTATATAAGACATTTCCAGTGTCTAGTCCAAATTAGTATTTCTCTAATTCTCGAGTGTCTGATCTGCCTGGCTAGAATGATTAAAACAAAAAAATAGCAAATCAGTTTGACAGTCCACTTCATTAAGTGGAGGACAGTGTTTTGATTGCTATTTAATCTGTTTTTCCTTCTGTCTGTTCTTGGCTATATGGAATTCACTTTGCCTCTCTTCCCGACTCTTCATATCCCTTATCTCAAGGTGAGTATCGTCAGAATCCCGGTACATTTCACCAGCCACCTTTTATAGAAGCTTAGAAAGATGGAGGCAAACCCATAAACAAGACTTGGTTTTTCTAAGCCACAGTGGCAATTTCCTAGTCGATTACAACTGTGTCTACCCTTTCAACTGGCCTGTCAGTGTAGGCTCTGCATGTCCTGGATAATCCTACAATTGGTGACACGGTTATTGACTTACAGGTTTCTAGGGCATCTCATTCGTTTTTTAAAAGAATGTTTCTTCCACACTTTTATTGCTTAGTAGAAACTTGTTCTAATTCTTTCTCCTGATACCATTTAGCCTATTAGTACCTGGGAATAATCACCCTCCCTTATCTAGTCCTACAGATTTGTTTTGTTTTGAGTTATACCCACTTTAGGTCTCCCACCCTCTCTTATTTTTATAAACAGGCTCCATGGTACTATATACACTGCAGATGGACAGCTGCCAACCTGCTCTTTTTGTGCTGAGGAACTCTAGATATTTCAACTAGTTTACATGACTTTCTTACCTACGCTACCTTATAATCCTTTTATAAATTTTGCTTTACGTTTTAACAACGGAAAACACTTAAGGTTTTTTTCCTTTCTTTTTTTTTTTAATTCTTCCGCCAGCTATCTTTAAAAGCAGTTCTAAAACTTCTTATTTTAATATTGTACCCATTGTACTTTAGTCTAAGTGATGGCTGCTTATGGCCATGCCCTTTCTTCTGCACTTTGGGTGTTTTGTCTGGAATTTTCTCTCCTTTCCTTTTGTGAAAAAGGATGAATTTTCCAAGACTCTGTTATGACAGAAACTCACCAGTTCTCTGTTGTTAATCAACAAATAGATTGTGAATGCTTGACTCTTCTTTTTTTTTTTTTTTAAAGGAGTTTCAAGGGTAAGATCTGCTGTCTTGTGAATGTCAAAGAAGTTTCTCATTCGCCCCTTTCTTCTCTCTCCCAGTGTCTTTAATTTGTTAATGCTTTCGACTTATTTTGCTTTGGATAATTTTCAAAGTACTGCTTTCTCTAGAGATCTCTAAAAGGCAGAAGTTCTGGCTATTAAAGATTTGCCATTCTCAGAACAGCCCAGTTAGGGTACCCTCAGGTTATTTATAACTGGATTTTATCTCAGAAAATTAACTAAAAGAAGATTAACCAAAAATCTAAAGGAAAATGCCTTAAACACCTCATCTATTATGCTGTGCTCAAACAGATATTTTCATCTTAACAGCTTGGCAAACCCAGTGGAACGCTCTTTCTAGTTTGGGGCATAAAATAAGATAACACTCTGAATTCCTACAGGAAATCTTGTAACTCTACTTAAAATTAAGGCATAAAGTAGGAAAATGTGTTTCCTCTGTATAGTCTTATTACTTTGCCTGTTAAGTTAACTGGTTCCTATTTCTGCTGGTTCGAAGAGGTCCAGGACATTTAAATAGCTCTTCTAGAAACAAATTCTTTTCCTTACAAGCCCTGCCAGGTCAGTGGGTTCAGTAAGGAAGAAGGTTTTGTATTTTGACAATTCCTTCATCTGTTAATTTAGTCAGACGAGGAAGGAAACGAGAAAAGTTATTCCTATTTCATCCATCTAAGACTTTATATCCCATTTCAGGCTGATTAAAAGGCAAAATCGTCACAGTAGGACACCAAACCCTCTGTATGCCCTGCCTGCCTCCCCCCCTCTGACCCGCCTGCCTCCCCCCTGTGAGCTTTTTCCACCTACTGGCCTCTTGTTCTTCTTCAGCTGTTCCTCAGACATGCCAGGTGTGTTCCTGTCTCAGACGCTTTGCCTTTGCTGCTCCTTCTGCCTGGAGTATTCTTCCACGTAGCACCATGAGCTGTTCTTCTCCAAAAGGCTTTGCTCAACTGACACTTTCTCAGTGAAGCTGTTTCTCACCACTCACTATAAAATGGCAGCCTGCCTCTCTGAGCCTTGCACCCTCTCTTCCTTTTCCTGCTTTGTATTCCTTGTGGCACTTATTATATCACATAGATACAGACATAGATGTGGACATAGATAGAGACATAGACATACATGAGTTTTGTGTTTATTCTCCTATTCTCTAGAAGAATGTAAGTTTGTAAGTACTGAGATTTTTGTCTCTTTTGCTCACTATTGTACTTCAGGGCCTAGAGGAAGGCTTAGCACGTGGAAGACAATATTTATTGGAGGAATGAATCTAGAAATATCCTTGGATGTATAATGTCCAACTCACTCTACCACACAGCAACATAGGTAGTTTTATATACATTTTATAGCTAAGCCCAGCAGCCCAAAAAGCTAAATGACTTCAGCGCCCACAGATACTCCTGGATGAGAGGGGATTGGAAACCAGGTCTGTTCAATTGCAAATCCCCTCTTGTGCCTTTTACAGGTCAGATGATTTTGTTTTTATAGGCTCTAGCAGGTCCCTTCTCTTTGCGTCACCAGAGAGGAAGATCCCCTAAGACAAAGCATTCCCTGTAGTTTTTAGCATAACTAGTACTGGCTCAGTAAGTATCCACTGGGGTTCGGAATACAACTGCCCTGCCTCTTGAGCAGCCATGCCTGCTTCCGAGGTGGTGCTGCATGCTATTCAGGAGGACAGACCATGGATGGAAATCCTGAGCCACAACTCCTTAGCCTCATGACATTGGGCAGATGACTGAGCTTGTCTGAGTTACAATAAATAAAAATACCATGCTGAATGATGGCCTAGCATGACATTGGGAAGTACAGACTTTGCAGGCAGGCCCCTGGGTTCAATTCCTGCCCCTGTCATTGAGTAAAGTAATTATCATAACTTTGGAACAAATTGACCTCTCTAAGCCTCAGTTTATTCTTCAGCTAAATGAGGATGATTGATAATCAAAACTATTTTATAGGGCTTGGGGGAGCATCAAATGAAATAACACATATAAAAGGCTTGGTTTAATCTCTGAAGCACATTGGCACTTAATAAATGTTAACTATAATTATATTAACACCTATTTTACAGGGTTGCTATGAGGATATCATGAGATAATATGTATGAAGAACCTAGCACACTGTTTGGTGCATGTGAGGGTTCTGTAAATGTTACCCATTTTATTCCTTAATTTCCTTTATAGACCCCTTTCCCTGCAACACCCAGTAGTCTGGCTTCTATCCTGACAATGTTAGTGAAGTTGCTTGCTTGAAATTTACCAGGCCAGGCTTATGGCTGTAATCCCAGAAACTCAAGAAGCTGAGGCAGGAGAATCCCTATGGTCTCTTGAGTCCAGGAGTTTGAGACCAGCCTGGGCAAGATAGCAAAATACTATCTCTACAAAAAAATGAAAAAAAAAAAAAAAAAAAGCCTGTCATAGTGGTACATGCCTATAGTCTTAGCTATTCAGGAGGCTGAGGTGGGAGGATCGCTTGAGCCCAGGAATTTGAGGTTGCAGTGAGCTATCATTGTGTCACTACACTTCACCCTGGATCTGGAAGGAAGGGAGGAAAGGAGGAAGGGAGGGAAGGAGGAATTTACTAGAAACAAATTAACTTCTGTAATCCTAAGTACTTGTTAAGGCAGAAAAACGCAGATAAGAAAATCGAAGTTGAGGGCAAGGAGCTCATCTTTCACGGTCATAGACCTCAGTTGCAACATCTGGAAAAAGAGCTGGTTGGGCATGCCGGGCAGGCTTTTGTGACAATGTAAGAGCAAGTGAAGATTGCATCTCAGTATGAGACACCGTAAGAGCTTGATAAATGGTGGACCCTCTGATGTTGACAACATGATGTCAAAGATGGTGTTTGCTGTTGTTTCAAATGTCTTATTTCAAATTCCCAATTAGTTTCTTCATGCCATAAGGGCAAAATCCACATCTCATACTTTTTCAGGATCTGCTCTCACTTCCCCAAACATGTAATACCACCCTGGTCTTCAAGTCCACTCTCAAAAAAAAAAAAAAATTTGGCCTTTGGCCTCGTGACCACCAAATCTGATTTCCATCCAAGAGGCAACATTGTTTGTGCTTAGAAGGAATTCCTGGCTGGGCATGATGGTTCACGCCTGTAATCCCAGCGCTTTGGGAGGCCGAGGCAGGCGGATCACCTAAGGTCGGGAGTTCGAGACCAGTCTGATCAACATGGAGAAACCCTGTCGTTACTAAAAATACAAAATTAGCCAGGCATGGTGGCACATGCCTGTAATCCCAGCTACTTGGGAGGCTGAGGCAGGAGAGTCGCTTGAACTTGGGAGGCAGAGGTTGCCGTGAGCTGAGATCATGTCATTGTACTCCAGCCTGGGCAACAACAGCAAAACTCTGTCTCAAAAAAAAAAAAGAAGAAGAAGAAGTAATTCCTAACAGTCTGGAATCTCTAGGGTCTCTGGTATTATCCTTTAGTTTAAGCCTCACATTTTTCTAAACATTTTGAAATCTGGTGTAATGGCGTTAGATGACCAAGAATTTATAGTCAAAAGTAGATAAAGTAAAAGAGTGAAAACAGAGACATGATACGAGTTGATGATACCGTATGCAACTTGTCAAACACTTACATTTGTGAATAAGAAAACTGGGGTCTATTTGGTGGTTTATTTCAGAGATGTTGGATCAAATCAGACATCAGAAAAGACAACAGTACCAAACGAAGATATCTTTGCTGTATTTGCAGTTTTCTCTCTTATTAACATGAAAACACCTTACATAGATGGAAACATCTAAAGGCTATTTTTTATTTTATTTTCCATTACTTCACTCTAATGCTTTCACCCGTACCTGTGGAAATTAGACTGTCACCTGCTTTTAGCATCCTGTTTTCTTTCGTGTTTGTAATGAAGCCCTCCGGGAATTATGCGATTACAAAAATGAGTTACAAATCCTCATTCGGTATACGAAAGTATATAGCTGCTTTCCTTCTCTGTTTAAATAGTCTACAAAACAAGAAATAATTAGTCAAGCACTATCGGTAATTAAGCACATAAGATGAACATTAAACAAACTGCAATCTTGCATCATTTTGAAGGTAGATAGGCAGGTTTTTGCATTTGGAATCCAGCCAAAATGCCCATCTTCATTCCCTTTGCTCCTTATTTATTATTGGTGAGGGAATTCACTTGCCGAACTTGCTGATGTAC